>NC_000021.9:21715808-22965808 GCF_000001405.40 Homo sapiens
ATTTCGCTCCCAGGAATTTCCTCAGTCTCTTAGCAGAATTTTTGTGGTTCATCCCACCTAGTGCATTGGAGAGCTCCGCATCATAGTTTAGGCTAAGCTTGTACTAGGAATGTACTGGGTGAATTAAAATATATATATATTTCATTCATGAAAACATTGGACAGTGGACTCAACATAGTCAAGTTAATAAATACTAATAAAATTTCATTTCCTTAAAAATGTAAAATGGTCACTTTTTAACAAAAATATTTGGCCAAATAAAGGACGAGAAAAGATAAAATTAAGTGTCTTAAGGCTTTAATTGGAAATAAAAATTAAAAATGCATCAATAACCTGATCATTTTTTCATGAATTGTTTAAAATTTAGCTATGGAAATAAATTCATGAGTCTTTAAAAAATTCTATAATTATGTTTATAATGGGGAAAAACCTCAAAAGTGTATTAAATTATCTTTTTCTTGTATAATTAAACAACTGTGGCATGCTAAATTGCTCAGACCTCAATCAACTCTTTGATTTAATGCTTCACTGCAATTCTAGCAGGTGGAAATAGAAATCAAAAATAAAATTTGGTACATTTTGTGCTCTGAAATAAACTGTAATTATATGTTCTTTTATAAAATTTAGTAAATAAGAAGGAAAAAACCAGAAGCTCCGTTGGCCAGCTATTCAGAAATATCAGAAAAAGCAAAAATCTAGAATCCTGATTAGGATTCAGAATTCTCAATAAATTAAGCTCTTTGTTCAATGATGTTAGAAGTATAAGAAGGTTTATGGGACCCCAGTTGGCAGAAGATGCTAACATTTGGCTCATTATTACTTATATTCAAGAAGCAGTGGTGATATATAAACACTCTAAAATATTTGCTTTTTTTGTAACACCATATCTCTAAGGTACTGCACATGTAAATCATTAACATGTAAAGAATAAAAAAAGATAACGTTTAATTCTGTATTTGCATTATCATTAATTAGTAAATTTAGATCAATATTGTGTGAACCATACATTTTCTATTCTCTATTATGGGATATTCATGTAATTATGTGTGAATGAATATAGACACAGGACCTGTAGAAAATCAATAACTAGGATAAAAATCACATTAAGAACTAGAATATTGAGAATTTTGAGAAACTGAGAAAATTGAGAAGTTATGTGAAATGGAAATTTAGAAAATGAAGCAGACAATGTTGCAAAATATTACTTTATGTACCTGTTTTTCTGTTTTACATAACTTACAGCTACTTTCTTTGGGAATATAATCATAATAAATGTCTATAAAATTTAAGGCATATATCAGATTATACCGCAAGTACTATGAGTTTCTATATGGTTTTGAAAATCCTAAAGGTTTTCAAACAGTGTAAAGACATTAAAGACTTTTTACTAATATTATTTTAACTATACGTGTATATATAGTATAGTATACTTATATAGTATATTACGCTATACTTTATATACACACATACACTATAGAGTATAGTATATAGTATATACTATACTTTATTATATGTAAAGTATATATACTGTATACTCATAGTATATACTATATACTCTATATACATAGTGCATATACTATACTCTCTATGCTATGCATAGTATACAGTATATACTATATTCTATGTACTCTATATATAGTGTATATACTAGACTATGCTATGCATAGTATATAATATAGTTGATATAATCTATATACATAATATATATACTAAATTCTGTATACTGTATATACATAATATATATACTATACTATATACTCATAGTATATGAGAATATATACTATATACTCATAGTATATATTATACTCTACATAGTATATATTATTCTATAAAGTATATGCTATCTAATCACACAGAACTGCACCGTTTCCAAACAGGAAACTTTAACATTTTTGTGTCTTTTTATTCTATCTCATCCTACCCCTTTATCATACTCTGTATAGTACATACTCTGTATTGTATATACTATCTATATATGGTATATACTTTACAGTATATACTGTAGACTATATATGATTCATTATATTATATACTATATACTATACTCTATACTCCTACTATATACTATACTCTGTATTCATACTATATACTATATTATATATACTATACTCTATATAGATATTATATGCTATACATCATAATAGTGTATATTTCATCAATTATTTAGTTGCAGTTGTATAAAAATGTTACAACAAATGCTAGAGTCCTTCCCTTTCTTTCTCAGTTTACAGAGGCATTGGTTACCTAGTATTCACCAAATGAGTATAAGGAGTTTTTATCAAGTTAAAAAAAATTATCATTTTTCATCAGTAATTAATTTCCACCAACTTTTCAGTAACGTGAAGTGATGAAGTATACACTACTATGGTATACTATAGTGTACAGTATACTATATACCATTTACTCCCATCATTAATGGGGTTATATACTATATACTATAATATATAGTATAGTACATTATACTATATGTATACTACACTATAATACGTATACACACATACTATACAAATTATCTATATACTATATAGTATCATATACTATACTGTATATACACACATATAGTATATAGTATAGTATGCTATAATATACAGTACAGTATTATATATACATAAATAGTTATAGTGTATAGTGAGTATAGTATACCATAGTATGTATCACACATAGTTAAAATATTAGAAAAAATTTTTAATATACACATATATGTATACACACACATATATACACACATATTTATATATATAGGTACACATATAATGTTATTTAGTTTTTATTTATATCTAAATTTGTGCTATGGCTAGCCCTCATGTCACATTTTTGTGAGAAAAGACTTTAAGAATCAGTTCTATGGTGAACTGTTTGAACTCTCTGTTAACTTTTCTAATAATACAGAACAAAAAATATAGAGATCATAAAAATCAGCTGGGAAAGAACTGACTTGGAAAGAGAATAAAGACATAGGCAACATAAAACATAACCAACCTAATCCATATTTAAGCTTTTTTTCAGCTAGTTATGCATCAGATAGAAAAGCATAGGCTGTAATGTGTTTGTTACAAATGATTTTTTAAAGAGTATTAGTCAGACATATTATTCAAATTCAAATAGCTTGTAAAATCCATAATATTAAGTCTTTAAGTGAAGAAAGACAAACTTGATAAGTTAATATAGTTTTTGTGTCTGATAGTTAAGTCTAAAAGTAAAGGCTCTACAATTGAAACATTCTGGGTCTAAATCTCAGTTTGTATTACTTTGTGATGGTGGACAATTTGCTGAGCCTTTTTTTCTGAGTCTTAGATATTTTTATCTGTACAAGAGGCTTAGCAATAGCACCAACTTCACGAAATTGTTAGGAATATGACATGGTAAATGGAAATAAAGCAGTTATTCTAATGTCTGACAGAAGAAAGAGCCCAAATAAATTGTTAACATAGCTTTAATCAATTAGCTACCTCATGTATTCCAAAATTATATGATTCAAATTTACATTCACAGAGTAATTACTTCGCTTGCCTCTCTTCACCTTTGGTTAGTTACTATCTTTATGTTTATTTCTTCCATTTTCTTGATCCTTTTTCTCTCTATTGTCCTTCTTACACCCACAGGCAAGGCTACGACACGATTACTATTGACTAAATTATGCCCGTGCCCAAATTCAGATGTTGAAGTCCTAACCCCTAGCCCCCCTCAGAAGGTGACTGTAATTGGAGATAGGACCTTAATGAGGTATGTAATGTTAGAAGAGGTAATCTGAGTGAGCCCTAATCCAATATGACCTGTGATTTTTTTAAGAAGAGGCAGAACCACTACAGATGCTTGTTCACAGAGAGGTCATGTGAGAACACAGCGAGAAGGCAGGACAAGGAGAGAGGCTTCAGGAAAAAATAACCCTGATGACACCTTGATCTCGGACTTCCACTCTTAATGACACAGAACGGCATCACTTGCAAACTGAAAACTTTAACGTTTTTGTGTCTATTTATTCTATCTCATCCTTCCCCTTTATCATCTGATCATGTTTAGTGCATCTGATATTTTCCTTCATCTGCTCATGTATTCTTCAGAAATTTTCCATGTATTAGTTTTTCATTCTACTTTTAGTCTTAATTTTTTTTTTTGTTATCCTGTCTACATTGAACCATGTCAGTTGTCCTATCCAGAGCACTCTTGATTTTCCTCTGACCTTTAATGAGATCAAACATAAAACTTGCTATGTTTGGATGAGCCTTTCTTCACTTACCACCGCATCACTGCTAACGTTGCAAAGGAAAATTGTAAATATAGATGATTGTCTACTTAAAATTCCTGTCACTCAGAATTAGGTAATTTCTCATTGTTAACTTTTACTCATTTAAATTATTTTACTTAATACATAATCTAATATGTCCTTTTCCACTTTTATTAAGCTCCCAAATAAGAGTTGAGTTTGTCTTTTCTTTCCTTCCTTCCTTCCTTCCTTCCTTCCTTCCTTCCTTCCTTCCTCCCTTCCTTCCTCTCTTTTTTCGACAATGTTTTGCTTGGTAACCGGGGCTAGAGTGCAGTGGCATGATCGTACCTCACTACAGCCTCAACCTGCTGAGCTCAAATGGTCCTCCCATCTTAGCCTCCAGAGTAGCTGGGAACACAGGCACCACCAAAACCAGCAAATTTTTGCATTTTTGTAGAGATGGGGTTTTGCCATGTTGCCCAGGCTGGGCTCAAACTCCTGAGCTCAAGTGATCTGCCTGCCTTGGCTTCCCAAAGTACTGGGATTACAAGTGTAACTACAGCACCTGGCTAAGTTTGTCTTCTGAATAGCTTCCTCAACACATTGCATAAGACAACAGCTTGTCTATTTAAACTTACATAAGTACACACATGCACACATACATATAACAGTTGTGAATTTTGTCACAGAGCTTACAGAATTTCTATAAACTTTATGTTCTACCCACCATATTTATTTTGGTTTCTCAAGATTATATTTTATTATCTTCCACCCTTCCCAATTTCTCTTTATGTCACCTTTATAGAGTGATTGCCCTATTGGAATGTATCCCTGGGTTTAAATCTTAACTTTTCTATAAAGTCATTTATCTTATTGTTCCTTTGACACCACACACAACAGCCAAGAACATGTCCTTCCCCACTCGTGTATCCAGGCCAGATACATGAAGCAACACAATCTGGTTCTCTGGGCCCAGTGGAAAAGGCTAAGTCTTCTTTCTATTGGGGAGATCAGTTACTTGGCTTCCTTATTTCACCCTGTTACTTTCAAAAGCTGACCTGGGTTCCTAATTAATTGAAAAAATGTAAAACTTATTTTTACTATGTACTTTCAGAACTTTCTTTATGCATGAAACTTCCCTTTATGTTCATCCACCTTCTCTTTATTCTGTTCTATCTTTGAGTGAGACGTTGACTATCATTTCACCAGAGCCAATTCCGCCATTTGTATCCTCTGTTCAATCTATTCTATCTCTAGGGATTTTGTTCCATTATTTCCTTATTCTGCCATGCTTCTCAAATCTTTCTCCATGGAACCCTTTTAACTACAAAAATTCTTATGATTTTCTAAGCTTCAAACCCATTTTCTCTTGCTACCACTCTAATATAATATCTTCTCTATTTCATTATAATTGACATCAAATTTCTCTGTCTCTCCTTTAGCTCTGCTAGTCTTTCATCTCATTACTCTTTTAACATTACAACAATGACTTCACAATGGCAACTTTCATAGCATTTCCAGAAACCTCTTCCTTCTCAACTACTCAGTACCATTTTATAAAAGGCTCCACTTTTCTAGGTCTATAATCTCTTATACAGGATTGAAAAAATTGCAGAATGCTAATGAGAGTCACGTTCTAAAAATTACTTTCTGGGAAATAAGTAAGCTAAGGAAAGAGAGAATTGAAGCCCACATGCTTTAAGAAAGGATGAAGATTCAGAGTTCAAAATGATGATGATTGTAGGAGCGTGTATGTCTCATATGAATCATTTGATACTAGGTGATGATTTCATAGAAATCATTAAAAGATAGCTAGGGCTTAAGAATATAAGAACAACAACAAAAAAAGAAAGCTGTTTTACTGATAACTCTGTAAAACACTGAAGCACAAATCAGAATACATTGGTTCTGCAGTAGCAAAGGAACAAAGAGTGACTGGCAATCTTCGTGTTTCACAAACTATTAGAACATGTGTTCATTCTTCATAGAACTTATAACATAATTAATGTATGAGAGTCCATTATTTTGTAATGTAAAGTATGAGAGTGTCTACACACATTTTTGGTTTTTTTTCTGGGGACTATTATTAAAATAAAAAATACTTTCATCTTTAGATGCAGCATTGACACCTAAGAATCTATACAAAAGAAATAAAAGTGAAGTCATGTAAAGGTATATGTACAAGGATGTTAATTTCAGCATTTTTTTAAGTAGCAAAAATTAGAAACAGAGATCTTGTCATCAGTTTTAAAAAATAGACAAAGCATGGTGTATACACCAGGAAAATACATGCCATAAAAATTACACAGCCATTAAAAATATTAATTTCCATTATTCCAGTTTAACTAGAAGAGTTCTCTAAGTCGTTTTTTTGTTTTGTTTTGTTTTGTTTTGTTTTGTTTTGTTTTGTTTTGTTTTGTTTGAGATGGAGTCTCCCTCTGTCGCCCAGGCTGGAGTGCAGTGGCGCGATCTCGGCTCACTGCAAGCTCCGCCTCCCGGATTCACGCCATTCTCCTGACTCAGCCTCCTAAATAACTGGGACTACAGGTGGCCGTCACCTTGCCCTGGTTAATTTTGTTTTTATATTTTTAGTAGAGACGGGGTTTCACCGTGTTAGCCAGGATGGTCCCGATCTCCTGACCTCGTGATCTGCCCGCCTCGGTCTCCCAAGGGGCTGGGATTACAGGCGTGAGCCACCGCGCCCGGCCCCTCTAAGTCATTTTTAAGTTAAAAAAGTAAGGTATATCAAAAGTTGTGTATCATTTTAAAAATTTTTTTAAAAGGAAGGATGCTTACTATGTGCGATGGTTAATTTTGCATGTCAGCTTGACTGAGTCACAGGGTTCCCAGACATTTGGCCAAAATTTATTGTGAGTATTTCTGTGAGGATGTTTCTGGATGAAAATAGCATTTGAATTGATAGGCTGAGAAAAACAGCTTGCCCTCCCTAATGTGGTTGGACCTCATCTAGTCTGTTGACGGCCTCAATGGAACAAAAATGCTGACCATCCCATCAGCAGAAAGGAACTGCACAGACTGCCTTGAGCTGGGATCTTGGTTCTTTCCTGCCTTTAGACTTGAACTGAAATTCTGGCTTTTTCTGGGTCTTGAGCCTGCCAGCACTGGAACATTAACTACGCCACGGGCTCTTCTGGGTCTCCAGTTTGCCAACTTCTCTTTGTGGGCCTTGTCTGTCTTTGTATATGTACATCTTATTGGTTCTGTTTCTGTGGAGAACCCTGACCAATACAAAGTTGATGTAATCACCCAAGGCATTGAATTCACACAAATTAGAGATTTTAACCAAAATTAAGTCTCTATAATTCCAAGTATGTAAGTTATCACAAGGAACAGGGAAGCCTCAGGAAAAGGAACACAGCTCTCCAGGTGCTTCCTTATGATGTTGAGTATATTTTATGGCCAAAATTAAAATATGTGTCTTCCATGTAATAACTGTGGCCACATAAATTAAACACACACACACACACACATGCTAAATATTTCAGTCAAGGAACATCTCCATTTTGCTCAGATGGTAACAAAGCTTACATGACATTTTCCCAGAAGCCATGCCTAGTCAATGTCACCAACTTGTTTGACAGGAAGTGTGCCATTACCATGCTTACAAGCAGCATAGATCAGGTTGACCATCTGTCTTCTTTCCTGTAGAGGTGAATGCCCTCCCATCATTGAGGACAGGTGGCTGAGCTGCTGCTTTCATCATTTATTTCCAAGTACTGATATGCATGATCCCATAGGTAGCTGAAGTAGGGGCAAGCAAAATAAATAAGTAAATAAATAATAAAGCTTTATGAAAAAGAAAAACAGGTTATAGGATAAAGCTTCATTTGTGCAAAATATTTATATAATGAACTATATGTGCATTTTTATATTTTAAAAATGCATACTATAGATGCATTTTTAAATGTTTCACCCATTACACTTGTTACAGAGCTTTGCATATTATAGGTATTCTGTATGTATGTATGGAAAGAGTGCTTAAATCTACTGTTAAAATAATACATGAAACAATCAAAAACCGTATGTCATATATAATAATATAACATTATTTCAAAATTAAATGTTGCCCCAAAACCCCATGAAAGTAATTCTTTTGGACAAATTTTGCTGGAATAGGTTAGACTGAGTAGAAAACATTTCACAAAAATATTACGGGGTTCTTATTTACCCATGAACATTGATGGAGGGCTGAAAGAGAACAAAAAATATCAATGCCCATTTCATAAATTGCTGGAGAAATTTGCTATGAATATTGAAATCATGAGTTTTATTATTCTTCTACTTCTCCTAATGCACATGCATATCCCATCTTTGGCTCACATTGTGAATATTCACTATTCTCAACTGATTTTTCTCAAAGAGTAAAAATCTAAAGGTGATATTTTTGGTTAAGGGTGTTATGAGAAAATCGAAATACTTCTTATATGATCAGATAAAATAAGAGGAAATCATGCAAATATAAAGTTTAATAACATTTAGTAAAGCAATGTTCCTCTAAAGTTTAACTCTAAAGCTTAGAGTGTAGGAAGGAAAAATAATTTTCAAAATTTGCAAGAAAAATGGGTGCAACAATATGGAAGTTTGTCTCTTTCTTCCCCCTTCTCCTCCTCCTCCTTCTCTTTCTCTTATTTTTCTCCTGCTTATTATGCTGTTCCTCCTCTGTCCCCTAGCATTCTTGATTATCTACTGTTATGCGAAAAATATCCTATCAGATTTGATGAATAAATAACAGTAACATCTCTAATTTATGTATTTTTTACACTGTAAGAAAATTGGCTGGCAGATTTTTATTTTAGATATCTTATTTTTGAGCATCTATAATATGGCACACAATGAATGTGCCTAATTAAGTGAACCAAAATGTTATTAAGAAGATGTAGTGAGTTTTTAATGACACTATTTCATGAAATATACTTCCTGTACACTACATCTCATTGAAATGTAAGAAAATTGTTCAGTGAGTATATCATTCTACCTAGAACTTTTTTTTTTTGAGCTGGATTTAATGTGGTTAGGAATTTATTGCTTGTAAAACATATTTGTAATTCCTGGAATTAGTTCATTAATGTAACAGGTAATTCTCAAAAACAGAAAACAATTTGAATATATATTAGGAAATATTATGGAGGAAACTGTATTTTAAAACCAGAGAGTAGAAAATTTAAGAGTGAATTAGATAGAATATATTGTTCTCTCACAGTATGTTTTTATATTATCAATTTTATTCCATTCATACCATTCTCTGTTCATAGACTGCAGTGTCCTCTGTCTGCTTCACACCCTACAGGACATACAAACATACTTCTTTTTTTTTTTTTTTTTTTTTTTTTTGAGACAGAGTCTCCGTCTGTTGCGCGGGCTGGAGTGCAGTGGTACAATCTCGGCTCACTGCAACCTCCGCCTCCCAGGTTCAAGCAATTCTGTTGCCTCAGCCTCCCCAGTAGCTAGGATTACAGGCACCTGCCACCGCTCCCAGCTAATTTTTGTATTTTTAGTGGAGACAGGGTTTCACCATGTTGGCCGGGATGGTCCCGATCTCTTGACCTCGTGATCCGTCTGCCTCGGCCTCTCAAAGTGCTGGGATTACAGGTGTGAGCCACCGCTCCCAGGCATACACTTTTGCATTAACATTCTACTTATCTACAGCATTAAGAAATGTCAGAGAGGATTCTTCCCTGAAGTATGTACCTTTTATTACATCATTACTTTTTATAAACAGCATTTTAAGATTATTCAATCATTGGTATGCATTCCCATCACATTTATTTCTAGTTGTTTTGTTGCAAATTAGTATTGCACTAATATGCTTTCAATATCCCATAAAGTTTCTGCAGGGATCTCTTATGTACAGTAGTCCCTCCTTATTTGCAGTTTCATTTTCTGCAGATTTAGTTACCTGCAATCAAGTCCAAAAGTATTAAATGGAAAATTCTGGAAATAAGCAATTCATAGTTTTAAATTTCATGTGGTTCTGAGTAGTGGGATGAAATCTCACACCATCTATTTGGTTCTCCTCCATCACAAGAAGAAGAGTGAGTATAGTACAGTAAGATATGTTGAGAGAGAGAGAGATCATATTCATGATCTCTTTTATTACAGAATGTTGTTATAATTGTTCTATTTTATTATTAGTTCTTACAGTTAATCTCTTCATGTGCCTAATTTATGAATTAAATTTTATCATAAGTATGTTAGTATAGAAAAAAATATAATACAGTTTATATAGGGTTCAGGACTATCTGAGGTAACAGGCATCTCCTGGAGGTCTTGGAATGCATCCACCAAAGATAATGGGGGACTACTGTAATAGCCGTATTACCTTTTTTACAAGTGTTTTCTTACAGAGGTTGAAAATTTTTTTCAATGGCATTAAAATGTAGTATTTAATCTGCTTGAATTTCACAGATTTTTTTCAGATTTTGAGTAACTCATATTTCTATCGTATTAGAACATTAATATACGAGATGATCCCCGTTTTTAGTTCTTCACACACTCCCACCCAATCTGGCATAATTATTCACAGCTTCTTTTATCTTAGGAAGAGAAAGCACAACCTAGTTTCATGCATTCCTCATTTTCTCCATAGAATATTTCATAATACTTGTTGAAAAAACATCATGTACTCTAAATTTCACCTAAGGATTCAAAATTATTTGGCCTTACTTAAAAGATATTTAAGTATGCATTAAAGAAAAATAACTGCCGTGTTATAATAATACTTTCTGTGTTATTTTTGAAGCTTGGGAAATACACCTTTCTGAAAATTGAATTATTTAATAATTTTCTTCTATTAAATTTTTAAAAAGTAACTGATAAAATGCAGCTGGGTGAGTTTTTTTATTAAAAGCCTTACAAACGATTGTTCAGATGTTAGTGATAGTTAAAACTGAATCAACTTTCAAATCAACAGAAAAATTACCTTAATAGATTATATACATAAAAATATAAACTGTTTCATAAGCCACCTGTCAATCAATGATCACAGAAATGTTACTCACCAAAACAACCAAAATATTGGATACTTCCAAAGGCATTGGTAGTTCAGTGATAGAATTCTTGCCTAAATATTGGAAACAGTTTTATTATCTGTTTTTATAATATTTTAGTCTGTTATTTTTCAACATTAAGAAATATAAAACTGAAGAAAGATTGCGTATCAACACAAAAGTCAGCATGTCTTTTACATGAAAACTTTTTTTAAAAAATAAACATTTTGTTTCAGGCTTACATATGCAGGTTTGCTATATGGGTAAATGACCTGTGGCAAGGGTTTTGGTGTACAGTTAATAAGCATGGTACCTGACTGGTAGTTTTTTGGTCCTCAGCCTCCTCCCACCCGTCACCCTTAAGTTATAATTTCTGAAAATTCTTTAGGTTTGCAAATCATTGATGTAGGAAAAATATTCTCCAAAAATTCCCTGATTCCATAAATCATTGTTCTTGAAGCCAAAAAAAGTAAACTGATCAAACCACAGTTTTATATGATTGGAAAAATGTTCACTTGAACATTGACAAAATAAAGATTACCTAAGAGATTATATACTTTTAAAACTAAAAATATCACTTTAACCTTTCTCTTATTATTTATTTACACAACGTTATGAATCAAGATTCAGAGAATTAGTATTAGAAATCCATCCTCAGGATGTGCACGCCAGAACTGGTGAATCTGGGCTCTATTAAAACATATTACATTATTCAAGATGAACAGTCATGAAACACATGAATCATAAACTTAAATTTTTTAAAAGTTAGAAAAGAAAAAAATAATAAAGTACACATTTTGCCTATTTCTAATGTCTTTCCTTTATAGTTGTAAAGGGATATAAACTGTATGTTAGTTCATACATAGCCTATACGAACAAATAAAATACTTCCAAAAATACATTGCATAGCTTAGTGTCTCCTGTGGCTATAATAATTCTTTATTTTGAAAAGAAAAAAACTTTTAACCTCTATAATGGAGTTTAATGGTTCAATGATTGAACCGCTGAAAGAGGCTGCTGAACTTGAAGCTATTATACTTGGTATTTCTGTGCTTTGTTTAGTGATGCTGGGACTGCATCTCAGCAAGACACATCTCTTTTTGTTTTACTCACCTTTCAATAGATTCTGTTAATAAGAAGACCCACAAGGAGATTGGAAGGCAGGAAGGTAGAGAAAGGACTGAATCTGTTTCATTTGTAAGCTGTTCCCAACAGCTTCTCCCCAGAAATTAACGTAAAAACCGGCAGTAGCTTCTTTCAGCTCACCCAAGGCTAGTCTCATGCATTCTCCCGCGAGGGGTGCCCGCAAGAGCCTGGTAACATCCTGTCCTGAAGGTCTTAGCCCCATTTCATGGGATCCCTTCTCCAATTTTCTAGGTTTCCAGAACCCCAACTTCCTCCTGTTGCTCCTCTAGCCTGACATCTTTCTTTGTTACCTGAATGATTCTCTTTTGCTTTGTTAGCTTTCCAGCACCCATATAACAAATTACACTAACTTACTTCTGTGAAAATACCTCATCTGGTTTCTGTTTTCTTGACTACATCTTTACCAAACAAACTATTCTTCCTTTCCTCCTTATTACACATTTTCTCCTTTCCTCTCTGTCTTCCTGCCCTCCAGTGAGGCGTTAGGATCCTTCCCAACACATACTTGCACTCAAGTCATTATTCCAAACATTGCTCCTAGGAACACAAACTAAGAAATATCGTAAAAATATTCATGCAGACTGGTTCAAGTTTTGCTGCTTTCAAGATACAAAGGTAGTGCCTGGATATTTTGCAGCAGCAGCTATTTTGATTTTGATATTATGGGACATCTGAAGGGTAGTCAAAATTTTGTTTAACACATACTTGACTGAGTTTTAATCAGGTGTCTGGCACTGCTCAAAGTGTAGAAGGAACATAGGTAAAAGACAATCTGTTTTCAAAAGCCTAAGAAGGAAAAGAGGATGGACTATATATATATATATATAAAATTTTTGTTTTGTTGTGTTTTGTTTTGTTTTGTTTTGTTTTGTTTGAGACAGAGTCTCGCTCCATCGCCCAGGCTGAAGTGTGATCTCGGCTCACTGCAAGCTCTGCCTCCTGGGTTCATGCCATTCTCCTGCCTCAACCTCCCGAATAGCTGGGACTACAAGCGCCTGCCACCAGGCCCAGCTAATTTTTTGTATTTTTTAGTAGAGACGGGGTTTCACCGTGTTAGCCAGGATGGTCTCCATCTCCTGACCTCGTGATCCACCGCCTCGGCCTCCCAAAATGCTGGGATTACAGGCGTGAGCCACTGCGCCAGGCTAGGATGGACTATTTTTTAGCAGAAATTCTGGGAATCATGGCAGTGTGAGAAAATCGTGTTGTAAATTAATTATTATTTAAGTGATTATTAACATAGGTGGAAATAATTCAAATAAAACATTTCTACTTATAGCTAATATGTTTCAGAACACAATGACGCTGAGGTTCAGGGGAATGATACGCTCATAGTTGTAAATACTGCTTATTCACACTATTGAGGGCTACAATAATATTTAATTAATTTAATGTAATTTTAAGTAAATGTCGATTAAAATGTAAATTTTCGTTTTTAATGTTATTGTAGCCTCAATAGTGTGGATTTTTATGATGCTAGTTAATTTTTTAGATTAGAAAACGGGATTGAATTCTTAGAATATTTGTTTAATGATATATTTTTATTTGAGACATACTTAAGTCTAGATCCAGGTTTTCTCACTTCAAATACATTTTCTCTCAAACATAATTATTATCTTAAGGAAGATGTCTTACTGAGGCTCGTTTCTATCACATTATGCGGTTGACAGCTCTCCATGGGTCCTTCAGATGACCACATACAACAGCATATGACAGACACACTTCCGGCCACCAGCTTAACTTTTATTATATCCTTAGGTTGTTCATGCCTATTTCTGAATAGCTTGCCTTACTGCCCTTTTGGAATCTCTAAAACACAGACACTTTGCCCTCACTTGTTCCATCTTCTACTACTTTCTGGCCCTTTGATATTGTAAGCACTTCGAATCATGTTACAAACTTTCATTTTCTTAAATTTCACTTCAAATTTCCATTGCGTTTTCACAGCCTCAGGTTACTTTAGATTTTTTCCTCTTTTGTCCTGATTTGAAAAATCCACAGGAGTCCCTTCATCTGGTTTTTTCATTCTTGTGTACTATAGATTCTCCTCCTTCCTGGTTTACCCTGATCTTTTGGACAAAACTCAGATGTAATATTTTACTTATTTGAGAAATAAAAAGCTTGAAATGTTATTTCCAGTCATTCTCAATGCAACATATTGCTCTTATATGTTTGGATTTAATACATTTAAATGTATTTATCTCTAGCGATTTTTTACCTATAACATAAACACTAATTTTAGCAATAAACCACTAATTCTGAGTCAAGTTATTACTGATAATAATACTTTAAAACATTCAATTAGTTTTGAAAAGTATATATCAATATCATTGAAATAAACTTCATCTAACTTTTCGAGGGTATAATCGTTGGCAGGTAGAATTTATTTTTTAGCTTTGTAGTGAAAGTACACATTTATATACTACAATGTCATCATCTTTTTTGGAGATAAGGATTGCAGCGTTTTTAGAAATACAGCACATGGACTAATTGTTGGCAGCATTCCTTCTTGGACTAATATCTTACTCTCATCAGAGCAAGATTGAGAAAGCTTAGGTCATCCTTTATTTCCCAAAGGTCACTATTTCCAACTGTGGATGCATTTTTAAGACTAACACGACTAAGAAAGAATTTCACAGGCATGGCACACTTCCATAAGTGTTCTTTCTACACTCCCACAAAAATTATTTCTCTATCCACTTAGTAGAATGTGACCCATCGATGACTTTTATAATGTTGTTGTCCTCTTCTGTGTGCATACTATGCGAGAGTTGGCTGTACCTCTAATTTTTGTTTTCATCCCAGAATTATTTTCCAAAGTACCCTAATAAGTTTATCATCTGAATATTTAAAATAATACACTTAAATTTTTCTTTCATCCATACATTTGTTTATCCAACAGATATTTATTCAACTCCTACCATTTACCATGCATTGCAAATATTTGTAAGTTGGTTGTTAGGCACTTTTTTGTCTTTTTATGGGAAACTATGGAATAGTAATTGAGTAAGAAGATGGAAAATAAGAAGGGAGAAAAATTAGAAATGAATTAGTCTAATCCTTTCTATATTTGTTGTTGTTGTTGTAACATTGTATTACTAAAGCCCATGTTAAGTAACTTGTTCAAAGTCACTGTAGGGATTTACCAGAAAAATAGCAAAGGGGACTCCACATCTCCTAATTCTTCATCCAATGTATTTTCCAACAATCCAGCACTTTCTAAACTCATAGTTGGATTAAGTCAATATCAATACCATTATTTTAAAAATTCATTCATTCATACAACAAATATTTAGTGAATGCCTACTGTGTGACAACAACTGATTTGTTAACATGGCATACAGACAAAATAACATTATCATTGCAACTATTAAATACATGAATTATAGTGTGTGCCAAATGGTTTTATGTACCATGGAAAAAGAAAGGCAACAGATTAAGGGGGATTGGCATGCAGGGAATGAGTTTGGGGACTACTGAAATTTGAAAAATGTAGTCCATGAATTTCATCTAAGAGGTATCATTTCAGTGAAGAATTAAAGGAGATAAAAAGTTGAGTAAGTGGACATTCGGGGGAACAACAACTCAGTACAGGAAAAAGGCAGTGCAAAGTCTTCGAAGTGTGCCAGAGGAACAGACACACGGAAGCCAATGTAGCTGGAGCTGAAAGAGTGAGTCATGGAAGACAAGGTTGAAGAAGGAGTGGGTAACCCGGAAGCCTTTGGGTCATCGGAAGGGATTTGTGTTTTACCTGGATAGAACTGAGAACTACCTCAAGGTTTTAAGCCAAGGATTGACATGACTTACATCACCTTATTTACTGACAAGACATTCTAAAGGCACAACGGTGAAAGAAGGTCAACCCATCTGGTGGTCTGTCCAGTAAACCAAGCTCACTTCAGGGCAGTCAGATTAGGTTGCTACATCTTATGGGGAGTACGGAGGCAAGAAAATAGTTTCTTTCAGCAAAATTATAGCATAAGAACTCATTTCTGTCACTACAAAGGCAAAGACCCTAGTGGCATCCCAGGTTTCAAATATGAAAAATGAGACTTTCCAAAAAGCGAAATAGTGAGCAAAATGACATCCAGGTAGATGTGACTTTCAGGGGGGACAGTACTAGATATAGGTCTAAGGTCAGAATGGTTCTTCGTAGCTCTGGTCTTGCAACAAATTGCTCAGAAAGGGGAGCTATATGAAAAACTTCAGACTCCTTTTATTTACTTACTTAAGAATACTGTCCCTAAATTCATACACACACACACACATATACATATATATATATGTCTTTCTGAAGCCCATGAACCCAGATGTATTTTAGAATGTAGAAATTTGGAAATACTTTCAGAAGCAATATGCGTATCTACTGTGTATTACATACAAATTCTAGTGAAGTCTGCAATCAAGCACAGCTTTATGTTCACAGCAAATCCTATGAATATTCACACTAAGTGGGTAAGAAAAACTATAAATAATCTCAAATCTATTTATTCGCTAAGGGAATACAGAGCAGGTCAAATTTTACTGCCCATCGAGGAATAAAAACATTCAATTTTTTAGAGGGTTTTGGATTTTGTAATCACACGTAAGTGATTAAGCCCTTGTATTTTATAAGATATTTTATCTCAGTTGCTGCAAATGTATAGTCACTTTAACCTAGCACTAGCTTAATTAAAGAATACAAATGTACATTGTAGGTTAAGCCTTAAGTTCATGCTCAATGTTATGCACGGTCTTGACATCTGGTGAATGCAGGCTGCCTAAAGAATTAGAAAGCAATTTAGAACTTCTTCGAATAGAAATACTGTGAAAAGACTGAGATTTAGTTTGACAAGTCTATAATGAGACTATCTGTATAGAAAAGCTTAAGCTCTTTGATTTTTATCTGACCTGTGTTTGAATATTGGCTGAGTTGAAAAAAAGATATTGACTATCTTTAATTTGCATCTGATCACCAGTTGAATAATGAAATATACATAAAATACATAGGCTATGCTCAATTGAAACTCGTTCAAAATGTGGTAGTTTGTTAAAGGATGTGTTTCTGGCAGAATGAGAAACATAAAACACATACAGACATGTTAGTATATTTTTTTAATGATGTCCAGAGAATGATTCACAATGTATTTTGTGTTGCCATAATTTTATAATACTGGAGATACTTGCTTTCTATCATTTTAAAAATATATTATTCTAAAGCCTCTGAAACAGAGAAACTTCAGTCGCTTCCACAAAAGTATAACTCACTTGACATTAGATTTATTGAGGAAAAGAAGCTATTATACATGTTTAATATTTTATGTTCTGGGCTACTTTGCTATTAAATTTAAATATTTGGAAGGTAGATTCATAAAATATGGGTGTGATAAAATACTTATTCTATGAACACTTTCTACCAGTTTATTTTGGTAAACGTTGAGTTACTCCAATTATTTTTACTTTTCAAATAGAGCATTTTTATTAACATTGTAAGCAGTGAAAACATTCATCTGGAATTTCTTTTTCTTTACCTATTCTTATAGGAAATACAGAAAAAGATGACTTTTTCTTATACTACTGGAACTATTATGATTTTTTTCCTTCTGCTACATAAATTTAAGGTATTTTTCAAAGCCCATCCTTTTCAGCAAGAAAGCATTCTCAAATTTAGTAATGTTTAAAATCTTCCTAATATTCCTTAAGTCCTTGGGAAGAAAAGACAATGAAAAACATTATCAAAGATAAATATTAGCATACATTTAAAAATCTATCTTCACCTGCATTTGTCTCAAGATAATTGTATTGATGTTATAACATTTTTTAAGACACTGTCTTATTTATTGCAGCACTGCTCATAATAGCCAAAATGTGAAATCAACCCAAGCATCCATCAATGGATGATTAGATTTAAAAATGTGATGTATATACACGATGGCAAAACATGAATGAACTTAGAGAACATTAAGTGGGATAAGCAGGGAACAAAAGGACAAATGCTGTATGATCTCACTCATATGTAGAATTTTTAAAAATTGATCTTGTAGAAGTAAGGAGTAGAATAGTGGTTATCAGATTCTGGAGAGAGTAAGGCGAGAGATTGTTCTCTTAGTACAAAGGTACTGTTGGATAGGAGGAGTAAGTTCTAGTGTTCTATTGCACAATAGGGTGACTATAGTTAACAATCATATATTGTATATTTCAAAAGAGCTAAAAGAGAGGATTCTGAATGTTCTCACCACAAAGAAACAAGTGTTTGAGGTGATAGATATCCTAATTACCCTGATTTGATCATTATACAATGTATACATATATGTAAAATATCACAATGTACCATAAATGAGTAGGATTATTCATCAATTAAAGACATTGACACTTTAAAAAATATATATTTTTGGTTCTCAAACAGATGTGAGGGTTATGTCTAATATCTTTAAACACATCTTGGCTTTAAACATGTTTACCAGCTATGGCTTATTTATTCCCAGATTTTTCAAGTTTCTTCCTTTTTCATCTAACCTTTTGCCCTCTCTATTGACATTGGTCTTTGAAAAGTTTGTATAAGAATACCAAAAGCATTTTTATATGAGTTCTGCCAACTTTATTTTGTAGTCTAGAAGTTATGTATCACGTATTTAAAAGTGCTTGAAAATAGCTGATGCATCTCTTTTTTCAAGATGATGCTAAAAGTCTCATCTAATTTAATGGTTGGAACAGTTCTTTACAAGTTATGTTGTAAAAATATTCATTAACATTGATGGAGAGTACTACTCAAACAGCAAAAATGTGTCTGTAAAAGCTTATTAAAATTCAGAGGCTCAAATAATGTAAGAATTCAAAATCTTTAGTAAAATTCAACTGCAGAGTTTCTATCAGATGCACATTTCAAAATGGAATTTGTTACAAATATGGTTCGTTTCTGAGTAACAATTAGTTTGTCGTGGTTTTAAATATAAAAGGTTTTCACATTAAAATTGACATTTGCAAAATGGTCGTTAATTTGCATAGGTTATAAAGCTAATGTGAAATTCAGATGGTCTTACTTAGTTCATAAGGGTAACCTAGCATGTTATTTAAAATTATTTTTCACTAAGATATTTTACTTGGGCTATAAAAATAATATTTCACACTTTATATAACTCTAATAAATTTGTGATAAACTGTGAAGTCTCCATATAATTCTTCCCGCCAAAATGCATTTTTCAAATTTTGAGATATCTTTTTAAGTACATATTATGCATTCTATTCTTAAGAAAATTACTTTTAATTATGTTTTTATATTTGCACATCTACTTCTCATGTACTGAATACATATAAATATATATGTGCTTTATTACTGCTGGGGAAAATTATACTTTATTGCTATGTATTAAAAATCTTGTAATGAATTAAAATTTGTTCTTTTTATAAAGTACTTTTATGTATTTGGAGCAGAAAACTAACTTATTGCCTAAGTTTTTTTCTGCCATATTGAAGCAAATTTTCTTTTTAATATATAGATAAGGAAAACAGGTCCAGAGAAGCTAACATTCATAGCAGAAAACCGTAAAATTATCTAATATTGCTAAATAATTAAGAATTAAACTAGAATGCTGTATTGTACGGGAGGTTACGTTTTTTAAATAATTGTAGTCAAACACTCTGACTGTAGTTATAATACTGGTAAGCCCAATGTTTCCAATAATAATTTGATAATGAAAAGCATTTCTCTCCCATTTCAGCAGAAAATTATGAAGAATGTCTTTGCAATATTGAATCAGATATCATTTTATGACAGAAAGTCTTACTCTTCAGAAAATAAATTATTCCTTAGTAAACACAGAAGATAAAATTATGGCTTGGAATACAAAAGAAATCACTATCAACAAATTTGTATTTTGGAGGAAGTAAAATCATTATTTATTCTGTTAGCACATTTTCATTTCTCATTTATTTTAACCTTTCAGTGCCTTTTTTCAAGGAAACTTAACGTGGTTTGTTAAGTTTTTTCATTTAAACCTCTTTAACTGAAAGTAACTAAAGAAATTAATCAAGGAAATGACATTATGGTGAATTTGTGTTTTCCAAAGTTTTCAGTTCATTGTATAATTTTATGTAAACATAAATTAATGCATATTTATAAAATCCTGCATTAATAAAATTTATCTTTGAACCCAAAAGTTAGTAGGTTATTAAAGAAAAGTAAGATATCTTGTTAGTTCTCCTAAAGCTAACACTAGTTTCTCTCAACTAAGTCCATAGAGTATGAGGTAATATTAAGAATGGAAAAAAATACCACTGAGAACGCCGGCATGAGATTTCCTTAATGTGCCCCCCAAATGACATTCTTTGATACTACTTTTATGCTATTTTGTTTCTGAAAACGTGCAATTCTTATAGTATTACATGAATTTTTAAAAATTCTGATCTGTTTAATATCAGCTAAAAACGATGTCTCATAATGAACACACACACACAAAGAACTGTGTCTATCTTAGATTTAAAAAAAAAACAACTAAACAAAAACAACAATAATGATGACAATCAATCTCCCTCTCTATTCCTCTAAGAGGTGAATAACAAATGGGGAATGTATTTGAAAGCCACACTCCCTCACAAACAGACAATATCCTCATAACTTATTCTCTGACTTTATTCTTCATGATTCTCATGTCTACACGTGGTCTCTCATCCTATTGCCCAGATATTTTAAAACTTTACCATTTTTAGTGCAGTCATTTGAAATAATAAATGTTGTCTTAATCTGCCCCTAGATGCCCTAATAAAATACCACAGACTGCCACACTGTGTGCTTTAAACATCAGATTATTTTCTCAAAGTCCCGGAGAATGGAAAGTCTAAGATTAAAGTGCCAAACAACTTGATTTTTGATGGGGGCTTTCCTTCTGGCTTGCAGATTGTAGTATTCCCCTGTGTCTTTACATGGAGGGAAAAAGACAAACAAACAAACAAACAAACCAAAAAACACCAATCTCTGTGCTGTTTCATCTTATAAGGACACTAATTCCATTGTCTCAAAAGCCCACCTGTATTAGGCCGTTCTCATGCTGCTAATAAAGACATACCCGAGACTGGGTAATTTATACAGTGAAGTGGTTTAATGGACTCACAGTTCCACATGGCTAGGGAAGCCTCACAATCATGGCGGAAGATGACAGACGAATAAGGGACATCTTACATGGCGGCAGGCAAGAGGGCATTTGCAGGGGAGCTCCACTTTATAAAACCACTAGATCCGGTGAGACTTATTCACTATCATGAGAACAGCATGGCAAAAACCCAGGATCATGATTCAGTTACCTCCCACAAGGTCCCTCCTTAGGCATGTGGGAATTATTACAATGCAAGGTGAGATTTGGGTGGAGACACGGAGCCAAGCCATATTTAACAACTTATTTTGACCGTATTTAACATCAATTACTTTCTTACTCAAAATGCAGCCACACTGCATTTTAGGACTTTCGCACATGAACTTTGGGGATGGAGGAGGGACACATACACACAGTCCCTAAAAATTATAAATTCCAGAAACAATATAATAATTTAAAGAATATATTTACACAATAGTATTTTTATTACTTAGGTTTCCATTAATTTTCTCTATTGTTTATATTGCCATCATTTAGAAAATTGGAACATAGATTATCCTTATATTAAATTTCCCAACTTCAAGTTTGTGTCTAATTTCTACACTCTCATTGTTGTGATGAAATTTTAATATAACTCTACTAAGGGCATTGATTTCACTAATCTTTTCCCCTTTTTAAATATACTTATGTATTAATAATGTTACAATCTATTTATAGGAGACATTATTAAAACACAGCCAAGAGAACTCAAAACCTAATGATCTGATTGATAAAACGTATGTATAAAGAACAGTAATCTAACCACCTGTGTTAGTCTGATAGGGCTGCCATAACAAAATACCATGGACTGGATAGCTTAAAAACAGAAATTGTTTTCTCACATTTCTTTAGGCCAGAAGTTGAAGATCAAGGTTTCAACAGGGTTGATGTCTCATGAGGACTCTCTTCTTGGCTTTCAGACATTTACCTTCTCACCGTGTCCCCACATGGCCTTTCCTCTGTGCACCTAGAAAGAGAGAGAGAGAGAGAACTCATTTATTGCTGGTGAGAATGCAAAATAATTGTCACTTTGGGAGACAATCTGACAGTTTCTTATAAAACTAAGCATACTGTTAACATACAAGCCAGCAATCATGCTATTTGGTCTGTACCTAGAGGAGCTGAAAGCTTTTGTCTGCACAAAAGCCTACATGCTGATAATTATAGCTTTGTTCATAATCCCCACTACTTGGTTGAAGCAACCAAGATGTCCTTCAGTAGGCATATGAATAAACAAACTGTGGTGCATCCTAACAATGGAATATTCTTCAGCACTAAAAGGAAATGAGCTATAAAGCCATGAAAAGACATAGAGTAATCTTAAGAGCACATAACAAAGTTAAGGAAGATAACCTGAAAAGGCTCCACACTATATGATTCCAACCACGTGACATCCTGGAAAAGTCAAAAACATAAAGACACTAAAAGGATCAGTAGTCACTAGGGTTTGGACTGGGAGAGAGGAAAGAGAGATGACCAGGCAGAGCACAGAAGATTTTTAGGGCACTAAAAATCCTCTATCTGATACATAATAATGGGTTCATGTCATTATATCTTTGTCCAACCCTATAAAATGTCTAACACCAAGAATGAACACAATGCAAATTCTGGGTGACAATGGTGTGTCAATGTAGGTTCATCAGTTGAAACAAATATACCACTCTAGTGGGGGATATTGATCATGGTAGAGATTATGCATGTGCTGAGACAGGGGAAATATAGGAACTCCGTACTTTCCTCTCAATTTTGATGTGAACCTAAAACTGTTCCAAAAACAAAATCTTTTAAAAAATGTCAGAAGCACTGAGAATATAATTTGAGAATCATATTGTCTCTGAGTGTACGGTTCCTACTTAGAATTTTGCACTGTATTTGCTTTCTCCAGAGCTGCATCACTGATCATGGCTAGCTTGTTATTTACTATGACACATAGCTGTGTTTCTGTCACACTTGCACATATTGTATTTTTGCATTTTAAAATTATTTTCCTCTCTAGTTATATTTCCTTCATCTTATCTTTAATGCATCTTGTCCTGTGTGTCTTTCTATTCTTAGAGGTCATTTTAAATTGTTACCCTATCCTCTCAGTTTTAAGCCACATCCTTTTTTCCTCTTGCTGTTTAATGTTATCTGAAGTTAAGGTGCACAGTTGATATTCTACTACCTTGATTTCAGAGTTTTTTCAGGTAAATGATTCACAGCTTAACACTGACCACGCATTTCTAAAAAATAAATGTAATTGATGCAGTAATCATTCTGGTTCACTTTAATTGATGACAGCATAGAACTTAAACTCATGTTTTTGTGTAAAGACTTCTAAATTTTTTCAATGGCTCCACACTACTGAAGTAAGTCCAATTTACTTTTGTTCTCATATTTGCCATTGTCTATTATTTGATCCCAATGTGTTTTTTTCAACTTTACCTCTCACCATTTTTCTAGCCCATGAAGACTGGATGGTGAGAAGTTGATGGAGAAAGGAAATTAAAGTGGAATAGATGAAACCGAGGATTTCTTTCATTAATGCATGCATTCACATATCCACTCAATATTTATTAATCATCTGCTATATGCTAGATATTTTGCAGGCCTTAGAGACAAAAGAATGTAATGACATGATTAAGTTATGTTTTGGATGGAAATTATTGGAAATGCAGTTGGTTTACACTGTAGAGAGAGTGACCAGAAATATCTAGCCTAGGGCATTACACATGAATAGAAGTTAGTTGGAAGGGGACAGAGTTTAAGAGTGAGTCGAAAAAGGGAATGACATGAACAACAGTTTGGAGGAAAAAGAGAAAATGCCTCATCTTTAAAACTGAAAGAAAGTTTTAGTATCTAGTAAAGAGTGCCATGAGATGGAATAGGAAAGGTCAGCTCATGAAATCCTTCATGAACTCAGTTAAGAATTCAGAATGTGGAACAAGAGCATCTACATAAATGGTTGTGCCATATACTGTGATTAATAGCACAAAAAGAAAATCTTCTTTGGATGGCGATAATGTTTACTTTAGTTTGGTGGAGGGAAAATGAAGATGAAGTCATTGTTTCAACTGGAGATGCCAAGTAGTTTATGAACTATATGGGTCTGGTATTTGATCTAGATTAGAGATAAAGATTTGGGACTTACCATCAAGCTGCTAATAAAAGCCATGCTAGTGGAGGAGATGCCACAGTGAATGTGCTTGAATTTCTCATGTCGTATCGAAGTCTAGAGGTCAGCAGAACAAGACTGGAAATTTCTGTCAGGGATCCACGCCTCATGATACTTCTGGTTTTTATTGCCCGTTAAAATGTGGCCACTGCTTTGGACATTATGATGCACCATTGAGATCTCCACTATTGAAAGGTTTTTTTTTTTTTTTTTTTTTTTTTTTTCCTGGTTGTTGAACTATCAGCCCCTTAAGGGGTTGTTTCAGCTGCGAAGAGCTTCTTTTCCCATGGTCGCATGCCTTGCCAGGGTAACCCATAGCCAGTGAATAAGCAATACAAGAGTATAAAGCCATGACCACTTCAAACCACCATGAAACTGTTCTGAAGGGCAGCTCCAAATCCACAGATCTCCAGAGTCTGCGAGGGGTTATCATGGGCCTCCATCTCTGTTCGACTTCTTCCTCTGTCCAATCCTGTTTCTTTCCCCACATTCTACTGAGAATGATATAACAAGCCCTATTAATAAATATCCTGCATGCCAAACTCCATTTCAGCGTCTGCTCAGGGAAAACTCAACCTGTGATTTCTGAAGTCCAAGATGGCTTCTCCAGCTGCTAAAATTAGGTCCAAATTCTAATCAATAAGAAGGAATAAAAAAGGGATAATAGCTGAACTCTTTCTTTCTACATTTCAGCAATTCCAGAGATTATATAGACATATAGCCTGGTGTCCAGAACTTAGTTTCAAGACTGCAGGTAGCTGAAAACTAGACTGAAAAAAAGTAATTTTAATTTTGATTTACCATGTACCCAGATAGAATTGTCTCTATGATGTCTCTTTTCCTTTCTTCATTATGAGAAAATGTCTTAAGCCCTTGTCAGTCATCTGAGTGATGTTTGTAAAGTCAAGCTGTGAATCGAAAAGGTGGGAAAAAAAATGAGGAGAGTATACCTTTGTATCAGTGGCTAAATACTGTTATTTTTCCAAAGAAAAATACGACAGTTTCTTATTCAGCTAAGAATTTCTGATATTGAGTCCAATGTTTGGTTTATTTTAAAAATAAGTTATTCAGCTGTATACAGATGAGGTTTTACAAATTGCATTAATGACATATTTAATATACTTTTACTCACTCTTTACTATGTACCAGATGCTATCCTATGCATTACATTAGGTTCAAAAGCTTTGCCTGAGTGATTTTAGAACACATAGATTCACTTTGAACTCTTAGGTTTGCCATTGTTGAAAGGGAAATGATATTTCTCTCAGAACATTTATTGCTATGCGTGATTATGTCTTATGCCTCAGCCATGCTCTATCCCATGAGGGACAAAAAAGCCAGTTGAAGAGATAACATGTAAATATATGAGTAGTTAATTAACAGATGTCATCACGTAATAGCCCAATTTGCGACACATTTACACTGAGGTTTGTGTCTCTATAAGGAACTTATGAATGTCTAAATCTGCATACTTTTCATACAAAAATAAGCCCATATCAAAATATGCCCAGGTCTCTGATGCCAAAGGGTGTATTTTTCATTTGAACTCATTTGAACATATTCCACCTACTGAGACTGATTTGTGCTTTTAACAAAACACTTAATTTTCTTCTACTGCTATCTAACAGATAACAGGAGACCAGCTTATCAATCCAAACTGTTAGGCTACATATACTTGCAATGAGATCAATCATCAACTGTATACATATTTATATAGACAGAGACACACACACATAGACAGACACACACACAAAATACTTTTCATTTTCCTCTACTGCTATCTAACAGATACCAGCAGATCAGCTTATTAATCCAGACTGTTATGCCAGATATACTCGCAATGAGATCAATTACCAATTATATATATGTGTGTGGATAGATAGATGTGGTTATATTTGGAGGGTTCATTATTCAGCCTACCATATTATGTAAGGCACATGATAATCTAATAATCTAAAAGTAATAGCATATCCTGGGAAAAGGTATTTCTTTTTTTTTTTTTTTTTTTTTGAGACAGAGTCTCCCTCTGTCACCCAGGCTGGAGTGCAGTGGCGAGATCTCGGCTCACTGCAAGCTCCGACTCCCAGGTTCAAGAGATTCTCCTGCCTCAGGCTCCTGAGTAGCTGAGACTACAGGCGCCTGCTACCACGCCCGGCTTATTTTTTTTTTTTTTTTTTTTTGTATTTTTAGTAGAGACGGGGTTTCACCGTGTTAGCCAGGATGGTCTCGATCTCCTGACCTCGTGATCCGCCCACTTAGGCCTCCCAAAGTGCTGGGATTACAGGCGTGAGCCACCGCGCCCGGCCAGGCAGAGGTATTTGTTTACCAATATTCCAGGATCCTTTATTACTTTTTGCAAACATTACTCTCTTTGCATTTTTGAAGCACATGTTTTCTTGATGTTGACTTAACCTCCCAATATTCTGCTTTCATCTTTATATTTCTACTCTTTTGCCCATGGGCACACATTTGCTAGGTAGTGTCCTTGACATAAAAGTGCTGTAACCTGGAGATGCTCACATAGTTATCAGTTATGAGAGATTTGTAAGTAAAGGAAGTGACAATCCCTCAGGGTGGAAACCCAGCCTCTGTTTTTTTATATATTTATAGAAACATGTTTTTCTAAACATGCTCCTTTTAGTCTGCAAGTTTCAGTATGCTCCTTTCAGTTTGAAAGTTCTCAACTATTAAGATTTTTCCTTGCAATTTCCTTTTTATACACTAGATAAAGGAAAAATTGCATACAATAGTAAGTTTTAGATTATTGTGTGCATTACATAATGTAGTAGGTTGAAAAATGGAACCTCCAAATATAACCACATCCTAACCATGGAACCTGTGAGTGTTATCTTACATGGCATAAAAAGGGTTTGGAGATCTGATTAAATTAACAATCCTCAGATAAGGTGATTATTCTGAATTATCCAAATGGGCAGGTCTTAAATGCAATCACATGTACCCATATAAGAAAGAGATTTAACACAGGCTACAGAAGAAGAAAACCATATGAAGGAATCAGCAGGAAACAATCAGAGAGTGAAGCTATGCTGCTGACTGGAAGATGCAGGAAGGGCTCATGGGTCAGGGAATGCAACCCTACAAGCTGAAACAATTCTCCCTTAGTGCCTCCAGAGGTAGCATAGCCCTTGGTTTCATCCCAAGGAAACTGATTTTTCACTTCTAGCTTCCAGAAATGTAAGAAAACATATTTGTCATGTTTGAAGCCATAGAATCTGTGGAAATTTGTTATAACAGCTATTAGAAACTAATATACTTGCTGTATAATAAATGAACACTGTAAATCCTTACAGGTCACAGAATATTCAGAGAATAAATTTTCATAATTTTGGTTTTAAGAAGTTCTTGTTGTTACCTTAGCTTTTCAGAGAGTACACAGTTAAATTCTGATAAACAAATTCTAGTATATACTCCAGACATCTCTACAGTACATGGAATAATTCTACATTGAAACACTAACTACAATAATCATTATTGCAGAAGGACAATGCATCTGTGATTCTGGCACAAACAATTTAGGTACAATTTTCCCTCACATCATCCTTCTGATTGTTGTATATTATTTGCGTCTGAATGTTCTTAGAACTTCTTAGAAGATTCCATAAACATATGTTTTGTTAAAGCTCTACATTAAGTTTAGTTTGTATAGAAATGTAAAAAATTATAGACTTACATTTTCCTAGTACTTTTTATGTACTTTGCAATGCCTAAATAAATTAGATGCTGCTAGAAGCAAATTTTAGTTGCTTTTTCTCAGTTTTAAATGATTTTCTTATTTTGTTTTCTGACAAAAGTTGTGTAGCCTATTTCGGACACTCCAGCATGTGGAAAATAGCTTCATAAGATAAAAATTAAAATAATTAAAACCGTGTAATTAGAAAAACTAAATAAAATTTTTGAAAGTTAATTTGCAACACCTATAATTGCCAATGTGTGATAGAGTAACAGTAAGATTCCCTACAGCCATTGAAACATTAATTGATGACAAATGATTCAGTGATTGACTTTATTGCCTTCTTGCAGCTCCAATGTAGATTATGGTAATTAATATTAAAAATCATTTCCTATTTAACATTTTATGCTGACACAAATCCTTTATTGGTTCATTTGAGAGCTCTTTCTTAAATTATGCCATTGACTGCCTACTTAGCACAACAAGTAATGGAGCATCTAATAATTACGACAGTGAAACATGAACCTTATTTTAAAAATTTTTAATGATGGAAATGATTAAAAACCATAATCTTACTTTAGATAACAAGCTGACCAATAGATACCACAGTCTTTATTGAAATGTTTCTCTTGCTGATCCTCTGACACACTTCCTTGCATGGGCTATGCCATTTTTTTCAATATTTTCCTCCTGATATGGTTTGACTGTGTCCACACCCAAATCTCAACTTGAAATATAACTCCCAGAATTCCAATTTGTTATGGGAGGGACCCAGAGGGAAGTAATTGAATCATGGGGGGTTGGTCTTTCCCATCCTATTCTCATGATAGTGAATACGTCTCATGAGACCTGCTCAGTTTATCAGGGGTTTCTGCTTTTGCTCTTCATTTTCTCTTGCTGCCACCATGTAACAAGTGCCTTTCGCCTCGTGCCATTATTCTGAGGCCTCCTCAGCCACGTGGAACTGTAAGTCCAGTTAAAACTCTTTTCCTTCCCAGTCTTGGATATGTCTTTATCAGCAGTGTGAAGATGGACTAATACCGTAAACTGGAACCAGTAGAGTGGGGCATTGATGAAAAGATACCCAAAAATGTGGAAGTGACTTTGGAACTAGGTAACAGGCAGGAATTGGAGTAGCTTGAAGGGCTCAGAAGAAGACAGGAAAATGTGGGAAAGTTTGGAATTTCCTAGAGACTTGTTGAATGGCTTCACCCAAAATGCTGAAAGTGATATGGACAATAAAATCCAGGCTGAGATGATCTCAGATGAAGATGAGGAACTTGGGAACTGGAGCAAAGAGAGTGGTGACATTTTGCCCCTTCCCTAGAGACTTGTGGAATTTTGAACTTGAGAGAGATGATTTAGGGTATGTGGTGGAAGAAATTTCTAAGTAGCAAAGCATTCAAGAGGTGACTTGGGTGCTGTTAAAGGCATTCAGTTTAAAAAGGAAAGCAGAGCATGAAAGTTTGGAAAATTTGCAGCCTGACTATGTGATAGAAAAGAAGAAACCCATTTTCGGGGGAGAAATTCAAGCCAACTGCAGAAATGTTCATAGGTAGCAAGAAGCCTAATGTTAATCTCCATGACCTTGGAGAAAATGTCCCCAAGACCACAGGGAAAATGTTCTCCATGTCAGAGACCTTCGCAGCAGCCCCTCCCATCACTAGCCCTGAGGCCCAGGAGAAAAAAGCAGTTTTGTGGGCCGGGCCCAGGGTCCTCGTGCTATGTGCAGCCTAGGAACTTGGTGCCCTAGGAACTTGTGTTCCAGGAACTTGGAACACAGCCTAGGAACTTGTGTCCCAGTTGTTCCAGCCATAGCTGTAAGGGACCAACATACAGCTCATGCTGTGGCTTCAGACAGTGGAAGCCCCAAGCCTTGGCAGCTTCCACGTGGTGTTGAGCCTGTGGGTGCACAGAAGTCAAGAATTGAGGTTTGGGAACCTCCCCCTAGACTTCAGAAGATGTATGGAAACACCTGGATGTGCAGGCAAATTTTGCTTCAGGGGCAGGGCTGTCATGAAGAACCTCTGCTAGGGCAGTGCAGAAGGGAAATGTGGGGTTGGAGCCCCCACACGGAGTCCCTACTGGGGCACTGCCTAGTGGAGCTGTGAGAAGAGGGCCATCATCCTCCAGAGCCCATAATGGTAGATCCACTGATAGCTTGCTTCAGGTGCCTGGGAAAGCCACAGACACTCAACACCACCACATGAAAGCAGTCAGGAGGGAGGCTGTACCTTTCAAAGCCACAGAGGCTGAGCTGCCCAAGACCATGGGAACCCACCTCTTGCATCAGCGTGACCTGGATTTGAGACATGGAGTCAAAGGAGATCATTTTGGAACTTTAAAATTTGACTGCCCTGCTGGATTTTGGACTTCCATGGGCCCGTAAACACTTTGTTTTGACCAATTTCTACCATTTGGAATGGCTGTATTTACTCAATACCTGTACCCCCATTGTATCTAGGAGGTAACTAGCTTGCTTTTGATTTTACAGGCTCATAAGCAGAAGGGACTTGCCTTGTCTCAGGTGAAACTCTGGACTGTGGACTTTTGGGTTTATGCTAAAATGAGTTAAGACTTTGCGGGACTGTTGGGATGGCATGATTGGTTTTCAAATGTGAGAACATGAGATTTGGAGGGGCCTGGGTGGAACAATATGGTTTGGCTGTGTCCCTACTGAAATCTCAAATTGAATTGTGTCTCCCAGAATTACCATGTGTTGTGGGAGGGACCCAGGGTAAGTAATTGAATCATGGGGGCTGGTCTTCCCTGTGCTATTCTCGTGATAGTGAATAAGTCTCACGAGATCTAATGGGTTTATCAGTGGTTTCCACTTTTACTTCTTCCTCATTTTCTCTTGCCACCACCATGTAAGAAGTGCCTTTCATATCCTGCCATGATTCTGAGGCCTCCCCAGACATGTGGAACTGTAAGTCCAATTAAAACTCTTTTCCTGGCCGGGTGCAGTGGCTCATGTCTGTAATCCCAGCACTTTGGGAGGCCGAGGTGGGCAGATGAGTTGAGGTCAGCAGTTTCAAGACAAGCCTGGCCAACATGGCGAAAACCCATCTCTACTTAAAATACAAATATGGGCCGGGTATGGTGGCTCACACCTGTATTCCCAGCACTTTAGGAGGCCGAGGTGGGCGGATCACAAGGTCAGGAGTCGAGACCAGCCTGGCCAACATGGCGAAACCCCGTCTCTACTAAAAATACAAAAATTAGCTGGGCGTGGAGGCGTGTGTCTGTAATCCCAGCTACTCGGGAGGCTGAGGGAGGAGAAATGCTTGAACCCAGGAGGCAGAGGTTGCAGTGAGCCGAGATCATGCCATTGCACTCCAGCCTGGGTGACAAGAGCAAGAATCCATCTCAAAATAAGTAAATAAATAAATAAATAAATAAAAATAAAATACAAATACAAATATTAGCTGGGTGTGTTGGTGCGTGCCTGTAATCCCAGCTACCTGGGAGCCTGAGGCAGGAGAATCGCTGGAGGCGGAGGTTGCAATGAGCCAAGATCTTGCCACTGCACTCCAGTCTGGGCAACAGAGTGAGACTCTGGTCTCAAAAACAAACAAACAAACAAACAGACAAAAAAACCCTTTTACTTCCCAGTCTCAGGTATGTCTTTATCAGCAGTGTGAAATGGACTAATACACCTCCATTCCTTATTTTAAAAAGATGAATTTATCTCCTACCTCGCTGAAGTCCTTGAGCTTAAAATGTTTTAGATCCCTACCCTGTATTTCCTAATAAACCTTTCCTTATCCTAGTTCACTCCTGATCTCTCATATCAAGATGGGGATCTCTGCTCTCATCACATATGTCTCAGGGAAGACAATCCATTCAGCATCTTCTCCTCTACCTCTGTGCTTAAATTTCTATTAAATTAATAGAAATTCATTAATTTAAATTTCTGTATTACTTCCTGTATTCCTGCCTCTAAATATGTTCTAGTTTGTCTTATCCTGAAAGTTTTCTTCTTTAGATCCTTAAATTTATCTGTTTCTTTTCTTTCTCTGAAAACATTTTGAAATGTAGACATATCTTGCTTTCACTGGGTCATTATCTACTCACTTTTCAAACTCTTTTTTTTTTTTTTTTTTTTGTGAGATAGAGTCTCGCCCTGTCTCCCAGGCTAGAGTGCAATGGCGCGCTCTCTGCTTACTGCAAACTCCGCCTCCCGGGTTCCTGCCATTCTCCTGTCTCAGCCTCCCAAGTAACTGGGACTACAGACGCCCGCCACCGCGCCTGGCTAATTTTTTTGTATTTTTTAGTAGAGACGGGGTTTCACCGTGTTAGCCAGGATGGTCTCGATCTTTTGACCTCGTGACCCGCCCGCCTCAGCCTCTCAGAGTGCTGGGATTACAGGAGTGAGCCACCGCGCCTGACCATTACCCATGCTCTTAATCATGATTTGTGTTTCCTCTTGGCCAAATCCTGTGTTGGCCTATCTCACTTATAATAAGACGGGGACTGCTGTCCTCCAGAAAATGTTAACTAAAAGTACTGAATTCTTCATGGCATATGCTGAATACATGGGCTGATCATAGATACAATTCACATAAAGGTGAGCTACGGGACACTGTGGACTGGGCTGGCTAGAGAAAGCTTGCAAAAAGAGTGGGAACTGATAACGCTTGGGATTAGGAGTAAAAGTCATAAAGTAAGGGTGAGGGAAAGGATACGGGGTGGGGGGGGCATTCCATTTGAGAACTTCAGAAAAGAGGTGACAAGGTAGGAATATAAAAGGAATATTTAGAGGTCAGCCTTGGAGGAGATAATGATTTTTATGCCTAGGAATAGTGGAAAATAAGTTTGGGAATGTAGTTGGGGCATAGATTTGGAAAAGTGCGAGAGTACACATTTGAATATGATATTGTAGAAAACTGAAGACGGTTAAAAGGAGTGATGGCAAACAAGCAGGAATTTAGAAAAGTTAATGAGATGGGTTTTATTTATGCTTTTTGGGTAGGTCTACAGGGAGAGTCTAATGCTTGGGAATCGTTAAAGTGGTCATTACAACAGTCTAAATGTGGTGTTGGAAGCAGATATTTACCAGCAATATAGATGCTTTAGAAGAGAGTTCACAGTTCTTGAGAAGCTACTGAAATTTGTGTCAAGGTAAAGTGAGGTTTTAAAAACAGCTTCTGGAATTAACCTAAATGAATGGAAGAATATGAGTCCTACTGAAAGAAATGGGATTCTCTCTATATATTATAAAAATTTGACTGATGACTACAGTAGAAATTGTGCATCAGTTGAAGAAAGAAATAGCTAATGCTCATAGTAAGAACAGCAGCCAGTGGCTTTGCATATTTATCACCAGAGCTTCTGAAAATTATTTTTATTTTTCATTTCTTTTTTCTCCTTCTCCTTTCATCTCTTTCTTCTACTTTCCTTCCCTTCCCTCCTTTCTTTAATTTCCACTTTTCCTTCTTCTCTCCCTTTCTCCCTTCCTCAGTATTTTTAATTTGTGTTTAAAATAAATATTTATTAAGCATTTATTCTGGGACTGTAGTTTTTCTATTTTATCTCTGGGTCAGTAACAAGCCTTGTAAATTAATTCAACACTGGGACTGGGTATTTGAGCTTTGGATCATGAAGTCAGCCTGTTCAGTCTGATAAACTACCACTTCGTTTACATAGATAATGAAAATATCAAGTCCATTATTAAGATAAATTAGAAATGAATGTATGAATTATTGGGTGCAATAAATAAATCTGCATATTAAAGAAATCTATGGACCAAAATGTATTACAATCATATATCAAAAATAAAGCTTGTGTACATGGGTGCATGTGCATGTGGTTTTATCTTGTGACTGTGTGGGGACACAAAACCAATTATTGTCTTTTGAATCAATTTTCCCTGACAGTTTAGATTTAAGCTTGATGACATTTTGAACCTATTTCAGCCCATTTGGAATAAATTTATCAATTTCAACTCACATCTTCTTGATAAAACCAAATTTGTATCCCTATTTCTCCACTAATGCATGGACCATTATTGATGTTCCTTCTCTCCACTTTGCAGGATCTTAAAGTTTTTCCTTTTATGCTTCTTAAGATTTGATTACTAGCATTGTGAATACTGTATGTTTCTCCTCATCTTTCTCCAGGGTAAAGATCTGAACGTCTTTGTCAGTTCATACAAACTTTGAATATTGTTGCCAAGCACATGATAGATATCAGAACTGGGTGTATTTCATGATCAGGTGAATTGAATTAGCTTATCAGATGAATGGTTACTTAATTTGTTTTGTGAAGGAAAGCTAACTGGGTTAGGTGACTTCCAACCAAAGGTGAATTTAAGGACACATGATTCAAGCCTTGAAATATTACAGAAAGTATGCCATGTTTAGAAATAAAACTGAATGATTTTTATTATAAATACTAATATCATTTTTATGTTCTCTGTAGTTCACTTCCTGCCTTGCCAACGCCTTTAGGCTATTTTGCGTTCCCCATATGTGGGAATGGATATTTTTAGCATTAAGCAGAAAAGAGTCACAGATAACAGTGTTTTCCAAGTCCCAGGGTGAGAAAGAAGCCAGGGATGATGCCCTTGGCCTTTCAATTGGCTTGAAAGTAGCAGCAAGAGCAGCAGAATCTGAATGAAGTCAGTAGACAGGAAAGGAGAATGCTTTAATGACAACCTGAAAGAATGAGTGACTGAAGACCAAATGGGATCAATAAAATCTCGGAAGATACTCAGATGAACAGATTACTTCAGGGCTAGGAGATTCCAACAACATCTCAGTACTAAGTAAGCACCCCAGTTTGAGTGAGTTCGGGTTGAAATGCATATCAAATTTCAAAAGAAAACAATAGGCTCATAAGGGTTGTATACCTTATTGCCATATTCTAACTGGGCTTTGACAGTGAAATATTGAGTTACCACTTTTTAAAATGACCTGACATTGCAGTGTCTATAGTTTTTATTCAAATGACCTAATTTCCTTTTTATTCATTTACTAAGCATTTCTTATTTTCCCTTCTTTTGCAGTGTAGGTTATGTTAGTCGTAATATTTACTATAAAAATTGTATTATCTGGTAATGGTAATAGTAGTAATAGTAGATAATAGGGGTAATAGCAATTATAGAAATAGCAGCAATAGTGCCAAAGGTGGCAGAAAAACACCTAAAAATTTTGAACAGCCATTAGGCGAAGCACTTTCTCTATCAACTGTGCTAAGCATTTTCTATAGAGTAACTCATTTAATATTCTCAGCAACTCTTGAGGTAGGTGAGATTTTACCCTGTTATATAAATGAGAAACCTTAGGTTCAAAAAAATTAAGCCACTTCCTCACGTTATTCAGATGATGAGTGTGAGCTATAATTCCCATGGAGAGCTTGCTCTCCCAGGCCCCCTAGTAGACAGCATGATATGAAGGAGAAAAATTAGGCAGGCAGCAAATGTTAGCTCTTTCCCTGACTGTTACAGTGGCTTTTGAACTTTGGCAGGTCACCAGTATCTGAAGAACTTCTTGAAATGTGGATTGCTGGGCTTTTCCCCCAGGTTTCTGATTAATTAAGACTGGAAGAAGGCCCCAAATGAACATTTCTAGCAAGTTCCCAGGTGACACTGCTGCATCTTGTCCAAGGCTCACACTTTGAGAACCTCTGTTATAGGTTTAGATACGTGAACAAAACCCATGAAGGTAAAGTGGTCTTATTGAAGGAAGTGTCGGCACTATTTATACTTGGATAAGGGCATGTGATCATCTAATTTGATCATATCTATTCACACAGTTACGACCACTTCTGTATACATAAATATAATATAAAGATGAAATATATGGTGCTTGTTGTTAAGAACCTTAAAATCTGGAGAATGAAGGCAAATCTATAAGCAAATAAGGCACCAAAGCTTATACATGTTTTGCAAAAAGGCAAAAATGTATATATGGCATAAAAACAAAGTATAAATTTTCTACTTGAATTGGAGTATGCAGTGGGGAGTAAGATAGAAAAGTTAGATAGAGAATTTGATGTCTTAGCTAAATGCTGAAAACCAAGAAGATTTGCACTAATCACTAATCACATAGAACAAGGGCTTAGGATAAAGTGTGGGATGGAGGGAGAATGATGTTATAGATAGTGAAGAATGTGAAAGCACCAGATTAACATAGTCATGTATTTAACTAAAGCATTTGAACTTCATGCTGTACACAATAGTGAACCTTCAAATGTTTTTTAATGAGTGTAAATTATTATCCACTTTGTAACTTATACAGCATGGTCTGACAAGTTTGAAGAGTTTACTGTCCAAGAGGCAGATCAAGATCAGGATGATTAATTTTACTAACGAATTAGTCCTAAGGAAAGATGAGTTCCCACACAAGGAAGTGGTAATGTATACATAACAAGGACTGAATTTGACAGCTGATTAAGAAATGAGATTGACAGGATTCTTAAAAGTGTCTCTCACTGGTGTTGATAGGTACTAAATAAAAAATGAATCAGGTTCTAGCTGAAAATTATATAGTCCAGTGGTTCTCAAACTTCAGCATATTAGAATTATATGGGCACTTAAAGCATACTAATATACAGGCCACACCACTTTCAATCTACTCAGAATCTTTGGAATCATTAGTAATTCCCAAGTGATTCAAATAATAATGGTGCTATTTAATAAATAGAGAACAGATCTGTAATATGGATCAGACTTGTAAAGAATGCAGAGAGAGGAAGAGTTGGAAGATATAGGAGAGGAAATGAGATAACTGAAAAACAAATTGCCTGGAGACAATAGAAGAATAGAGAATGAAAAACACAGGTCGAAATACTAAACCTCAAATTCGAGAAGGTATGCTTCAGTTTCTGAGATTAAAGGAAAGTAGGTAATGCTCAAGCACTTAGAAAAAAACTAATAGGAAACTTTAATTTCATGTATTTGGAGTCTAGTCTTGAAAGTCACCTCCGATGCTAGAGCACAACCCAAATTTTGTATTTTCCCTTATAAACTTAATAGGTGATACAAATATGTGTTAGAAATCAGTCTAGGATACTTTGACATATGTCAGTGACTGAGGAACGGGCATGCAAGGAATGTTTAAAGAAATATTTAATTTTTTGAAAGAAGCTATAAGCATAGCAGTTTATGTAAAAAAGAAAATTCCAATAAAATATACAAGCCCAAAGTATACTATATCCATGGGTTTCTTTCTGCTTGTGGGTTGTATTTTGTAATCACTACCCAAAAGCATTGTTTTCAAGCCTATTTTTTTATCAAGAAAAGTTTGTCCAAAAAGAATTACATAAAAATTTAAAATAACAAATAAAAAACCAACTAGAATGGCTCTAGCCCAAGCTATGAAAGGAAGTCATTGCTCCTACCTGCCCATATCTCCACTACAGATTGATGGTCAGTGACTGAGAGTATATCAAGTTTTTTTCTGAGAAATCAATTGAATAAAACTTGGGATTGAATGAAACCTGTCTTTTTTAACAAAATGCAGGACAAGCATAAAATTTACAGCTATTCTTTTTAATATGGTAGCTACTAACTACATGTGGTTATTAGGTCTTTGCAATATAGATAGTTAAAAAGATAGTCTGCACATTTGATTTTATACACATAGTAAAACAGAAGGATAAAATGCATTAATAATATTTACTGTATTGATTACATATTGAAGTAACACTATTTTGAATATATTAGATTAAATGTAATATATTGTTAAAACTAAGTTCATCTCTGTCTTTTCTACCCTTTAAATGCAGCTGCCAGAAATTTAAAATTAAATATGCATCTCACATTTTGTCTTTATTAGACAGTGCTAATCTCTAAGCATTTGGGCTTTAGGGAACATCAATGAATATTAAGTTGGAACTTAATTTAGCTTATGGAGGATGGTCCCAATTAGCTGTTTTCAAACTCTTTATATATTTTTAGGATTGAATCAAAAGTTTATTTAGAGAAGGAAATGTTTTAAAGTTATTGCTGCTATAGAATACTTTAAAAATTATAAATTACCAATACAAAAGGTACATTATATTTTTCTTTCATCTCTATTTTTCTTCAGTAGCTTTTGTGATTTTTAATAAAGTCTTGCCTCTCCATATGTATATAATTTCAAATATATTTTTCTTTATCCCTTTTTATCCTCAGAATAACTCTGTGATAGGAAATAAATTATCTTCACTTTAGCTTTACCTTTCCTTTACTAATCTGCCTATATGCAGGGAGCAGAGCATCTTACAGCAACATTTCTTCATTATAATTTAGACATTCATTCAATAATCAGTCAAGAGATTTGTCTTATTTTTGCATAATTGATATAATTTTGAAAGGCTGACTGTCCTCAATATTGTTCTTTTGGAGCCCAACATGCTACTTATTCATCTATGGGAATTCACCGTGACAGGCAATGCAGCCATTGAACTTTGGATAGTACATCTGTGCCTATTAGAGATAATGCCATTGAAAAGCTCCTCTTTAGAAACACTGAAGACAAGAATGCACCCCAAACTACGCTGGGGAAAAAGATGGTATTACGAAGTCAAAAATTTCTAACTTTCTTAAATAATGCCCCACATCTTCAAAAAGCTTGGCTACAGCCCTGAATTGAGGTCTTCTTCAATGAAACAATCTAGAAGTTCTAGCTGTGTACTAAGGTCACCACTGAACCAAGTGAGCTGTGCTCACAATTGCCTGCTGGTGGAAACGATCAGTGGTGTGAGCCAATACTTGCATGTGCTAGATGACCTTATTTGAACAGTGCGTTTTTAACTTCATAGACGTGTCTCCATAGCATAATTACTTTGAAAACCTCTGTATCAGTTTTCTAATGCTGCTGTTATAAATTACCACCGACTCGCTGGCAGAAAACAATACAAATGAATTATCTTGCATTTCAATGAGTTAGAAGTCTGACATAGGCCTCACTGGGCTAAAATCAAAGTGTCAGTACCTACTGCACTGTGTTCTGGAGACTCTGAGGGACAATCTATTTTCTTGCTTTTTCTGGTTTCTAAAAACCATTCGCATTCCTTAGCTCATGGCCAGCTTCCATCATCCTCAAAACCAGTGCCTTTGCATTTGTCGACTCTTCCTCTGATTACAAATGGGAAAGGATTCCCACTTTTAAAGAGTGTGTGTGTGTGTGTGTGTGTGTATGACTGTATGTGTATGAGTGTGATTAGATCAGACTCAAGATAATTTCCATATCTCAAGGGCCTTTGCTTATTTTTACAAAACCTTTTTTTTCTGTATTGGATAATATATTAATATCAACAAGATCTAGTGATTAGAATGGAGACATCTTTTTAAAGGGGATTGCATTACACTGCCTACAGCCTCCTCTACTGCTCTGAGTATTTTGATAGGAACTATATCTCTCACTAGCAGGGATCCTTTTTCCTTTCATTTTATATAGATATTCTGTCAAAAAAAATGTCTCAGCCCATAGGACAATAAAATACCTATTTAAAAGCCATTTATCTTATAATGGCACCCTTAAGTCATCTGAATATCCATTGAAACCAAGATTGAGCTTAGTATAAATAACATAGGTATATAAGGAAAGTTGGTTAAAAGTAAAATTGTGTGGGTTTTTTTTTTTGTTTGTTTTGTTTTGTTTTTTGTTTGTTTCTGAGGCGGAGTCTCCTCTGTTGCCCAGGCTGGAATGCAGTGGCACGATTTGGGTTCACTGCAACCTCTGCCTCCTAGGTTCAAGCAATTCTGCCTCAGCCTCCCGACTAGCTGGGATGACAAGCACATGTCACCACGCCTGGCTAATTTTTTTTTTGTTTTTAGTAAAGATGGGATTTCATCGTGTTACCCAGGATGGTCTCCATCCCCTGACCTCTTTATCCGCCTGCCTCGGCCTCCCAAAGTGCTGGGATTACAGGCGTGAGCCACCACACACATCTTTAACACACATGTTATACATATGATATTTCATTGTCAAAAGCAATTTTCTAAAATTCCAAAAGATTTATCTTATTTGAGGTTCAAAATAATGGGATTAGGACATTCTTTACGTCTCCTATTGGATGGACCATTTTTAGGGCAGAGTAAATATTAAGCCATCATCAATTAAAACTTACTCACTGTATGAGTTAGGGTAATCCAGAGAACCAATAGCTCTATCAATTTATCATCTATCTCATCATCTATCTAGAAATATATTTTAAGAATTGACTCTAGCAATGTGGGGGCTAGTAAATTTGAAATTTGTAGCCAGCAACCTGGAAATTCAGGTAAAGGTTGGTTTTGCCATCTTAAATCTGAAATAGTCTGCATATGAGTCAAGAGGCTGGAAACTCAGGCATGGTTTCTATGTTGCCGTCTGGAGAAGAAATTACTTCTTCTCTGAGATTCTTCCATCTTGTCTTTTCATGCATTCAATACATTGAACGAGGCCCACTCTCCTTTTGGAGGGTAATCTGGTTTTCCTTTAATTCCTCTGATTGAAAATTTTAAAAACACACACAAATATCTTCACAGCAATATCTAGAAGGATGTATGACCAAACAACTGGGCATCATAGCCTAGTGAAGCTGACAGATAAAATTAACTGTCACATTTTCAGAAAGTATCATGGAATTAAAGCTTCCTCTGAAGAACTCATTATTTTTGTGAAAACCTTTTACAATCAAATACTATCTTACAAGCTATTGATTCAATAATTATCTATTAAGGGCTTACTACACTGTGTGTGTATGTGTGTGTATATGCACTAAATGTATCTCTTCAGTTTTTACTGCATGCTAGTTGCTGCATTTGGTCATATAAATATGAATGACACACTGTCCCTGACTTCAAGACAATTGTTGTTAATTATAAAGGTAAATGCATATAAAAAATCACAGTACAACATTCTTGGTGTTAAGAAGACTGGGAATGCACTGGCAGGGCTGCAGCATGAATGGAGTGCAACTAACACATCCTTGGGGAGTCATATTTGAAGGAACTGAAGAAACTGCAAATGAACAAAATAGGAAGTGGCAAAATAGGCAGATCATAGATCAAATAGCATCACATTCTATTGCCGGTTTATATAACTGAGTATTTTGGTATATCATGAAAGCAGGGCGGGATGTTAGGAACATAAGTGGAGTCGTATTGTGAAGAGCCTCGGATGTCAGACCACATTTTTCTTACAGGAATGAGAGGACATTAAGGTAGTAGCTGTTAACCAGTGAAAGACCCAGATTTGCCTTTGCAGTTCTTGAAAAGGCCATTTCCTTTGCAGAAAGAGACTCAATTCTTGCTCTTTCTCTGTCTTTGTGCTGCTATAACAAAATATCTGAGACTGGGCAACAGATAATGTAAATATGTAAATAAGTGGATATAGAAATGTTATAAATTTATTTCTTGTAGTTCTGAAGGCTGGAAAGTCTAAGATCCAGTCACTAGCTGGTCTGGTGTCTGGTGAGGGCTGCTCTCAGCTTTCTGGGATAGTACCTTGCTGTTGTGTCCTCTGAAAAGGACAAACACAGTGTCCTCACATGGCAAAGGCAGAAGGGCAAAAAAACCCCCAAAAATCCTAGAACGCAAAAAAAAAAAAAGAAAAAAAGAAAAAGCCGAATGCTGTTTGAAGCCTCTTTTATATAGGCCTTAATCCCATTCATGAGAGTTTCACCCTCATTGACTTAAACATGTCTCAAAAGCCCCATCTTTTAATACCATCACAGTGGGAATTAAGTTTCAACACATAAATTTTGGAGAACACGTTCAGACCATGGCACTCCCCACACACGGTGTGTGAAAAAGAGAACATGAACATTCGCATTCAGCAATTCCAAATATTAAGGGTTGAGTCTAATTTTTAATTACTATTGTAACTTTTTAGTAACTTACAAAGACACTTCTGATTTATAGTACTGCCAAGAATGACAACATTTAGGGCTGTAAATCACGAGAGAAGAATAACTCCTTTTCTTTGTCTAGTCTCATGCTAATTCTAATGGATCCAGGGCACAAAATATAGAAATGAAATAATTTCCTCATTAAATATGTCTCCATAAAATGTGAAATGCATAGTAAAGATGAAAGTTTTCTTTTTTTCATCGTGACTGGTTTCATAAGGTTCAACTTTACTGAAATGTTCTACTTTGGCTATAGGCACGTTAATGTATGAGTGTATTAATTTCTATGCTTCATAACAAATTATCATACACTTAGTGCCTTAAAACAACACACATTTTGTATTTCAGTTTCTGTATGTCGGAAACCCAACTATAGCTTAATTGGACCTCACCAGGCTGCAATCCAGGCATTGGTCGTGGCTTTAGTCTCATCAGAGGCTCTGCTGGGATCAGAGTCACCTTCAAGCTCTCTCTGGTTGTTGGCAGGATCAATCTTCCTGGATTTGTAGGACTGTGATTCCCATTTCCTTGACGGCCATAGCCTGCAGGCCTCTCTTGTCTCCTTTAAGTGCCTGAAGTTTTTATTTTTTTTATTTGCCACATTAGCCACTTTATAGATCCTCTCACAAATGGAAGCATACTTTCAAATCCAGCAAAGGTGAATTTTCACGTTCAGTCTGCTAGAATGAAGTCTTACATAATGTAACCACGGGAACCATGGCATAGGCGTTCCATCAACTTTGCCATATTATGTAAGCAAACCATAGGCATGACACGCCATTACTGTTGCCATGTTTGCCATATGCTAATGGTTAGAAACAAGTCACAGTTGCCACCTCCAGCCAAGGGACAGGGGTGGCAGGGAGAACACACAGAGGTGTGATATACCATGAGGAGGGAATTACTCGGGATCCTCTTGGGGAGGTCTGCCACAGTGAAACATAAAAACAGGTCATGTTGGTTATGTTGAAATATTTTGGAACCTCCATTCTTGAAGTATTCTGGATCAATATCTAACAGTTTTTTCTAGAATGCATTAATTGAGAAATATTTTTTTTAAATGTCCCAAACAATACATTCATCAAACTGCTAGGAAAAAAAAATGAGATTATACAACATTTTATTAAAAAGAAACTTAAACTTAACAAGGATTAGTAATCCGGGGGAATTCCAACAGCAAACAACACAGATAACTCTTTTCCTTTCATAGTCATATTTACATTATTTTATTTCGAACTAGATATTTTCCTTAATATATGTACAGCTTGGTTGCTTGGCTTGATTTTACATATATATGTATTCATGTATATGTGAATGTGTGCATAACTTTAAATATATATTTTTCAATATCTGAAAGCACTGAAATGGGAACTTTACTGTTATGGTGAATAGATATTTCTATGTTGAAATTTTGACTATCACAAATTTGCATTAAGAATATGTAAATCCAAAACAAGCTATATAATGATCTCAAACATTGCTTTTTTGCTACATTAAGTTTAATGGCTCAATCTCAAGCTCTCTGTAGGAGGGCAAGTATTTCCACCTCTGCAAGGCTTTGCAGAAAAGAAAATTTTGGTAGAATGGCCACACTCATATGCATACCTGGCAGCCAAGGGTACATGTGCTATATTCCCTATAACATAATGTGTCACTTCATAGTGAGAAAATGTCCACAGAAGAAGATGACCAATGCCCTACCAGGCTTCAAGACAGACAATGATTATGACTAGAATGAGATGATCCTGGAGCTTGTCAGTGGAACCTATGCATCAGTAGAAATGCTGTCTTGTTAACTATTAGATCTGCAAAACTATAACCAACAAGCTAAAGCTGTTCATGTTCTCCTGTAGAAATGCATCTTTTATGCTGTATTTACAATTATTATGCTGTGAGTCAGGATTTCCGTCTCACATCCATCACCCAATTGTGTAAATCCTGATTTGGGACAGAATTCCAATATTTATATGAAACATGAAAATGTGGATCATTTCTCTGTTGTTATGATATTTATCCAATGGCTCTGTTTTGTTCCACTTAGGGAAGCCTATTTAATTAAAAAAATACGTGCTGATTTGTGCATGATTTTGTCAGGAAGTTATTTGTTGTTATGGCTTTGTATTTTTGCTGTTATGTATGTACTCTCTCGGTACCTGGCTACACAAAATTAATGCTCCTAACTTATCCAGATCACTGTGTCTTGGTAAGCTTCTCCCATCCTGTTTCTCTTACTCTTCTGTGCCCATCTTCATATATGAACTAAAACAATCCTCTAATTTGCTTAATGTCTTTAAAGTGGAGTATGTACCTGAATCAAACAGAATATTTGCAAAACTTGTCACTCATATTTTGAGTTTCTACTTTAGTGTCTTAGTGCTTTCTCGATATGGGAGAATTCATGTCCTCCATTCAGAAGTATGCACTAAGTAAGAGGTATCATGTCTGGTTCTTGATTAGGTACTAATCTTGAAATACTATCCTACAGTAGGTTAGAGCACGTATATCTCCTGATAATATATTGAATATGATAGATTTAAATAATTGGTTAACTAAATACTAAAGCAAATTGCTGCACGTATCATTTATTATTCATTGTGTAGAAAGTGCCTGACTCAGTGTTTGGAAATTGTCTGACTTTTCCTCATATATAGTGTGGTTTCATGTTATTGTATATAAGACCTGACATGAACCCTGTTTACAATAATCTCCCAGTGCCATAAAGACCATAATAAATAATATAACCAATTGGTTTCTTTATGCTGTCATTTATTAGGGCATATGGCATTAGTGGAGGATTACCTTGTATTACCCATAGTGCTTAGAGTATGAATCACACATGCACCTTGAAGGAAAAGAGGTGCAATGTAATAAGAAACCAGATATTGAAAATGCAAGTTTTGTTATGTTATTCTGGGTATGTTAACCTTTATTCCTGCCCTCCATATGCACTGTAGCAAAGTCTGCCTATTCATGCTTCATCCCACCACTTCACAGCTATTGCTCCATCTGCCTTAGTGATTAAGCTTTATACTACATGAACTAGACTTCCCCTCCATGATCACACCAAAGCATTCAATTCAATTCACGGGTACTTACAGTCTACAGAATGGGCTTTGAAAGAGGATAATACCTAAGCACCTCTTGTTTCATAAAAATTTGAATTCAGGCTATGTAACTATAGTATAGTATAGACGTTTCTGGAAGATGATTAGTTGTATTAGAATAGAGAAGCTACTATCAATCATGTTTCCCTGAAGTTGGAAGAGCACATTACTCCCTTTTAGTGTCTGAGTTACATTACATATGTTGAGGACTGTTATAAGTAAGTTGGAGTTAGTTGACTGGGACTCTGCTAAGCAAGAGAATCTTAACAGGTATAGTTATTTGAGTAAACAGGGATGGGAATAGTTTTTAATAACGTAGAATATGAGTTTTCTTTGTATAAAGGTAAAATGCTGAAATATTTCATGCCTGATGGTCATTACACTGTATGTGATTTATACCAGGAATAAGCTGAGCCTCTTCCCACCATGCCATTTCATATCAGCCATAAATGAGGAAACAAATGAGAAAGTTATTATTTGCCGTGTGATTAAGTAGTCAGTCAAATCCATTCTGTCTAACAAGCGATTGATTGCTTTAGAATGGGAGCCAGAATTTATAAGGGTGGGGTGATATACTTTGGAGTGTGGGGTATGTAATCAAAATTTTTGTGGTGTATTGCATTTTTCAGTGAAGATCACAACAGTATCTCCATTCCATAAGTTCTTTCTACAGTGCATCCTGTGATAGGGTCTTTGCCCTCTCCCTTTGAAACTCACTGGCTTTTTGTGACTGCTTCAATATATTACATAAAAATGCCATCATCATCCACTGTGATCTTTTGAGATGTTTGCTGTAGAAAAAGAGCCACCACGCTGTGAGAATGTTCAAACAGGCAAAGCAGTGAGACTCCGTGGAAAGGATGTATGCATGAATTTTGACTGACAGTATAGCTGAGATCCCAACTGATAGCTAGTACCAAATCACCACCTATGTGAGTCAACCATTTTGGTAGTATGTTCTCCAGTTCTGAGATCAATTGCTTTAAACTGACCTCTTGAATCAAAGGCAAGCTCCCTACTAAACCCTTCATAAGCCCTGCCCGAGGAATAGATACAGAAACAAAATAATTGTTGTTCTTTCAGGTCAGTAAGTTTTCTGATTTTCTTTTAGCACACAGCAATGAATCATACAATCAGCGACTAATATATTGTGCTTTCTGTGATCTTTTAAAAAATTTTTTATAAATGGAATTTACTAGAATAATACCCTTGAAATGAGTCTTTAAATGTTAACAGTTGTCCAATGGTGGAAGGAGACATTCAAGGGGGGAAAAAGGAATAGATTATGAAACATTTATTTTTGGAGGTTGCAATTATTTAAGAATAGCTAAAGCTGGAAGTCCTAAATAGGACACAGTAAAAGATGACATTGGTGGTAGAAGCAGAAACCTTATGATGGAGGTTATCTATCTATCTATCTATCTATCTATCTATCTATCTATCTATCCCCTTTCTACTAAGGTTAGATTTGATTTTGAAGGTAATACAAAATCATAAAGGACTTTCTGCAGAGCAAGAGATAGTTGGATTTGCATTTTAGGAATATTTCTAGAGACAGTGATGAAATATCATCACCAAGTATATATATCATACATACTCTAACCGAACCCGAACCCGAACCCTAACCCTATCCCTAACCCAGTTAATAGATGCCTGGTAGAGATCTGACACAAAAATATTAAAACTTATAATCAAGTGGATCTGACTATTAATTAAATGTGAAGAGTGAAGGTAATAGAGTCTGAAAAACTTCAAATGAATGACTTGCCAGGTAATAGAGCAAAGGGCCAGACTGGGAGGGGTTGAGCAATAATAAATTCAGCTTTGCCCATGTTACACCCAGTCACATTCTTCTTCTTACTTAATTTCTCAGACCAAAACCTTGGGCACATCCTTGCTTTTTCTTTCTCAGTTACAACACTCTGAAGAATATCAAGTATGATTACATTCCAAGTCAAGGATACATCTTGTCACCTTCACCAATGCATCTTAGTCTTCAAACTGTCATCAGTTGCAAACCGATAAAGCATGTGTGTGTTAATGTTCTGCCCTTTACCATGAAATCAATATTGTTGGAGCTTGTTGAATGAGAAAAGTACTAATGGAAGATGATGTCAGAAAGACAAGATTGAGCATGAGTTGGCTTTGCAGGCTATAGTAAATCATTTGGAATTTATTTTATATTTCAAAAGAAGTTACTGAAGTCCTTTCACTAGCCAAGCAAAGCATCTGATGATGTTTTTCAACAAATGCTGCTGTCTGGAGAACTGAATGTAGGATGGCAAGGATAAATATAGCTAGAAAACTCTTTCTGTAATGTAAACATGAGGCTGGTAATTCTTTTTCCTTTGTCAAATCAAACTCATTCCAATCAAGGCACCGTCCTTGTTTATTTATTTACCTAGACGGTCTTTTCCTCAGAGTTTCATGTCTTGTCAATGAGATGTAGGACATATCAAGATCAAAGAGTTCTTCTTTCAGCATATCCTTCCAAAAGTAGCTTTTCGTCTTGTCATACATTGACCGATATTTTTCCTTTGAATTTTCAAAGCACAGAGCACTCTAAGGAGTTAAATTATTTACTTAATTGTTTCTATTCCATATTTTCCCATTAGAAATGTAAGGCATCTGAGGATAGAAAATATATTTTTCTTACTGACATCATATTCCTAATGTTCAGCGTAGTACTTAGAGTGAGATTTGTATTCATCATGTTTGTAAATTAGCTAATGAAAATAAAATAAGACATAATTTAAAATTTGGGAGATATTTGCTTGGAGAGAAAAATTGAAGGAGATTTTCTAAAATGAAGATACTGCTTTAGACTTGATGAGGGGGAAATTTTTGACATCCATCATCAATTTATGGATTTACAGTAAATTAAATTATCTTTTAAAACATAGCAGAAAGTAAATCATAATCTTTAATAAAGAAGGGAAATTGAAGGAAACATGTCTCCATTGAGTATTAGGCATTCTGTGAGGTACTTAATATATTTAAACTCATGCAAATCTCCAAGAGCCATGACTTTAAAAAAAATTCAGTTATTAATAAAATATTTATGTTTAAAGCATGAAGAGTTATATTTGTTAAAATCCATGTACTTATAGAACAATGAAAAAATCATGTGTAAAACACACAACATTCGGTGTACTCAGTTTTGACAAATATTTATCTTTTTTAGCATTGAAAATAGGAATGTTATTTGCATTTGGAAAAATATTTCTCGGATATATTGGTCACTAAACAATGAAATAACATGTCATGATTGTTTTATGTTTACCTGTCTTGCAAAAAGCTAGATTTGACTAACAATAAAAATGTCCACTGTTAAAATGCCTGCAGAAACACTTTTCACATTAAATTATAACCAGATACTCACGTTCACATTGCCAGGGCATCAATAAAACAATTCCAAGTTTATAGCACAGAGGTACATTGTACCCAGTGTTGTTATTGTGACATATTGTGCTGCCTTGTGCTGTGTCATATTGTAATTCAGACATTAACATATGTGACTACCACTCTTTATGTAGAAAATACAGTGTTCTCATTTGTTCCAAAAATTGTAATATGCATATTTCAAACTACAAAATATATCTATTTTCACGGTAGTATCAATTATTTATTGAGCTTCTTCATAATATACTAGTAAGCATATTTTAAATTAAGTTGTGAAAATAATGAATAAATAAATAAAATAAAGAAAGAGCTGCAAGTTGCTGAGATTCTGGGACATGTGAATATGTTATCTCAGTAAAGCATGGCCTGTGCAGTATTACTCCAGTTCCTTTCTATTTATGTTCCTCAGACTTGATTTTTTTAAGCTTTAAAATAATTAGGTTAAATATTTTGTCAAACTTTAGAAAACACTTCTTATAGACAAATTGTTGGACAAAGAAAGGAACAATAAGAAGCTGTGGGAAGTAAAAGTAATATTTTGGGAGTCAAAATTGTCATTTCTCTGTGCTAGGATTGAAGATGTATACACATTATCGTCAGCATTCACACACTCACTCACACACACACACGCAATTTGTACCTTAAAATACTATACAAAATAAAATTGGTGCCTAGGAAGAGATATAGAGTTCAAACATAATTCTCCCATAAATACATCCCCATTACTATTTTAAATATGAACTCTCAGGAGGATTATAGTGTTGGGGAAAAATGTCAAATCAGCAGGTGAGCTGTTGAACTTTCAACTCATTATTAAATAAAACCAGTTTTGGTTTTTATGTGTTTCACACTTTGTTCATCCATAATTCCCTTTGAACTAGGGGTTGTGGGACTGTTGTGGGATGGGGGGAGGGGATAGCATTAGGAGATATACCTAATGTTAAATGACCAGTTAATGGGTGCAGCACACCAACATGGCACATGTATACATATGTAACGGAGCTGCACGTTGTGCACATGTACCCTAAAACTTAAAGTATAATAAAAAAATGAAAAAATAAAATTGAGAAAATCCAAATTATTTGTGGAATTCAACATTAACCTAAAAACCGAAAAAAAAGACAATGTAGGATATAACTGAAAGACAAAATGATAAAATCTAATAATCAATATTGTATTATCTTTTAGCATAAATTAATAATCTTGAGTAAGGTTGCTAATATATATTTCAAATGATACATTAAGATTTAACAAATAATTAAAATTTTTGGGAAGGGTTATAGGAAATTTAAATCTATTATTTCTAATTCATTGATACGTTTAATTTAAAAACCTTTAGTCTCTCTACTAATACTTCCATTTTAAGAAGGAGATGGACACTCATAGAAGTAAAATAATATACCCAATGTTACACAGTTAATTAATTGTTGGAGATATTTCAAAGCAGCTCATAAATGCTTCAGAGTCTATTCTCTTTGACTACATTACACTGCTATCAAATTTCATGAAAAATCTCAAAAACTTGTGTTACAGTAATTAATTCAGTTAAATGGATACTTTTATTTTCTCCAAAGTTCCTTCAACTTTAGAGAGACCAAAGTAATTACATAAGTGAAATATCTGGAAGAGTAAAGAATAAATAATAAAAAATGCTTCAGGAAAGGAATATTTTACTAGAGTATTTACCATGTCTTTAATTTGTAGTTATCGAACATGAAAATACATGGGAAAGACTTGGAGACCTTTCATAAGAGACCAAATATAAAAGTAATGGAAAATATAATATGTAAAGAAAAAGTAGAATTGATAATACCTTGCCTGAAAGGCCTAGACAGATTTAATAACTATCCCAGAACATGTAAATCGTTATGCTTATTAGAATGGTTCCAGGCATTTTACAGGGGAAGCAACAGAATAAAAGAGCTGTATGGTCTTAAAGAATGAGAAAAAACATCCCCTGCCTCTCCCCTGTAACTGTATCATTTGATTTGAATTTTTTTATTGCTTCTAGAATTCTTCATAGAACAGTATCTGGAAAAGAATAGTACTATAGATAAGAAAACATATATTACGGTGGTAATTTTTTAACTACCTGTGTGACATTTTATTGGTCTGAATTTTACGTGCCTCATTTGAAAAGGGATAAAGCTGAACTATAACAATTTCTTTTGATCTTTTTGAGTCATGGACATTTTGAAAATTTGATTAAAGTTATATCTTCTCTCTATAAAAATGACTTGCACTTTGTATTTTACTTTTAATTTCAGGAATACAATGACACCCTGTAGCTCATTCATGAGTATGTCCTAGAGGTTCCTGCTAGTTAAATAATTTTAGATTCAGAGTCTAAAATTGCATACAATTCTAACATTTCCTGGTCTGCTATATTATCACTATTTGGATGTTTAGATATATTTTTGCTAGTATCTCTTTTTTCTAGTAATAACACAAGCAAAACTTCCCTGTTAAATAATTAAGCATTGATCAATTTTCTAATAATTTCACTGGAATAAGAGTGAAGAAATTCAGTCTACTTTTACATTGACTCCTTAAGTGTCTGGCACTGACTTTAACATAAAACAACACACAGTAATATATTTGAAAAAATCTGTTGCTGAAACATTCATGATAGTTTATCTTGATTAAAAGACTCACTGTATTATGTGTAATTTTAATCATTATATCTTTCTCTATTAATTTTTCCATATCCCTTTTAAAATGAGAGCACTGAATAAAATGTCTCCCTTCAACTGTAAGTTTTATGATAAATTGAACTTAAAATTTCAGAATCCCTCTCATGTACACATTTAATCAATGTAGTCTGGATCTTATTTATTCAGTTTAACCCCTCATTTTTAAAAAAATGTTCACTCTCCTATTTTCAATGACATCATGTTATTATATACTTATTACATAATCGGTTTATTTTATTCCTTTAGAGCTACTTATCCTCCTTTTGTTTCCCAATTTGACGCATTCCAAGAGCTCCGTTTTTGAGTATTGCTTCTTTTGGCCTTTTTCTTTCCCTTAGAGATTTTATTCATTCTCATTTTTGTTCCAACGTTCTACATTTATTTTGTCAGCCTTGTTTTTGTGCTTTACTTCTAGAACTAAGAACTCAGTAAACTGCCAAAATAAATAATCAAATATCCCTGTGGCTTAACACAGCAAACGTATATGTTTTGCTCTTCCTACATCCAATGTAAATTTGCTAAACATGCAACTCTCTAGGACGGCGCTTTTTAAAGAACTGAGATACAGGATATAGGTATTCCATTAAGTGGTTCCAACATCCTTCAAAAATATGGAGCTCTCCACAGACTCATTTCCACCTTTCCAGCCTTCAAGAGGAAAGAGGGAAAAAGAAAATTTAGGTAATAGACCAGGAAGAGAGATGCCTCATCTCTGCCCATATTTTATCAGCCAAAACTTGATCCCATGGTTTCATCTTTCTACAAGATGGTGGTTGTAGGCCAGAAAAGAATAGTTTAGCTTTGTGTATAGGATTGAAAAAATGACTTGGTGAGCACTTTGGAGACTCTGCATTGCAGTGCTTCATCATCCTTTAATTAAATCATTTCCTTCCCATATTGGTTGTCTCTGAATTAGTGCACCTCTTTTATTATTTTAATATGTTCTCAGCAACTGGCCTTCTCCATCCATTCTGCATTATGGCCAAACACTTCCTTTGGCTTCTCTCTGTTTGTTTCATACACACTAGTCTCCCTGGATAATTCCAAACTGGAAATATAGAGGAGCTCCTTGACTGAAAGACCTGTACCTCAATGACTGAAGTCCTCTGTAGTACTGAGCACATGTATGTGCTCTTCCATTACACTTTCATTTTCTTCAGTTTCAATCAGCCTTCTGGGTTTATCAAAGGCCTTGGTGAAGGACCATTTGATACCTTTGCCTAAATCTTAGAAGGGAAATGTGCCTTGATAAAAGAAGGGTCAAAATGAAGAAGAACATTGTATTATGGAAATTAGGGCTAATCTTAATCACTGGATCCTTTAAAGTACAGAAATACCTTCTTACAAGGTAATCAAAGGTAACTAATAAATAGAGATAGCTCTGTTCCTCAGTTCTGCATTTTAGCAACAACCATGCTGAACAAGATGGTTTTAATGTTCTTTTCAGCTTGACTAAATCTTGGACAGACTTCTTTCTGATTCTAAGACCCTAAACTCTCATTTCTTAAAGCATATAGTTTTGACAACATGTAATTGCAAGTTCTTCCTCTGCTTCTTTGAGATTTCAAGCTGTTTCAAAAGGACTGTCTTTTTCAAGGACCTGGGAGCCTTCCCTTTGAAATGTAATCATTAAGGAAGATAGAGCCCCCATCTCCCAGTCTCTATCTGAGCACAGAAGCCTAAATCTAAGTTGTAAATTTTCCTTCAGTCATAAAAAGAGAGTTTACATTCTGCAAATAATAAGCCATTATTCTAAGTGAATCAACGCAGTAACAGAAAGCCAGATACAGCATGTTCTTACATATAAGTGGGAGCTAAACACCAAATACATGTGGACATAAAGATGGAACCCTACAGACTACTAGAGGGAGGAAGGAGGAAGAGAGGAATGGGCTGAAAAATTACCTGTGGGGTACTATGCTCACCCGCTGGGTGATGAGATCATCAATACTAAAACCCAGCATCACACAATATACCCATCTAGCAAACCTGCACGTGTACCTGCTGAATCTAAAATAAAAGTTGAAATTATATTTCCTTTGAATGAGGCTAATTTGAAAACACACACGGCTTATAATCTACCACCCCAGCTCTTCAAAACTCTCCAGGCTTTTGCTGCAGCAGAGTTCAGTCCATACTGCCTTTTGTTTTATCTTCCCTGTTGCAATAGTCTTGAATAAAATCTTCCTTAGCGTTTTTATTTTGTCAGGTTTAATTTTTCCTTGAGACTATCTGGGGACTTTCCTAATTCTTGGTGCTTCAGACTTCCTGAATTCAGTTCAGACTGCCTTTTGTTTTCTTTCCTGTTGCAATAGTCTTTTGCAACAAGAAAGATAAATCTTCCTTATCTTTCTAACTATGTACCTTTTAATTTCCCTCGACACTACTTGGGGACTTTCCTAATTCTTTGCCCTTCAGACTTCCTGATTATATACTCTGCTCCTGCCTCTGCAGAAATAGTCTTTTCTTATTTTTTTTACCTTTCCAGAAACAGAACTTAAGTTCTCCCACCTTGTTTGCCTCCTCTTTCTGTGGCCCTTGTCTTTGTAAGACTCTGACCAATGGCTTCATTAACTTTAACTTCATATATTTTCTATTTTGGACTAAGTGTCCTTCCTGGCCTGCTGCTTCCACAGGTGATGGATTAGGTGCGTGGGTTCAGCTTCCTTATTGTAAGATCTTTTCTTTCCTTTCCCACATTTGTAGACACACTTGTTGCAAATATTCTTCTACTTAGCACATTTATCTTACCTGTTTTGTCCTATTTTCTTTAGATTCCTGAGCCTTTACTTAATATTTTCCTGAATTAAAAATGGAAATGTGCGTATCAACTATCAGAGATGCTGGAACATAAAAAGTAATAAAGTGAAGCTATTTGTGGGCTATTACTTCACTGAGTTGGATTCTTCTCTTATTCCCACTGAGTATTTCAGTGGATTTCTGAACTGAAGAATAAACTAATCCATAATTCATATGAACTAATGAATAAACTCATTCATAATTCATAACCTAATAAACTAATTCATAATTCCCATGATACATTGCAACAAGAAGAATTCCTTTCATCTTTTAACTTTTTGTGTTACCGCATTTACTACAGGTTTTCCATCTCCAGACATGCTTACTTTACAAGTTGCAATTTTTGAATGCAGGCAGAATAAGATATATTGATGAGGGGAAAAAAGAGGGAGCGAGATATCAAGATGGACTACAAAAAGTATTATATCCTCCCTACAAAATAAGTATCTCTGTTGTGGAAGAATAAGTACACAGTTTTAAGGTAGACTTTGAGTCTTTAAGACAAGTACTAAAATTTATGTTTTTTTTTTATTCAGTCCTGCTGATGGTCAGGTTTTCTCAGAAAACATAATGATGTAATGTATCAATCCAGATCCATTGATCAAGCTGAACTCTTTCATGATTATTTTTTGTTATGAAAAAAATGAATTATTCTGCACAGAGAGAGAATATTATAACAATCTTCCAAATATACATCATTCAAATGATAAACAGTCTTCTAAACTTGTTTGATATCTTTTTAATACCTTCTTTGTTTCCTCACATGTTTTTTTCTTTTGGTGATAAAATGTCTCAAAAATATCTCAGACTTTATGGCCTTCCACTTTTCATATGTAAATGTAATGTCATCATCATGCATAGCTAAAAATGTATAATAATTCCTTAATATCCAATCTATACAGTAAACTTTTGATAGAATTTAAGTTTTTTCAGAGGTTGGTGCAAGGTGATTTAAATCGAGATGTTTAGAGTTCTAATGAGGGCAATGTCTGTTTTGTTTGACAGCCGGGGTGAATCATTTTTTAGCATCCTCCTTGTCTATAGGACAACATTATTTTCTGGGCTATTAATAAGATGAAATAAGTGTGAATTATGGCAAAAAATTTGCAGGGTGAGAATTTTATGTTTCTGAATTTCATATATGTAGAATTATGAAAGAAAAATTCAAAAAAATATAAAATCTGAAAGGAAAATAATGGATAGTTTTTAATTGCAATATCTTTTTAAAAAGGAAAAATATATGATGTACGGATTTGTTATATTTATAAATATTACATTTTTTTTCAGCCTTAACTTATGTGAATTTATCAATCACTTTATCAAAGTTGATCTTCTTCATGTCCTATAGCTATTATAACCAGATTCATCCTTCTTCTTTCTCTCCTTGTTGGTGAAAGAATACTTATTATTAATTTTAGTTTTGAAAATGTTCTATTACACGAAGAAACAAGGAACACAAATTATTAACAAAAGTCTTCAATATAAAGATGAGTTTTGCAGAAGTTTATAAATATCCTATTTGAAATACATATTATAATGTTGTTTTCTTTCTTGCTCTTACAAAATTTCCCATAAAACATCTTCAACAGAAAATACACCATGAATTTTAATGATATTTATTAAAATATTGTTACTTTTTTGTCTTTTATAAAAATTGTAGAAACAGCTGAATAATAACAAATATTGGCATTATTAATTCATCAATTTAGAATGAGTATCCATTTATTAAAGAGAACAATCTAGGCAATAAACCATCCCACTTTTAAAAATCTTTGACTATATAAGATGAGCACCTTTTTCAGTTCTCTTGGTCTTCTTCTTAGCAACTTGATTCTACTTTTCTTTGGAAGGATCCATTCCCTTAATGTTGTGGCTGCACAATGTCCTACTCCACAGTTTCCATGTACTAATTTTCAAAGATTGATTTCAGCTTAGTGGTCCACTGTATATTTTTTTCAAGACTAATTCTGGCTACTTGCAAATATATTTGGCTTCTCATTAACCTCATTTAAATCTTTACATTAGGGGAAAAAGATAACTCATAAAAGAAAAATTGCATACAGTTCTTGCACACAGAATTATGCAATTATTTTGGGGTTAAAGATACAAGATGAATTTAAGGAAGGTCAAACAATTATGAATTCTTACAAATTTCCTCTCAAGATGAAAATGTGTAGGTGAATCTCCTTGCATTCGGGGTTGACTATATAACTAGGGATTCTTTGAATTAAATTTCCCATAGAATATAATGTTGATTAAATGATAAGTAATACAAACTTCCAAGTTGTAACTGACAGATGTATTATTAAAACAACATTAATCACAGCAATTGTTTATAACTTAGGCTAACAAATATATCTTCTGATATGTTTTAGCATTGTCAGCTAGTATGAAAATAAGAAACAGACATTTAGTCAGTTTCATTATTGTTTTAAATTTCTCCACATAAAATATACCCCCTTATTGCCTATACCCAGAGTAGACTACTAGTATTCTACTACCTCCTACTAATCTACTCTTGGCATACAATCGGATGAGGGTCCATAAGCCTTCCCTTGGTTTTACTGTGAGAAACTAGGAAAGACTGAATTAGGACGGCTAGTGGGTGTCTCATCAGCTCTTGTAAAACTTCCTGTTGCTGTCTTGAATCTCTCCTGCATTAAGTCCACTTCTTACACTGAACCTAGACTTTGAAAAACACAAATCTGTTCACAAATCTTCTAGTCACTTCCCTCTGCCTGGAGCAAAAAGTTTTGAACTCCTTAGCACAGTATCTCCCCTGACTTCTCAACTCCTTACACTAAATCTCCACTTACTCCCTCCCCTACCAAGCACAATCCTTCCGTCTGCCAGAACCCACCAAGTTCATTCATATCGATGAGTCTTTGCATGGGCTGCTGGCTTTCATTTACTAAGAAACTTCCTAATTTTGTGGCAGGGCTAAGAAAATTATTTTTCAAATTTAAGACTCAGAAAAGACTCCTATTTGAGGAAATTCTTGATTCATATCACATAGAATACTTTTATCTGGGTCCACAAATTTAGAATCATTTCCTATTCTGCTTTAAATCTTTAGTATGAAGAATATGTATACCACATGTGCAAGAAATGCTTTTTGTTTCAAAAAATATGAAATGGGATTCTGTTCAAGCAAAACACATTTAGATTTTTTGAGGGTATTCTTTTTTTTTTATTATACTTGAAGTTTTAGGGTACATGTGGACAATGTGCAGGTTTGTTACATATGTATACATGTGCCATGTTGGTGTGCTGCACCTATTAACTGGTCATTTAACATTAGGTATATCTCCTAATGCTATCCCTCCCCCCACCCCACAACAGGCCCCATGGAATACTATGCAGCCATAAAAAATGATGAGTTCATGTCCTTTGCAGGGACATGGATGAAGCTGGAAACCATCACTCTCAGCAAACTATCGCAAGGACAAAAAACCAAACACCGCATGTTCTCACTCATAGGTGGGATTTGAACAATGAGAACACATGGACACAGGAAGGGGAACATCAAACACATTTAGATTTGTATAAAAACTTTCAGAGGTTATTTCAACATGAAAATCAGTAACATCAAAAATGACTTTAGAAATGTTTTAAATATATAAGACTCACCTACTATCTTGAAAAGCTTATTTGCTATATTCTGGCTGTGCTAAATAACAGTATTCCTTCCAATTTTCTGTATCTCCCTATATTTTTATTCATTTTTATTGCCTGTTTCTTATCATTTTCTATGTATCTGTGTTTACAGGTATATAAATAATGAGTTCCTAGAAAGGAGAAATATTCCTTTTCTTTTTGAGTAAAATAATAAAATATTTAGAGATGACGTGATCTAACCTATGAGATTTGCTTTAAAATAATATGCTAGAGCATAAGTGGATGAGGGTATAAATGAAACAAGATTAATTTTGTGTTGACATTTATCAAAGCTGTGTGAGAGATCCGTGGGGATCCATTATATAATTTTGCACATGATTAAAATTTTTCATAATACAAAGTTTTTTTAAAAAAATAAAATGGGTGTATATGTGTGGATGTATGCATGCATACATCACAAATTATGGGAAATTTACATAATATAAAGGTAATACACACACACATACACATACGAAGAGAGAGAGAAAAAAAGAGAGAAAGAAAGTGCACAAGTGCAGTTTTGTGCCTAGAATTATGCTCATGACTGCAAAATTCATCATGGCTAGTACAGTGTCAATGAACAAAATCTTAGAAATCTTCAAAAATGGAGATATATACATCTTCACTACTATTTTACTTTTGTCCTCAAAACCTGTATGTTTAACTAAATCCAGGTTTAGAAAAAGAGCTTAGTCCTAAGTAGGGTGGAATTGATACAATGTGAATGAGTATATAACTTAATCTACATTCAGTATAAAGTATTTTAAAGACCCCTAATGTGCACAGTGTACTTTTGCTATGTGCTGAGTTCATAGTTGATGTCACAAGATGATAGGCTGGAAACCCAAGGAGTTCACAGAATGGTGGCACTGAAGGCATTTGCAGTCCTCCTGTCGCTTTCTCCAGAAAATATTTTCAGCATTTGCTAGTCCAACCTTGTGTGTATCTCCATCATTGTAGTGTCCTCATTGTGTTAGAGTTGTATTATGAGTTTGGTACAAAAGTAGTTGTGGTTTTTGCCATTGAAAGTAATGGAAAAACCTCAAGTACTTTTGCAACAACCTAATGTAATTAAATAGTTCACCAGAACGTAAAGTCCTTGAAGATAGGGATAATAAATTACATCATTTCCACCTTTGTTGCCAAGAGTCTAGTGCATAGTATATTTGCACCAAGATGATTGAATCTATCTATCTATCTATCTATCTATCTATCTATCTATCTATCTATATGCACACACACATATGTATAGATACATACACATATACATATATATACATATATCTATATAAGTATATATAGATATGATGTACCTTAATTTTTTACCTTACACTTTAGAGATTAGAAAGAATATGTTCAATTGCCTACACCTTCTGTGATTTAAAAATTCAAAATTTTATCACCTATAAACTAGTTATAAATTTTATTGTAACAGCAATTATTATACTTTCTTAAGTATAACATTTAATTGTTAATTACAGAATATAGAAATTACAGGAAAGAGCATAATAAGGTACTCAAAAGTCAAAAAGGATATATATTATACCAACTTGTGTATATATATAAGTTTATGCAACAGGGAGAAATATATGTATATATGTATATTTCTCCTTTATGCAACAGGGAGAAATATGTGTGTGTATATATATACACATATATATGTAAATATATTTCTCCCTGTTGCATAAACTGTTTGCTTTTTTCTAAAAGCTCCTAACACATGAGATTTTAACCTGTAGATAAAACATGTTTCATGTTTCATTTTGATATTGAGCTGATATTTAATGTTTACTTTCAATGTTTTGAGTGTAAACTCTTAAGTACAATATACTACTTCTTTATTTTCAGCAAATCAACTATTACAATTATTCGTTGAATTTAAAAAATCATGTTTTCTATGTATCTTGTAGTTTTAAATACTTTATAAATCATGGGCTTTCCTGATAATTTGTTAAAAACTCTTAATCTTTTTCTCATCGGTTAAGAGAAATGAACATAGATACAATATTTAGTGTGCATTGTCATGATATTCACACACATACTGCAATTCATTAATTGAAAGTCTTTGGAAATGAAGGTAAGGAAAGAACTTAAGTTCCTAAACCAAAACATCTTCAACTTAACTCTAGGTAAATAGTATTAACTAAATTATTTCTTTATTACCACTTTATTATTTCAACGATACAGGTAACAGTATTAAATAGTATTCAACAATTCTTAATTTATTCTGAATGTACACCATAACAGGTATCATTATGTAGTGTTTCCTATATTCTGATAGCTATTGAATTATTATTTTATTATACATTCTTGTAAGTATACGTGTAGACATGAAAATAAACATGCACGACCTATATGACATGCTATGTTCAGTGATGACAGCTGTCTTCCCATTTTTTTGATGTGTTAAATGCAAGAGGTTTATTTCTTTTTAAAAAGTTGTTGTGGGTACATAGTAGACATATATACTTATGGAGTTCATGAGATATTTTGATACAGGAATGGAATTCATAATAATCACGTTATGAAAGATGGGTTATCCATCTTGTCAATATCTATTCTTTGTGTTACACACAATTCAGTTATACTGTTTTAGTTATTTTGAAATGTACAATTAAATTTTTACTGACTATAGGCACCCTATTGTGCTATCAAACACTAGGCCATATTCATTCATTTGGACTATTTTTTGTACCTGTTACTAAGCCTTTTTCCAACTCCCCACTACCTTTCTCAGCCTCTGGTAGCCATCCTTCTACTCTCTATCTGCATGTGTTCAGTTGTTTGGATTTTTAGATCCCATAAATACATAAGAACATATGACGTTTGTCTTTTTGTGCCAGGCTTATATTACTTAACATAATGACCTACAATTCCTTCTATGGTGTTGGAAATGACAAGGCCTCATTCTTTTATATGACTGAATAGCACATCATGTCTATACATACCACAGTTTCTTTTTCTATTTTTTTTTGTTTGTTTGTTTGTTTTGCTGAGATGGAGTCTTGCTCTGTTCCACTAGCTGGAGTGCAATGGCACAATCTTTGCTCACTGCGGACTCCGTCTCTGGGTTCAAGCAATTATCCCTGCCTCAGCCTCCTGAGTAGCTGGGATTACAGGTGCCCACCACCACGCCTGGCTAATTTTTGTATTTTTTAGTAGAAACAGGGTTTTGCCATGTTAGCCAGGCTGGTCTTGAACTCCTGTCCTCAGGTGATCCACCTTCATTGGCCTCCCAAATGCTGGGATTATAGGTGTGAGCCACTGTGCCCGCCCATGTACCACAGTTTTTTTTTTTTTTCCCTTCATCTGTTGATGGACACTGAGGCAGCTTCCAAGATTTGGCTTTTGTAAACAAAGCTGCAACAAGCATGGGGTTGGACATATCTCTTGCATATGTTGGTCTCCTTTCTTTTGGGTATTGTATTCAATTGGGTACTGACTTACAGTCCCATGTGGCTGGGGAGGCCTCACAATCATGGTGGAAGGCAAGGAGGAGCAAGTCACGTCTTACATGAATGGTGGCAGGCAAAGAGAGAGAGCTTGTTCAGAGGAACTCCTTTGTATAAAACCATCAGATCTTGTGAGACTTATTCAGAATGCTGAGACCCACACAAGAAAGACTCACCCCTGTGATTCAATTACCTCCGACTGAGTCCCACCCATGACGTGGGAATTGTGGGAGTTACAATTCATCAAGAGATTTGGGTGGGGGCATAGCCAAACCATATCATTCTGCTCCTCATCTCTCTCAAATCTCATGTCCCCACATTTCAAAACCAATCATGCCTTCCCAACAGTCTGGCAAAGTCTTCACTCACTTCAGCATTAACCCAAAAGTCCACAGTCCAAAGTCTTATCTGAGACAAGGCATGTCCCTTCCACATATGAGCCTGTGAAATCAAAAGCAAGCTAGTTACTTCCTAGATACAATTGGGGTACAGGTATTGGGTAAATACAGCGATTCCAAATGCGAGAAATTGGCCAAAACAAAAGGGCTACAGGGTCCATGCAACTCCAAAATCCAGCTGGGTAGTCAAATCTTAAAGGTCCAAAATAATCTCCTTTGACTCCATGTCTCACATCAAGGTCATGCTGATGCAAGAGGTGGGTTCCTATAGTATTGGGCAGCACTGACTCTGTGACTTTTCAGGGTACAGCTTCCCACCTGGGTGTTTTCATGGGCTGGTATTGAGTGTCTGTGGCTTTTCCAGGCACACAGTGCAAGCTGTCAGTGGATCTATCATTCTGGGGTCTGGAGGACAGTGGCCTTCTCTCACAGCTCCACTAGGCAGTGCCCCAGTGGGGACTCTATGTGGGAGCTTCAACCCTGCATTTCCCTTCCACACTGCCCTAGAAGAGGTTCTCCATGAAGGACTCACCCCTGCAGCAAACTTCTTCCTGGGCATCCAGGCATTTCCATATATCCTCTGAAATCTAAGTGGGGGTTCCCAAACATCAATTCTTGACTTCTGTACACCTGCAGGTTCAACACCATGTGGAAGCTGCCAAGACTTGAGGCTTGCACCCTCTGAAGCCACGGCCTGAGCTTTACTTTGGCCCCGTTTAGTCACGGCTGGAGTGGCTGGGACTCATGCCACCAAGTTCCTAGGCTGCACACAGCACTGGGACACTGGGCCAGCCCAGAAAACCATATTTTTGTCCTAGGCCTCTGGACCTGTGATGAGAAGGGCTGCAGTAAAGACCTCTCTGACATGCCCTGGAGACATTTTCCCCATTGTCTTGGGGATTGTCATTGCAGCCAGCTTAAATTTCTCCTTAGAAAATGGGATTTTCTTTTCTATCGCATTGTCCAGCTGCAAATTTTCTGAACTGTTATGCTCTGCTTCCCTTATAAAACTGAATGCTTTAACAGCACTGAAGTCACCTCTTGAAAGCTTTGCTGCTTAGAAATTTCTTCTGCCAGATATCCTAAATCATTCTCTCAAGTTCAAAGTTTCACAAATCTCTGGGGCAGGGGCAAAATGCTGCCAGACTCTTTGCTAAAACATAACAAGAGTCACCTTTGATACAGTTCCTAACAAGTTTTTCATCTCTATCTGAGACCACCACAGATTTAATCTTATTGTTCATATCATGATCAACATTTTTGTCAAAGCCATTCAACAAGTCTCTAGGAAGTTCCAAACTTTCCCACGTTTTCCGGTCTTCTTCTGTGTCCTCCAAACTGTTCCAATCTCTGCCTGTTACCCAGTTCCAAAGTCACTTACACATTTTGGGTGCCCCACTCTACTGGTACCAATTTACTGTATTAGTCAGTTTTCATGCTGCTGATAAAGACATACCAGAGACTGGGAAGAAAAAAAGGTTTAATGGACTTACAGTTCCACGTGGCTGGGGAGACCTCACAATCAGGTGGAAGGCAAGGAGGAGCAAGTCACGTCTTACATGGATGGCGGCAGGCAAAGAGAGAGAACTTGTGCAGGGGAACTCCTCTTTACAAAACCATCAGATCTCATGAGACTTATTCACTATCACAAGAACAGCATGAGAAAGACCTTCCCCCATCATTCAATTACCTCCATCTGGGTCCCTCCCAGACATGTGGAAATTGTGGGAGTTACAATTCAAGATGAGATTTGGGTGGGGACATAGCCAAACTATATCAGGTATATAATCAGCAGGGGATTGCTGGATCATATGGTAGTGGAACCTCCAAACATTTCTCCATAGTGATTGCACTAACTTGCATTCCTACCAACAATGTACAAGAGGGTTCTCTTTTATCCACATCCTTGCCAGCATTAGTTATTGCCTTTTTGATAAAAGCCACTTCAACTGAGATGATATCTCATTGTATTTTTTTATTTGAATTTCTCTGATGATCAATGATGTTAAGCACTTTTTCATATGTCCATTTACCAATTGGAAGTCTTCTCTTGAGAAATGTCCATGCAAATCTTTTGTCCATCTTTTGAGCAGATTATTAGACTTTTTCCTACAGAGTTGTTTGAATTCCTTATATATTCTGGTTATTAATACCTTGTCAGATGGTAGTTTGCAAATATTTTCCCTCTTCTGTGGGTTGTCTCATCACGTCGTGGATTGTTTCTCTGCTGTGCAGAAACTTTTTAACTTGATATGACCCCATTTGTCCATATATGCTTTGGTTGCCTGTGCTTGTGGGGTGTTTACTCAAGAAATATTCGTGCAGACCAATATACTTGATAATTTTTCCAATGTTTTCTTGTCATAGTTTCATAGTTTGAGGGCTTAGATTCAATTCTCTAATACATTTTTATTTAATTTTTATAGATGGTGAGATATAGAGGTCTAGTTTCACTCTTCTGCATATGAATTTCCCAGTTTTCCTCTTTTATTGAAGAGACTGTCTTTTCCCCAGTGTATGTTCTTGGCACCTTCATTGAAAATGAGTTCACTGTATGTGGGTCAATTTGTTTCTGGGTTCTCTATTCTGTTCCGTGTGTGTGTGTGTGTGTGTGTGTGTGTGTCTGTGTGTGTGTGTGTTTTATGCCAGTACCATCCTGTTTTGTTACTGTAACTCTGTAATATAATTTGAAGTGAGGTTATATGATTTGTCCAGTTTTGTTCTTTTTGCTTAGGATAGTTTTGGCTATTGTGGATCTTTTGTGGTTTCATAACAATTTTAGGTTTTTTTTTCTATTTTTGTGAAGAATGTCATTGATAATTTTATAGGGATTGCATTGAATCCGTAGATTGTTTTTGGTGGTATAGACATTTTAATAATATTGATTATTTCAATCCCTGAACATAAAATACCTTTCCATTTTTTGGTGTCCTCCTCAATTTCTTTCATCAGTGTTTTATACTTTTCATTACAGAGATCATTCTTTTCTTTGTTGAAATTAATTCCTAGATATTTATTTTATGTGTGGCTATTGTAAATGGGATTATATTTTATTTCGTTTTTACATTGTTCACTGTTGGTATATAGAAATGCTTCTGATTTTTGTATGTTGATTTTGTATCTTACAACTTTACTGAACCTGTTTACAAGTTTTAATAGCTTTTTAGTGGACTCTTTGGTTTGCCCAAACATAAGATCGTATTAATTGCAAACAAGGATAATTTGAATTCTTTCATTTTAATTTGGATGCTCTTTATTTCTTTCTCATGTCTGATTTCTCTAGCTAGGACTTCCAGTACTATGTTGAATAACAGTGGTGAAAATGGGCATTCTTGTCAGATTTTAGAGGAAAGGCTTTTATGTTTTTCCTCATTCAGTATGATACTATTCTGTATGACAGCTGAGGGTCTCATATATATGGCTTTAATTATGATGAGGTATGTTTCTTCTATACTCAGTTTTTTGAGGGTTTTGATAATGAAGAGATGTTGAATTTTATCAATGCTTTTTCAACATCAGCTGAAACGATCATGTGGGGTTTTTTCCTTCATTCTGTTGATATGATGTATCACATTGATTGATTTGTGTATTTTGAACCATCCTTGCATGCTAGTGATAAATTCCACTTGGTCGTGATGAATGATTTTTTAATTTATTGTTGAATTTGGTTTGCTTATATTTTGTTAAGGAATTTTGGATCTCTATTTATCAGGGATATTTTTGTCTGTAGTTTCCTTTCTTTCTTTTTTTTAAGTATGCCTTTGTCTGGTTTTGGTATCAGGATAATATTTGCCTTAAACTGAGTTTGGAAGTATTCCCTTCTCCTATATTTTTTGTAATTGATTGCATAGGCTCTGTATTAGTTCTTCTTTAAAAGTTTGGTAGAATTCAGCAGTAAAACCACTGGGTCCTGGGCTCTTTTTTTTTTTTTTTTTTTTTGAGATGGACTCTCACTCTGTCATCCAAACTGGAGTACTGTGGCACTGTCTCAGCTCATGCAGTCTCTGCCTCCCAGGTTCAAACAATTCTCCTGCCTCAGCCTCCTGAGTAGCTGGGATTACAGGGATGCACCCCCAGTGCCTGGCTAATGTTTTTGTATTTTTAGTAGACATGGAGTTTCACTATGTTGGTCAGGCTGGTCTCGAACTTCTAACCTCAGGTGATCCACCTGCCTTGGCCTCCCAATGTGCTGAGGTCACAGGCATGAGCCACCGCACCCAGCCCCAGGCTTTTCTTTACTGGGAGATTTTTATTACGACTTTGATCTCATTACTTGTTATTGGTCCTTTCAGGTTTTGAATTTCTTTCTGGTTCAACTGGTTCAATCTTGATAGGTTATACATGTCTAAGAATGTGTCCATTTCTTCTAGATTTTTCAATTTACTGGTATATAGTTGCTCATAGTTGCTATTAATGATACTTTCAATGTCTGTGGTATCAGGCATAATGTCTCCTTTTTTATCTTTGATTTTTTTTTTATTTGGATAATCTCTTTTCCTTAGCCTGGCTAAAAATTTGTCTATTTTGTTTAACTTCTCAAAAACCACCTTTTTGTTTCATTGATCTTTTGTATTGTTTTCTTCATTTCAAATTCATTTATTTCTGCTTTGAAATTTATTATTTCTTTTCTTCTACTAATGTTGGGTTTGGTTTGCTCTTGCTTATCTAGTTCTTTTACATGCATCATTAAGTTGTTTATTTGAAGTTTTTCTTCTTTTTTGATGTAAGCACTTATAGCTATAAACTTCTTTCTTATTACTTCATTTGCTGTATCCCATAGGATTTGGTAGGTTGTGTTTCCATTATCATTTATTTCAAGAAATTTTTCAATTTCCTTCTTAATTTATTTACTGACTCACTGGTCATTCAGCAGCATACTGTTTAATTTCCATGTATTTGTATAGTTTCCAAAATTCCTCTTGTAATTGATTTCTGCTTTTATTCCATTGTGTTTATAGAAGATGCTTGATATTTTTTCAATCTTTTTGAATGTTTTAAGGCTTGTTTTTTTGAACTAACATATGGTCTATCCTCGAGAATGATCCATGTAAATGTTTATTAGATTCATTTGGTCTATAATGCAGATTAAGTCCAATGTTTCTTTGTTGGTTTTTTGTCTGGAAGATCTGTCCATTGCTGAAAGTGGGGTGTTGAAGTATCTAGCTATTATTGTATTGGGGCCTATCTCTCTCTTTAACTCTAATAATATATTTTTTTATATATGTGGGTGCTCCAGTGTTTGGTGCATATATACTTAAAATTGTTATATCCTCTTGATAAATTGAACACTTTATTATTACATAATATCCTTCTTTGCTCCTTCTTAGAGTTTTTGTCTTGAAATCTATTCTTTTTCTGATAAGACTAGTTACTCTTGCTCTTTTTTGGTTTCCATTGGCATGGAATATCTTTCTCCATCCCTTTATTTTCAGTATATGTGTGTTTCCCTCTTTCTCCGCTCTAAGCCACCTGGAGCTGGGGGTGAATTGACACAAGAACCCTGTGGCCACCACCCCTAAGTGTGTACTGGGTCACACCTGAAGTCTGTACAGCACTGGATCTTACCCAAGGTCTGCTGTAACCACTCCCTTGTACCACCTATGTTCGCTCAAAGCGCTGGGTCTCTAGAATAAGCGTTGTAGCCATCCAGACCTATGTCCTTTCCTTCAGAGCAGTGATTTCTTTCCCCTGGCCCCTGGGAAGGTCCAGAGGTTCAGTTAGGGAGCCAGATACTAGAGTCAAAGACCTTAGAAATCGTCCTTGGGTTCTATTGTGCTGCGGCTGAATTGGCACTCAAACCACAAGACATAGTCCTTCCCACTCTTCCCTCCCCTTTCCACAGGCAGAGGAGTCTCAGTAGGTCACATGCCACCCCAATCCACTATCTCTAGGCCCAGCTGAGCCCTAGGACATGACTTGCCTGGGTGTGGCAATTCTTGTGGCCTAGACTCCCTTTCAGGTTTATTTGGAGCCACAGACCACTTTAGCCTGCAGTGGAGAGCCTTACGACAACTCAAACTCTGACCTCTGGGATCAGTCATTCTCCTCTGGCTAGGGCTGGTTTAAATGCACCCTCAGTGGACAGGCATCAACTGAGTTTAATCTAGTTTTGCTTTCTTCTATAAAGGAGGGCAGCATGGAGTTCAATGGCTCAAAATTGCTGGGTCTCCCTCTCAGGGCACAAAATCTCTCTCTAAAGAAAGCTGCTGCTGCTGGTGGGTGGGGAAAGGGTGGTGTCAGTGATTCAAGTCTCCTTTTTCTACTTCTTCAGTGCCTCTTTCAGTGATACAAAGTAAAAGCCAAGGATTATGAATGGTCACCTGATTTTTTGGTTCTTATGAAGGTGCTTTTTTGTGTGTAAATAGTTGTTAAATTAGTGTCCTTGCAGGGGATGATAGGTGGAGCCTTCTATTCTGCCATCTTGCTTCATTCTCAACCTATCCTCCCATTTAAAATTATTATGGTCTTCATTTTTGGAAACAGATGTGACAGGAATCAACAGATGTTAACGGGAAACAAGGAATTTTCCTGATGAGACAATTTGGTCTTAGAACTGTTTTAGAAACCAAGTAAAGTGCAAAGTTTCGCTAGGGCCCTCAAATAAAAATGATGTAAACCAACAGATGACAGCTTAATGAGTTTAGGCAGGAGGATGGGGCTATATAGTATCAAGATAGATGATGTTGAATCTCATGGATAGATTCGGTTACTGACTCTACAGATCAATAATGGCAATCATGATGATGATTTACTGTTAGGGAAACATGTTTTGGTGGTATCTCGGGCTTGTCTGACAATGCATATTCAAAAGATAGATTGAATGCCCTGGAATGTTAACCTTGTCACTGATGATTTTAGCATTTTCTTGAGATGCACTAAAAAAGACTGTTTTTTTTTCCTTTTAAAATTATTGGGCTGAATAATCATATTTAGTTATTTCAATTCTAGCTGAAGAATTTGGTATGTTTCAAAATACTACACTAAAGTTAAATTGCATTTTGTTCAAAAGGTCTCATATTAATTTTTATTATTTTAAATGAAAACTCACAGTAGCTTGGAAAATAAAGTGGTTTCACCTCTATTTAGTATACTACAAACAGTAAAAGTGATATTGAAGGATATTCATATAGTAAAATCACAAAATGATATATTGCATTATATTCAGGGAAAGCATCAGGATTGTGCGAAGTTGGACACCCTTGCATCTTTTAGGAAACAGCCATTGACATCTTTACTGTAAGAAATAATGCACTTTTTTTTGGAGATGGATAAATAGTAATTAATCAAAATTCAATTTCAAGGCATTTGAAAGTTTCTCCGCCTTTCTCCAACATAACAAACAAAAGGATTTTCATAACTTTACTCCTGCAAGTTGTCAATTTTTTAACTATTTTTGTATATTGCTACATTTTGCATATTACTATGTTATATAAAATAATATTGTAAATAATTTAAACAATTTGAATACCAAAGTTCTTTCTATTTGTCATTAAAATTAATTTTTCCTGTGTCTATTGTTCTACTCACAGAGTGATGCAGAGATGTGACCCAACGGGTCTACCTACCAGGGAGGAGGTGTGGTTTTTACTGGAATATTCTGGCAGGCAAAAGTGAGTAGCTTAGTTTGAGGCCTGGAACTTCTCTATACCAGGAAGTCATTTCATTTATCTGTGCCATTGTTTTCTTATCAGCAAAATATGAACTGGGCTATCTAATTGACAGTTTTTCCATGACAAGCAAGTGAGCTGAGCCAATATGAGTAAGGGAAACAAATGCAAATCTCCAATGCCATTTCAGTGATGGATATTAACTTTCAAATGAAATACAAAAATTTACAGCATTTCCTCAATTCAATTTGATATCATTGAAACAGTCTTTATTTTTCATAATGAAATACTCAATGATTTATTATAATATAATCCTTAATTGTGTTTCATGTCTTTGAAATGACAACAATTTTACTCTTTCATGACAAAAATGTTTATTACTTTATATATTAGCAATATCTAAAACCTCCCCATAATTTTCATTTCATCCAACCCACTCTACCACCAGATCAATGTAAGGACCCAGGTTTAGAATGAATGTATCTCCTCTTATTCCCTTATTTATGCCATTCCATGACCCACCAAACACACATTTCATTGATTCTACATACCACTTTCTTTTTCAACTCCTCTTCAACATTTTGATGGTTTTTCTCTCTTCCTTACTAGATTTAATGGTATAGTTAGTCACGACAGTCATTCTCTTGCTTACATTCTCAAATCTCCTTTGTCTCTTGGTTTCAAACATTCATTTTGAAACACTTGATTAATTTCACCCCCTGACTATTTCATGCCTGTATTGCATGTAGCTGAATGTGACTGAAAAGTAGTGTGCCAGCAGGTAATTCTAAGGCATTTGAATTGAACCCCTTTTCTAATCTTCTTTTATTCTCTTTTTAAATATTCCCAAAACACCTATTGCTTTTAACATATTACATCATTTACCTACTACATCTACTATTTACCAGGATGCATGTCCTTACAAGGCTAGGATCTTTGATGTTTTTTCCACTGATATATCTCAAGTGCCTGATATATTAAACACTCAAATATGTTTGTTGGATATATGTTGTTCAATATTTATGTTCTTATCTTCAGATTGTCTATATGATTTAGAGTTTCCAGAAAACTGTTTAACTTTGCATCCACTGACAATGGAAAGACCACATTTATCTTCCTGTGCAAAGGGTTATGTGTGTTACAGATAAAATGTTGATTCATTTTTCTATCTCATTCCCATTCTCTATTCTAGGTGAGTATAATGCTAGTAAAAACTCTAACAAAGTAATTATAATGTGTTCCGGACAGGATCTCTCCTTTTGGCTTTCTCCCTGCTTCTGAAACACATCCCTTTCCAGGAATGCATGCTTTCTGAGGCAGACAAAAGAAGAGTTGTTCAAGGTATGTCAAGATGAAATGTCAGTTTACTGAATTGCAGTTTCTACCTTTTTTCCTATAAAACACTTCTCAATTAAATGCTTAGCTTTCAGTGTCAATAAATCTGATATTATAATTGCTACAATCCTAATACATTTCTAAGTGCCTCTATATCATATTTTTTTCTTTTCTTTTCTTTTTTGTTCTTTTGAGACAGAGTATCACTCTGTCACCCAGGCTGGAGTGCAGTGGCATGGTCTCGGCTCACTGCAACCTCCATCTCCTGGGTACAAGTGATTCTCCCACCTCAGCCTCCTCAGTAGCTGGGACAACAGGCATGCATCACCTTGCCAAACTATTTTTTTGTATTTTTAGTAGAAACTGAGTTACGCTATGTTGGCCAGCATGGTCTCAAATTCCTGGCCTCAAGTGATTTGCCCAAGTCAGCCTCCCAAAGTGCTGGGATTAGAGGCATGAGCCACTGCACGTGGCTAAATGCCACTATATCATTTTCTTACTTTAAAAAATTGATTTGGGGGACACATAAAATCCTTGGTTATTCACATAGTGAGGGGACAATTTTGCTTCTATTTCTTACTTTACAGATAAGGAAACTGAGGCCGTGAAAAATTAGGAAATTTGTACAAGGTCACAAATATAAAGCACTTTTTACTTTGAAATGGTTCTTGAGACTTTTCTTTTTAGAAGCTTCATATAAACATTTCACACACGCAGGAAATTATACCTTCATATCTCTTTGGGGAAAGAAAAAATTACAATAGAAAATATTTCTCATTAAGATAGCCTTGATTCTATTTGACACTTTAACTGTACTATCTTTATCGTGTATAATAGATGGATTATGTAATTACATTACTCTATAGATTCTATTAGAATAGGCAGACATTTGAATTTGGGAAACCAATCAGGCTTAATTAGAAGAACTTAGTTGAAATAGCCTGAGGAAATGAAAAATAGAATTTCTTTTACGTTAAGTCACAGATTACAAAATTATTATCTACATTGTTAAGGCTTTTTTAAAAAAAATTATTTTATTCAGATTATAATATACACTACTACATTTTAAGCCCTATAGCCTGTCATAGTTTTCTTCCTTGTTACCTGATATGGTAATTCTCCTTCTTTAATGCAGTTAATAAAAAGGTCGAGATTCCCTAGTTCCTTCCTATGCTCTTCTTTATTATGATACCCCATCACCTGAGACTGGAAGCTAAATGAACTTCACCTTTCAGATTTTTTTTCACCTGAGAATGTACATCATATGGTAATGGGCCAGCCCACTGTGTCTGTTGGATCTGTGACCGCAGCTGTGATTATTCATCTTAATTTGCTTGTAAAAGATGCTAATTATTTCATAAGGCATTCACTTATAAAATGGAAACCAAAGCAAGCAGAAGCAGGGTTTTGTTGACATGTTTTAAAGTACAGAAATAATTCCAATTGAAATGTTAATTAAAATAATATATCATGTCTTTTAAAAACTCAGATGTTCCAGGTTTATTTGAGATGGTCTTCAGTCCTTGGAAAAATATGTATAGCTCCATCAAATTTGGTTTCTTATTATATCAAAGAAAGGAACATAGTCAATGAAACTTAAGCTCAGATACGTGTGTGACATACGTACAATGTCAGATCTAGAAAAGTCCATATTTAAAATATATATATAGCTACTTTGGAATATATAAAGAAAAAGCTCTATGCTTTAATAGATAACATCTAGTGAGCACTGACTATATCTTATGTTAATAACTCATTTTCTTATCAAATCATCTATGTTAGGAAATTGAGACTTTAACTTTTTGAAAATATTATGATATGGCTAAAGTCTGTAACCAGAAAGTCTGAATCCAGAACCCATTGCTTAATTGCTTGTGTTACTTGCCTTTTGACTAGAAGCTTTATTGATTCTGATATTGCAAAACTCGATATTCATTTTCAGATTGTGAAGATGTCTATTTTTCTCAAAGTCTTTTATCTGAGTTTCACATGCTTAAGACAGTTTCAGAAATAAAATGATGTTTTGTTTCAGAGTGTTTTTAAATGTATATATTTATTCCTAACTGACATTAACAAATAATTGTATTGGTAATGTCTTGTGATTAGTGGCACTGTTGAACAATGTTTGGACTATTTTTTTACCAGGGATGCATAAAATACTTAGAATTTAATTAAATGAAATGAAAAAAATATTTTTCTTAGTGTATAATGCCTAAAAGTTTATTATTGTCCAGAAATTTTGTAAAAAATGTATTTTAAAATATTAACCATTTAGTAATCTTCATAGATTAATTAACCTAATGGTTTAAGAAAGTGCATAGTTGCTTAACTACTTTAAAGGTTACTTCAGACACAGGCTAGTTCAGAATAAGTTTATGAATTAATTCTCTTTCTAAAACATAAAGTCCTGGGAAGTAAGCCAAGGTCAGTTTCTTGAAGCTAACCAAGTAGGCTAATAATAAGAACTCTTACATTAGCCAAACTGAATTATTCAGATGTAACCAGTAGTGTCTAAAATTTCCAAATTTCTTGGAACAACATCAATGTGATATTATGCTCTAATGTCTGGCTAACTTCTGGAAAGATTTACTACATATCCATACTCTTTGGTTATTGCATTCTTAACAAATGAATAGCATTTCTGATAGGACAAGATATTGGTCCATCCTGAAGGAGAGAAGAGGATTATTGCTACCACATGAAAACAAAGAGAAATAGATGGGTAATTTTCAGTGGGTTCGTTGCATTATGTAAACCTATTTGAGCACTTATTCTTATTACACCTTAAATGTATTTATTTTTAAAGCACATAAGAATCAAATTCCTTCTCCCTAATCTTTGTGATTCTCATGAAGTACTTCTGAGATGTGAATCAGGACTTTGCATTCTTAGCAAGCATCCAGGTGATTCTGTCGCAGATGAGTCACACATTGTATTTTTAGAAATACTGAGAGTAGCTGTGTTTTCCAATACACATAACTGTAAGTTTTCAGCAAGACTTGGTAGTGGGAGACATTTAGTTAAAATGGGTAATGTGTTAAGGGATAAGCCTGCCCTAATATTTGGAGTGGCTGAATTGGTTAACAGTATTCTATCAGGGAAAATTTCTTTACTTGACCTTCATTTTCACCTTTGATATGTACATACAGGTTAAGAGTAAGAATGGTGATTTGAATCCAATTAATGTGCATTTGCAAAGATTTAGATGATAAGAAGAGAATGTACCTTGACCTTGGACTAGAGAAGGAACGGAAATGTTATAGAAAAAATGAAAGGGTTATACAAGGAAACTTAATCCTAAGCAGAGCTTTACCCATGGGACTAAGCCTGGAAGGGAATAACTGAAACTGAGACTCAGAGGAAATTGAAGCTTGTAGCAGATTTGTGCCCAGGATAATGGCATGATTCTAAAGATTCTGCTTGCACAAACAGAGTAAGTAAAACCTGGGCACTTTGGCTCACGCCTGTAATCCCAGCACTCTGGGAGGCTGAGGTGGGCAGATCAAGAGGTCAAGAGATCGAGACCATCCTGGCCAACATGGTGAAACCCCATCTCTACGAAAAACACAAAAATTAGCTGGGCGTGGTGGTATGCACCTGTAGTCTCAGCTACTCGGGAGGCTGAGGCAGGAGAATCATTTGAACCCGGGAGGCGGAGGTTGCAGTGAGCCAAGAGTAAGTAAAACCTGGGCACTTTGGCTCACACCTGTAATCCCAGCACTTTGGGAGGCTGAGGTGGGCAGATCAAGAGGTCAAGAGATCGAGACCATCCTGGCCAACATGGTGAAACCCCATCTCTACTAAAAACACAAAAATTAGCTGGGCGTGGTGGTATGCACCTGTAGTCTCAGCTACTCAGGAGGCTGAGGCAGGAGAATCATTTGAACCCGGGAGACAGAGGTTGCAGTGAGCCAAGATTACACCACTGCACTTCAGCCTGATGACAGAACGAGACTCCGTCTAAAAAACAAAACAAAAAAAAGGCCGGGCCCAGTGGCTGACGCTTGTAATCGCAGCCCTTTGGGAGGCCGAGACGGGTGGATCACGAGGTCAGGAGATCGAGACCATCCTGGCTAACACGATGAAACCCCTCTCTACTAAAAATACAAAAAATTAGCTGGGCGTGGTGGCAGGCACCTGTAGTCCCAGCTACTCGGGAGGCTGAGGCAGGAGAAAGGCGTGAAACCGGGAGGCTGAGCTTGCAGTGAGCCGAGATCGCGCCACTGCGCCCCAGCCTGGGCGACAGAGCAAGACTCTGTCTCAAAAAATAAAAAAGAGTGTATAAAAGGAGGTGAAAAATTAGTGGGTTTAAAAAAATTTTTTTTCTTAACAGTCTATCTCAAATGTCATTTATTCCAAGACCTAAAGGAAAAAAAAGAGGAGCAAGATATACAAAAATCAGAACAGATCATTCCAAACAGCTGTAATAAGGTAATAGACAGTACAATGACCCATAGAGAAAGTGAGAAAAAAAATCAAGATGCTTAAACATCCTGAGAGAAGCAAGGAAAATAGTAGAAGAGGTTAGGTAATCAGGCAAGTATCAAATGATACAGGACTTTTTTTTTTTTTTTTTTTTTAGAAAAAGTAAGTAGTTTGAATTTTATTCTAAGTGTGAGTAATTCTTTTGGAAAATTATAAGTAGGGGTGCTTATAACTCCAGATCTCTGTGGCATCCAAATGTAAAATTTTTTCTTGCTCAATTACTTGTCAGCTGAAGTTCGACTATAATTATGCCACCTGTCTTCTTTAGTTTTGAATGCAGGTTGCAGAAATGCTTCCCTCTGAGATAAGACATTCTCATGGAAAAGGAGAAAAGAAAAAGAAAATAGAATTGCAAAAGCACAAGATGGTTTAAAACTTCTACTTAGATGATTTAAACATGGCATATATCATGTCTGATCACCCTCCATTGGTTAAAGCAAGTCCTGATAATCCAGATGTTTTGGGAGGGCCATCATCTTCTTACAGGAAGGGTCAGTGAATAATTGGGGACAATATTTTCTTCTGTATCAAAAACACCCACAACATCATTGAATTTGAAGCTATATAGACAAGTGAATAAATAAATTAAAAAGCTGAATGGAGATAGAAAAAAAGAGGAAAATCCAGAAAAAGACCAAAGAGCTCCTCTGTGTTTAGAGGCAAAGTGGTGGAGAAGGAGTTCGCAAAGATGATTGAGGAGTAAAATCCAGTATAGTAGCAAGAAAAACCAAAAAAATATCTGCCATGGAGAAAAAGAAAATGTTTCCAGAAAAAGAAGATTAACCATGTGGAATGCAGCTGAGAAATAAAATAAGGTAAAAGACATGAAACAATTAGATTTGTATTTGGCAACATTGTATTTGAAATGGCAACAATACGTTTACCGTGTTGGTATTATTTTTTTTCCACCAGCAAATATTGTGTACTGGGTAAGGAGATGTAGGATAAAGGAAAATGATCTCAAAGAAGATGGGGGTGAGTTAGGGAGTAGATGGTAGATAAAAACAACCCAGAGAATCAATGATGGTGGCGATAGTCACGCATATTATTGAATATATGGTTTAGGCTGTGGTGAAAGTAAAGTGAGATTTCAGGGGATAAAATATTCCAGGAAATAATAAAAGTTAAGGGATGGGAAGGGTTTCAGTTTCTTATATAAAGTTAAAGCCCCAATATTAAGCAGGCAGCCCACATGAGTTTGATATTAATCAGAATAGTGACAACAGTTGAAGTGAGAAAGTCTTTAAAGTAGATCTGTAAGTTCCTGGTGAATGAAGAGGTAGTACCACAAGGTTGGCAACTAAAGATGTTGTGTAGTGTGTGCACATATGTGTGTTTATGAGTAATCATGCCATTATTCTATATCACAGAATGTTTACATATTAAATATAATGAGGTACCTTGGCAGTTATAACTGGTTTATATGTTTCATTTGTTGAGAAATGTTGAAGGTACAATTCAGAATGCTGGAAATATTTATAACGGCAATCCCTCTACATCTTAAAGTTAGATGGTATGAACTTTCCCAATTCATTAAGTGATGTTCAGTAAAATTTTGCACTGCTTTTTAATGGCAATTTGCATCATAAAGGAAAGAATAGGAGTACGTTAATTGGCTCAAGAATTATTTTCTTAAGTAACTGCACTCATTTGCATTTTGGAGTGAGGCTCCAAAACTGAACTCAAGCTCTCTATGTCCTAGGTGACCTTGTTAGAATGCATGGTTATAATTATACTGAATAATCAATGGAAAAACAGGAAACTTCAAAGGCTAATGAATAGAATGCTCTATAGTATTTAAGGTTTTAAAAAAATGACTAGCTTTTCATTTATTTTCTTTGTGCTTTTTGCAAAACTAATTCTCACATTTCACCTGCATGAACTCTAACTGGGGCGTATGATATTCTGTTGATCATATAGGCTCCTTCCATTAATAACTCTATTGCTCACAAATTTATAGATTTCCATTTTCACCCACCACTTATCACTATTTATTTTTTAAATAACTTTTATGTGATGCAAATTGCTTTTATGCTTCATCAAGACTGAAATCCTAAATAAAACAGTATTTTGTGATTTTATGTTAGAACACTTCATTGTCTTTGATCATATCCTCTGCCCTAATCTAATTTATTACTACCATCTAATCTAATCTACTACTAATCTAACATTAAAAACAAAAAAGTACGAATTATCATTTTTCCTTTACACTTAAAAATCCCTTTGGATTAACTATAATATTTGTCCTATTTTTAAAAAGTGCTTGCTCAAAAATATAGTTCAGAAAATTATGGTCTTAATAATTTATTAAACAAATTATCTCTAACAACCAGATAGGAAGAATAAGTTCTATTGCTGTATACCATTGCAGGATGACTATAGTTAACAAAAATATATTATATAGTTTTAAGATAGCTAGAAGGAGGATATTGAATATCCCTAACACAAATAAATGATAAAAGTTTAAGCTGATAGATATGTAAGTTAATCCTTATCTTCTCACTATACATTATGCGTATTGAAACATCACTAATACCCCAGAAATATGTACAATTATTATTTGCCAATAAAAGAAGATAAACAAAAACTAACACATGCTTAAAATTAAAAAAAAAAAAAACATACTCTTCAAAGATAATAGTTCATTCAAATTCTTCAGAATATACCTTTCATTGCTATCAAAACAATAGATTTAAAGGACACTTGTTGGAATTCAGGCTGTTTACTGAATATAAGTACTTTCTTTTTTTTCTTTTTTTTTTTTTTGTTGAGACAGAGTTTTGCTCTTGTCGCCCAGGCTAGAGTACAATGGCTCAGTCTCGGCTCACTGCAACCTCCGCCTCCCAGGTTCCAGCGATTCTCCTGCCTCAGCTTCCCAAGTAGCTGGGATCACAGGTGTGCGCCACCACGCCTGGCTAATTTTTGTATATTTAGTAGAGATGGTATTTCACCATTTGGCCAGACTGGTCTCGAACTCATGACCTCAGGTGATCCACCCGTCTTGTCCTCCCAAAGTGCTGGGATTACAGGCCTGAGCCACCACACCTGGCTGAATATAAGTACTTTCTTAACAGATCTGAGTAGTTTTTAAATCTGTGCATGTGGATGATAGTAGGAAACAAATAATAAAATGTTTTAGTGAATAATGTAGAAAAATCTAAATCCACAGAACACTTGGTAAATAGCCCTGTTAATATAAAAATTTAGGGGAAAAAACTGGAAAGAATAAAAAGAACATCTATTTACTAGATCACAAGTATCATGTGAAAACCCAGTAGCTAAATTACCAGACTTTAAGCTGTGATTTTAGGGGATTTGGTTTCCGGCATTCTCTTGGTTCCTCAGGCCCACCAAGTTTCTGGCACCCTGGGCCCTGCTTTTGTAGCCATTGCGACTTGTGTTTCCGCCCCCTCTCTCCACCTTTCTTGAAGTGGTCATCTATTTAAAATGAACTTACCGAGTGCCTAACTTTTTCCAAGCAATTGTGCTAAGCACAGTGTTAGGATTTGCTAACTCCCGTGAGGCATCATTTCTTTGAGAATGTGTTTTCTTCAATTGCCTGGACATGGGCAGCTTCTCCTCCCCTTACAGTCAGAAATCATGGAGAAAAGCCTTTAAACTTCCTGCGATGATAGATAACCACAGAGCACTGGACTTGAGAACACAGATTTTGAAAATAGAAAACTCTGCGACTGAATCTTCATGTACTTTTGTAATGTGTCAATGTAGCTACACTGAAATACGTTTTTTATTATTTCCTTTTCTGTATGTTTCTGGCTAATTGGATCACAGAAGAGACTGTTGGGAGAGATTCAGAGGGTGAAAGTGAAGGGGCAGCCATTCTGTAGCTCTCCACTGTGTCACTCACTTGCTTGTTTCCTTACTTTGAGGCAGTGGCCAAGCCTGCAAATGTCCCACCTTCTTTTTGTTCCTCTTTTGGCTTCATAAACTCCTATGTCAGTTGTGTGTGTTAGGTCTGGCTTATGCAGAACACCCATACCAATGAGGTTCAGAGGCAGTAACAACTGACCTAGCGTTTAGCCTGTTCTCATTTGCTACAGCTTGCGCTTTTGGGTTTCACTTACTGCTTGCTCTCACCCACCTAACACCTATCCCTCCTTCCCTGCTGCCCGTGTCCTGTGTACTTCAAGATCCAACATCAAATACAAAGACAAAAGATTTACAGATACTACTTAACCAGTTTGCGTATGGTCAAGCCTCTGAAAATACTGCATGAGGTCAAATCTCTATTGATTTATCTATTTCTGGTTCTCTGAACACTGAGTGATATGCTTGATATCACCAATGACTAGCTAAGTGATTTGGAAGTAATAAGTGATTTATCTTCATTAAATCTGTTTTATTTACTACAAAATGGGAGTTTTGTGTGAAATAAAAATTAATGTAGGTGCTGCACTTAGCAAGAGATCAAACATGTTATAAACACTCAATCAATAGTAACAATTATCATTACTCTGTCCTAAAAACTATCGTGTTTTTATTCTCTTTTTGCTATTGGACTAAATACAAAACAAAATACAACAATAGAAAAAAATAAACAACCAACAAATACACAAAGAAATTACTACTATTCCCCAATGGCAACTTAATCTTATTATTATTATATCCTTCCAAGAGCCTGCAAAACAAGAAAGCTAAAAAAATCTGTTAGATTCAGTATTTATCTCAAGCTCATTACACATAAACAAATTGTCCCTAATAATCAATATGGGAAGCATGCTTCTATAGAAAACATTTGAATTATTTAAATAGCATTGGTTTTTGCCTATGTGATTCTTGTTGTAAGAACATTCCTTGCATTAGTTTGAAAATAGGAACATCTAGAAAATCTACTAGATGATATTTAGTGCTTTTTTAGTATTTCTTAGTTTCTCAAGTCATGTAAAAAACCATGTTTTCATGTTTTTAACATGGGATAAAGTTGACTTGGCTCCAGAGACCAATTAATTACATGGGAAAAGATAGAAAAACTAAAAATTGTGAAAATGAAAAATTATTCTTACATTACTATGTATAAAAAAATTCATACTTAGGCATATAGGACCTGTACAATGGAGAAAATCATTAGTTGCCTAAAATAGTTATATGTCCATATCTTTCTGTGGCTCTGATTTATTAGATATAAAATGGTGTATTTATTAAAATATCCTTGGAAGTGTCAAAATATTAAAAAAATTATAATAAATGTGATATATACTGAATATAATTTAATAAAATTTATAAATTTATTAACCTGTATATTGTATGTATAAAACAGATATATACAGAGAGAGAAAGAAAGAGCTACAGAGAAAGAAATAAGAACACTCAAACATAGCTGATAGAAATGTAAATTGGTATAGCTTTTAAAAAGTTAAGGAAGAAAATGTTTCAGTATATATTAAAACAAATGTGTATTTACATTTGAATTAAGCAATTTCATTTTTTGGAGTTTAAAGACACATTTCCAACAATATGAAAATGCACCTGCAACAGGTTGTTCATTGTTTTTAATAGCAAGATGTTTGGTGAAGATGCATGCATAAACATAAGAGATTGACTGAATACACTATTAGAATTACACACTGAAATCTATGTTTCTGATTTAAGAAAACTTTGGGAGGCCGAGGCAGGTGGATCACAAGGTCAGGAGATTGAGACCATCCTGGCTAATACAGTGAAACCCCCTCTCTGCCAAAAATACAAAAAATTACCCATGGTGGCAGGCACCTGTAGTCCCAGCTACTCGGGAGGCTGAGGCAGGAGAATGGTGTGAACCCGGGAGGGGAGAGCTTGCAGTGAGCCGAGATCGCGCCACTGCACTCCAGCCTGGGCGACAAAGAGAGACTCTGTCTCCAAAAAAAAAGAAGAAAACAAAAACTGAGGGAGATCTGTTTTGCCAATAGTGGAGAAACAGGAATACAATGTTAAGTGGAAAAAAAACCTTATAGAGTATATATAGTGTGCTATCATATGTGTAAAAGAAAGAGGAGTAATAGGAAATATACATATATTTGCTTATTTTTGCAAAACAAAAGCCAGGAATGATACATCTAAAACTAATGATATTGCCCATATTAGTGGGTTGAATAGTGTCCCCCAAAATTCATGTCTACTGTAAACCTATGAATGTCATCTTATTTGAAAATAAGGTCTTTGTACATACGGTCACGTTAAGATGAAGTCATATTGGATTAGAGTAGGCCTTAAGTCCTTATTTTTGCTATAACTTTTTAGAGTAGTATAGAGTAGTAGCAGAGTAGTAGAGTAGAGGTTCTTTTATTTTTGTGTGTTTACTTTTTTTTTAGGAGAAGAAGACTTAGAGACACAGACACACAGAGGGAAGAAGGCCATAGAAAGACAAAGGCAAAGATTGGAGTTGTACTGCCACAAGCCCAAGAATGAGGAAACCACCAGGAGCTAGAAGAAACAAGCAAGGATTCGTCCCTGGATTGGTCTTTCAAAGGGAGCATGGCCCTGCTGACACTTTAATTTCAGACTTCTAGGCTGCAGAACCATTAAAGAATAAATTTCCTTTGTTTCAAGCCATGCTGCTTCTGTTGTTTTCTTATGGCAGTCTTGGGAAACTAATATATCTATTCATACATAGAAATGGAAATGGGGAGAAACGGTGTTAAAGAAAGAGTGAGCTTCTCAGACTCCCCTTTTTGGTATAGGTTTTACTTTTGGACCCATGTTAATATTTTACATAATTAATAAAATAAAATTAAGAAGTTTGAGGGAAACATCTTTAAAATGAAAAACAAACCAACAAACAAATGAACCTAACAGTATTTCCATTCAACGTATTGGAAAAATGCAACCAAACTGAAGGTTGGAGCAAAGAAGGAATCCAAATAACTTGCAAATACATTAGCACAGTATTTTGACTATAATACCTTCAGTGTAAAGACAAAAAAGACTTTCTGAAAGGTTCTGTAACCTCATTAGCAATATTTTTGTATTGGCATGGATTGGTACTTTTAGAACTGCTTTCAATGTAATCTAAGACTGACAAATGAGATTATGTATTGTGGACAATTGTTGCACTGCTGGAAGAGGGAGTAACCACATAAAAAGGAGTTGGGGAATAGAACAGATCTTCTAGTGTGGAATTTAAATTGGGAATATCAGCTTATGAAATAGTTAAATAGATACATACATGTATAGATATATGTATACATGTATGGATCAGTGTATATTATAGACATATATTAATATATTATCTATTCTAGTGCTCTAAATATCAATTCTGAGACAACTGGAGTTATTCAAGACTTCTTCCGTACACTATATGGTCAGTTTCATTTGGGTCTCAAAGTACAAGATCCGCCAGTTACTTGTTATTAATTTTTCCATGGCATAGTCACACATATTTTTACCTGCTTTGAAACAGCTTTTATGATGTTATGTTTTAAAACTTATGAAAATGAATATTTGCAGGGATAAATGATTATAAAGTATTTAAAAGTTTGATGTAATATCATACAAATTGACAGATCATATTCCGTGAAAACATTACAGCTAATTAGAGGACAATATTTCTTAGATTTCTACCCCCCAAAAATAATTCATTTTATCCTCCATTTTGAGTGGTGCTGAAAAAAAGTATTAAACAGAGTTCTTAAAATATGCTATAACTAGTAGAAATTATTTTTTTAATTTCTATTGTTTTCATTTTTCAAAGTAAAATTTATTTAAAATTTATATCAAAAATTAAGATTTATCAGACTATGTCTACTTTGGCAAAATAAACTGTTTTTGTGATCATTTTGTCTTTCACTATGAGTCAAATTATTAAGGTGAGTTTTCTTTTCAGCTTATTACAATTATCCTAATAGACAGCACAGGATGCTGTCAAAGTCTTAGTTTTGAGGGTTAATATTAAATCACCATTCTTATATTTCGCTTCCTCATTAGATCAATAATGCAAAAGGTCTAATGTAATGTCAAAGGACTTGCATTCATCAAACTGGAAATACCTTGTGGCTGTTCATTAGGGTTATGCCTTCCCTGCTTTTAGAAAATATTACTGAGGGATTTTTATTCAACCAATGAATGCCTATAGGATATTTTATGAACCAAGTTAGAAAATAGACTGGGGGAAACGTATGGATAATTGGTAACCAGAACAAAACAGAATAAGTCCAAGATTATGAAATATAAATTCCTTTCTGTGCTAGAATAAAAATTGTACAAATACAGTATTATTCAAAACACATATACTGTAGATATGGAGACTCTTGTTTATCACCATTTGCCTTATATAATATTTGCATTTAATAGAAACCAAATAATTTGAAATTAACTTTGTAGTCATATTTTATTAATTTTACATTTAATTTTTATTTATTAGTTGGGTGATACTCAGTGTAGTGCTTATAGTCTGAAGCAGTTTTTTGAAATCTGTATTGAAACATTTAAAAAATATCTAGTGGAGCTTCTTTACATCATTCTTCAGTTTGCCATTTATTTTTGTCAATATGCTAACCTCACAAATGCTTTGCCTTGTGTTATAATAGTCCAAAAATTACCCTAATGTTTCCTTAAAAAGTAGTTTTTTAAAGAATCTGCTACATTAATAACTTCATGTAACATTTAACATGTAATTAAACAACATATTATGGATTTACTGAGTTATTGAGTTAGGAGATTTTCACTGAAATAACAAACTGTATAGCCGATTCAGTTATAGCTGGTATGTTGTAAAAGCAAGATACAGACAGACTTATAGTCACTTAAAGTCATATAAACTGCATAATTTCTGTAATTTATAATGTTATGTAAATTGAAAGTACACACATTAAAAGATGCTTTACATCATTAATTATTAATAAAATGCAAATTAAAAACCACAATGAGATACTATGACACGCTTGTTTAAATGGCTAATATTAAAAGAGGCTACCTGAAGTATTGCAGAGAAGAGGGTGGAACTGGAACTCTGATACTCTGACTATGTGTATGTAAAATGACACAACCACTTTAGAAAAACAGCTCAACAACTTGTCTTGTTTCATTTGCTAAGCATATGTCAGCCATATGGTATAGCCAGTCTACTCCTAGATATTTACCCAAAGGAATAAAAAGGAAATATATGTCCGTATATCATGTATCATTATAAGAGATACTTGTAATAGTCAAAATCAACCTAAATGCCTATGAATAGGTGAATACATAACATTATAATGTACCCAACAAATGGAATATTAGCAACAAAAATGGGGGAACTGCTGATAAAATCAACAACCATGGATGAACCTGAAAATGTTCCTGAATAAGCGAAGCCAAGACCTTCCCCTCCCCAAAAAAGAGTATGTATTAGATGATTCCATTTATACAAAACTCAACAAAAGGGAGACTAACTTGTATTGATAAAAAGCAGGCAATGATTGTTTGGGGATGGAACGGTACGGTAGAATGGATGAGAGACAGGTATTACCAAGAAGCATGAGGAAATTTTGGGGGATGTTGACATGTTCACTATTTTGATTGCGGTGAGTATTTCACAGTGTCAAAATTATTCAGTTTTATCCTTTAAATCTTCACAGTTGCAAAAGGTTTTACAGAACAGGTGTTATTTTAAAGCATCCTTTAAAAGAGTGTGTTTTTATTCTCTGTTGTCACGTGCCCCATGTTGGGCTCCTTGAACCACAACTCTCTCAATGCAGACCATGCCTCTCCTTCACTGCCTTATTCCAAGTCTCAGCCACCACAGGCTGCTCTAGTCAATCTCTCTCCTTCATCTTTCTCAGGCATGCGTCAGACATCAATTCCCCAAATCTCCAGCTGCCGGAAACAAATATTTAAGCTTTTCAAGTGGCACTGCACCCATAGACTTTAAGCAAATGGCACACATTCTTCACCTTGTTGAAGATACGAATTTAGGTCTTTCTAATTATACCTTTTCTGTTAGATATAAGTGAGTTCTCGAACTGGTTCCTAACCACCTACCTAGTTGGAAATGCAACAAACTATTTTTTGTCTCAGACAAAGCTACTTGGAAATGCTACTTGGAAATGCAATACCTATTATTTTTATGTCTCAGATAAAAGTGAGTTAGGAAACTTCCCTTTAACAATCTGTTACAGATATACTGACTCAAGAAATATTTATTCAATATCTACAGTATTTAAGGTAATGTACCTGGTTCTGTAGAACATAAAGAGGTAAACATATTATATCCTCAAATACCTTTAATATAATCTAATATGAAAAACTAGATATGTGGTATAATTCAGAGAGTGGCATGCTACAAAAAAAGATACAAATGAAGTGCAATGGGAAATTATAGACACAAAGGTGTCCTTTATTCTGGATTTTCAGGATTCGGGCCAGTGGAGAGAATAAGAAAGAACATTCCTGCGGAAAGCTTATGTGAGTAAAAGATGAATAAAATATGAAGTATGATAACTTTATAAGTAAAATAATTCTTTACCACTGGTTATTTCCAATTAGAATAATAATTCAATTTTACAACTTCAGACCTCATGACTTTGGTGTTATCCAAGTATCTATTAGTATGTTTCTGAATACATTTAAATGAACCAGTTGAAATATTTATGTGTATATTAAATTCCAAAAATGTAATAAATCACAGAGTTTCATTTACAGTTTATTAGTGAGTAGATTACCTCCTCTGCTTCCTGGCTGCTTTCATATTGATCTGAGATTTAATAGCCAGATAGAAATGATACTTACACATTGAAATTGCCCATAATAATGAGTTTTTCTTTTTGTATTCTATGAACAGCATAACAATGTCTTATGATAATTAAAATAATCTGCCATGTCATGAAAAGCACACAATTTAGAGATGACAAAACCAAAAGGAAAAAAAGTTACGTAATGAATGTATTGTAATAAAATTTTCTTAATTCTTGATCTAACTCTATGAGGATGTTTATGAAATGAGAATATGTAAATCACGCTTGAGATGCCAGGTACTTTAAGGGTAAGATTTTTCTGGTAACAATGGTTAGGTCGGGGAGGCTGTCAATCAGGAACATGCTGCACAGTAACTGATCTCTGAAGGCTCACACTTTAATGACACAACCAATACAGTGTGTATTGGATATAAGGAAAAAGAAGAAACCATAAAATTGTGTGTGTATGTGTCTGTGTGTGTGTATTCACCTGTATCTGTGTACACACATTCTCTTATTCCCAAACAGGAAGCAATGGTCACTGTCCTGGCTCCTTGCTACTTCTTTGCACCACTCAAAAGTGCCTTCCCTCGGAATGCAGGCCACATTGTTATTTAAACTGGACTTCCCTTTCACTATCATTATCTGGCATCTTTTAACATCTTCTTTATCTCACTCAGTCCTTTTATTTCAAAGAAGTTCATAGAGAAGCATAGATTTGGTGGCAGCAAAGAGGTGAGTATGATTAGCATTTTGACCTATGTAAATGACACGTTTGTTATAGCCTATCTAGGAAATTTGCCTCTCATAATAATTATTTAAAATATATCACTAGGGTTGCCATTGCTAAATTAGGCATTGTAACTTCAATTATATTTTAATTACATAACAAAATGATAAACCAATTTTAAAAACTATTGACATATAAAGTAGTATACAAAATCAACATTTTGTTTTAAATTATTTAGTAAAATTTTATCATATAGTCAATTAGTTGGCATGACAATAATTTTTAAATATCTGATATTTTTCAAAGAAGACTATAATATTCACAGTTCTTTGTGGTTTAAAAACACTTTTATCTGTTTTTCCAGTTGAAATAATTATAGTTTAGGGCTGGGCATGGTGGCTTATGCCTGTAATCCCAGCACTTTGGGAGACTGAGGCAGGTGGATCACTTGAGGCCAGGAGTTGGAGACCAGCCTGGCCAACATAATGAAACCCTATTTCTACAAAAAATACAAAAATTAGCCGGGTGTGGTGGTGTGCACCTCTAGTCCCAGCTACTTGGGAAGCTGAGGCAGAGAATCGTTTGAACACAGGAGGTGGAGGTTGCAGTGAGCTGAGATCATGCCACTGCACAAAACAAAACAAAGAAACAAATAAAAACAAGAAAAAAAGAAATAATTATACTTTAGGATAAAGTAGGAAATGGATTTTTTTTAGTATTTGAAAAAGGGTGCTAACAAGCTCAGAGAAATTAAGAGACTTATTCAATGGTCTTCTGACTCCATGCCTTTTATTTTTTCTACAATATTTTAAACATGATGATTGATATGGTTTGGATTTGTGCCCCCAACCAAATTTCATGTTGAATTGTGATTCCCAATATTACAGGAGGGCCCTGGTGGGAGGTGACTGGATCATGGGGGTGGATTTCCTCTTTCTGTTCTCGTGATAGTGAGTGAGTTCCCACGAGATCTAATTGTTTAAAAATGTGTAGCAGCTCCCTGCTTTGCTCTTCCTCCTGCTCCAGCCATGTAGGGCATGCCTCCTTCCTCTTCGCCTTCTGCCATGATTGTAAGTTTCCTGAGGTCTCCCCAGACATGCTTCCTATAGAGCCTGCATAACCATGAACAAATTAAACCTCTTTTCTTTATAAATTACCCAGTCTCAGGTATTTCTTTATATGGTACAATAACTGACTAATACAATGATATTTAGAAATAAGAGACATGGATATTTTGAATAGGTTGCCACGTAGTAAAACAAATTGAAAAACAAACTAAAAATATGCATTTATCTAAACAACTATAAAAGGTATACAGTCAGTAAGAAAAGTACATTTGTAAAGGAAATTAATCACTAATATGAGACTAAAATGCATGATGATAAAATGACCTCACAAAACTACAGATGAAGTAGATCTAGGAAGGTTATAATTGGCCATAAGCTTAAGTAAAATACTCACTAATCTAACTTTCTGCTGGGTATAGAGGGATTTATTTAATAAGTGCAAACATTGTGTATTTTCCTTAAGAAGTCTAACTGCTGAAGAAAGTCTAACAAATTAAAACGAGCAGTATGAAGTTAATTAAAAGCTAAATCCTGGGATGCATGTGGTGGCTCACACTTATAATCTGAGCACTTTGAGAGGCTGAGGCAGGAGGGTCACTTGAGACCAGGAGTTCCAGACCAACCTGGACAACACATCAAGACTCTGTCTCTACAAGAAATTTTTAAAAAGAAAGAAAATTAGCCAGGTTTAGTGGCACAGATCTGTCATCCCAGCTATTTAGGAGCCTGAGATGGAAGACTACTTGAGCCTAGGGGGTCGAGGCTTAAGTGAACTATGATTATAACACTGAACTCCAGCCTGGGCAAGAGAGTGTGTCTCTGTCTCAAAAAAGAAAAAAAGAAGAGGTAAACTGTGAAGCTCGGAAATTGTAGCATAGAGAGAGATAAAAGTATGCTAGTATCTAGAAGTTAGAGGCTGACTTAAATCTTAAAGATCAGTCGTAGTAGGATTAGAAAAAAAATGAAAAGAAAGATGAGGTAATTCATAAAGAAAGACAAAAATGAGCAACTATGCAACACAGTGAAGAGATTAATATAAGTATAGAAAATTTATGTAGAGAGGAGATAGCTATTAAGGCCAAGTGGGTGATGGGCTTAGACAAGTATGATAGAACTGGATTTTGTGAGAAGGCTTTGCATTCTGACTCTGAATGCAGGTTTCAAATAGATACAGAAAATTTGTGAAGAGGTAAAAAGAAATCCTATACATCTGCCTTGGCACTAATCAGGAACATGATCCTTTTATTTATCTGTTGCTGGATATATATATGTATATATTTTTTTCCATTGGGCTTACAAATTTCCATTTCTGCTATGGGCAGGGGAAGTTTGTAAAATTAAAGTTAAAAGAAATTCAGTTTGTTTTAATTTTAAAATGGTTTCCTTTGGGGGAAACACTAAGTCTTCTAATAAGCCCTCTGCTCCTCATTATTGCTGACATGTAGAAGATTCTTATATGTCCTCATCATAATGGGACAATGGACCTATGCTCTGATTTGGATCCTTGTGCTGTCCTCGGGCTCATGAATTAATACTCCTTAGCAGTAAGTGTCTTCCTGCCATCTAGGCTGCAAGAAGTGGCCACAATCAGAGACTTCAGGGCCCTCCTAGTGGGTCCATCCCCACCATGACTCTTGCAGATCCTGTTGAATCCTGAGTACTCAAACATGTCCTTCATTCAGTATTTGTCCTAGGCTCTTTGTGATGGTTAATACTGAGTGTCAACTTTATTGGATTGAAGGACGCAAAGTCTTGTTCCTGGGTGTGTCTGTGAGGGTGTTGCCAAAGGAGATTAACATTTGAGTCAGTGGACTGGGAGAGGCAGACCCATCGTCAATCTGGGTGGGTGCCATCTAATCAGCTGCCTGTGTGACTAGAATAAAGCAGGCAAGAGAAGATGGAGAGCAGACTTGCTGAGTCTTCCGGCCTTCATCTTTCTCTTGTGTTGCATGCTTCCTGCCTGATATGGTTTGGCTGTGTCCCCACCCAAATCTCATCTTGAATTGTAGCTCCCATAATTCCCTTATGTTGTGGGAGGGACCCAGTGGGAGATAATTGAATTATCGGTCAGTTTCCTCTATACTGTTCTCATGGTAGTGAATAAGTCTCATGAGATCTAATGGTCGGGAAACCCCTTTTGCTTTGCTCTCATTCTTCTCTTGTCTGCCACCATTTTGAGACGTGCTTTTCACCTTTCACCATGATTGTGAGGTCTCCCCAGCAATGTGGAGCTGTAAGTCCATTAAATCTCTTTCTTTTGTAAATTGCCCAGTCTAGCATATGTCTTTATCAGCACTGTGAAAATGGACTAGAACATCAGACTCCAAGTTCTTCAGCTTTTGGACTCTTGGACTTACACCAGTGGTTTGCCAGGGGCTGTCAGGCCATTGACCACAGACTGAAGGCTGCATTGCTGGCTTCCCTACTTTTGAGATTTTAGGACTCGGACTGATCCACCACTGACTTCTTTGCTCCTCAACTTGTAGATGGCCTATCATTAGGCTTTACCTTGTGAGTGTGTGAGTCAATTCTCTTTAATAAACTCCTTTCATTTATAAATCTCTCTTATTAGTTCTGTCCCTCTAGAGAACCCTGACTAATACACTCTTTAAGCTGTAGCCTTGGTAATGGAATCAACACCTACCCTCAGTACAAAACAGACCTACCGGTTCTAAACTGTGTCTACACAACACTCAAGATTTGATGCTTAAACGTATAGGTGGCATTTTCCCCCAAATTCTTAAGTCCCTCTCTGAATTTAAACAAACCAAATACTGTTTCTCTTCTAAAATTATGTAGGTATGACTTTCTTCAAGGTGGTCCCAATTCTCTAATACAGTCAATTAGTTGGCACTATAATAATTACTCAATATTTGGTATTTTCAAAGGAGAACTTTGTTTTTTATAATTCTTCTTGGTTTAAATACACTTTCATATACTTTTTTCTATTTTGAATAATTTTAGTTTACGATAAAGTAGGAAATGGATTTCAAAAATATTTTTATATGAACAAATAAGCAAAAGTCCTGCTAGATCCAATCTCCTTCTTACTCTGGGAACATCTTATAGTGTTGTGGCTCTTTCTCTATGAAGTTATGACCTAGATGAGAGTTAAAAAACCTCAAGTCTGACTGTGCTCTTGCTCCTTCTTTCTCTCTGCACAAACAGTTAATTTCATAGGGGCTACCACTTTGCCTTTTTCTCCTCTTTCCAAGAGATATTCACCCTTCCCACTTTTATAGGATAGACAAAAGTTCTCATTTGGACATGACTAATGGCCTACAGAATAACATGAATTATGAAAGTATTTACTATATATTAATACTTTCACAATATTATTTGTATATTAACTGACTTTTGTATGTATTTTGTTATAAAAGATATATTATGTTAGCACTAGCACGAAATTCCAGGCTATAAAGGTGAAAGAGTAAATCAGATAGTCTATGTTCTTAATGAGATTACAGTAAGGCAGAAAGAAAAATAATTGAATAGAAACTTACAAAAAAGTGTTACAAAGATTTTGAAAAAGGAGAAATCTTCAGCGGCATACAGCGGAGTAGAGAGAGCTCACCTTCAGGCCAGGGATGAAAGGGGAAACACTTGGCAACTAACCAGAAGAGCTTTGACTTCATGTGACAGTTAACAGGGACTGGCTTCATACTGGATGAAGGTATCTGATGCTACATTACGAAACTAGTCTGATGGTAGAAGATAAGTGCATTGGAGGAGAGTGTGACAAGGATAAATGATACTGTCAGAGACCCCAAATTGTTGACGTAGAAATGAATTGCAAAGAGAACATTTTGGGGGAAATGCTATCCATAAGGTTGAAAAATAATAATTACTGAAACTGGCATTTATGGCCATGGGGAAATGTCATGATAAAATGTAATCCAATAAGATACTGAGAAGTACTAAATAATTATGGCAGAAATGGAAAGCAATCTTTCTGCTGTTCTACATCAATCAGGTTTCTATAATTGTGTCTAGTTTTAGATGCTGACCTTATTTAAGAAAGGGTGAAAAAGGAGATGGTCAGAGAAGAGAAACAAAGATAATTAACCCTCGGGTAAATAGTAATATTAAATGAATTAGATTTGTTTAGCTTAGAGAAAGGAAGGACAAGGGCAATCTGATTATAGAAATGACTCATACATAGAGTAATTAGGAGGGAAATGCAGTTTTCTATGTCCACACAGGACTAAACAAAAGGAAATTGACTTTAATAAAGCAGTAATTGTATTTCTAGATTTGTTTAAAAAAAAAAAAACACCGTTTAAACACTACTACTAATCAGCTACTGCTCTATATTTACCATGTTTGTGTAGGTTCCCACAGGACTGTCTCTTGAGTCTCCATTAGCATCTGTCTGTGCTGACTGCTCTACTCATGTGGTTAGGGATTTAGGACTAGATGTACTCATGGGTGTGTGATTTAAACACATTTGCAACAGTTTCTTAATTTGATTTCATAGATGCGCTCTGACAAATGATTGAAAACACTGTAACTCTGCTCTTTTAAGTCAATAGCCTCCCCATAAAGTGTGATTTAAGTTTGCAGGGAAAGAGAAAAAAGATCTGTAAGTTGTTTTGTTAGTTTTTATCTTATTGCAAAAAGTGAAAATCAACTCCTTATAAATATATTATTAATCAAGAGAGTTTTTAACATATTTTTAAGAAATTTTATAACTCACTTTATGATTTTTACCTGTTTTAGTTATATGGAAAAATCTGAAGTTACTAAAAAATTAAAATTGATATTTCTAAGTGACTCGAGAAAGTTCACGATGACTGATTTTATCATTTTTTACAACTACATAGAAACTTCCTGTGTATCGAAACTTTCTGTACCCCCTTTCTATAAACTCCTATAAGTTGCCTGTCCACAAACTGTGTATGTAATCTAGGGTCAATGGAAGGAGCTTAAACTCTACCTATAAGAGAGGAACATCAATGTATTTGAGAACATAAGTTAAATCCACCACCGTACTATACATACATATATTTATGAAAAATTTTTGTACGGTGCTAAAAAAACTATTTCTTGCATGCTCCTTTAACCTTTAAATCTATAAAGGTCCAGTGCATTAAACAAGTCATATGTGTCCAGGAGCAACCATCAAAACGGTTATAGTAGCAAGAACTTGGGAGAAGGTTGAGCTTTGAGTGTGATGTATTGTAAACAGTTAGTCTGGAAGAAAATTGCATAGTGCATGGCACAGGAAGATCAGAAGGTGGAATCACAACTTTGTTTGGAAGGCACAGGTCGCTAACACATTTGTTTGGGCTTGCTTGTTTGCTTCTTCGCTTCTTCTTATTATTTACTATGAAAAGCAGGGATGCCAAGGTGACATGTGCTTAAGAACTGTAGGTTAGGTAGTCTCAGTGGTAAGCTGGTGTGAGTCCAACATTAGGATTAAGGGGGACCGGGTGCGGTGGCTCACTCCTGTGATCCCAGCACTCTGGGAGGCCGAGGCGGGAGGATCATGAGGTCAAGAGATCAAGACCATCCTGGCTAACACGGTGAAACCCTGTCTCTACTAAAAAATACAAAAAAAATTAGCCGGCCGTGGTGGCCGGCGCCTGTAGTCCCAGCTACTCTGGAGGCTGAGGCAGGAGAATGGCGTGAACCCGGGAGGCGGAGCTTGCAGTGAGCCAAGATCGCGCCACTGCACTCCAGCCTGGGCGACAGAAGGAGACTCCGTCCCAAAAAAAAAAAAAAAAAAAAAAAAAGGGAGTAAGGGAGACGTTTTAATGGAGAAGTTGAGAGATATTATCATCTTACCTATGTGGGTCAGCAGTGTATTGCAGATGACAAAGAAACATGAGTTAATGGAGACAGATGCTTTGGAGGTAAAACTCACTGGCTTAGTTGACTTAAGATGTAGGAGGTGCCATGTTCTAATACCTAAATCATGGCCTTGTCTTTCTGTTAAGAAGTTTTCTCTAAGGGTCAAATTCTTACAACCATTTACATTATAATTGCTCCTTATTATTAGATAGTACGAACATTTTAACAGAAAGTCAATTTGTATTAATTTGTATTAAATATTATATATGTTAGCATGATATCAGTATTTTCCTAACATTTCTAAAAGGTTTAATATTTTTAAAGTACAATATAGCCCTGTTTTATTCCTCTCATTTAAAAAATAAATTTAAAATTTTGATTGAAAATTTAAGAATTTTACTCTTCTCATTCAAAAATAACAATAAATACATTAACTCTAAGTGGGAAGTTTAAAGAGTTAATCTTTGGTGAATATAATATGAAATATGACAGCATGATTTATTATTCTTGTGGCTATTTCTTAGGTTTTCCTCAATATATTACTAACTTTTAAATAATAAAGTCAATTATAAATACTGCATTTTAAGTTGACTACAAAACTTAGCTAATTTTCTTATAACATTTATATTTTAAAACCATAAATATGAATAAACATGTGCAAATATTTTAAAATATGCAATATTATTTAATTGTAATTATATATTGTATATTCCAACAACAATATTTTAATACTTTAGAGACATAATTGTGTTATTCTAAAAATGCTTCAATTTTTCATTAATCAGGAGCAATAGCATGCATATTGATGTAAGAATTTGTACATAAAGTATTCACTATTTAATAATGTATAGTACAAATTATGTACTGTTTTTATGTTAGATATACCAATTTAAATATGATATAAAAACAAGCTTTTAGAGTTGAAAATCATATCAGTTCATTTATTTATAAATATGATTTAACTGCTACCTGAAGACATTGTTTTTATTTTTGTTATTTGGTTCTTCACATAATATTTGAGGGCTTTATTTTCATATTTGTACAATATGATAAATTAGTCTAATTTTACCTCATGTTGTAAGAAAAACTAGCTAAACATTCTCCAAATTTTTGTTTTTAATATGGGTCTTTTGGCAATAATGCAATCATTTTATTTTTCTGCACGGTACTGGTCTGTGTAATGGATTTTAAATATTTATCAAATTAATCAATTGCTTGAATAAACAAATTCCATTAACGGCTTGAGATTTATGTGAATACCGTATGTAGATTATGAGCCTTTCATTGCCAAACCATTTTACTCATGCACCTGTATTTCTAAAATTTGTGAGCACATACTCCAATATATGTATGATTTGCTTATAGTTTATATACTTGTACAACTTATACTGCCATACTGATATGTATGTATATTGCAAAAATCTACAAAAGAGAAATTAAAATTAACTAAATAAAAATAAAATGATAATTAACAAACAATAATGTCAAATGATTTGATATTTCATATCATCCATTATTTTCACAAAAATTCACAATAAAATAAATTTTGATACTTATTACTGTCAATGAAACAATCACTGACACTTAGTGCTTAGTTCTTAACAGTTTTGCTAATGATGATGGGTAAATGGTATTATTAACAAGCATCTCAAGGCATAGCACACACTCTCATGACATTAAATACATGTTTCCAATTAGTTTCACTTTATTTCCATTTCTGTTGTCATCCCTTGAAATCTTCTTAAATTGGCATTTGCTTTATCCTGTAGTTCTTGACAAAGTTAATATGCTCTAACTAAGAACATATATGCTCCTCCATTGCTTGTTTGCTTGTGTTTATACTATGACCAATATTGTCAACTAATGGCTCTTTGCAGGGATATTTTTCAGCTGCTTGTTCATGTTATAAAACTTAACTTTTGTTAAAATAAAATAATACTATCAGAAATTCACTAAACCTGAAATAGGAATGTTGCATGCATGATAACTTGTTAGGGGAAAAAGAAAGTAAGATTGTCACTTCTCTTTCTTTAGGGGATATTTACACAATGTAGGACAACCCTCCATCTGTCTTAAGATGAAGTGAGAACATCAGTATTTATCCATATATTAAATATTATAAAAATAATATTTCTCGACATTTAAATATTATCCATTGTAATGTTTTCTTCTTATACCCCAGTGGATCATCTTGATGCATACACCTCACTTTGGAGACAACTAATTTCAGGAATACACAGGACAACTGTGCCCCTGCAAACAAGGGGTACACGAATGGTGTCTGGAGTCTTCCAAACCATCTCAGGAGTATAGCTAGTAAATCAGATTTTGGTAATTAGGAAGTTGTCTAACTCCAGGCTTGCAATGGACATAGAATACTTATTAGGTTCTACCCCTACCTATGAATAGAATATGACAAAGTTGTTCCAGACTTTTGCACATCAAATTGTCCAATAATTGATGATATATGCCACTCAAATAAGCAACCAATTTTGTCAGTTTCCTTTGAAAAGAAGACTATTCACAACATGGTAAGTATTATTTCAGCTTAGTTTAGCTTAAGTATATGGATAACTCAGAATGCTTTCAGTGTATGCATGGAATATTAATTTGTTCTAAAAATATTTGATAAATATCTGGCACTCTTCTAATACTAGAACAGTGGTGAAAAAAGGAAAACTCACCCTGAACTAAGGGAGTACTCAGTTACAAAGGATAAAATGTCAAGTAGCAGAGAGAAAAGACCAGTGTTATTTTCTGCAGGGTGACCAGGAATAGCTTCTTGAATAAGATGATAGTTGAAGAGACCAGAAGGAAGAGAGGAAGCAAGACAAGCAGGAGGGTGTACTAGTAGGGCCTATAAATAAAGACTATGGCACTTGCAATACTATAGGTGAGACAATGGTGGCTTATAGCAAGTCAGTAACTGAAGGCCATGAAAATTGATTAGATTCCGACTATATCTTGAAAGTATGACAGTAGTTGTTGGGAGTATGCAATCTGGAACCAGACTACTTTGGTTTAAATCCCAAAATTGCCTGTTTCTTGCCACATAGCAGAGTACTACTTAAACTTTTTATGATACCTTATCTGTGTAAAACAGGTTACTGTGTTACCTATCTTAATCTAGTTGTGAAAATTTCTCCTTTCTGTGTGCGTGTCTGTGTACTAGCTAGAACACTATTTGACACATAGTAAACACTGTTAGCTTTTGCAATTACTATGGGAGGAGAGAAAAAGAGATGAGTCTAGGAAGACCCCAAGGTTTTGGTGTGAGCAATATAGGAAGAGTGGGATTGTTTTTTACTGAAATGGGGACAACTGAAAAAGAAGTAAATTCAGGAGTGATTGAAAATCAAAGTGAAGAATCAAACCTGCTAAATCTGTGATGACTCAGAGACATAAAAATGAATGCTTTTCATAGGAATATCTCAGGTGACAGATTCAGCCTGAAGCAAAGAAGTGAAGTTTTCAACATTTATATGATTTTTAAGGCTATGGAAATGGGTAGGATTACCAAAAAAGTCATTATAAGTACAGCAAAGATAACTCAAGGCTCAGCTCTGGACATGAAAACTTTAGAAGAAGAATCAGCAAAAGTGCCTGAAAGGTGAAATGACAGAAAAATTATTAAGTCATGGGTTTTGGCTACCAAAAAGTAAAACCTGTTTCTGTATGAATGAGTGATCATCTGTGCCAACTGCTTCATATAACTCAAGTGAGATGAAAGCAAAAAAACAATATATCTAGTAGATTTAACAAACAAATCTCATTGGAAGCTTTAACTGTAATTGTTGTATTACCAGACATGATGGAGTTCAAGGGAGAATGGAAGAAGAAAAATTGGATTCAACAATACAGACAACTCAGGAGAGTTTTACTCCAAAGTGTGGAGAGCAATGTTGTTGGTGATAGCAGAGAGACTGTGCAGCCAAAAATATTTTAAAATTCATTCTGCACTGAGTTATTTCATAATAGAAAGTACAAAAGTGTATACAAAAAAATCATTTGAGAGAGGATAATTTCATTGTACAAGTTTAGGATTTGGTTTTTGGCGTTAGATAGTTATACACATAAGACAAACTAAACCAGGTGGAAAACCAGCGAGTAGAATTGCAGAGATAGGTAGATAGCGCCTGAAAATGTATTGTATTTTACTTCTGATTCATTGTCCTTTTCAAGTTTACGAAGATAATGTTTTAGAAAAGAACTAAGGTATGATATAGTCCTTGAGATTAGAACTATACAGTAAATATACCAGGAACATTGAGTAGGATCTTTGAACAGAAGGTAAATGGAGGCTGCTAGTCATAAGTTAAAAGCAAGATGAGTCAGTGCGGGTGTGTGTGTTTTTCTTCAACTACTTTGAGTTGCTCAGAGGCAGGCATAAAACAGGGAGAGAGCTTGACTTAATTAAATTTGGGTTTTTTTCAAGGTTGCAAAATGCAGAAGGACAAGGGACAAGGGGATTGCAAATACATGCAACAGAATGATTATAATGATAGCTCATAGAAACCAAAGCAGGTAATGAGAAGAATGAAGACATAATGGAAATGACAATCAGCAGCAAGTCAAAGGATTGAAGGAAGTTCAGGTAGGAAAAAAATGGTCTTGGAATTCTCAAGTAATAAAGAATTTGGAAAATTAGAAGTGGTGGCTGGAGAGTGTGAAGGTTCGAGCTGATATTAAGGAAGAAATGTAGTCGCTGGAAATAACAACAACTAGGGCATGAACAGAGAGTCAGTAACTGAAGGCCCAGATCATTGGAAGTGAAGAAGTCTCAGAACTCTAAGGTTAGGGGACTAAAAAGACCTTTCATGTTAATAGTAAATCACCAAATTTTAGCAGAAATTCTATTGGGGGGATAGTGTAACAAGTGGTACATCTTTATACAGCAAACATCTGGGAAATAAAGGCAGAGTCATTCTGTTGGGTTATTATCTTCTAATTCAACAAGATAATGAGCAGAGATTTTATTATTTGGCAGCAGAAAAGTTCAAGATGCTAAAGGTTATCTATGGGGCACATAGTTTAAGTGGCTAAGGCAAAACATTCCATCAGAGAAACATTAGTGGAGAATATAAATGAAAAATTCCTGTAAATGGTTACTTTATTAACAATAATACCTTATTTGTCTACTATATAGCAGTTGACAGTTTTTAGAGCATTTTATTTGATCCTGACAACATCTGTGTGAAGAATATGGAGACAGTGTTATGCTTCTGGGGAAAAACATGAGGGCTTTAGATATTAACCAGTCCTGACTGAAAACCACTAAATTAATGGCAAGAACCCAAAATATTATATGGCTTTGCTGAGTAAATGTGTTGCTCTTTGCTCTGAAACATTATTCCTATTTCTTTTTTTTAATATTTATTTCTATTTTATAGCATGTCTACTACAGGTGAGTAGAGTTTTGTTTGAATAAACCAAAATAGGATATTAGAAATGCCTATCACGCTCAAAACAATGATAAGATTCTGTTTATTTCATGAAGTTTCCATTAATAATTAGAATAAATTTTTACACATACATGTGTAAAATATATACATACGTGAAAAATACATGTATGTATGAAAAACAGATCTGGACCTTCAATTGAGGGAAATATCTATGAAGAGAAAATATTTTTTGAAATTTTATATTATTCAGAAAGTTTAGATAGCACATGATTTTTAAAATTACAGGATCTTTATTACAGTATTATATGACATACAGCAATACACTGCAGAAGAGAATTATTAAACACTTCAAAACATTCATAACTGTTTGCCTCAGAAAAAATATTTTCAAGTTCATCCTCTTCCAGAATGCTTAAATATTTCTACGATTTATTTAATTCATATCAGAGTAATGTGGGCACTTTCTATCACATGGTCAACTTACTGAATCTATTGAAACTTCAGATTCCTCATCTGCAAAACAGAGATATCAGTGCAACTCCCCAGGGCTATGATGAAAAGTGAAGGAGGGAATGCATGAAAAGTTCTGAGCACTATGCCTTTGCCATTGTAAGCACTTGATCAATGGTAGTTGCTGTTGTTATACTTACTAGATTTTTATAATTTGTTCCCCTTTCAAAGTTACAAAATAAATAATATTCTGATATTGCAACTCTTTTTTTAATGATCAAAGCACATGCCTGAGTATCAAATATTCCTCCGTGATTTACAACTATTTTCCTGTCTCTTGGACAGGTAATTTGAAATCATACTCTAGAATTGTTTTTAAATGCTTGCTCTAGTGTATTTAACATATATAGATTTTTTTATCCTCTTTGTATTGCAAATGCATTTTCTCTCTAAAATTAACTTCAGGCTTCCTTTTCTTTCCTTTGGGTAGAATGAAGTAAAGATAAAAGTAAGTTCTGAAATAATAAATGTCGTCCCAGTATGTACTCCAAGCTATAAAGAAAATTATAAATATAGAGAACATAAAAAAGGCAAAATGAGATGGTCAAAATAAATTCTATCATATCAAAAACTCAATACATATAAATATGAATATATTTCCTAGGTAACAAAAACATTGGAACTTTCGAATTTTCTGTTGGGTTTTCTCAGAAGCAGACCATGAGAAAAGGATTTGAGTACATGTAATTTATTTGGTGTTTGCATGAATACAAGTAGGAAAGTATGGAATGAGAAAGAAGCCAATAAAAAGATGCATTTAATTGCTCTTATAGATGTCAAGTTAATTCTAAAGGAAACCTTTGGGAAACTATGCAAAACATACATATCAGAATTTGCTCCTAAAGGGCTGAGGGGGCTGGAGTACACAGACAACCACTTTGCAAAGTCAGTCACTGAGGGTTTCTTCGAAGCTGGGTTTGGAGAGTGGGTATTTCATTCCCTGTATCCAGCAAAGAAACTTTTAGTTTTTATCGATATATTATAGTGGTAGTGCATGTCTTCTGATGCTGAATTTGCTACATTAGCTATCGTGTGTGTGTGTGTGTGTGTGTGTGTGTGATCTAAAAGGGTGTATTTATATGTCATTCACAGTAGAGACAAACAACACACCCAGAAGATAATACAACCAAAATTTAAAAATTAAAGATGGAATATACACAGAAAAAAAATTATCAGGCAGTTAATAATAGCTAAATAGCAAGAAAGCAAACAAAATACTAGTATAAAGAGTATTAAAATATCTCGAACTGAAAATTCAATATGCCAGATTTTAAAAACATTCCAAATTTCATGTATCTAACACTATAGTTTCAAAATATGTAAAGAAAGATGAAAATACAAGGAATTATTGGCTAATCCACCATCTTATTGGGTGGTTTTAGCACACCTTATACAGCGATTGACAGAAAAAGTAGACAAATTTAGTGAAGCTATAGAAAAAGTGAAGACACTATAAATAAAATTCAGCTAATAAATAACCACTATAACTATATAGATACCAATACATATTATATTTATACATTACTAAGTTTATATATATATACTGATCTGCCTATGTCTCAAGTTAAAATTCTCATTCTCAAAAAACATTCAATTAAATTATTGTATTTAAAAAAGAGATAAAATTGATTCAAGGGTAAGAATGCTGCCATTTTTGGGGAAGTCTAAAGAGTTCTGAAGAAAATGTAAACAATGACAATGTATATAAATAAAATATAAAACAACAAAGAATAAAAATTAACAGAGCAAGTCTTTGCAGCATTACATTGTCAAAATTAGAGTTAACAGAAACTATTTCATACACTTTTTAATAGTGGATAAGACGTTTGAAGCAATGAAACCCATATGATATTTGAACCCAGGTTATCATATCTTAGTCTCATCCCAAACAGTTACAGTTTATGTCAAATGAAATTACAGCGAAAAATATTATATGAGACATTGGTCTGGAAGACAATGGATCTGATTCAATCTGACAATTACCAGGATTTTATCAGCAGAATTGTCTCTTGATCTGGAAAGGAAAACATACTCTCGTTTTATTCATTAGTCTCTCTGGAATGGCTTCATCAGCATGATTATGTAAACCTGGTCTGTATCCAAATTATAGAATGCACCGGACTGTGTTTCAAGAAATAGATGGTCTCAGATTTTGCCAATGTTGTAGGCTAAAGACTTTTGATACTAGAACCATGCCATTATTAAGATATATGTAATTTTTGAAGAAAATTTTTATTCTTGGGTAACAAGAAGATGTTTCTAAGCAGATTAAATTTTATAACTAATGTAGTATTAAGAGAGGAGTACTTATATATCCATGAAGTGAATTCACACAGGATTTCATCAGGACATGCAATCAAAATAATTAAGATACTATCTGTAAATTAGGATTTGAGACACAAATCCTTAGGATTCTGAGATACAAAATCATTTGAAATACAAAATGAGTGAGAACCTGAAAGGAAATGGAAGTAGAGCAAGCAACATATAAAGCAAGTAATTTGTATTGGTAAAAATATCAATGGGCTTTACTATCATTAGTAAAATTGGCCAAAAAATATTTTAATGTATTTTTAATAAAATCAAAGTAAAGATTGACAATGAACAGAAGCAAAAACAAAACTCTTATGTTATACTGGAAAGGTCATCCTTATATTTGGTGATGAGCAATTTTCAATTTTCTTTACATGGATTGAAGAAAAAAATGTACTTACATTTGTAAAATAATTGGTGGTAGAAATTATGTGATTTCTCTATGTTAGAGAAAATAATATATTTTATATTCATTATATAATGTGTGATATAATTTGATTGTGTTACATATCATTAAAATAACATAATTCTTTAGTCAGTATTATTTAGAAACTTTGCTGTACTTTTCTGTTTAATTATCATATAATCATGCAGCTCATTCATACAGAGTTAAGAGTGATTGTCAATTTTAAAACTTACCAAATATACATCAAAAAATTTGTGAATATAATTTGAAACAAAACAAATATTTTACTCTACAGTTGCATATAATTTGGTATAAAATTACCTTTTGGGAGAAAGATATTTTTCCTCACCATATTAATTTCACAAAGAACTAGTACTCATATGGATTCCAATTTTCTTTTTCTTTTAGAGACAGGGTCTCACTTTGTTGTCCAGGCTGGAGTGCAGTGGAGTGCAGGTCACACTGATACTGAATGTTGATAGTGAATTCACAAGGATACTTATGAAATAGCCTAAAAAATTAGGCAATGAACATAGAAAAAGGAAAGTTGGGTTGCTTTAGGGACTGTCAACTTGGAGGATATGCATCCTAGAAGAAAGTGAAAAGAAAAAACAGTAGAAAAAATGTTAACAATGGTGTAACCTGATATGCAGATTTTTGCTTCAGCAAATCACAGTATATATGAAATGTGTAGAGTAGTCAGAATAATGCATCCATAAGATCCAACCCCGGATGACTCTTCCTTTCTCATGATCTACTCAACAATCTGCCCACCCTTTGTAACCTGTACACAATGTCTTAATAGTTCATCTTTGTTACTGTTTCTTATCCACTGTTAATGAGTCCTCACTAATGGTTTCCAAGACAGAGAAGCTAATAATATAATCGCAGCTGTAAAATACTTTCTCTGGCTTGCATAAAAATTATTGTATAGAATTATGGAACTTGGTGACTTTTCCTCTGTAATGCTGGCAAGATTATTAGATACACAAGTATCTAATACGTGGCCATGAGACTAATCCTAGCTGTATCTAATAATTTCAAATATGACAGGTGTTCTTCAAGTCGAATTGTTAGAAACTATTTTCTTAAATTAAAAATGTAGCTGTACATTCTGGCAAGAAACACATATTCTGGCAAAGTGAGCCTATTCACTGTTAGAACCAGAGTCCTACACACTATAGGAATGTGTAGATACACATCTTAGGATATTGAATTGCTTAGTATTCTTCACATTAGGGAAGATTCGTAACTTAATCATGTTTGCCAGTTAAAATTGGAAAATTGTTCTGGGTAGAGGGGAGGTTAGACACAAGCCTGCCTTACAGGTTTCTGGAGCCATAAGGGACAGCACTTGTACGGCATAAAACCCTAAGCCTAGAATTTAATTTACAATGATCACATGTGGTTAATCCCCATAGATGCTAAGCAGATGCACTTTCAAGCTCTGCCTGTAGGAAAGCAAGACATCTGTCATTATTTTGTTATAAGGTAAGAGGGGTGAGGGATCAAGATAGAGCAGAGAACATTTAATTGAAGACAATACACTTCAGAATTAAAATTATGTCTAGTAATAATATTTGGATACTTTTATTCACAATTAAACTGATTTGAAGCAATTAGACAAGATGCCTGCTAAGACTTCTTTAATAAACTTTATGTTAACAGAATTTTGGATATACAGAAAGGCTGCAAGGTGAGTAGAGAGAGCTCCCAGTCTCCACTGCCACTAACATCGTGCATTAGTAAGATCATTTGTCACAATTAATCAAACATTATTGAATTTCTCATTAAATACAGTCAATATTGTGTTCACATGTTTATCATTTTTAATCTCTTGTTCTTTCAGTCAATATTATGTTCACATGTTTATCATTTTTAATCTCGTTCTTTCTTCTGTTCTAGTATCCCGTCCAGGTTGCCATACTTCATTTAATGACCATTATCTCCTTAGGCACCGCTAGAAGATGAGTGTGTCTCAGACATTCCTTGCTTTTGATGATCTTGACAGTTTTGAGGAGTACTAGTCAGATATTTTGTAAACTCTCCATCAATTCAGATTCATCTGGTGTTCTTCTTATGATTAGACTAGGATTTTTGAGAAAAACATCACAAAGGTAAAGTGCCATGTTTATCATACCACCAACATGATATCATTTTTTTATGCTATCCTTGATCACCCGGCTGAGAGAGTGCTTGTAACATTACTTTTCTCTTCCTCTTTTTTATATCATGCCTTTTAGAGGTAAGTCACTAGGCACAGCCCAACATTTTAAGGGGTGGAGACCTTAAGTCTTTCAAGTTAATTATATTAGCAAGGACACCAACAGCTCGATATGCGGAGCCTTTGATTGTACAATTAATAAGCAACTCCCAGGACACCAAACCTACATTCACCCCCCAGGAAGATATTCTCCAATATCCTCTTACTCTGACCAGGGCAAATTACTATACAAGGAAAATTTCCCAGGGGGACAGCCAAAATGCACTCAGGACCATGAATAAGGGAATTAATTCTGAGGTGCGGTGTCCTGCTTAGTGACATTTGTTAAATACTTTGAACAAGGCCTATCATTTCCTCTTCCGCCTTTTGCAAATCAGATTTTTATTGTTATTCTATTCCAAATTCAATGGTTTTTGACATGGGGAGTGTAAACTTGTCTTTTAGTTATCTAAACTAAGTGTCCATATTGGAACTTGCAGTATATTATCCATTGTTCATTAACATTTAATGACATTGTAATTTAGTAGGGAAGGGTTCTTTGTTTTGTTTTTGTTTGTTTATTTTTTGCTGGAGATGGGAAGAGTTTGTATCATTTGTGAGAAGCGAGCGCATGGATATTTGGCCACAGAAATCAATGCAAAAATAAAGGACATTGTCACCATCTGTTCTTTCACAGTAACAGAACTTTTATTCTGCACACAGTATTGCCCAGAAAAAAAAAAAAATCACATTCTTTTCACTTCTAAGGAATTAGGTGTGTTCATGGAATGAAATTCTCTTCAATAAGAGATGTACGCTGGTGGGAATGTAAATTGTTACAGCCACACAAAAAACAGTAGAGAAATTTCTCAAAAAAAATGAAAATAAAACTATCATGTGATCCAACAACCCTTCTCCTGGATATACATACAAAAGAAATGACATCAGTATTTTGGAGAGATATCTACATTCTCATGTTTATTATAGCATTGTTCACAACAGCTAAGATATGAAAGCAAAGTGTTCATCAACGGATGAATGAATTTAGAAAATGTGGTGCATATGCATAATGGAATAGTATTCAGCCTTTAAAAAGAAGGAAATCCTGCCATTTGAAACAATGTAGATGAACCTGAGGACACTATGTTAAGTGAAATAAGCCAGGCACAGAAAGAAAAATCTTGTATGGTCTCACTTACATTTGAAAGATTAAAAAGTTGAACTTATAGAAGCAGAGTTAGAAGAGTGGTTAGGAGAGGCTGGGGATGGAGTGGGTTAGGGAGATGTTCATAGATAATACAAAATTTCCACTTAATACGAAGAATAAGTTTAAGAGATCTATTATACAACATGATTACTCTAGTTAATAATAATATATTGCAGCTTGAAAATGACTAAGGGAGAATTTGTGTTCTCACCACAAAAAATAAGTGTATGAGATAATGCATTTGTTAACTAGATTAATTTAGCCATTCTGCAATGTATACATTTTCAAAACATAATGTTGTACATGATAAATATGTATAATATTTTCAATTAAATAAATAAATACAATGTTTTAAAAATGTAACATGTACAGTTTAAGGGTTAGGTCATAAAGGAAAATAATTTAACTCCTACCTTGACTTCCCTGCCTTCTTTCTGTCTGCAATGGAGATGTATTTTTGAGTCATTTTTGAATATGTAAATTAAAAAGTCTGCATTTTTCATTTAAATGATTCAAGTTGAATTTATGTGGCTTGAAGCTTCTTTTCGATATCAATAAAATATTGTTTTGGCTATAACATAATGCACAGCTAATTGTGACTCATAAAATAACCACATTCAGTTATCTCACATAACCAGAAGTCTAATTATGAGCTGTTTTGGATTGGTTCAGAGCCCCAGCAAGCCCTGGAGGACCCAGGTTCTTGCTCTCCATTCTTCTATCTTCCTTGTAGTGGCAATATCTTCCCTCATAGTATAAAGTGAAATGTCTTGTCTCTAAGAATTGTATCCAACTATGGCAGCATTTGAAGCAGGAAGGAAAAGAATGAAGAACAAAGTTTTCTTCTTTTAATACCTTCATTTATTAAAGTGGAAATATTTTTCCAAATCCCTCACTACTCCAAATAGTCTTCCCTGAAAGCTCATGGAAGAGAACTGAGTCGTTTTGGTCACTCCTATTCAAAATAGTAAGAAGATACACTTCAACAATCTTCAGCCTCTGTCAGTCTCTGTTACAGAAGGTTGATTTTGGAAAGAAAAATACAAATGAGAAGGCAAATGGCTGCTAGGGAGACAAGTATCTGTTCCTATGTTTTAGTGTACTTTTCTGTAAGAAAGTCCTTTATAGTTCAGATAGTCAAATAAATGGGAAAATGTCAAATGAAGATGATGACTCCTCATTTTTACAAATTCCCTGAAACTTCCCTTCCTATATACTCAAAAGATGAAGTTTGGTGTACAGACAATTCCATCACCCAGGAAGTGAGCATAGTATCTAATAGGTAGGTTTTCAGCCCACACCCCCTCCCTCCTTTTCCCTTCTAGTAAATCCCAGTGTCTATTGTTACCATCTTTTTGTCCATGTGTATTCAATGTCTAGCTCCAATTTATAAGTGAGAATATGTGGTATTTGGTTTTCCATTCCTTCATTAATTCACTTAGGATAATGGCCTCCAGCTGCAACCATGTTGCTGCAAAGGACACGACTTCATTTTTTATGGCTGTTTAGTATTCCATAGTGTATATGTGCCATATTTTCTTTATCCAATCCATCTTGGATGAGTATCTAGGTTGATTCTACGTCTTTGCTATTGTGAATACTGCTGTGATGAACACACGGGTTCATGTGTCTTTTTGATAGAACTATTTTTCTTTGGGTTTATACTCAATAATGGGATTGCTAGAGCAAATGGTGGTTCTGTTTTAAGTTCTTTGTGAAGCCTCCAGACTGCTTTTACAGTGGCTGAATTCATTTACATTCCCATCAACAGTATATAAGTGTTCCCTTTTCTCCACAGCCTGGCCAGCATGTTATTTTTTGACTTCTTAATAATCACCACTCTAACTGGTGTGAGATGGTAGCTCACTGTGGTTTTGAATTGCATTTCTTTTATGATTAGTAATGTTGAGCATTTTTGCATATGTTGATTGGCTGCCTATATATCTTCTTTTGAGAAATGTCTTTTGCCCATTTTAGAATTTGGTTACTTGGTTTTTGCTTGTTGATTTGTTTAAATTCCTTGCAGATTCTGGATATTAGACTTTTGTTGGATGCATAGTTTGCAAATATTTTATCCCATACCATAAACTGTCTGTTTACTCTGTTGATAATTTATTTTGCTGTGCAGAAGCTCCTTAGTATAATTCGGTCTTCTTTGTCAATTTTGTTTTCGTTGCAATTGCTTTTGGGGACTTGGCCATTAATTATTTATCAAAGCTGATGTCAAGTGGGCATTTCCTTGGTTTTCTTTTATGAATTTTTGTAGTTTGAGGTCTTACATTTAATTCTTTAACCCATCTTGAGTTAATTTTTGCATATGGTGAAAGTTAGGGTTCCAGTTTCAATCTTCTGCATGTTGCTAGCCAGTTATTCCAGCACCATCTATTGAATAGGGAGTCCTTTCCCTATACAGTAACATGATGTGCAGGTTTGTAGTCTAGGAGCAATAGTTCATACCATGTAGCCTAGGTGTGTAGTAAGATGTATCATATGGGTTTGTGTTGGTACACTCTGTGATGTTTGCGCAACAATGAAATCCCTAATGATGCATTTAGTATATGAATACTAAGGCAGGTCTTAAAAATTATATATTTAATAAACAATGTACCTAACAGGGTTTCTATAAGAACCAGATGGCATAGTCAAATTTGAAGTTTGGGCACAGTTTATTGGATGCAAACAAGGCATATATGACTGTTCTGTGACCTGAGCTCGGTAGCAGTCGAGAGACACCAAACCACAACCCTTGAGGAAAGGAAGCAGTGATAATAACCTGATAGACGAAAATTATGGAATGGAGGTTCCCTTGAGAGCAGCAGTGACAATGAATTAATTGCACAGTTCAAATCAACCTCACAGAAAAGGAAATCAGGGGAATGAATACCCTGACCTACTATCTTCCCTCTTTTTTCCTCTAACTCACAGCATCTAGTAGACTGAGCCAAACTAGAACAGCAGGACACAAGGGAGCCCATTGATCCATATATTAGAGGTCAGCTTCATGTAGTAGATAACAGAGTTGAAAAGTCTGGAGAGTGAATCTAAAGGAGCAAAGGAAAGGTACCCTGCAAAACAAGCAAAACATCCCCATGGAAAGAAATTCAAAGGGAGAAACACATTTGTTTTGACACAAGCTCGGTATTTCAGTTCACTGATCTAGAGGTAGCCACAATAGGTAGCCAACATACAAACACTAAGAAAATTGCCTTTAGATTTTTGTTTTAACAACGGTAAGAGTTGATGGTTATAAGAAGTAAATGAACCTAGACAGAGAACACAGGATTCGAGATATATCACTAGACTAGGGGTGCGTGGGTGGGGACGGGAAATACTATATTTGTAGGATTGGGAAGATCGTTGCTAAGTATTTGGATTTATATATATCAAATATGAACCAATTAATTGTATAGCAAGGCTTGCTTCAGGCCCATATTCTTTCACTGATGTAATTTAATTAGAATGATCTTGCTGATTCTTTAACTCTTGTTGTATGTTTTATCTCTTTATACCAACACATTATACCCTACCAAACTCAGAATCTTTTTTTTTCCTGTGATGGTTTAGAAGTTACACCTAGTTCTTCTACTCTCTTAGTTGTTACTTTTAACTTATATATCTAAATAAGTATTTTTATAATTACTGCTTCTAGCCCCTGGCTGTTAAATAAGACACTGTTAGCAAATTTTAACCACTTAGGAAACACTTTTTCACATTGTCCTAATTGATTCTATTTAGAAATTAAATTCTAATGGTTTGGTCACTATTATTGTTTTCACACGTGACAGTTAACTTGCTAATATATTTTGGTCTTTTATTGTAGTCATCTTTTTTGGCAGCATACTGCATTCATATAGGTTGCCATTTACCAAAATATGTCTTGCAGATTTAAAGTGAGGGGTGTGTGGTATGTGAGTCTTCTTCATAGTTACTTATCCACATCAATTATGAATGATGGTGCACCTGGATGGATAATTTTTGGTGACATTTACCTTTTTTGATGTAATTCTTAAACTTTTTTGTTGTTGTTTTGAGATGGAGTCTCACTCTGTCGCCCAGGCTGCAGTGTAGTGGTGCAATCTCGGCTCATCGCAACCTCTGCCGCCCGGGTTCAAGCGATTCTCCTGCCTCAGCCTCCTGAGTAGCTGGGACTACAGGTGCCTGCCACCATGCCTGGCTAATTTTTATATTTTTAGTAGAGACGGGGTTTCACCATGTTGGCCAGGCTGATCTTGAACTCCTCATCTCGTGATTCACCCGCCTTGGTTTCCCAAAGTGCTGGGATTACAGGCGTGAGCCACTGTGCTGGGCCAACTTTTTTTCAGTGACCCTGCCATACATTAATGATTAAAAACTTACTGTCAATCTAATTAACATCTCTAAAATTTCTTTTTCTTTTTATCTGGGAGTTCCTATAATTTTCCTTTTAATTATACCTGGTCTTCCATTTTACTGCAAAGGGCCTCAGAGTGGTTTTCTTTGTAGTTATATTTTGGCACTGTCAATCTGAGACTTCTTAGTATTTTAAAATGCTAAGAAAAACATAATTAATTTTTATCTTCATATACTGTTTCTTTGACATTTCCTCTATTATCCTGTGAAAATCCTACTAAATATGTGTCGCAGTTCCTAAATCTTCCTTATTTTTATTTTTTGGCAAATTACTTTTCTTGTGTTGCTTTCTGGGCAAATTCCTCAGAACTGTCTCTAGATGCACTCATTCTTTCTTTACTATATGTGGCCTATAATTCCTTCCACTCATTAATTTTTTTAATTCAATGACTACATTTTCTCATATTCCTGATAAGTCAATCTTATAACCACATGAATTTATTTAATATATGCCTTTTTATAATTTTTTTCTTTTTATTAATGGGATTCCATGTTTTATCCCTATGAGATATCTAAAAAATTTATAATAAAGTCATTTTACGTTTCATTGTTATGATCTGAATGCTTGTCCTCCCCACCCCCGCAACCCATATTCAGATGGTGAAATCCTAACCCACAGCTATCATGACTGGGAAACATCCCTTTATAAGATAGGCCCAAGGGAGCTCTTTCACCCATTCCACTATGTGAGGACACATATAGAAGGTATTGTTTTCATAAACCGAGAAAAGGGCCTTTGCCAAACACCAAATATGCTGGCACCTTGATCTTGGACTTCCCAGCCTCTAGCATTATGAAAATACATTTCTGTCATTTATAAACTACTTGTTTTACGATGTTTTACTATAGCAGCCTAAAAGGACTAAAAAATCCTCTATTATTTTCAATTTATCTACTCTAAATTCATCTTTCAATTGATTTAGTTTGCTATCCTTATTAATAGCAATTTGAGTTTCCAGCTTTTGGTTTGCAAGTTAGTACCAAGTTGGGGGTTGTTTATATTTTTATGTTTTTCTCTCTTTATCTTTGTGTACTCACCCCTTCCTATAATGTGGTTTTGTGCGTTATAAATTTCTTCTAACCAGAACCAGAAAGTTCTAATTTAGTTGGTTCAGAATCCGTGTGCCATGGTGACATTGGTAAATAACATAAACAACATGATTAGCTGCATGGCTATATCTGCTTCATTCCACTTCATTAGGTGTGAACTCTATAACCTCAGCCAAAACAGCCATCACAACTTTTTTTTTTTTTCAGTCTCCTTTCAAAGTAAGAAACCAGGCTCACGTCTTGATTTCAAAAAGTCAGGAATGTTCTCCATTTCAGGGAAACCTTTTAATAGCTATTATACCCAAAGATAACTCATTTTCTTCTTCCTCTGCTTGTTTTCTGACTGTGATACTAGCAGGCCTGCATATTTAAACCTGCTTATTGCTGTGTGTTTATATTCTTTTTGGTCCTAGAAGACATCTGTTGTAAGCTTAGATTCTTCTAATATCATTATGCACTTAGAGTGGGGCAGAGGGTGGTGGATCTCAAATCATAACCCTTGATTCATTGTTTAATGACTGATATTTTTGTTCCCATTTATAATTATTTGTATGTATACGTATAGATATGAAGAAATGAATATGTTGTTTCACTGATGGAGAGAAAATAATTTAATAATTAAAATGGGTATTGCTTTGTTTTCTTTTATAGATAGGTGAAGCATTTACTCTTGGCAACTCTGCTACTTAATCCTGTGCATATAGATGATATATGAGACATAGCTCTTATAATGAATAAGTTGTTAATTACAGAGATGTACAGATTAAATTAGAGAGAATGTATTGCATTTGGCAATTTAATGACTATAATAAATATTTAAAGTAATGCACTACATATTTTAATTCTGCCAGAAATTTTTTTACAGTGCTGAAGCAATTATCTCTGGGTAAATCCAACTGGGCCACCTGGGTCATCACCTTGACATGCAGGGTGTTCTCTACAGTATATTCTTAGAACATTTGCAAGTTGCAAATGATGTAAGCTGTAGTTCTTCATAAATGACTTCATAGCCAAAGTAAAGCTTCTTTCATTTAATAGTGCTCACAGTGAGTCAAATAATATTATAGAAGTATGCAGATTGTATTTTTGTCTTTCAGTGTAAGAAGGGATGAGTACACACAAATAAAGTTGCACAGATCAGCTAAATAGTTATGACTATCAGCATGCAATCAGATTTAGAAGTATGTCATAAGATCAGTCTTAAGATCACCTTCTATATCTAGGGAAGAGAAAGGTTTATGTCTCCTCTCTGAAGGTTTGATAATTGATTCCACAAAATAAATTGACAGTGGTGAACTCAAAAGCATCTGAGACAGGTTTCAATCAATTTAGAAAATTTATTTTGCTGAGGTTAAGGACACACAGGTGACAAAGCCTCAAGAGGTCCTGAGGACATATGGCCCAAGGTGGTTGGGGTATAGCTTACTTTTATGCTTTTCAGGGAGGCATAATATGTCAATCAATACCTGTAAGATACTCATTGGTTTGATCCAGAGAGGTGGGACAACTCAAAGCGGGGGCATCTAGGTTACAGATAGATTTAGAAATGTTCTGAAAGGCAATTTATTCAGTTAAGTTATTTTCTAAAGATCTGGAATCAATAGAAAGGAATATCTGGGTAATGATGATAAAGGGTTCTGGAGACCAAAGTTTTATCATGCAGAAGAAGCCTCCAGGTATTAGGCTTCAGAGAGCAGAGAATGTAAATATTTCTTACCAGGTTTAACTTATGTGGTGACGTCAGTGCTGGTTGGCTTTTCCTGAATTCCAAAAAGGAGGTGGGTGTGCTAAGGCATGTCTAAACCCCCTTCCCATCATGGCTTAAACTGGATTCAGGTTAACCTTGGAATGCCTTTGGCCAAGAGGAGGGTTCCATTCAGATGGTTGAAGGGCCTTAGAATTTTATGTTTGCTTTACACAGTAGACAGATTAACAGGAGAAAAAAAACATGCATGAGAGTTCCACAAAATGTGAGACTCAAAGAAATGTCAGCTGATTGAAGTTTATACAGCATCCTTAGCTATAGAAAGGAATGGGAGCCTGGAGCTTCTGTGGGTGTTGATGGTGACATGCAGGACAAACAAAGTTTGTCTGTTATGCAGATAGAAAGTCTCCCAGGTAATAAGTGGTCTCATGAGAGCCCATCAGAAGAATAGATGATAGTCTGTGACAAAGTGTGTCTGTGTGTGGTATCTCCTCTGAGTTAATCTTCTCTGGTTAATGAGATTCTTGAGAAGGAAGCTCTTGAAAATTGAATTCCCTTTTGAAAGATCAGTCTTTAGGTAGGTAAAGGAAGTTCAGAGAGAGTTCCTCTCCATGCTTTGGGAGACAAATAAAGGAGGGCAGGAAAAGGTCAGCAAGATCTTGGTTATCGTTTAGCTTAAAGCACTCAGCATGCCGAAGCACTATAGTTTGGGATGTCATTTTCCTGAGCCCCAATACAATTTCTCACATCTGAAAAAGAAAAATGAAATTCTAAGCCCCTCAACTCCCTCCTGACTAAGGGGACTCCAGAGAAACTTTGCAAGCTGAGTTCCCTGCCATGGTAGGATGGGGCTTCGGACACTTCTCATTACATCCACTCCCTCGCTAACTGCCATTAAGCGTTCTTCCCTAAGGGATAAACCAGAATCAGTCCTTTCAAAACACTCCACCCTGATCATGTTAATTACTATCTTATCTTTCCAGGTATAGAACAAAGACGAGATTCATCATTCCTTCACCCCTCTCTGAGATGTCTGCTTTCTCTGTTCCCTTTTTCTTCCAACATTCAACTTATCTTGCAAAATGTAGATGTAATGAGCATTAACTAAAGTCTCAGAAGTATGTAGCTATACACCTCACATCCCTTTCTGAGGAAAAATGTATAAATTCCAAACCTCCTGGGATCCTTTTGGAAAAAAGCAGCCACCAATGTGTCTGTGACTCACATTTTTCCCAGATGGACCATCAAACAGGCTCAATAAGCCTCCATTGATTGAGACACCAGCCTCAATTACCGTGACATCCTTCATAAAACATTTCCAATATGTGGTAATTCAATTTGAGCATCCACATTTTCAAATCAAATGATGCCACAGTAGGGGACAAACTGATCCATGGGGGTGAGGTGGGGATAATTATTAGAAAGCTTTTCCAAATTGTGACTTCCGATTTTTCTCATCACAGCTATGCCAGACAGCATCCAAATCTTTATACAAAATGCCATGTTTTCAAATATGTACCACAAATTATTGCTGTTAAATGTCTTTTCTCTGTATTTACTATCATCCATGCCCCCCAACAATTTCTTAAATACTATGGCTTTTCTTGTCTTCATTATTCTGCGTATACTTCTAGAGAAGAGGTAATGTAGTACATCATCATTTTCTTAAATGTATTTCATCAAGAACTTAAGGTAATATTTCAGATGGAAATAATCAGCACAGAAAAAATTGTGCTTATTATCCTCTTTGCCTTATGCACTGTAATTTATTAAACTCGACCATGACCTTTCCAAACCTTCCCTAATTCGGAACATTTAGGATTTTCATTACTTATTTTTTCTAGGTACCCAAGACTCAACTAGTTGATGCTGAGTTTGCAATCTTGGACGTGGCCAATATGAAGCTTTAGCTAGTCTGGGGTCTAGACTTAACTTTCTCCTCTTAAATATTCAGTCTATATTTTTTCATCTTCATTTGGCTTCCCATCATTTCTCAAAGATATTTGACATAACTTTAATTAACTCTTTTTGAAGTTTGTTCATTGCCCTGAGATGTAATTTGTCTGAGCCATGAGTCAAGCTCATTTAGTAAGCTAGTTGCTCTCTTACAATTTTTCTCAATACATTTGATTGATTGTGTTAATCAATTTTTCTTCTTACCAATTGGTTTCAATCTCATTTCCAAATTACAGAGAAAATAGAAGCAAAATAACAATTAAATACCTTATTTTCTTATTTTTCAGTTTGTTTTTTGACCAGATCTATGGTGTCTCTGTTCATTTTCTTCCTCCAGACACAGTCAAGTTAACCTGGTCCTCTCCTCTGCAGAAAAGGTGGGTCCCCGACAAAACCCCACCCTCAAGTCTGAAACCATGACCCAAAGTGAGAACTTACACCTCTGCTTTACTGTTCTACTGTTGCCTTTTTCCTAAACCATCCATGACCCCTCCTCCCATCCTGTGCCTGTAAAAACTGGCAGAGAGGAAGGTAGCTGGACATTGAAGCCTACGGTTGGATGTCAGAGAGAAGCGGCTTGACTCTAGAAAGACAGCTTGGTGGCATAACTTCGGAGAAGAATCTGGTCAGAGATGGTCGGAATTCAGGGGAAGATGATCATCCTGCCCCATCCCCTTTTCAGCTCCCCTTCCCATTGAAAGCCACTTTTATCAGCCATAAAATCACCTGAATTTACCATCCTTCAATTCATGCAACCTAATTTCTCTTGGACTCCGGACAAGAGCTCGGGAGACCCAAGTATGGATACAAAAGGCAGAGGGCCCATTGAGCTGTTAACATTTAAGCAGTCCACGGATGGCAGAGCAAAAAAAGCACTGTAACACTCCCTCTGGGGCTTCCGGGGTTGCAGGCACCTCCCCCAGATGCTACCGCGGGGCCTGCACGGAGTTTGCTCCTGCCGCCGCCCAAAAATGCTTGCCCTGACTCCTGCAATGGCTCACCTGTGCAGCAGGTCCCAGTGAGTGGAGTTCGGCCCTGCTGGCGTTGAAACAGCTGGCTGCTTCCAGCGTTCATGCACTCCAGTTTCACGAGGAGTTGAAAACTGCAGTCTAGGTAAATGAGACACCCTTATTGAGAGTCCTGTGAAGGGGTCAGAGAAATATAATATCCTTTATCACATAGGCTATACATATTAGGTATATGTGTGTGTGTGTATATATATATATATATATATATATATATATATATATATATACACACACACATATATATACATACACAGTCATGTACTACATAATGACATTTTGTCAGTGACATATTGCATATATGATGAGAGATATTATTATGGTGCTGCCCTATATACTGTCATGTTTATCTTTATAACATATTTTTACTGTACTTTTTCTATATTTAATATACAGATAAAATTGTGTTATAGTTGCCTACAGTATTCAGTACAGTAACAAGCTGAATAGGTTTGTAGCCTAAAAGCAAAAACTATACCATATACCCTGGATGTGCAGTAGACTACACTATCTATACCTATACATATACTAGATTTGTATAAGTACACTCTGTGATGTTCAAACAATGACAAAATCACCTAAGGACACAATTTTCAGAACATATCCCTATTGTTAAGTGATACATGACTACACACACACACACACACACACACACACACATACATATGGAGAGAGAGAGAGAGAGTTATCATGGAATTTATTTCTTATGAGAGAAAGAATTGGTTCACACTATTTTGGAGGCTGACCTCAAGGGTGAGTTGATAAGCTGAGGTCCCAGGAAAGCCAATGATTTAATGTTCAACCTGAAGGCCAGCAGCCTCAAAATCTAAGATCCAATGTTTCAGTGGGATCTGTGGTGGGAAAAACACTGATGTTCCAATTTGAAGGCAGTCAGGCAGAATAAATTCCTTCTTGTTTAAGGGAGGGTCATCCTTTTGGTTTCATTCAGACCTTCAGCAGATTGAATGAGGCCCACCCACATCAGAGAGAGCAAGTGAGCTGCTTTACTCAGTCTACTGACTTAAATGTTAATGTCACCCAAAAACACCTCCACAGCAATACCCAGAATATGTATCACCAAATACCTGGGCACATATTGGCCAAGTCAAGTTGCTCTATAAAATTAACATTACAGTCCCCTAAGACTAACTTTATAGATTTTTGAAATTTGTATTTTCTTTTGGTTATTAACTATTTTTTAACCCTTAAATGTGTTAATTACGGACCTTTATGTTAGACATATTAATATCATTAAATCATTTCACATCTTCACTCTCATCCAACTCATTTAAAATTATATTTACAGAGTTTAGTTTTTAAAGATCTTTAAGATATTTTAATGATACATTTAAAATTCAGACATTGTTTTTATAACTTCATTTTTTTCTAGTTAAAATCTAGGATACTTGTTCAAATCATTCTAAAATTTTGGTCCCCATAAGTCACTAATTTCAGGTTATAGTGATCTCATTTTCATTGGATTTTTACCAGATAATTAACTTTTGTTATTAAAAATTGGTCTAGTGTAATAGTAGCCCTTGTTTTTTCAATATTATGGAAAATACAAAAAGCATCAGAAATATACTAATTATTCAGACCACTCTAGCAGTTTGTGTTTTTCCACTGTTATTTCCTATTCCTGTTCTAATTTGGTGAGCTTCATTAAAAACACATTACTCATTTCAGTTCATTTTACCCATTTACAGGTGTTTGCCCATTATGTTATGATCTTGCTCCTAATTCTAGTCTCCCCCTCCCTCTCTCTCTCTCTCTCTTGTTAACCAACGTCTCTCTTTTTCCCTCCTAAATCAAAAATATCCATGGGGACAAAATTTCTTTCTGTTTTTGGAGGGGACAAATCTACATCCAAAAGAAGGAGCACCCTTGTTATTTCTGTCCTGGCAATTTTATTCTGCTGCGCATATACCATCTGTTCAGTATCCGGTATTGCATATAGCACACTTTCAATTCGCTTGTAAGTTTTTGTTTGTTTCTTTTGGCTGTCTTAGCTTATAGCCATGATTTCACTCTAAAAATGTTGATTGGCAGGTACTATTTCTTTTTCACCAGTGTGTTCCTGGTTCCAAGAAAAGTGCAGGAACATATAGTGGAATCTCAGTATAAACTTGTTGAAAGAATGGATGATGCTTCCATCATGTTTTGGCTGTGACTATAGGATTAGATTTGTCTCTGGAATTTTCATTTTAGCATATGTGTTGACTATACTTCATGCATTTATTAGAGATAACATATGGTGACCTGGATCATAATCCCCTTTTTATATTAATAAAATCCAGATTTATAACAAAGTAGTGGAGGGAAAGAGGCTATAATAAAGAGATAGGAGACAGAGATAACTCATTTCTCCAATACAAGCAAGTCATCTGTGGGAAGAGGAGTGGGATGTTCCTAGTTTATAGTCCTTTAGTGATAAGGCATGCAGTCAGCCCTCTGTATCGCCACGTTCGGCACAGTGGATTTAGCCAATGACAGATGGAAAATATTTTTTAATCTCGATAAAAAATAATACAACAATTAAAAATATTAAAAATAAAAGCAATACCATACAACAACTATTCACATAACTTTTACAATGTGTTAAGTGTTATAAGTAATCTAGAGATGATTTAAAGAATATAGGAGGATGTGCATAGTTATATGGAAGTACTGTGCCATTTTATGTCAGGCACTGGAGCATCTTTAGATTTGGGTATCCCAAAGTTTCCTGGAACCAGTCCCCCATGGATATATAGGGAACACTGTACAAAAAAATGGTTCCAGGTTTCTTCCCGCTTTGAAATGTAAACATGTCTGTCCAGAGATAACTCTGTATTTCTCTGGAGGTTTTTATCTATTCAATTATCCCTTAACTTCCAAGATTTTTCTTTTAGTGCAGGTTTTTGTGCAAAGTTGCTTTGGCCACTCCAGGTCTTTCAGATTTTCAAATACTTGTTTAGAATTAGCTTGAGAACTTAAATAGCAACAAAGCCTTGATGGGTTTAGAGATTGCATTGAATTTATCAGCCAATCTAGTTGGGGGGTGGGGGTGGGGATTGAATGTTAACAATATTGAGACTTCTTGATCTATGACCAAGGTATCTCTTTCCATTTCTTTGGGCCTCCTTTAATTTCATTCAGTAACGTTTTGTAGTTTTCACTGGACAGGTAATGCACATGTTCAGTCAAATTTATCCCTAAACATTTAACATTTTGAAGCTATAATAAATAAATTTTAAATAAAATAATTCTGATTATTCATTGCTAATATTTAGAAATACAATGGATTATTGTATATTGGTCTTGTGTTCTGTAAACTTTCTAAAATCACTGGTTAGTTCTAATAGCATTGCTTTTTATTTCCTTTTAAAGATTTTATCAAGTTCCATCAGATTTTCTTTATAGACAATTATGCTTTCCACAAATAAGACAGTAAGACAATTTTCCTTTTTGCATAAATCTAGATGCCATTTATTTCTTTTCCTTGCTTTTGTTCATTGGCTAAAATATCCAGTACATGTTGAAATGAATATCCCTCTATTGTTCCTGATCTTAGTTGGACAGCATTTAGCATCAATTTCACCATTAATTATTAATGTTGGATGTATATTTTGCATACATTCATGTATTAATTGCTTGTTACTCCTGTAACAAACTACCACACACTTATTCACTTAAAACAGTACAAATGTATTATCTTATAGTTGTGAAGATCAAAAGTCCTAAATGACTCTCATTGCGTTAAAAAACAAGGAGTCATCAGGACCCAAAGCTCCCATGCCCTCCTGAGGCACATCCCCCTCCAGGAACTGAACGAAGGATGTGTTCTGCTATCCAGCAACTCTCCAAACCCAGTCCTTTTTGTTTTCTATGGAGGTCTCATTACAAGCATGATTGATTAAATCATTGACCATTGGTGATCAACTCGATCTTCAGTGCCAATCTTCTCCCCAGAGTTTTAGTGTGGGGCTGAAAGTTCTAACCCTCTAATAATGCCTCATTCTTTCTGGTGACCACCTCTCATCCTGAATCTGTCTAAGGGCCCCCAGCCACCAATAAACTCAGTAGCATACAAAAAGAGAAACAGGGACTGAGATCAAATATATATTTCACAAATAACAGTTAATGTTAACATGGTTAATTATATTTTATTATTTTGAATGTAAAACAACTTTGTGTTTCCAAGATAATAATTATGGTGAAATATTCTTTTTATATATTTTTGGATTCTATTTGCTAAACGTTAAAGTTTTTTTGCATCTATATTCATATAACATACTGAACTATAACTTGCGTTTCTCACAATATGTTAGAATAATGTGGTTCTCATAGAATGAGTTTCGTTCTCTTCAATTTTCTGAGTTTCTGTAGAATTGCCATTATTTCTTCTTTAAATATTTGCTATCATTCTCTTGTGAAAAATTTAGTAATAAAGAGGATTCTTTGTGAGAAAGTTTTTAACTAAAATTTTACTGTTTTCAATAGATATGAGATATCTAGGCCACCTATTTCTACCTGAATAAAATTTGGTCTTGTCATTCAAGGAAATTGAAATATTGAACTTAATAAATTTATTGAGTAAAGTTCTTCCTAAAGTCAACTAAAATACATTTTTCTAAAGGAGAATAATGTTTATTGGGAAACAGGGTATTTCAATATGAATACACACGCCGTATTAAATTATGTGTGGATTTAGAGAGGTAAAGGACAAAGCTTTTAAAGGAAACATGAAGATTACATAATTGTATGGACATAATTATCCTTGGCTGCAAAGATCAATAAGATCAATAACAAACGTGATGTCAGTTCTAGGATGAACAGGCAATTGCTGGGCAGATGTCTTTGGAGAAGTATTTTTTGTGTAAGTTTGTGATGGCCTTTGTGCAAGTCTGCAGTTTTCGCAGTCTTTTTTGATATTTTTTGTTATTAGGCACACAGCATGAGAACTTTAATATGCTTCCCAGGTTCTATTTGTCAGGGTTTCTTTCCCTTCCTTCCTCTCTGTCTTCGTTTTCCTTTCTTTCATTTTTTTAATTTTTTTTATTTTCATAGGTTATTGGTGAACAGGTGGTGTTTGATTACATGAGTAAGTTCTTATTGGTGATTTGTGAGATTTTGGTGAACCCATAACCTGAGCAGTACACACTGCACTCAGTTTGTAGTCTTTTATCCCTCACCCACTTTCCACCCTTGCATTTTGATTCTGACAATTTTCACATTATTCTCTAATTGTATAATCACCTAGAGTTTTTTTTTAACTTTCTGATTTTTTAAATGGATTATTTGTGACTCTTCTCTTTTTTATTGATAAATCTGGCTAGAGATTTATCAATTTTATTGATTTTCTCAAAGGACCAGTTTTGTTTTTGTAGATGTTTTTACATTGGTGTTGTGATTTTTACTTCATTAATATCTATTCTGATTATTAATTTTTCTTCTTATTGCTTTAGTTTGAGTTTTATTTATAGTTCTTGTTTTATTGTTTTGGAGTCGATGACAAGGGCATTGATTTTAGATTTTTCTTCTTTAATGTCATGACTTTCTCCCTTAGTATTGCTTTAGCAACATCACACGACTTCTGATATGTTGTTCTTTTGTTTCCATTCTGTTCAAAATACTTTCTAATTTCACTATTATTTGGCACATGTATTATTTAGAAGTGTGTTCTTTCTTTCCATATGATGGAGACATTTTTGTAGATCTGTCTGTTAATTTGCTTCTAACTTAGTTCCTAGGTTACTTCCAGGGATTACAATCCTCTTTAATTACTCGAGACTTGATTTATGGTCCAACTTGGTAAATATTTCATGCATACATATGAAGAATATGTGTTTTGCTGTTGTTGATTGGAGTGTTTATAATTGTTAATTAGGTTAAGTTGATTGGTAGTGTTGTGTAAATATTCTATGTCCTCATTCATTCTTACTCTATTTGTTCTCTCAATTGTCAGAAGAGGAGAATTAAAATTTCTAACTACAATTGTGAATTTTCTTGTATATTAGTTTTAGTTTCATGTAATTTAAAGCTATGTCTTCCTGATAACCTGACAGTATTAACATTATAAATTAATCTTTATACTCAGTAATATTCTTTGCTCTGAATCACATTTTTTATATTAGTATAGTCACTTCATCTTAATTTTGACAAGCATTTGTATGATTTATCTTCTTAACCTCTTTTACTTTTAATCTATTTGTGGTTTAAGCTAATAGTTCTTAAAGTTTTTTTTCTTGCAAGCAGCATATGATTAGAGCTTGCTTTTAAATGCAATCTGAAAATCCCTGCCTTTTAATTGAAGTATTTAGGCCATTAAATGTGATGTGTTAGTGGTATAGTCAGACTTATGTTTTTCATTATGCTATTTATACTCTATTTGCTTTATCTTTTCTCTCTCATTTTCCCTCTTTCTGCCATATTTTAGATTCATTATTACTTTTACTATAAATCAATTTGTTTCTCTTCTATAATTTATTTAGTTATATCTCTTTATTTTGTTATTTTAATGGTTACTTTAACTTGTCACAGTCCAGATGAAAGAGATATTATACCACTCTACACAGTTCACAAGATCATAGAATAATATACAGTGAGTCCTCACCTAATGTCATCAATATATTCTTAAAAACTGACTTCAATCCATCTTGAAGTAATTTTTGTATAAAGTGTAAGGAAGGGATCCAGTTTCAGCTTTCTACATATGGCTAGCCAGTTTTCCCAGCACATTTATTAAATAGGGAATCCTTTCCCCATTGCTTGTTTTTCTCAGGTTTGTCAAAGATCAGATAGTTGTAGATATGCGGCATTATTTCTGAGGGCTCTGTTCTGTTCCATTGATCTATATCTCTGTTTTGGTACCAGCACCATGCTGTTTTGGTTACTGTAGCCTTGTAGTATAGTTTGAAGTCAGGTAACGTGATGCCTCCAGCTTTGTTCTTTTGGCTTAGGATTGACTTGGCGATGCGGGCTCTTTTTTGGTTCCATATGAACTTTAAAGTAGTTTTTTCCAGTTCTGTGAAGAAAGTCGTTGGTAGCTTGATGGGGATGGCACTGAATCTATAAATTACCTTGGGCAGTATGGCCATTTTCACGATATTGATTCTTCCTACCCATGAGCATGGAATGTTCTTCCATTTGTTTAATTCAAGATGGATTAAAGACTTAAATGTTAGACCTAAAACCATAAAAACCCTAGAAGAAAACCTAGGCATTACCATTCAGGACATAGGCATGGGCAAGGACTTCATGTCTAAAACACCAAAAGCAATGGCAACAAAAGCCAAAATTGACAAATGGGATCTAACTGAACTAAAGAGCTTCTGCACAGCAAAAGAAACTACCATCAGAGTGAACAGGCAACCTACAAAATGGGAGAAAATTTTTGCAACCTACTCATCTGACAAAGGGCTAATATCCAGAATCTACAATGAACTCAAACAAATTTACAAGAAAAAAACAAACAAACCCATCAAAAACTGGGCAAAGGATATGAACAGACACTTCTCAAAAGAAGACATTTATGCAGCCAAAAGACACATGAAAAAATGCTCATCATCACTGGCCATCAGAGAAATGCAAATCAAAACCACAATGAGATACCATCTCACACCAGTTAGAATGGCGATCATTAAAAACTCAGGAAACAACAGGTGCTGGAGAGAATGTGGAGAAATAGGAACACTTTTACACTGTTGGTGGGACTGTAAACTAGTTCAACCATTGTGGAAGTCAGTGTGGTGATTCCTCAGGGATCTAGAACTAGAAATACCATTTGACCCAGCCATCCCATTACTGAGTATATACCCAAAGGACTATAAATCATGCTGTTATAAAGACACATGCACACGTATGTTTATTGCGGCACTATTCCCAATAGCAAAGACTTGGAACCAACCCAAATGTCCAACAATGATAGACTGGATTAAGAAAATGTGGCACATATACAGCATGGAATCCTATGCAGCCATAAAAAATGATGAGTTCATGTCCTTTGTAGGGACATGGATGAAATTGGAAATCATCATTCTCAGTAAACTATCGCAAGGACAAAAAACCAAACACCGCATGGTCTCACTCATAGATGGGAATTGAACAATGAGAACACATGGACACAAGAAGGGGAACATCACACTCTGGGGACTGTTGTGGGGTGGGGGGAGCGGGGGAGGGTTAGCATTAGGAAATATACCTAATGCTAAATGACGAGTTAATGGGTGCAGCACACCAGCATGGCACACGTATACATATGTAACTAACCTGCACATTGTGCACATGTACCCTAAAACTTAAAGTATAATAATAATTAAAAAAACTGACTTCATATGAAACAACATGCAGAAAATGCTTGAATAATGTCATTTAATTCAGTATAGTTTCATTACAATATTGATGAGGATAAAAGTTGGTTTCCTTATATATAGTTTATGTTAAAGACACACTCACTTTTCAAGAACATATCAATGAGATTAGGTGAGGATTTACTGTACTTTCCTTTCTACCTTCTAGGTCTTTATGAAAATGTTGTTATACATTTGACATATACAGTTGATCCTTGAAAAACACAGAGATTAGGAGTGTCAATCCCCATGCAGTTAAAAATCTCCTTATAACTTTTGATTTTCTAAAAACTTAACTACTAATACCCTACTGTTGACAGGAAGCCTGACCAATAACATAGTCAATTACCACATATTGTGTATGTTATATGTTATATGTTACTGTAGTCTTACAATAAAGTAAACTAGAGAAAGAAAAGCATTATGAAGAAAATTAGAAGAAAAAGAGAATGCATTTACTATTCATTAAGTGGAAGTGGATCATCATAAAGATCTTCATTCTTTTTGTCTTCAATTTGAAGGCTAAAGAGGAGGAAAAAGAGGAGTTGTTCTTACTGTTTCAGGGGTGGAAGAGCCAGAAGAAAACCTGTGTATAAGTAGATCTACGTAGTTTAAACCTGTGTTGCTCAAGGATCAACTACTGGATGTGTGAATGTGTATGTGTATGTGTATGTGTGTGTATTATATGTGTGTGTGTGAGAGATATATATATATATGTATTTGACATATATGTGCTATAAACTCCACAATATTTTAAGCTGTCAATTACCTTTTAAAGAGATTTAAGGCATGCAACTCATATATTTATCCCTGTAGTTATAATTTCTGGTGCTTTTTATTCCTTAAGGGTTATCTCATATTTTCATCTGGTATCATATTTCTTCTGCTTGACACTTACACTTGTTTTAACATTTCTTGTAGTGTGTGTTTGTTAATACTGAATTATTCCAGCATTTGTATATGAAAAAATATATTTACTTCTTTTTCATTTTTAACAAAATTTTATTTTGAAACACTCATGTATTCCCAGAGAGTGAATATATATTTCCTCATGAGCCCTTTGCTAAGTTTTCCTCAAAACATCTTCTAAGACTAGAAAGACTATAAACACAAAGCAATAAGTGTGTTTAAATTAAATATGCAAGATCGCTAGTTTCAAAGTCAAAAAACAAGCGGAGAAAGAAATTAGAACTCTGTGAGTAATAGGAATGAAAAGTTTGACCTATGATGTGAGATCTTGCTGACCTCTTGAAATCAAGGTCTGGGATACTTTTCTTGCTCTGAGCAAAGACTGCAAAAAGGCAATGATGGATCGTATATAAACTTGATGCTTAATGAGGTGGAATGAAGCAGATACAGCCACGTATCCGCAATGTCTGGATATATTATACAACCAAAATTCAAATCTAATGCATCTTATTTTCATTTAATATTTCCTATTTCTTAGCTTCTATTTTATCTTCTCATGTTTTTAGGCATCCACATGATATTCTATGTAATTTTAGCTTAATCTTACAGTTCACTAATTTTCAATTAAGCCTCATTTAATGAGCTCTTTAACAAATTCACTGTTTTTAATACCAAATATATAAATATGTATATGTTAATATATGCAAATACACATAAATATACATACATATTTTATATTTTTCTGTTTTTTGTTTATTTTGTTTTTTTGTTGTTGTTTTTTGAGACAGAGTCTTGCTCTGTCACCAGGCTGGAGTGCAGTGGCACAATCTTGGCTCACTGCAACCTACGCCTCCTTGGTTCAAGTCATTCTCCTGCCTCAGCCTCCCGAGTAGCTGGGAATACAGATGTGCTCCACCACACCCAGCTAATTTTTGTATTTTTAGTAGAGATGGGGGTTTCACTATGTTGGCCAGGATGGTCTCGATCTCTTAACCTCATGATCCACCCACCTCATCCTCCCAAAGTGCTGGGATTACAGGCGTGAGCCACCACGCCCGGCCTGTTTTTTTTTGTTTTGTTTTTTTGTTTTTTTAATTTTCGTTATAAGGCTGACTATTCTTGTCTGTGTATGACGAATTATGTATTTTTGTGAACTGATTGCTTTACATAGGAAAGGCACAACTTTGTAATAATTATAAATTTAGGATCACGTTTTGTTGTACAAGTCAGACTCAGGATAATGGGAGCAGCTAATTCCCTTATAAAATGATCTAAGATGCATTATTTTGTTAAGATGACTTTATTTTTGGCTTATAATTCTATATTTTATTTGTTGAATTGTAATTTTTAAAATATATCTGTTGGCTTTGAAATTGCTTATCATTTGACACAGGGAATAAAAGTGAAATGGCATAATCATTAGATTTTACTTTTTGGCAGATAAAATTTGGCAGTACCCAAGCCAAAAACACTTAAGAAAAATAAGATTACACAACACATAAAGAATCCAAAGCCATTTTAAAGAAATTAAAGAATTCCCAACACATATATCTTTTATTTATTCTAGGAACATTCAAAATATTCTCTTTCAGTTATTTGAAATGTATTGTTAATGTTAACTATAGTTACCCTACTGATCCATTGAACATAGGTCTCATTTCTTCTAACTGTATATTTGTACCCATTAATCGACCTCTCTTGATCCTCTGCTCCCCTCTATCCTTCCTGGCTTCTGGTAATCACCAATCTAACATTTTCATGAAACCCACTTTGTTAGCTCCCACATATGAGTGAGAACATCTGATATTTGTTTTTCTGTGCTTGGCTTATTTCACTTAACCTAATGAGCTTATGACCTCCAGTTCCATCCATGTTGCTTAAAATGACAGAATTATACTTTTTATGGCTGAATAATATTCCATTGTGAATATATAAAACATTTACTTTATCTATTGTTCCACTGATAAGCACTTAGGTTGATGTCAAATATTGGTTATTGTGAATAGTGCTGTATCTATCTACCTAGTAGTGGAATTAATGGATCGTGTGGTAGTTGAAATTTTAGTTTTTGTTATGAAATAAATTTCACTTGGTTGAATATAGTAACATAGAATAACAGAATGTAATACTTAGTAAATTACATGTTTGGTTATTCAGCCTTTACATAGAGTGACAAGAGACTCACAGAAGAACTTGAATACTCATCCCTAGTAAATTGCATAATTTCTATGTCATGCAAGTATAAATTATTATAAAAATAAGTTCCAGTATTGAGGAATATATAGAAGTATAGGTCAAATGTTAAATTTAATGTGCATGTTACTGCTAATATTCATTATCCTATTCTCTAAAATAGTAAATAGAACTTTATTTTAGAGTATTATTTTAAAATAGAGTAACTTCACTGTATAGAGGCCTGACAAAAACTACCTCAGCTAGGTGATCAAGATTAGCATGGTCAGTGATAAGTCATGTTGGTAGCATGTATTCTGGAAATGATGTGATAGAAATTGAAATTTGCCTTTAAGATCTTCCTCTCCAAACCCATAATCCCAGTTTAATGAGAAAAATGTCAGACAAAAGTAATTGGTTGACAGTCTGCAAAATACCAGACATGTACTTCTCAAAACTGCTAGGTCATTGAAAACAAGGAAAATCTGAGAAATAGCCAAGAAGAATCTAAGTAAATGTGACAACTAAGATTGGGGTACATTTCCAAGATAAGACAGATAGCAAATCAGATAAATACATCTCATTTTCTTGATGTTTGATACATTCAACATTCATGGCCTGAAACACAAATGTAATATTACTAAATATTATTTAATTTTATTGATAATCTATTTGTTATATAACAGAAAAATACAGTAGTTTGAAACATATATTTAGCACCTTATTTATTTATTTATTTAATTTTTTGAGACAGAGCCTTGCTCTGTCGCCCAGGCTGAAGTGCAGTGGTGCAATCTCTGCTCATTGCAACCTCTGGCCTCCTGAGTTCAAGTGATTCTCCTGCCTCAGCCTCCCTCCTAGCTGGGACTACAGGTGTGCGCCAACACGCTGGCTCTTTTTCGTTATTTTTAGTAGAGATGTGGTTTTATCATCTTAGCCAGGCTGATCTCAAACTCCAAACCTCAGGCAATCTGCCTGCCTCAGACTCCCAAAGTGTTAGGATTATAGGCATGAGCCACTGTGCCTGGCTAACACCTTTATTTTAAAACTGGCCTTCAGGAATTTGTTAGGAATTTGTAGAACATCACATTTATATCAGCTTCAGCAATGAAATTTGAGATAAGCTAGAGAATCTTTGCCAAAACTGCCTAACCTGAGAGCCCAGCTGCAGAATTAATTGAATATATTAAAATACAATGCTACTGATCCAACTAGTCAAAATTTATTTGTGTTTCTCAGAAACGTACAATGGGAGCGAGAGAGAGAGGGACAGAAACCGAAACATGAAGTTTGATAAACAGTGCCCTTTTATAATTTTTGAAGATGTATAATTTCTTCATAAATTCTACTGTGCCCTTTTATGAGTGACATAAAACGAAAAAAAAGTCTAATACCTGATTTACTGGTAAGAGAAGAGGCTTTAGTGTTAGGCATAACTTCTTAATATTTATGAATTCCATAATCATCGACAACTTCAACAAACTAAAAAATCAATTTTATGAAATCTTTAGCATAATTTTCCATTTTTAGGTTTAAAGTGGTTTGTAACTTTATTCTGTTTATCATAATGTTATATGTTATTTTCTTTGAGCTTTGAAATGGACTTGAATAATAAAATAATGATAATATAAGAAAAAGATTGTGCAACCTTTTAATTTCTATAATATCTAGTGTAATTATAAAGAAATACTTGAAGGTGTTTTAACATCAGAGTTTGTTGAGGTTGTCAGGCTAAGATGTTGCAGTACCCCGCATTCTTCACACCCAGCATCCTTCTCCAATGTCCGATCCCACTTGGCTGATAGATTTATTATGTTAAATAGCTATCCAAAACATTTTGCCGGTTCACATTCTCCTCCCATAATCCATTAATAAAGAAACGTTAATTAAAATATCTGCAGTTTATGTAAGCTCTTACCTTACAAGAATGCTGTCACTCTGTCCTTCACCAGGTCAATGGCAGAAAAAAGTAACCAGAAAAGCCTAGTTAAGACTTGTTTACATCTCTCTCCCTTGACTACTCACCCCTCAGATTTATTCTTTCTACTGAATTTTGTAGACTGGCACTACCAACTAACCAAAAACAGAAACTTGGATATTATTCCTATCACTTCTTGCCCCTTCCTGGCCATTATTTGGGAACATTGCGTGTAATAGCCACTCAATTAACATCTATTAAAACAATAAAGAAATACAGCACTGATTTCATACAATATCATCTTGGTACCTGGATTTTCCACTTGACAATGCTGTGAAATAATTTGAGATTATAATCCATAACTGAGAGGTGAAGCCGGCTGGGCTTCTGGGTGGGGTGGGGACTTGGAGAACTCTTCTGTCTACCTAAAGGATTGTAAACACACCAATCAGTGCTCTGTGTCCAGCTAAAGGTTTGTAAATGCACCAATGGGCACTCTGTAAAAACGCACCAATCAGCACTCTGTGTCTAGCTAAAGGTTTGTAAATGCATCAATCAGCACTCTGTAAAAACGGACCAATCAGCACTCTGTAAAATGGACCAATCAGTGCTCTGTAAAATGGACCAATGAGCAGAACATGGGCGGAGCCAAATAAGGGAATAAAAGCTGGCCACCTGAGCTAGCAGCGGCAAGCCAGTGGCGTTCAATGTTGTGGAAGCTTTGTTGTTTTGCTCTTCACAATAAATCTTGCTGCTGCTCACTGTTTGGGTTTGCACTACCGTTATGAGCTGTAACACTCACTGCAAAGGTCTGCAGCTTTACTCCTGAAGCCAACGAGACCACAACCCCACCGGAAGGATTAAACAACTCCAGATGTGCTACCTTTAAGAGCTGTAACAGTCACTGCGAAGGTCCGCAAGGTCTGTGGCTTCACTTCTTAAGTCAGCGAGCTCACGAGCCCATGGGAAAGAAGTAAGAACTCCAGATGGGCTACTTTTAAGAAGTGTAACACTCACTGTGAAGGTCGGAGGCTTCAATCCTGAAGTCAAGCGAGACCACGAACCCACGGGAAGGAAAAAACTGTGGACACGTGAACATTGGAAGGAACAAACTCCGGGCCCACCATCTTTAGGAACTGTAACACTCTGTGAGGGTCGGTGGCTTCGTTCTCGAAGTCAGCAAGACCAATAACCCACCAGACGGAACCAACTCCAGACACATAATGGTTACTGTTTTATGTCTGCCATTATGTTTGGATGGTAATAATTATTGGTAATTGCAGAATGTGATGTAACCAGTGTTAAATGGTGACATCCTCTCCTAAGTTATTCACTGTTATATTCCATTACTCAACTTGTTCACCTAAAATAATATGTCAGTATTTTTCCATGAATAATTTGAGAAATTTTACATATTCTGTATGAAGAGTATTCATGAATGAGTCATCCTATTTCTGTCATTGATTTTTATGTGTTGTGTCAAATTGTGGAGAAGACTTTCAAGTGAAAGGAACAAAAACAAGACTGTTTATAGCAGGACTGGTTCTTCAGCTGGGTAATATCAAGTTACCCTGACAGCTTTTTCTGTGATGCTCTTACTCCTCCAGTACTGCCACAAGGCTGGCCCCTGACATCCCTACACATCACGGCTTACAAGTTGTGTCATCTGAGAGCATTTTCCACATGCATTTGTTGCTGCAATACACATCTCCCATGTATCATCATTTCATGTTCCTACCTTGAATTTTTTAAAATTGCATTTGTTATTTTAAATTAGAAGAACATCTTTTTTTAACTTACTCATTTTTGGTCTCACCACCAAAATTTAAACTACATAAAGACATGGACTACTCTGTCTTTGGTATCCATACTAATTCCCTGACAGGGTCATACTTGCCTACGTGATGAATCGGCTTTATGTTAAGGCACACGTCTTTTGATTCAGAAAATGATATCAATCCAGAATAGAGATCATTTGACCATAAATTTATTTGGATCATATGAGTAAGTTATTTGACTGAAAGAAACCCTCTAAATATGTACTTCCTCAGGTTATACAAAAGTTCAACAAAGTGTAAAGAACAATTTTGAAAAATGTAAAGTCAAATTTATGTCTTACAATGCCGAAGTTTTTTCTTAAAGTGAGGAAATTTCAGTATAAGATTCAGACAGAAATCTTGATTACAAGGAACAGGCAGAATGTAAGACAATGAAATATAAGACAGTGAAACTGGACTGTTAACATCTTAGCTACAGAGGCAGCAGTTGTTTAGAAATGATAACCACTTGCTAAGTGGGAATGAAGGCTAAATATTGTCTTATCTTTTGTTTTTGAAAAAAAATTAAAACCTAGATATCAATTTAAAGGCCCTATGAATTCAAGTTTTGGAAGTTAACTTTAAACTTTGTGAACAGGCTAAACAATGAAGAGGACTGTAACCCATAGGTCTTCAATTTTTAGCCACACAGCTACATGCTCTTATCAATCGACTTAGGGTCCTTTTGGAATTATTTTTACTCACATACACATTATTTTGAGGGCCATACTAAGAAATAATATATAAAATTCACTTTTGTGGTTTTTATTGTAATAATTAAGCAGCATTGTTTATAACCTTAATATATATTCTTTGAAAAACTTAACACAGTCCTTAGTATTTTTACCTTTAGAAATTTGATTTTTTCATTTTTACAAACATTGTGAATTAAGTAATAATATTCCACTTTGTGATGGCTGCAGAGAAGCCATCTCTAAGAATCTCAATAGCATATATGAATATAATGACAGAAATGTCAGATAACTTTCATGTATTGCATCACTAAATCTTAACTGAACTTGTGATGTACTCCAAATAAACCTCTAAAATATTAGCCTTGAACTCCTGGGCTCAAGCAATCCTCCTGCTACGTCCTCCTCAGTAGCTAAGACTACAGCATACCACCACACTTAGCTTTTTTTAAATTATTTTTTGTGGAGACAGAGTCTTGCTATGTTGCCCAGATTGGTCTCAAACTCCTGCCCTCAAGCAATCCTCCCATCTCAGCCTTCTAAAGTTCTGGGATTAGCATAAGCTACCATGGCCAGCTCTTTGCCCGTATTTAAATCAGCTTCTTTGTTTGCTTGATTTTGAGATGTTTGAGTTCCTTATATATATCTTAGATAGTTGCCCCTATTCAGATGTATGATTTGAAAATATATCCTACCATTCCATAGGTTTTTCTCTTCACTCTGTTGATTGTTTTCTTGAATATGCAGAAGTTTTTTAGCTTAATAAAATCCCATGTGTGTATTTTTGGCTTTTGTTCCCTGTGCTTTCGAGGATTTATCCATAAAATCATTGCCCAGCCCAAGGTCATGGAGCTTTTCACCTAAGTATTCTAGTAGTGTTACAGTTTCAGTTTACATTTAAGTCTTTGATTTATTTTGAATTGATTCTCATCCTGTGTTCTCAGTGGTGGCAAAGGTTGTTAGAGTCTTCAGTGGTGATGACTGCTGTGGTCCTCCTGATCTCTTATTCTCCCACCAAGGTAGTTGTGGCTGAGGGGATCCCTCTTGGCAGTAGGTCCGGCGTGCAAGTCCACTTGCAGTAGTGGTGTTACCAGTGTGTGATGAGTAGCATGTATGGAGTGGTCACACAGCTACAGTCTGAACTATGGTATAAGTAGAGGAAACTATGGCTCGGATCTGCAGTGATAATAGCCCTGGTGTCCAGGGTACACGCAGCCCCACTGCCATGTTCGTAACTATATGTGATGTGCATATGCTTATGAAGCAGCCAGGGAGCCAAGAGCAGGAGCATAGTTATGTGCAGAGTTACAGTGACTCTGGTGTTGGGGTGGATTTTAGTTCTTCACAGTAGCTGAGCTGGTGCCTGGAGCACAGGCATGCTCAGAGAGACCTTGGTTTCAGGCCTGGGTTGATAACTAGCTCCCTCACCATATTGATGGCTCTGGTTTCAGAAATGTGGGTGTTTGCCGAGCCCAGGTCTGGAGTGTAAGCACTCAAGAGGTAGCCACGGCTTTGGGATTGGGCCCAAGTGGGGCTGGGAGAGATGGCAGCTCCTTACCCAAAGTGAGGCTGAACAGTGTCTGCTTCTTAGGGAGTTTGGAAAAGATGCCTGAGGTTCCTTGGCAGGAATAGCTGTTGGTTAACTTAGTGGCAGAAGATGCTGGTGTCTTTTGCAGAGCAGGCTGCCAAGAACTATGGTGGTACCTGCTGTGTGGCTGACACCAATAGCCTCTGACTTTCTTCTTTCTTCCTATCCATTTTCTAGCATCTCAGGTATGCCAATATAGCCAGAAATCATATCTATGTAGATATTCTCTGGTGATTTGCTCCACTGTGTGTGTTACAGAAGATTCTTTAATAGGACTTTGAGCTCTCTCAAGGTTATTTTGGTTTGAGGATAGCTCTGTGTGTGTTTATGTGTGTATGTACGTGTGTGTGTGTGTGTGTGTGTGTGTGTGTGTGTATTTAAGGGGGTTGAAGGTTGGTATCTCCTACTCTGCCATCTTGGTGATGTTATACCTCCTTCTGTTTCAAAATGCATATATATTGTTTGATCCTAATGGGATCAGTGTTTCATTCCACAAGAATGTCTAACCTTCTCAATGTTATGTGTTTGAAAAGAAATTATCAATTTGTTTTTTGACTACTATTTTTTGAGCCCCTAACCAATCAAAGTGATTTATAAGTCAATTCATTTAATCTAAAAAAAACTCATAAGTATTATTATGTGTATTTTACTTCAGAGTAAAGCAAGTCTTAAAGGAGTTAACAACTTACCTAGTATTATCAACTATGGGGAGGAGAGCCAAATTCTAAACAAGGGATTTCAGACTTGAAAATACATCCTTTTAATCCTCTCCTTATGAAAATGCTGGGTGTCTAATTCAGACCCTGAAGTCCACAACTGCAAATGAGGTTCTTCTATCCACAAAGTGATAGACATTAACAGAACAACAAACTTCAATAATTCAGAATATGTGTACTGTCCAGGCTGCCTCGTATATTCTTTTCATATCAAAACTATTAAGATTTATGATCTGTTAGCTTCCATCTTCTCTATTCTTCAAAAACACTCCATTGTTATGATGTTTTCCATGCATTACTTGCCCTAGGTCTCCTGATAACAAAGTAATATCTCATATTGCCTTGTTCCAACCATATAAAGGTTTCTGGCCCATAAGAAGTGCTTAGTAAATATTGCTATTTGTTTATCTGATTCTTCATCTGGCAGCTTGCAATTATTTTTATTATTTCATTTCCAAAATATCCTGTCAATAATTGAATTAATGTTTATGTCTCTGTTCCTATTTCCATTGTGTCAGGAATTAAATGTTTTAATACAAATGGACTCGTTTATTACTGTGAGTTCCAACGGGAGGGAACTTTCAGACTGATAGTGTTGAAGTTGAGTGCGCTCCTTAAGGCAGGCTGATATAATTACTATCCTCGTAGGTCATTGTTGCACTATTATTGTTTTCTATTTCCTGTAGACTCCCCAAGAGAATTTCAGATGTCCATGTGGTAAGTTGACCTTAAGTGTACAAATTCTCACTATTATTTTTCTGAGTTCAAAAATGTAAACACTGTGTAGATACTTTTTATTAAATTGATTTTATAGCAAACAGTATAATAGTAAGTAGAATCATGGAGGCAACTTTTCTAAAACAATGTTTTATTACTCATGATTCTGTTTTTTCACACACATAACATAATGTGCACGACTGTCACTGAGACTCCAAAACACTGATCTAATAAAAAGTTTAACAAATAATAAGATCAAGACATTTGAAGCATGTTGTTTAACTTTATTGATTCACTGAAATAGCAGCCACCACTGCCCTCACATTATAGATCCAATGAAACTAATGGCATATCCATGAAAGGTTTAAACCCCCTCCCTTAGTGATTTGAAAAACAAAAAAATACATACAGAATATGTAATACTCTATTTTAGTACCTTATAATCACAAAAAATCATAGCATTTTTCTTTCAGAAATAACTTATAAAATAGTGAAAAATAATTAGGTAATACAACTAATTTATCCTAGCTGCCAAACTGTCCTTTAGCCTATATAGTAATAAATTTGGAATTAAATGCTGAACTTCAAGACGTAGTACTAAATATTTTAGGACCATATCAGCTGATCACGAGCTCAAATGCATACGGTGTTAAATCATAATAAATATGATCACTTTAAAGTGTACGTATACTTTAGTTTTAATAGCAGAAACAAAAATAACCTATTGAATATAATCATTTTTTTCTAACATTCCAGAATTTACATGGCAAAGAAAGTACTTTGTAATTTTGCTTGAAATGTCCAGTAAATCAGAAGAGAATGACTGAATAAGCACATTTATGTGTGTACGTGTGTATGTTAAAAATATAAATCAACTATTCTTAAGAATACCAAAGTATGAGAACAGAACACTATATTACAATTTGATAAAAATCTTTATCACTTAATAATACATACCAACTTGAACTCGTGCTACATTATAATTTTTTTCATTCATCAAATGACTAACCAATATGTCATTAAATAAAGAACCTAATGTTCTATGTATCTTCATTTAAAATAAACATAAAAATATGTTAAAGGAATAGTTGTTCAAAGCATAAAATTTATTTGAAATGCAAAATTGAACAAATAAACTTCTTACTTTTGTGGATGAATTCACTGCTTACCAGAATTCAATCAATTGAATACATTTACCTTACAAAAGAAATGCTCTAGTAAACAGTGAATGGCTCATTTTAACATTGTAAAGGTTACAAAAGTCACCATGCTGTGCTACAGAGAAACATTTAATACAGTGAAAAAGAAAAAACAGAAATCATCTTTACCAACAATTACTACACTTTTCATTGCAATGTCAGAGGGGTTTTTTGAAATAACTTTTTTTTAAATAGGGTAAATGCTTATCCCTACTGAGGTTAGGCAGTGCACTGGAGTGTTACATAAAGAAAATCTATTGGCCTTTTAGTTGTGGAAATGGGCTCTATATTCCAGAGAAATGCAGCTGTAAAATACTAAAAGTAAACTGAACTAAAGGAATTTCTTCCGACAACCCATGTCAAACAAGTAAGAGGCATATTTAATTGCTGTTTGAATCATTTATAACTATTGTCATGATGTAATGTATCCTGGCAATTACAGCCAGCTTTTTTCATTAGGTTTTCAGACTTAATTTCAGAAAATGAATTCATATTTAAAGCACAGAGCACCTGGTCTATGACTAAGCATTGCATCAATACAAACAATTGGACTGTTTGATGAGAGGAACATGCTTCTGGATTTAGTTGGCATTTTGTGACTACGGCTGCTAATTGCTAAATGGCTTGGCTGGTTTGACAAACTGACAATGATCCATGTATTTAAACTCTCTTTTTAGCTCTGTAGATCTTGCTCTGTATTGCGTGTGAGTTTTCAGAGTTGTTCCAAAGCCCAAATAACAGAAATTTATAGTAATTTAGAATAGTTTTAGAAACAAAATGTGAGTTTTCAAAGTTGTTGCAAAGCCCAAACAAATTAGAAATTTGCAGAGTAATTTAGAATAGTTTTAGGAACAATAGTGTCTAAGGTTCAGGCTGTAAACTAATTGGTTCATATCTTTGTAAGGACTTCAGAGGGCAAAAATTAGGATCAGAAATTCAAAGTGAAAGTATCTTCAGAAAGTCTTAAAAATAACAGGAATATTATTATTAGATGGTTACGTTAATGGTATATGCGATTTGTTTATCAACAAGTTCTATGTTTATGTTTCAACATATGTAATTCAGTCTTCCCAAGAAAAAAAATATTTACTTTTACATAGATATATTGATTAAAGGAATTACACATTTATGTTTCTAAAACACTTTCTTACCTATAATCTCATTTAATATCTACAACAGCATAAAGTAAATATTGTTGTTATTAGTATTCTATTTATAGATTAGGCATAGAAAAAGATATTTTAAATGTCCTCCTGAACTGTTCCTTTATTTATTTCCCTTCTTCTCTATGTTTAGTTTGAGGGTCCATAGCATCTACATCTCTGGGAAGCTTGTAAGAAATGCAGAATATTGGGCTCTATCAAATAACTACTGCATTAGAATCTGAATTTTTAATAAGACTCCTAAGTGGTTCATATAGACATTAAAGTTTGAATAGCAGTGATGTAAATTACATAAAGGTAATCTTTTAGTGGTTTGAAAATAAATATTGGCCTCTGATATTAAACCTTCATCCTATGCACGATGGCACAGAGCAGATCTCATTCACAACATATAAATACCCATATTTTTTCCTGGACATATAACTGGGTCACATTTCTATACTGTGATTAGCATATCAGGAGACACATTAATAATTAGTATTCCCTTAACTACGTAATCCAGAAGAGAATATAAAACCATATCAAGTTACATGAAAAACAGGGCTACTAAATTAAGTGGTTTAAAAGTGGTAAAAAAAAATTAAGGACTACTGTGTGCTAAGCCAGCTTACCACGCCTTGGTTATTGATTTGCAATTTTTACTATTTGAACCAGCCTGGTAAGACAGAACGTTCACACACCAGGTTAAGCGAAACAACTTTATTACTCACAGATAGGTAACAAGTGGCAATGGAAGCCTAGGATTTATGGCAAGCTGATCCTGCAAGGCTCAGGAGAACTTCCCAGGGTAAATGGACTCTTGTCTGCATGTGCTCCATGTTGTACCACAGCTAAGAGACCCCAAAAGCAATGAGCTGTGGGTTTTATGCCCAGGGGTCACTGAATTCATTGAGCTACAGTGTTGAGCTGTATCCCGTTCTAAGGACAGAACAGAGCCCAGGCTGTTCCAAATAGTTCCTCCGTACATCCGGATGTCGCATTCCTAGAACACTCTACATTATTCTGAGAAGTACAAACAAGAAAGGAGGGGAAAGAGCTAGGCTGGTTGTGGCCATCTGGGAACCTGTCCTGCATGAAGAAAAACACACACACACACATACACACACAAAAAAAAACAAAAGAGAGAGAGAGAGAAAGAGAAATTACAATCAGCTGAATTAGACAAAAATTGTTAAGAAAGCTTAATTTGAATTTGAAATTGAAGATAAATACAATGTCAACAGATACCTAAGAAGTGTTTCCTAGGGTGTAAGCAAAAGTCCAGATGTAAGGGAAAGGTATTTTTGTTTTGCTTTTTTTCCCTTGGGTGAATAAGTAGTCTGTTAGCTCAACTATGTTACACAATGGAAAGTTAAGAAATTCGACTGGTACGCCGGGCACGGTGGCTCACGCCTGTAATCCCAGCACTTTGGGAGGCTGAGGTGGGTGGATCACAAGGTCAGGAGTTCCAGACCAGCCTGGCCAAGATGGTGAAACCCCGTCTCTACTAAAAATACAAAAATTAGCCAGGCACTGTGGCAGGCACCTGTAATCCGAGCTACTCGGGAGACTGAGGTGGATAATTGCTTGAACCCGGGAGGCAGAGGTTGCAGTGAGCCAAGATGTTGCCACTGCACTCCAGCCTGGGAGACGGAGTGAGACTCTGTCTCAAAAATAAAATAAAATAAAAAGAAATACAACTGACAAAGTAAATGGGGTGATATTTGATTAAGAGTCTGGAAATCTCCTTAAGGTGTTTCCACTTTATTAGGTATCGTGATTCTTTAATGATTTTCATTAAGAGACCGATGTGATTGTAACAAGGTTTTCACAAGATCTGTGCATTGTTTGTAAAAAGAATGCTACAAAGGATAGAGAAAATGTTGAGGAAACAGCTTTCTCTTGAATCATCCAGGATATGAATGGGGATAGTGGTAGTAAGAGTAGATGAAAAGATTATTAGAAATAAATGTTGGAAATGGAGAACTACAATATTGAGTGCCAGTTGGGTGAGATAAATGAAGAAGAACACCGAATAAAAGTTAATTAAGTGGGTTTTAATTTTGCTTGAGAGATAATGGGCAAGGCATGAACAGAAATTAACAAATCAGAAAAAAATCAGTTTGGGACATATTGATATAAATTGGTCAGCTTTAGGATATTTAGTGTGTCTATGTTTCTATGATAATGAATGAGAGGAGAAAAACATATCATTTATGTATCTGAGAGTTATCAATAAAAAAAAATTTAGCTGTTGGCCAGGTGCGGTGGTTCACGCTTGTAATCCCAGCACTTTGGGAGCCCAAGGCGGGCAGAGCACGAGGTCAGGAGATCAAGACCAGCCTGGCCAACATGGTGAAACCCCGTCTCTACTAAAAATACAAAAATTTGCCATGCGTGGTGGCATGCGCTTGTAGTCCCAGCTACTCGGGAGGCTGAGGCAGGAGAATTGCTTGAAACCGGGAGGCGGAGGCTATAATGAGAGGAGATCGCACCACTGCACTCTAGCCTGGGCAACAGCGCAAGACTCCATCTCAAAAAAAAAAAACAAAAACAAAAAATTAGCTGTAACTGTGGAAGTGGATGACATTCTAGTGAAACCAAAGGGACAGGAGGGTAAGGATACATTTTAGTCTTCTTTACCCTTTTCTGGCTATGATGCTATCAGCATCCCAGTCAAAAATCTTACTGATTTTGAAATTTATTACATCTAATTATGGCATCCTTTTTTTTTTCACAGTTAAACAAGTTGTTAAAAGCTGGCTTTCCTCACTCTAATAAATGTAACAAAACAGCAAGGGCCACTGCCACATCCATTCTTTCTTCTCTCCTAAGTATAGAACTTGCTTTCCCTTTGGCATTAATAGCCTCCCCCTACACCCCCGCAAAAATTTCTGCAACTTTCTTTGCAGCAGCTAGTGTCATGTAACACAATTTTTTACCAATAAGATAAAGGAAGATGTTCCTGGGAGCCTTTTAAGGGGAATGTATTGATTTGACATGAGCCTCATTTGTGTTTTACCATCTTTCTTACGAAATATCAACTTTATGGCTGGATTTCTGGCTGCCACCTTTCAAATATAAAAATGAGGATATAACAAATGAACAGATGCAAATGATGGTAAAAGGGACTGATTTGCTTTGAAAGTATCTTGATGCCACAGCATCCATCCTAGATTTCCTTTTTAAAATTTTTCTAAATATGCTTTTTGGTTACATGTATGTTTCCTTTAGAAAAGCGTCTGTTCATGTCCTTTGCCCATTTTGGATTTTTTTATTGTAAATTTGTTTAAGTTCCTTATAAATGCTAGACACTAGACTTTGTTATATACAAAGATTGCAAATATTTTCTCCCATGCTGTAGGTTGTCTGTTTACTCTGTCAATAGTTTTCTTTTGCTGTGCAGAAGCTCTTAAGTTTAATTAGAACCCATTTGTTGATTTTTGCTTTTGTTGCAATTGCTCTTGGCATCTTCATCATGAGATTTTTGCACATTGCTATGTCCTGAATTGTATTGCTTAGGTTGTCTTCTACCGTTTTTATAGCTTTGGGTGTTATAGTTTTTAATCCATCTTGAGTTGATTTTTGTATATGGTGTAAGGAAGGGTCCAGTTTCAATTTTCTGCATATGGCTAGCCAGTCACCCAAGCACCATTTCTTCAACAGAAACTTTTTTCTGCATTGCTTGTTTTTGTCAGCTTTGTTGAAGAGCAGATGGTTGTAGGTGGGCAGCCTTATTTCCGGGCTCTGTATTCTGTTCCATTGTTCTATGTGTCTGTTTATGTGCCAGTACAATGCTGTTTTTGTTACTGTAGCCCTGTAGTATAATTTGAAGTCTGATAACATTAAGTTTCAGAAGAAAAGCTCAATATCACTGATCATTAGAGAAATGCAAATCAAAACCACAGTGAGATACCATCTCATACCAGTCACAATGGCTATTATTAAAAAGAACAGATACTGGCGAGGTTACAGAGAAAAGGGAACACTTGTACACTGTTGATGAGAGTTTTCATAAGTTCAAACATTGTGGAAAGCAGTGTGGCAATTAATCAAAGGGCTAAAAACAGAAAATTCGACCTAGCAATCCCATTACTGAGTATATACCCAAAGGAATATAAATCATTCTTCCATAAAGACACACACACGCATATGTTCATTGCAGCACTATTCAAAATAACAAAGGTGTGGAATCAACCTAATGCCATCAGTGCTGATTGGATAAAGAAAACGTGGGACATATGCACCATGGACTACTTCACAACCATAGAAAAGAAGGAGATCATGTCCTATGCAGGAACATGGATGGAGCTGGAGGTCATTATCCTTAGCAAACTAATGTGGAAACAGGAAACCAAATAATGCATGTTTTCACTTATAAGTGGGAGCTAAATGATGAGAACACTTGGATACAAAGAGGGAACAACAGCCACTGAGGCCAACTTGAGGACAGAGAGTGGGAGGAAGGTGAGGATCAGAAAAATACTAGGCTTAATACTCAAGTGATGAAATAATCTGTAAAACAAACCCCCATAACATGCATTTACCTGTATAACAAATCTGCATATGTATTCTTGAACCTAAAATAAAAGTAAAAAAAAAATGAAGTTCCTACAAATAAAACAATTTTTAAACATGGATGGAAATGGAGGCCATTATCCATTGCAGACTAATGCAAGAACAGAAAACCAAATATCTCATGTTCTCACTTATAAGTGGGAGCTACATGATGAGAACACATGGACACGTAGAGGGAAAAAACACACACAGGGGCCTATTGGCAGGTGGAAGGTGGGAGGAGGGAGAGGATCAGGAAAATAACTAATGGGTACTGACTTTAAACTTGGGTGATGAAATAATCTGTACAACAAATCCCCATGACAAATGTTTACCTATGTAACAAATCTGTGCTTGTACACCTGAACTTAAAAGTTAAAACAATTATGTAAACCACTGTTTTCTCTTAGCTAAGTTCAATTCCTAATTGATAAAATTAACTCAATGTGTTTTTGACCCTATCTTAGTCAATCTGAATATGCAGACTCTATATCATTATGGGCAATGTGTACATTTCAAGGGAAAGGAATGTTGGTGTACCACACTGAGCTGCATAATCAATGTGGCTTAACAATGTGTTAAACTAGGTGTAGATTTTAAAGAAAGGTGTGGTTTTTAGATGACAGGTGTATTTATGACGGTAGTATTACTTCAGTTTCTGTTCCAATTGTCTTATGTTGGTAGGAGCAAACATGAATTCCATCCTAGCAACCACAGCATCAATTACAGGTACCAGCTGAGAAAGCATAACAACCTAAAGTTCCTTGATTTTATATTCCTATCATGCTGGGCTACTGTGCTGTGAAATGCATGCAGATCTATTAGGGGGTGATAAAAAGCAACATGATTAACAGGTGATTTATATCCTTTGAGATTGACGGCATATAGAGAATAGTGACAAATGGGGGATCTAGTTGGATTGAGACAGATTATATTAAAAATAAAAAGCCTGATTACTTATCTTGTGTAATTCATCATTCTTACCTTCATCAGTTATCTCCCCTTCTCCCTGCACAGTAACCAGCGATGCTAACTCCCACCCTCACTCCCAAAAAAGTACATGCTTGACTTACGTGACTTATACTATTAGAGAAAATTCAGGTTTTACTGTTCAGGAACATGTAAAAGTCCCCAAATTATACTCTGCAAATGATGATATTATAAAAATATTCAAATTGTATGGGGGAATTTAAAAAGTCCAACTCATATTGCAAGTGCATTTGCCTTATCCATTCAAAACCCCAGTCAAACATAACTAGGAGCTGATATATCAATGCTTCATACAATCCAGGTGAAAAAATTATCTGACTTTTATTTAAAAATGTGCAAAAATAATAAAATTCAGATTTTTGAACACCATACTAGACCGACTGTATCAGCATATTTAGAGGTGGTAACTAAACATTTTAAATTAAAGTAAAACAAAATGAAGACTCTTTTAGTTGGTCTTGGATTTTTAGAAACAATAATAGCTATGTAATAAACTTTTTTAGTATTTCAAAATTTGGGCACCTTTGCATTTTCACCATTACATAAAAATTCATTAGTTTAATATTGTCATGAAGTCTTTTCCAAATACTTCAAAATCTTATTTTAAAACTAAGTAATTTTGCAATAATTAACACTCTTCAGTCTCATATAGTAAAACTCGTGAGCATAATTATCAGCATCAGCAATTTCTAAAAATTTGTTAAGCTTACTTTTAAGCATCTGATCAATTCAGCATATTCTCTTCAAACATTCCAAGCAAATTGATTTTTACTATTTTTTTAATAAATGGTATTCAAAATTTTAAGATTGTATTTAAATTGTCAGAAATGAGGGCAATAATGCAAACTCTCAAAGGATATAGAATCTCATAAGCACAAATGAATCTATTTTAATGATGGTTAGTTGGTGGAGGCTTCAGATGATTTCAGTTGTGTTGTTATCTCTGTTGTCTGCATGACCTAATAGCAGAAGAACTTCACTGTGAGAGAAGAAAAGAAGGAAGGAAAGAAGGAAGGCAGAGAAAGGAAGAAAGAGAGAAAGAAAGAAAGAGAGAGAGCGAAAAAAGAAGAAAAAAAGAAGCAAAAGAAAGAAAGAGAAAGAAAAAGAAAGAAAGAAAGGAAAGAAAAGGAAGGAAAGAAAGAAAAGAAAGAAAAAGAAAGAAAGAAAAAGAGAAAGAAAGAAAAAGAGAAGAGAGAAATAAAGAGAGAAAGGAAGGAAGGGAAAGAAAGAAAAGAAAAGAAAGAAAACTTATGACCTAAGGAACATGCTTTCTGACTGGGAATTGGATTCCACAACTCAACCGCATCATCTGCCTGCTGGTCATCAGAACCCACAGGAGTTGGGTAAAGAAAATAACTCACCATCCTCGATATAAACCTAAGAATTTATGTGTATTCCTCAGAGATGCACCTGCAGAGTGGGTTGGAACATTTACAATTCATAACATGCCATTGTTCATACTGGTAATCAAACCAGTTTAACTGCTGAAGAACAAGATCACCACAATCATTATCAAAGATGCAAATAAACAGAAAATTAGAATGACAGTAATACTCTGTCAAGAGGTTCTATGGTAATATGATTTGTTGTAATACAGCAATTCCTGTATCACATCTTGTGATGTTTTCATGAACCAGTTTCTAAAAAGAATTTAATATGCAAATATGCCAGCAGAATTGAGAATACAGCACATACCTAGTGTTTAATTTTAAATATGCATGAAGCATAATATCTTCATGTTTAATTCTGTTATAATTTTGGGGGTTTATATTTCCACATTCAATTTTTATGTTTCTTCTTTTTGTTATTAACATACAGATACGAGAGCAATTTCCTGAAGAATAACTTTCAAGGCTTCTCCCTTGACAAAGATAAAGTTGTTATTACAGGGCATGACTAAAGTAATCTCCTTTCTGTTGATTCACTAGCACACAATGTGATTTTCTCTTAAAATTTTTATCAAGATTATTTATGCACAATACGGGCTTAACAACCCATAGTGATAAGTGAAAATACAAAAGTGCATTTTACCATGAACATATAAAGGTGTTAAACTTATTTCAAGGTACATCAATAATTTATTTAAGGCAATCTTCATAAAGTTAGGACACTAGTTTTGTTTTTATTGTTCTGCAAAACTGCTTGTCTAAAACTCATTTTTAAAAGATAATGTAGGAGTTTTAATGGAAACATACAAGTGGATTATTTAATTTATTTTTAATTAGTGTACTTACTATTCTCATGTCTTATGATGTAGATTAATCTTTCTCTTTATATATACCTGATACATGTTTCCTGAGTAAACTTACAGAGATTATTTACGCTCTGGTGTATGTTGCCACACACGGGTGTAGGAAAATATTCTTGATCACTCTATTATTTTGTTAATGATTATAATATAAATGGTCATTAACTTTGGTACCGAACACTAGGTTAATGATGTTCAGATATTCCTTTTATAGTTCCAGTTCAAAGTCTAGTTTATAAGAAAAGAGTTTTAACATAAACAAGGTCATTGAAGTCAGTGCTTCTTGGTGATGAAATTGAGATTAAATCATGCTATTTACACATCAAAAGCCTGATTAACATAAAATGCCTGTAACAATTACACAGCCCAGGCACACAGATCAACTCATGAATCAACATAAACTACTTTTATCAGAACCACTAACATTTTAGGAGTTGTGAATTTATCACTGATTTACTTTTTTAAGAAATTTCAAGTATGACAGTCAAAAACCCTTAAATTTCTAATTTACAAGGCAGTTGAACATAGTCACTAGAAATTAAGAGCAAATGCATCAAACTTCTCTGTCTACCACAAATACATTCTTCTTCCTTTTATATATGTACTCTTTAGGGTCACCAGTGGAGTCTTCTCAATTCCCAGTCCCCTTCTGTGAAATCAAAACCTTCCTTCCTATTCGGAGTATCAGTGACAATTTTATCTCTATCCTCTATTTAACCTCTCTCACATTGTAGCTAGTGCAGACCTGTTTTTTTTCCTAAGCTATAGTAAAGTTGTTTGTACTTTCACTTTGCCACAGAATTTACACTTGCACTGTTATTACCAACTACTCTAAAAATAGAATTGAGAACCTGCTATGAGTCAGAGGTTTTAGGTCATTTCCCATCCTCTAACGGTGTCCTGTTTTAGCCTAGGAATGGGAAAATGGAATAGTGGATATTATCAGCTTCTAATCTCTAACTTAGATATTCTCACCTCTCAAAACACACACACACACACACTTACAATTGGTCCCATTTCTCCATGGTTGGGTCCAAGGAAGTAACATTAGAGAAATTCCTCATGACCACACGGGAGGCATATGTGGGATCTGTCATTGGCCTGGTGGGTGATTAGAGCTGTTTCTTTCTCTCACATACACTTTTATGGCTTTCACAGATGTCCCATCCCCTGAACGTTCAACAGATAGCCTCTTGGTAAGAAAGCTGTTTTTGTTTTTTCGGGGTAAACGGATTACAATCTCTTTCTATAAATATTCTTTCTAATACAGTCAGCTTGCACAGCAAACTCATAGAGCTCTCCCCTACTCCCAAACAACCTCCCCTCACCTCTTAATTCTTACTAACTTTTGCTGAGGTGATGGGATAAGGGTACTAGCGCTGGTTTGTAGCATGTATTTGCAAGTCCTGTATCAGTTCATTCCTTAGGCAACACTGGGCATTTGTTCACTGCCAGGAAGTATTCTGACCACTGAAAATGAACAAAAGAAAAAAATCTGCCATCATTGGGCTTAAAAACTTTTTTAAAAGACTCACATATATAATGATGTACATGATGCTAATTGCTAAGGAAGAAAAATAAGTAGAAAAGGCAATATGAAGTATGTATGTGTTGGTAGATGGAGTTGAACTTTTAAACAGCATTTCCAGAGCAAGTCTCCCTGAGAGAGTGAATTTGACTGGAGATCTAAAGAGGAGATAGGGGATAATATTTCCAGAAAAAGTGATCAACCTGTTCAAAGGGCCACGAAGCAAGAGCACACCTAGATGTCTAAGAAGCATGCAGAATCCACAGCCAAGAGAGTAGAATGAAATGGGTTAAGGCGGCAAAGAGAGGTAAAGTGGGGAGGACCAAGAAGTGCCATGTGCCACTCATAGGACTTGTGGGTTCTAAGCACTCTTGGATTTTTACCCTAAGGAGATAAGAGGCCACCGGAGGGTTTTGAGCAAGGGATGGGAATAAACTTGTTTGTTATGCCTTATTTTGGTCACTATGATTGCTGTGCTAAAACTACTGTGAAAAGGGCAAGGGCAGGAATATGGAAATCAGTTACTAGATTCTTGCAATTACCTGGCAAGAGGTAATGTGACTTGTACCAGGATGGTGGCAATGCAGTTGTTGAGAAGTCAAGTTTGGTATGTATCTAGAAAGTAAAGTCAATCTTATTCACTGGAAACTAGATGTGGGTGAGAAAGAGAAGAGTCAAGGAAACCAAGTTTTGTGGCTTTAGCAAATAGAATAAGGGGGCAAAATCTCAGGAGCTGAGATGTTAAGATTACGGGAGCAGGCTTAAGAGTAGGAGGGGTGGGATCATATGAATTTTTAGATGTGGATTATGGTCGTATCTACAGGTGTCAGGTAAGATGTTAAATACATGAACCTGGAAGTCAGTAGATAAGTCATCACCTCAATTTTTTTCCACCAAATGTTTGATTTCCAACATATGGATTGCAACAAAAATAGAGAGCAGTCATTGTACATATTCTAATCTAATGCCTTGTACCATGTACATTGTCTCATTTGATTGAAAACTAAAAGAATTCCACGGCTATTATTTCCCCAATGTAACAAGTTAGGAGAAGGAGACTAAATTTTATAGTTATTTTGTCATTTTAGATAATAGATAAAATCACTTACTGTATGTTTCTGAGAACATTAATGGTTAAAAATCAAGGTTCTAGTTAGAGCAACTCATGCCATTTTGAAGATCAAAAAGTCTTTTAAAGAACACAACTTATGTTCTAGCTTTTCTCTTAAATGAGATATCTTTTCTTTGTCTGGGCCCCAAGTGCCTCTACATTTCTAAGATGTATGATATACATTTGTCTGTGTTTCCAGATTTCCCAGACTTCATGACACCCTGTTCACACAAATACAAAAGCTCAAAGTCAGACAACTCTTATCTTGATTCCTCAAAATCATCTACAAAGAACCTCTTCAGAGGAGGGTGTTTTGGCTTCTCCAGAGTGCTTAGGAGCTTCTAGATTTTGGAAGACGCTCTGACCCACTCATTCATAGAACAACTTTCATGGGAAGGGCAGAGGAGCACAGAGGCCAAGACACACCCTACCCTCTGGAGAAGTGGACACAGGTTTGAGGTCTGAGGACAAGTAGCATGACCACATCAGAATTTACAAACACAGCGATGTGCCAGCCCCATCAATCATTTTAGACTTAATTTATTTAACAAGTACTTATTGAATGCCTTCCAGGAAATAAGACTTGTGCTAAGCTAGCAGTTTTTGAAATGGTCCAGGGACCCCAGGAGTGTCTAAGATGCTTTCAGGGGGTTCATGAGATTAAGACTATTCCATGGTAATATTAAGAAGTCATTTTGGCACACACCTGTAATCCCAGCACTTTGGGAAGCCGAGGCAGGCGGATCACGAGGTCAGGAGATCCAGGCCATCCTGGCCAACATGGTGAAACCCCGTCTCTACTAAAAATACAAAACAAAATTAGCCGGGCGTGGTGGCGGGCGCCTGTAGTCCCAGCTACTCGGGAGGCTGAGGCAGGAGAATGGCGTGAACCCGGGAGGCGGAGCTTGCGGTGAGCCGAGATCGTGCCACTGCACTCCAGCCTGGGCGACAGAGTGAAACTCCGTCACAACAACAACAACAACAACAACAACAACAACAACAACAAAAGAAGTCATTTGCCCTTTTTGCTAAGAAATTTCACTTTCATATGAACCATGACACTGATTTAACAACTTCTCCCAAATGACACGGATCTTTTAATTATTTTTTTTCCTTGGGAGTTATATTTTTAAATTTATTTTGTATACTATAAGACATATATTCAATAAAATCTTCCCTACTTTAAATTGTATATTAATAATTAATAAGCTTTGGATTCCAAAAAACAACCTTCAAAGTATAATAGATTATATATATACCACGTGCTTCCTGATGTTAAGTGAAGGAAATGCTTATTCTGCAGCTGGGCTTTGTGGGGCTGGCTTGGACCAAAGTTTTCGTGTCTCCCTCTTTCCAGGAACCAGGATGAAGGAGCGGCTACTATATTGAGCAAAGTACTGTCCTAGTTGAGGGCAGAAGCTGGAAGGGGAGAAGGATGAGGAAAGGATCCTAACTATACAGTGCACTTAAAGTTCCAATTTGAATGTGGTTTATGATGTGTCTGTTTACATTCAGTTGAGAGAATAAAATCCAATTCATATTTATCTCTTGGTCTAAAATGCAAATGAATAAGTTAAAAAGCAATTATATTTCAGTCACACATATTCCATTTATACTGAATGAGTCAGCTGAGGTTTACATCCATTCTATATTCTTCAGCAGTTGCTTTAGTCGTTTTTATGGTATGACCCTGTATTTATGTCCCGCCAGATAGCGCTTTTTCTAGATGTGATGATCCTTGGCACGTTGTCAGCTGAGGAATACTGTCATGTATTCCTGGTTGCCAAGAGGTTTTTTCACAAACAGAAAGGGCCACAGAATCCAAAAAAGCAAATAAGCTATTGAAGTTTATAACATAAAGTAAGTTAAACAAATTGGATATGAACTTCTCACAGAAGAAATCTCTTGATTTTTTATATAGATGTGTACAATAGTTTCTCACCCTTCTGAGAGAGATTCTAAAACTTTTCATCTCTGAGATAAAGAAAAAAAACAAATCATGCCAGGGAATGAAACCATGCTTTTAAAGTCAGCATGATTACATTTTTTTAAGGTACTACTGTGAGGGGGAAAAGTCATTGGAACAAGAAGCAGAACTTGATTTTTTGGATGTGCAGGAAGGGAATTCTTTCTGTTTCAAAGTTAAATCAGGAAAGATAAGCTGAGAATACTTTGCTTTGCTCTATAATTTAGGTATAACCAGATTTACTCAAAAATTAGGCGGGGATATTTTTTGAGGGAGTAAAGAAAATTGTACTTGGTGATTAATTAATATAATCCAATTGTATATTACTTCATTTCAAAATTATTTAAGAAGCATGTTATACCATCAAAGTCTCCATCCAAAATACATTTAACCAGTGGTTACTCAGCCTCCCCAACCCTAAGTTCACTTTAAAGTAGGTTTTATCTGAGATCCAGGACACATATTCTGGATATGTGTATCTGTATGTACACATACACATGCATACATTAATGTATGTGCATATTCAAAGATGCTTACATACATGTCATACACATGTGACATACATATGCATATATGTCATATATACTTACATGCATGAAACAAACATTTCATGAAACTGTAATTACTATGTTTTACTCTGTTATTTCTGTTCTGTTTAATTTTTTAAAATTACATAGTAAATATATTTTATGACTCACCAATTCGCAAAGCACTGTTTTAAACCGTTTGTTTCACCTTTTGGTTATAAATAAAGACACACACAAAAACTGCTTTAGAGAGAATACAAATGTATTAATTAATATTTGATATCTCAGGAAGGGCCAGAGAATCAGTTTTGGAGTTTACACAACCAGAGCTTACACTCAAACCATACGATGGAACAACTGTTCATAGGACCCTTCATGGCTGTTGCTGGGCACAACCGCTGTTTGTGTCACAGACACTGGACACTGTAAGCTGCCTTTGAAAGATCTGGCTCTGCTGACACTGAAGACACATAGGAGGGCACCATTTCTTGATATCTCAAGTTTATGAATAAAGGCTCGAGCAATATTTCTGATCGTTGGGGCTTGTATTAGCTTCAGCTGCCAAAACAACATACTACACACTGAGCAACTTATACAACAGATATTTAATTTTTCACAGTTTTAGGAGGTGGAAGTAAAAAATTCAGGTGCCTGCAAGGCTAGTCTGATGAGATCTCTCTTCCAGGCGTGCAGGCGGCCACCTTCTCTCTGTGTCCTCACATGGCCTTTCTTCTACGAGTATGCTGAGTAAGGAAGAGAGCTCTGGTGACTCTTCTTACAAAGACACTAGTCCTATGGAGTGAAGGCCCAACCTTCATGATCTTATTTAACCTTAATTATCTCCTTAAGGGGCATACATCCAAATACAGTCATATTGGCAGTTAGGGCTTCGGCATATGAATCTTAGAGGGACACAATTCAGTCTATAACAAGGCTCATGTCACATGTCTGAATATTGCCTGATGCAAGCCTCAGAAGATGATTTTCTGGTGAGTTTCTACCTGGGTGAGGCACATACTATCAATATGGTCAGTTTCACAAACATAGGAAACATATATAAACCTTTTGGACCACCAAAAAGTGTGATAAATGTCATCTGCACTGTAAAACAAGGAAAATCTGCCCCATATTTATAAATCTTCACAGTAAAAGATTTTCCAATTTGGAAATCTACAACAATAAGAAAACCACAAATTAATTGAAAAATATAATATAGCACACATTATCGATTTGACTAAAAGATTTAATCCTGTGTACACTGTTACATATTTTTCATAGATATTTTCAATAATTCATTCTAGTTAATGCTTTATTTAAAACAATGGGAGACAGTCTAATTTGACGTATGATAAAGAATATATTCTCCTGATGACATGTATTATGTCACCCTAAATTACTTAAGACATCTGCCAAATCAATAATAATTCAGTTAATCTGGCAAACACATAACAAATAAAAACAATTATACACTTGAAAATTATGTTGACTCCTTTTCCTTTTTATAAATAACAAATTAAATTCTCTGTTAAGACATTTGTTTAACACTGATAGTCTTAATGCAAGTTACTTTTACAGATAACATGGTAATATTTTCAAAAAATTGGAAAATGGTGTCGTAAATTACACATTATTATTATAGAGCCTCAACATCACTTGGTGATTTATAAAATTGACCTTGTCAATATTCATAAAAGTGGTGTAAATTATGTCTGATAAAAACATAACAATCCACATAAGCCTGATGTTTAGCTTCTCATATGCATGACATAGGCTTGATTAGGAGAGCAATTTTGTCACTTTTTTTTAAATTAATTTTTATGGGTACATAGTAGATGTATATGCTTATGGGATATATGAGATATTATGATATAGGCATACAATGTGTAATAATCACCTCAGTGTAAGTGGAGTGTCCATCACCTCAAGCATGTATCATTTCTTTGTACTACAAATGTTCTAATTATACACTTTTATTTTTAAATGTACAATAAATTATTTCTGACTACAGTCATCCTGTTGTGCTATCAAATACTGGATCTTGTTAATTCTATCAACTATACTTTTGTACCCATTAACCATCCCCATTCCTCACTCCCCTCTACCCCTCCCAGCCTCTGGTAACTATCATTCTACTTTCTACCTCCACGAATTCAATTGTTTTAATTTTAACACCCACAGATGAGTGAGAACATGTGAAGTTTGTCTTTCTGTCCCTGGCTTATTTCACTTAAATCATGTCCTCCATTTCCATCCATGTTGTTGGAAATGACAGGATTGCATTCTGTTTTATGACTGAATACTATTTCATTGTATATATGTTCCACGTTTTCTTTGTACATTTGTCTGTTGATGGACACAGGTTGATTCCAAATCTTGGCTATTGTGAATAGTGCTGCAATAAACACGGGAGAGCAGTTATCTTTTCAATACACTGATTTCTTTTCTTTTGGGTGTATGCCTAGCGGTGGGACTTCCGGGTTACAAAATAGTGCTATTTTTATTTTTCTGAGGAACCTCCATACTCTTCTCCATGCAGATATACTAATTTACGTTCCCACCAAGTTTATGAGAGTTCTCATTTCTTCATATTCTCACCAGCATTTGTTATTGCTAGTCTTCTGGATAAAAGCCATTTTAACTGGAGTGCAGTATATGTCATTGTAGTTTTGATTTGCATTTATCTGATAAGCAATGATTTTGAGCACCAACTCATGTACTTGTTTGCCATTTGTATGTCTTTTTTTTTTTTTGAGACGGAGCCACACTCTGTCGCCTAGGCTGGAGTGCAGCGAACATCATCTGTCTTGGCTCACTGCAACCTCCGTCTCCCAGGTTCAAGCGATTCTCCTGCCTCAGCCTCCCCAGTAGCTGGGATTATAGGCACACGCCACCATGTCCAGCTAATTTTTTGTACTTTTTAGTAGAGACAAGATTTCACCAGGTTGGCCAGGCTGTTCTCGAACTCTTGACCTCAGGTAATCCACCAGCCTCTGCCTCCCAAAGTGCTGGGATTACAGGTGTGAGCCACCGTGCCCGGCCAGTATGCCTTCTTTTGAGAAATGTCAATTCAGAACTTTTGCACATTTTAAATCAGATTATTAGATTTGTTTTTCCTATAGAGTTTTTGAGCTCCTTACATATTATGGTTATTAATCCCTTGTCAAATGGATAGTTGGCAAATATCTTCTCCCATTCTGTGTGCTGTCTCTTCACTTTGTTGTTTGTTTCCTTTGCTGTGCAGAAACTTTTTAACTTGATGTTATTCCATTTGTTCATTTTTGCTTTGTTTTCCTGTGCTGTTGGAGTAATACTCAATAAATCTTTGCCGAGACTAATGTCCTCGAGGGTTTACCTAGTGTTTTATTTTAATAGTTTCATAGTTTGAGGGCTTAGATTTAAATCTTTGATCTGGATTTAGTTTTTGCATATGGTGAGAGATAGGGTCTAGTTTCATTCTTCTGCATATGGATATTCAGTTTTTCCAGCGCCATTTATTGAAGAGACTGTTCTTTACACAAACTATATTCTTGACAGCTTCATAAGAAACAAGTTCACTGTAGATGTATGGATTTAGTTCTGAGTTTTCTATTTTTTTCTGTTGGTCTATGTGTCTGTTTTTATGCCACTACTACACTGTTTACTTACAATAGGTCTACAGCATAATATGAAACCAGGTAATGTGATTCCTCCTGTCTTGTTCTTTTTGCTGAGGATGGCTTTTGCTATTTTGGGTCTTTTTTGGGTCTTAAAATTTCCACGTAAATTTTAAGATTTTTTTTTTAATTTTTGTGAGAATGTCATTGGTATTTTGATAAGGATTGCATTAAATCTGTAGCTTGCTTTGGGTAGTATGGACATTTTAGCAATAATTCATTCTTCTAATCCATGAAAATGAAATATCTTTTATTTTTTTGTGTGTCCTCTTCAACTTTTTGTATCAATGTTTTATAGCTCTTATTGCAGAGATCTTGTACTTCTTTGGTTAATTCCTAGGTATTTTATTTTATCTGCAGTGTTTGTAAATGAGATTACTTTCTTGATTACTTTTCAGAATGTTCGCTATTGGCATATAGAGATGCTACTGATTTTTGTATGTTGATTGTTTGTCCTAAAACCACAAACCTAAAACCTAAAACCACCTCTAAGGTAAAATACTTGTGTTAAAAAAAAAAAGGAAAGCGGGGTACAGTGTACATCACACACAAGGCCCAGCAATCTCTTGCACGTAACATTTACTACTTTGACCACGTCAACCTTATCTATCAAAGTAGCCATCCATTAATTCCTTCCCACACTCCCTTTTTCTTTTCCAGTTCTAACTTCTTATTGAAATAAGTATAATTTCACATGCCAATAAACATGAATATGTTTATCAGTTCTAATAGATTTTTTTTGTGGAATCTTTAGGTTTTTCTAATATAGAATCATATAATCTTCAAACAAGGACAGTTTTACTTCTTCCTTCCCAATTTGGATGCCTTTTATTTTTTTCTTTTGGCTGATTGCTGTAGCTAGGACTTCCATTGCTATTTTGAAAAATCGTGGTGAACGTGGGCATCCTTGTCATATTCCGGATATTAGAGCAAAGGCTTTCTGTTTTCCCTCATTCAGTATGATATGAGCTGTGTCTGTTGTACATGGCCTTTATATTGTTGAGGTATGTTCCTTCTATACCCAGGTTTTTGAAGGTTTTTATGATAAAAGGATACTGAATAATATCAAATGCTTTTTTAGTGTCAGTTGAAATAATCATATGGTTATTTTCCTTCATTCTGTTGATACACTGTATCACATTGATTTATTTGTGGATATGGAATCATCCTTGCATCCCTAGGATGAATTCCACTTAGTCATAATGACTAGTCTTTTTACTGTGTTGTTGAATTCAGTTTGCTAGTATTTTGTGGAGGATTTTTGCGTCAGTGTTCATGAGGAATATTGGCCTTTAGTTATTTTGTTGTTGTTTTGGGGTTTTTTTTTTTTTTTTTTGATATGTCTTTGTTTGGTTTTGGTATCAGAATAATACTGGCCTCATAGCTTGATTTTGGAAGTACTCCCTCCTCCTTTATTTTTCAAAATAGTTTGAGTAGGGTTGGTATTAGTTTTCATTTAAATGTTTGCTAAAATTCAGCAGTGAAGCCATCAGGTCCTGGGCTTTTTTTATCAAAAAACTTTTTATTATGGCTTCAATCTCTTTAGTTTTTTTGGTCTGTTCAGGTTTTGGATTTCTTCATGATTCAATCTTATCCATGTCTAGGAATTTATCCATTTCTTCTAGATTTTCCAATTTATTGGCATATAGTGCCTCCTAGTACTCCAAAGATTCTTTGAATTTCTGTAGTATCGACTGTAATGTCTCCTTTTTCATGTATGATTTTATTTATTTGGATCTTCTTTCTGATTTTTAATTTGGCTAAAGGTTTGTCAACATAGTTTATCTTTTCAAAAAGCCAAATTTTCATTTCATTTATCTTGTGTATATTTTATTTCAATTTCTTTATTACTGTTCTGTTCTTCATTATTTCTTTTCTTTTACTAACTCTGTCTTGAAATGTATTTGTCTGACATAAATATACAGCTACTCCTGCTCTTGTTTGGTTTCTATTTGCATGGAATATCCTTTTCCTTCCCTTTATTTTCAGTCTGTGTGTGTCTGTATAGGCAAAATGTGTTTTTTGTAGGCAACAAAAAATAGCAAGATTTGGATCTTGCTATTTTATCCATTAAGCTACTCTATATCTTCAGATTGGCGAGTTTAGTCCATTTACATTTAATGTTATTATTAATAACTAATAACTCACTACTGCCATTTTGTTATTTGTTTTCTGGTTGTTTTGTGGTGTTCTGTTCCTTCCTTTTTTCCTTCCTGTATTCCTATCAGTAAACATGATTTTCTTTGGGGTATGTTTCAATTTTTGATTATTATTATTATTATTATTATTATTATTTGAGTTATTTTGAGACAGGGTTTTCCTCTGCTGTCCAGGCTGGAGTGCAGTGGCACAATCATGGCTCACTGCAACCTTGACCTCCTGGGTTCAAGGGATCCTCCCTCCTCAGCCTCCCAAATAGCTAGGACTACAGGCAAGTACCACCACGCCCAGCTAATTTTTAAATGTTCCATAGAAACAGGGTCTCCCTATGTTTCCCAGGCTGTTCTGAAACTTATGGGTCTAAGCAGTCCTCCTGCCTTGGCCTCCCAAAGTGTTGAGATTATAGGCATGAGCCACTGTGCCCAGACTTTAAAAAATATTTTGTATATCTGTTGTATCTTTCTGACTTGTGGGTACCATGAGGCTTGCAAATAACATCTTATGATCTGTTATTTTAAACTGATGACATCTTAACTCTGATTGCAAAAACAAACAAACAAAGAAGCAAAGGGAAAACTAATACAAACTCTTCACTTTACCCTTATCCCCCTGATTTTTAACTTTTTGTTGTTAGTTATAATGTCTGCCTTGAAAAATTGTTGTAGTCATTTTTAATAGTTAATCTTTTATCTTTCTAATTAAGATATAAGTACCTTACCCACCACAATTACAGTGTTATAATATTCTATGTTTGTCTGCATACTTACTATTATCAGTGACTTTGGGGCCTTAAGATGATTTCTTATTGCTCTTTGAAGTTATTTTCTTTCAGACTGAAGAATTCCTTTTAATATTTCTTGTAGAAAAGGACTGATATTGAGGAAAATTCCTCGGGTTTTGTTTGTCTGGGAGTCTTTATTTCTTCTTCATGTTTGAAGGATATTTTCATGAGATATACTATTCTAGGTTAAAAGTTTTTTGTTTTTTTCCATCAGCACTTTAAATATATTATGCTACTCTCTCCTGGCCTGTAAGCTTCCATTGAGAAGTTGGCTGCCAGATGTTTGCAGACTCATAGAGGCAACACCTTAATGGTCTTCGGTACAATCCAGAATAATTATCTGGATTACCAGCAAGAGTCTTGTTCTCTTCCCTTTCTTTCCCCCAAACAAATAAGAGTCTTTCTTTCTGTGTTAAGCTCTCTGGAGCTGGTGGAGGGGTGACACAAGTACTCCTGTTGCCACCACCACTTGGAGTGTGCTAGGTCAGACTCAAATCCAGCACAGCACTGGATCACACCCCAGGCCTGTGGCAAGTACTGCCTGGCTACCACTGATATTCACTCAAGGTCCAAGAGTGATCTTGTGGTGAATGACGTCAGGCCTGGATCTTTCAATTTAATGCAGCAGCCTCCGCTCTGGCCCAAGGTGGATCCAGAAATGCTGATGAGGGGCCAAGGCCTGAAATTGGTGTCCCTAGGAGAGCCCACTCGTTGCTCCATCACTCTATCATCAAGCTTGTACTCAAGCTGTAAGACAAAGTCTCATTTACTCTTCCCTCTCCTTTCCTCAAGCAGGAGTCTCTCCCCATGGCTACCACATCTGGAAATGCTCTGGGTCACCCCCAAATCCAGTTCTATACTGGGTGTCACCCAAGGCCCACAGTGAATACTACCTGATTACCACTAAGGTGTATTCAAGGCCCAAGGGCTCTTTAGGCAGTAGGTGATGAATCCTGTCAAGACTGGGCCCTTCCCTTCAAGGTGTGGGTTCCTTTCTGGGCCAGGGTGTGTCTACAATTGTTATCTGGGAGCTAGGGCCTAGAATGAGGTGCCCTATTCTACTGTGTCTGAGCTGGTCTATAACTTGAAAGACAAAGTCCTTCTTACTCTATCCTGTTTTCTCCACACATAGATGAAAGGAGTCTTTCCTGGAGCTAGGAGTTCCAATGCCTGGGGTTGGAGGAGGGGTGGCACAAGCACTCCCCTGGACTCTGGCTGAAGTCTCACTAGGTCATGTGTACCTCACATCTGCTGGCTCTGAGCCCAGCACAGCACCAGGACTTGCCCAGGAATTGCAGTCCTTGTGGCCTAGAGCATCTTTCAAGTTTATTTAGGACCCCAGGGTACTTCAGCTCATGAAGGTTGGGCTAGCTGTAACTCAGGTTCCAAATGCTAGGATGGATGATTACCCTCTGGCTAGGGCTGGTCTAAATGCTCACTCCCTGTGTGTCAACCGAATTTGCCCTGTGTTGCTTTCCGCAGTGACAGAACAGCACTGAGTTCCAATGCAGAGGCCCGCGCTCACTATGCTGTCTTTTCCCCAAGCACACAGATTCTCTTTCTGCACCACGTGGCCACTGCTGGCGGATGAGGGAGGGATGGGGTAGGCAGTTCAAGACTGTCTCTCCTACACTCTTTAGTGCCTCTTTCCTTGATATCATGTTAAATTTCGGCACTGTGATTGTTACTTGATTTTTGGTTCTTATAAAGGCACTTTCTTGTGTGGATAGTTGTTCACTTCGATGTTCCTGTTGGGAGGACAATTACTGGAGGGTTCTGTTCAGCCATCTTGTTCTCTCACTCTATCTTTTAAAACCAAATAGTAGGCCTGGTGCGGTGGCTTGCGCCTGTAATCCCAGCACTTTGGGAGGCCGAGGCAGGCGGATCATGAGGTCAGGAGATCGAGACCGTCCTGGCTAACACGGTGACATCTCGTCTCTACTAAACATACAAAAAATTAGCCGGTCGTGGTGGTGGGCACCTGTAGTCCCAGCTGCTTTGGAGGCTGAGGCAGGAGAATGGTGTGAACCCAGGGGGCAGAGCTTGCAGTGAGCCGAGATCATGCCATTGCACTCCAGCCTGGGCGATACAGCAAGACTCCATCTCAAAAAAATAAATAAATAAAAAATAAAAATAAATAAGTAAATAAAACCAAAGAGCATTTATTTTTATGTAGCAGATACAATACTCAAATTTAAGGTTCTTCCCCAGATGTAAGCTCATTACTAGTAAAGGAAATTTTTAAACACAGAGCTCCATAGAGTGCTAGGTTTCTTTGTTGGTAAACAAGAGAATAAGGATGAAAGGAAACATTCTTGGATGCATTTTTTTCATATAGCCATCTTTTTTCTGGGGTCTAAGAATTACTGAACAAGGAGAGACATGATAGGAATGTTGTTTTCCATTGACGCATGATTGGCATGCAATGACCAGCAGCTACTGGCTTATCACTGCGTTTGCAAGCTTCCTTCATGGCATGGCAAAACAGGTTTATAATCTTGACTTTCAGTTATTTGTCATAACTTATTATATTGATACTTAGCATTTTGCCATCAAAGATGGGACAGAGTTAGCAATAGTGCATGCCCTCACTTTTGCTTTATAAGAAACTGGGATCATTTACAAATCTTTGATAAAAGGATACTGGGATCTATTTTGTTCTTCCTACTTCATCTAATTGCCTCATAACAGACACTCAAAATTTCCAGAACTTAACCCACCCAGACCTGTGCTGGCCCTTGCTTCTACTGGGTTATCAGAGCAATTGTTAAATTTTCAAGAATTTTGTAAGCTCTTCGATGTCACATTCACAACTTATATTGGCAATGGTGAGATTATTTAAAGGATGGATATTAGCAAACACCAACAGGAGCTCTCCATTTCCTTTTTCAGAAAGCCAGGTCTTCCAGCACACATTGAGCCTAACACATCATATTAGATTTACAAGGGATCTTTTGACACATTTATTTGACAGAGAGAAATCAAAATGTTTGTTACTTATTCTACTGATGTAGTTGGGTACAGGTGTAGTTATTTTATCTATTGGCACTAAAAATTTTTTCTTTGTTGGAAAAATACTTTGTCCAATATAAATTGGAGCTACCAATTTATATTTGGACAATGAGAATCACAATGGTCTGGAAAGGGATAGGTGAAATGAAGTATTACTAAACTCCTGTACTTATGCCAGTGTGACAGTTACTGAAACTGGAGACCGAAAGAATGGCTTGGGTTAAGAGGAGATGACTGTGAGGGGGAAGGGGTCACAAATAATACATGTGAGTTATTATTAAGGAATAAGCATTTTCTAACATATCCTAAGATTAATATTACACTGAAAATGTAGAGTGTCTTTTCTATCCTTCTGTCTCATTCTGTTCCTATTGTAATTATTCTACTACTATGGTTAGTAGATTTATTGTCTATTGAGAGTAAACAGAAATTTTCAAGGCTTAATAAAATCAAACATATATGTCATATCAAATCAAAACAAATGTGAGTATGTCTGAGAGAGAGAATTTCAGAAGTTAATCCAGTAAAATTTTGTTTGTGTTATACAAAGTAATGCATTGTGTTTAGGGTTTTTGATTTCTGATCTAATATCTGATGGTTACTTTACTTTATCTAAGTGTTTATTTATTTGATAACTTGGTAAATAATATCTTCAATATGATCTCAGAATTTTAATCTATAAAATAGAATTAGCAAAAAATACTTTTGTAGCTTACATTGACATCCTAATTATATGGAAGGATACTCTGAATGGTTTCATTAATATATTAAGTCTTCTCAGCAAATGCTTCCCCATGATGAAAGCTGACATTTATAATCAACCTCTAATATCACATTTCTACAGACTTATTCCTTTGCTTACATTTATTAGAGTGCATTTGAATAATTTACCTCCTAATTTTTCAGCTAACATCTGTGCAAAAAAATTTTAATAAGCTAGAGGAAAGAAAATAGCCACCAAAATAGATTGCCTCCTTTAACACAAAACACTGTTTTAGAGAAGTAGCATATGAGAAATTACTGTGAAAAGGACATAATTTCACTATTTATTCAGTTTTAAATACTCTATGTTGTAGTTCATATATAACATAAATAGCTCTGTGAAAGGAAGAAAAACTATATTTTAGATACTTCAGAGGTTATTAGGCTCAGAAAACCCTGGGAAAATGAACTTGAATCTATGGAAATATTTGTTAATCTCACAAATCTACCAGTTCTTTTCTCCACTCGAAAGTTAATTCATATACACCATGAAATACTATGCAGGCATAAAAAAAGAATGAGATCATGTCCTTTGCAGGGGGAGCTGGAGACCATAATTCTTAGCAAACTAACACAGTAACAGAAAAGCAAATACTACATGATCTCTTATAAGCGGGAGCTAAATGATGAGAACACATGGACACAAAAAGGGAAACAATGAACACTGGAGATTACTGGATGGTGGAGTGTGAGAGGAGGGAGAGGATCAGGGAAAATAACTAATGGGTACTAGGCTTAATACCTGGGTGATCAAATAATCTGTACCACAAAGCCCCATGACTTAGATTTACCTATATAACAAACCTGCACATGTACCCCTGAACTTAAAATAAAAGTTACACAAAGAGCTAAGCATCCTGGGAGAAAAAATTCAAAATTTTTGAGTAAGCTTCATACAATTTTCCACAGCAGCTGAACCATTTTACTTCCCAATGAATTTGCCAACTCTTACCTTTTGTTTCCCTTTATAATAGCCATCCTAATAGATGAGATGACATCTCACTATGGTTTTGATTTGCAATTCTCTAACAGTTAGTGTTGTTAAGCATTTCTCATATACCTTTTGGCAATGTGTATGTCTTCTTTGGAAAAATGTCTGTCATATAATCCAACAATCCCGCTTCTGTGTTTTTATCCAAAACAATTGAAATCAAGATCTCCAAGAGATGTCTGCATTTTCATGATTATTACAGCATTATTTACAATACACATGATATGGAAACTAATGTCCATCAATAGATAAGCAAATATAGCAAATGTGGCATATACATACAATAAAATATTATTTGGCCTTAAAAATAAGAAAATTCTGTCATATATGACAACATGGATGAATTTGGGGTACATTATGCTAGGTGAAATAAGACAGTCACAGAAGGACAAACTGCACTTTTCCCCTTATACGAATTATCTGTAATAGACTCATAGAAACAGAAACGAGAATGGTGCTTGTCAAGTGCTGAGGGATGGGGGAAATGGGGAGTTGCTGTTCAACAGGTATAAAGCTTCAGTTATGCAAGATGAGTAAGTTCTAAACCTCTGTTCACCATAGCACCTATAGTTAATATTACTGCATTGTGTATTTAAATTTTTGTTAAGACTGTAGATCTCACGCTAAGTGTTCCAACTACAATAAAGAAGTCAATTCACAGTGAATATATCATTATAAATAGATATTTATATTTTCTCTGTGAAGCTTCATGTAATATTAACTAACTTCTTAAGAAAATTTAATGGTCTTCCAGCTACCTGCTCTGTCACATTCTTAAGTGCTTTAATTGGGGATGTTACAGCCACCACCACAATATGGAGGAGCTACTTTCAAGTTTCATCATATTTGCAAGTTTTATATTATGTATAATTTTTTTAAAAGTTCACTCTTCTAACAAAATAACTGTATTGAGAGGATCCAGTGATTATGAAAGAAGGCTCAGTCAGAAATCCTTAAACTATTTTTAGCAAAGATCCTCTGGTATGTAGTAACAGAATCAGGGTAATATCAATAGGAAGAATCCAGTACAACAGAAATAAATAGACATTAGCTGTTTTCTCAGTAATTATGTAGGAAAAAGGGACCAAGACTCTCAGTAATGGAGGCAATAGATTTTATCTTTAAAAACAAGGAAACTTGGTTGTATATTCCTAATCTTGCCTTGTAAAACTATGTCTACCGTGTTAATATTATTAACTGATTGACTTGAATCCTTGATGATATTGTTTGTCAGTCATAATTCTTTGTGTTACTCTCATTTCAGCTAGGTATTCTGATGATGTACAGACACATATACCCATACACAACTCACAGCATTACGGCTTACTAAATAGAACTCCAAGCTAATAATGCCTTTGACGTTATTATTGCATACTTTTCCTTGTTAAAAATATTAAGGAGAGAAAAATAGTGTGGGCAGACTCGTAATTATAAAGCCACAGTCGGCTGGGCGCGGTGGCTCACACCTGTAATCCCAGAATTTTGGAAGGCCGAGGTGGGCAGATCACGAGGTCAGGGGTTCAAGACCAGCCTGGCCAACATGGTGAAACCTCATCTCTACTAAAAATAAAAAAATTAGCCAGGCATTGTGCCAGGCACCTGTAATCCCAGCTACTACATCAGGTAAACTCAGGAGGCTGAGGCAGGAGAATCACTTGAAACCAGAAGGCAGAGGCTGCAGTGAGCTAAGATCGCGCCACTGCACTCCAGCCTGGGCGAAAGAGCGAAACTTCGTCTCAAAAAAAGAAAAAAAATAGATAGTCTCGGATTACTGTCCATCACTTTTGAATCAATCAAAGCTATCTCACAAATGTTACTTTAGAAGTTGTACCTTCTATTTTTTTAAGGAAGTCAATTTAGCATCGTGTAGCTGAAGAAGGTGTATATCTGTGACATGCAGGGAGAAATACAAAAAAAAAAAAGAATTCTGCATTTGAGGACAAACATGTTTCTAGAAAATAATTTTGTACCTCCCGGCTTAATTGCTAACCATATTTCAGGACTTTTAGTTCTTCCCTTGACATTTAGAATTCAGCCTTGAAATAATAAATATGAATTAGAGCCAGAAAACTTCTCCTGTTCCTGTCCTTGAAGTTTCTGTTACTTCCCAGAGTTTAATCCGCCCTTGAGGTTTCTGTTACTTCCCAGAGTTTAATCTTCTCTTGGGAGAGAAATGTTACGTATTACTCTCCCTTTGCCTTGGATACTCATCTATTTGGGTCAAGTTGAGGTAATCCTGGGTCTTTCTATACTGTTTTAATCAGGTTTTGTCCTGATGCAGTTGTGTTCCATGCCTCCTTCACTTTCTCCTAATTACAATTTCTGGGCGCTAGCAACCAAATGTCGATTAAGGTATACTTAGGGTCCACCATCTTGTAATCTACTCCAGTTGAATTCTCCACGGTTATGTGTCATTGCTGGTGGTCATAAACAACTTCTTTTGCTTTTCACTGCAGCTGCTTCAAATGTCACCATTTGCACTTCATCTTGCTCTCGTTCCATGCTCTCCATTTCCCACATTTCTGGGTCTGCTAATGGCCACATTCTGGTAAGGTCTCCAAATCCAACTTTACCTGTAAGAGTCTTGGTCCCCTGATTCTAACACAAATTGTGATGGAGCTCTCCTCTGATTATTTCTTCTGCATTGGCTGCTTTATATTGTTACAGCTTTGATTCTGTTGACAGTACACAACTTCTGATAGATCGTTTGATGCCAAATGTAATTTTAGCTTCCTAGGTCAGTTCAGTTCACCGAATATCATTAAGCATTTACAATAGTGCTGGACGTGGTGCTAAGGGTGGGGGAAATAGGGACAAATCAGACACCATCCCAGCCCTGAAGAAACTATTAATTTGATTAGGAGGAAGAAAGGAAATTGCAAATCAATGTAAATAGTAGTTGATAGTTCTGATGATTTTGCTATTGCTTCTACTCTAGCCTGCTCCAGCCCCCACCTTTACTGCTACACAATCTACAGAGAGTCAATGTGGACAACCTTCACTAAAGACACATTACGTGTCTGATTAAAACAGGTTTGTGAAAATACAGCCTTGCTTCTGGACTCTCCAACAGATCATCAGTGTATCATCTTGTTCTCAGTCTTATAAATCCTACATAATTATTTATAGCATGCCTAAAGTAGAAATCATTAAACTCTAAATGGCAAAGCAGACTTTACTTTTTTGCATATAGTACTTTAATCAAGTGGCTTTTTTATATGCTCTCTTTATGTGATAAATCAATAAAATCATCTGAGTCCTATAAAACAGTAAAATACATGAGAATTGTATTTTTATATAAATAGTATAGAAATTCAAAGTATTTCCTTAAAATTTTAAACTGCTATATTCCTTTATTGACATTGATTAAAGAATCATACTTCTCAGTGTGTATTTATTCTAAATATTTGCCTCACCTTTAGAATAAAGAGAGAAGTCGCAAAATAGAAGTCACAGACTTTACATTTCAATTCATTTCTGAAACATACGCCATCCTTAAATTTTTTTAAGCAGAGTAATAGCATCAGCTAAATTCTTCATTATCTATAATTTACACTCAAGTCACAAATTTGTATTCAAGTCAGGAATTTATTTTCAGTTCTTTGCCCTGAATAAGTCTATTATACTTTCTACACAATAATTTTTGCTTATGAATTTTTATGAAAGCAACTTGATAATATATTATAACTGAGTCTATATGCACATAGGGAATTGGAGAATTGTTCCTCTCACAGACGTACGCAAATTGAATAATAGTTCCACCTAAGATACCTGCCTATTTCAGGTCAATAGTCTTTTGCCTTGGATTACAAATAATTTTCCAGTACTCTATTTGGCATGTATGGGCATGGTCTTAATCTGCCCTACCATATCTGGTTTCAAAATGCCAGTGCTTTTTGGTACTTAATAATTAAATATGGATGATAAAACATTCCCTGGCATTAAAGTGGTACATCGGACGGTAAAATTCACACAGTAAGACACTAAAATTTAAGGTGATAGTAGCCAGATGGCTTTTCTGATGTTCTAAAATACACATGAAGGATTTTATTAATTTAACCACCATATGGGACGGAGTTGAAATTAGTATCTACGGGCAGTTAAATCCAGATATAACCTGGATATAACAGTGTGTACTATTGCAACTTTTGCTGTTTTTCTCTCTGTTGACACTACATGGAATCATTTTAGTTCTTCTTTTCCATGTAGATGCAGGAATAGAATACCTGCCTTCTGTCAGTTTTATATTGTTAAAAGTACTTAAAATCGAAATGAGAAAACACTTAGGTATACATCCAGAAGGTGGTAATTGATTCTTATACAAATTCTACATCATTGCCTCATGAAATCTATCAAGGAACATGCGTTCAACAATTAACATTAATTTTATATTTTCTTTACTGGCTCCTGAACTATTTTATATCCAATATAATGTTCAAATTTAAAAAGCAGAAATATCAATTTTCAAAGTAACTGTACATCCACAGAAGAATATTAGATGTGGTTTTTGAAATGACATTCTGCTCTTGGATCAGCTGGTCAACCTCCTTCAAGTGTAATCTAATTTATCACCTGTTAAATTAAGGTGATGCAGCTCTAGATGACATCGGACCAGCAACTGGCTAACTATGACCCATGGGCCAAATCCAGTTCACAGTATGTTTTTGTACTGCCCTCATGCTAATTTTTAAAAAAAATGTTAAAAGGTTGTGAAAAAAATAAATAAGCAAACAAATAATAAGAAGAATATGCAACAGAAACCATATGCTACTAAGATATTTACTATTTGGCCCTTGACAGAAAGTATGTTAACCTTTGTACTAGATAACAAATGTTTATACAGAATTGGATCTGTAGGTTTCAACACAGATACTGGAAGGCAACAAATTCACAAATGTAAAAAATTCACACTAAAAATCACCCTACATAAATATGGCAGAGTTTTCAATTGAGTAATACTAAAAGATGAAAGTTCAATTGCTGAATACATATAAGCAAAGACAATGTTTATCAGAGCCAGGTTCTATGAAATCCAATACAACAGATTTCTGGAAAATTCAAATTAATTATCAGTGTTAAGCTATTTTAATAAGCTTAGTTTTTCACAATACTACAAAAATAATTTCATTTCTTTCTGAATGTAATAGTGAACAATTTTATAGTGACTTTGTATTTTGTAAAGTATATTCATCTATGTCTTCTCATTTGATATTTGAAACATCAAATGTGTTTTGTTTAAAGATTTGCATAAAATTACACAGCTACTTAGTGATAAAATGAGATTTTCTGTGCCCAAGCCCCATGCTCTTCCCCCTACACAGGGTTGCTCCTTATCAGGTGAAAAAATGTATACAGGTAAATGGAAAAATAATTAATTGTTAATTATGGATATAGCTGTATCTATTTTTGTAAAAGAAGAAACTGCAAAATAACTAAATAAATTTTATCAGAGGTGAAAAAGAGTTTCCAATGCATGTAGACATGACTAGAGTTAATCATATACCAATCGCCAATAAATAAGTTGGTTACAAATTTAAATAAATAATTGAATTCACTATATTTCAGATTTAGTGTGTTTTTCAGTTAATGCAAATAAAAGCTGGAAGAAATGAAGTAAAAATTCATAACCACTACATTATAAAATAACTGTTCATTTTTAAGGTAGTTTAAAACATCTTTAGTAAAACTGTGTTCTACAGACTTCTACTCAGAGATGGAACAGTTCAAAATCAAGATGATTGTGAAAGTACAGAATTGAGATACTTGCATAGCCCTTCTAACATTTCATAAAACCATAAGATGCAGAATTACAATACTGGTGGTATAACAGATACATTTTTCCTTCAAGTTTACATTGTTTTACTAAACATCTTCCTTCATACAAATAAAATATAAATATATCATTTAATTCAGAATCATAAATATCGTATGTTCTAGTAAAGTAAGAGATTGCATTTCCTTATTGATATTCATTAACTTAATATAAATTAAAAGTTACAGTATTACTAAGTCATGTAGATATCATTTTTACCACTACCATTAGTGTTGGTTTGTAAAACTCTAGCTTTATTACTCTACTAAAATCTTTTATGCAGTATTATATAATATGAAACACTCCAGTTTTCCCTGTGGTATATAATCTTTCACACTTTTAGGTTTTCATAACCTCACTGACTAAAACACTCTCAAAGTTACTGACTTTTTAATACAAAATTTTAAGTCTCAATAGCAAATACATTTGATAAAATAACCAGGCTTTTTAACAGGCTATTATAGATACAATGTATTGCATCAATTTCAAACCACAATTCTCAAAACTTAAGGTAAGGTCTATTGCTTAGACTTGCAACTAAGGAAGTCAGATCCCTGAAAAGGTTTGTTTTTATCTGTGGTCTGATGGTATTCATCACAAATTTCCTACTTGGAGAATTTATGATTTTATATTTCAACTTTACATTATAAGACAAGAAATTCAAAAACTGTATTTCCCAAGCCTCTAATTGTTCATGTGGTCCAACCTTCATGCTCTATTTGCCACATCATAAATACCTCATATATTACAACCTGAGAGAAGCTTTTAAGTAGTAATTTTGAAAACCAAACCAGAAAGTGCAAGTCAATTTCTAACCAAGTTCAAGTGTGCCTATTAATTTCTGTGACTTATTTGAACCATAAAGACCTTTTCACTTGAACATAGTGGAGTCATTACTGTGACTTTGCTACACAAAATTCAGTGGAGAATAAAGTTAAAACGTGATTCTATCTGTCTGTGTAACAAGAGAAGGTCAAATCTGTTTTTTGTTTCTGTTTAGGGTTTTGGGGTGGGGGATGGACTGTTCAGTCTTTTTGAGCATAACAGCTCTGCCACTGTACATGGCATTGGTTTAATTTTCTTACTTGTAAAGAGAAAATCATTGCTTAAATAATTAGGTAATATTCCTAAAGGATTTAACTCCTTAGGGAAAACATAAAGCAGGATAAATGTGTTTAATTATAATTTGGTCATGCCTAGACTATCGTGCCCTGCTTATATTTTTTCTTTATTATAACTTTAACTTCCAAAAATTATAGCAAAAAAATGAACACAACCAAAATTCCATATCATTCCATCACGTAAAATGATGAATTGCTCTGGAGAGTTTAACAATATAGCAACTTAGAAAGATGAGCATGTATTTAAAGAGATGATACATTCAATTGTATTAAGTCCACATTTTCACAGAATTTCCTGCAATGTATAAAGGGAGTTTCCATTCCCACAGCTTTCAATGTGTTTCTTCTCTAGATCAAAATGGAATTCCTTATAACATTCACAGGTAAATCAATCCCTCAAGCATCTGCACATCTGAGAAGATTGCTCCTCTCCAGTTCATAGCCCTAAGACTGCCAACTCTAGTACTAAGAAAAGTACATTCAAAGTACAGCCCTGCCATTTTCCCATAATTTAATCCCATGCATAATTAGTTCATCCGCCTGAGCTTCAGTTTGCTCGTTTATAAAATGGGCTTGAAAATGTCACACCCAAAGGGTTGTTGTAGAATTATATGACATAATTCATGCTAACTATTTTGGGTAGTACATGTTACACAGTATGAACTTAAAACATAAATATTTTCTATTACTCATTTTTTGGTTGTTACTTACAAGATTATGTCTCCCTATCCCCGGATGTGTGAAAATTTAATCCCAAGCATGCTCATTTTTAAAGCAACGTTGAATCGCCCACACAAGAGCTTTTGTTACCCAAATTCTAAGGCTTTGTTCCTGCTGTCACTTCTATTTTTTTTCCCTTTTTCAAACTCTCGATGTTATAGAATGACACCTTTAAGGTTTAGATAAAATTCCTTCTTTAGTCAAGCCCACTTTGGATACATACATACCTCCCATTATAATATATTCTTAAATACTATAATTAATTGTCTCCCAACTTCCCCTTTCCTGGTTTTCTACCATCAATCAGCATTATAGAGTGCAAATGATGTACATACAGCACCCTTGTGGATATGCCTTTATAAATCAAACAAGTAAGTTGGTTAATTTATACAATGCTTAAACTAAATTGCTACATTTCTTTAGACACAATGAAATAAGTGTTGAAAATATTACCTTAGTCTTAGTCTAGTATGTAGTATATTGTGGGAATTCGATTACATTTAATTTGATTAAAATTAATGTTATTATTCTGTAAATTAGATATAAAATCTTTCTTTTTGAATTTTGTCTTAAAATGTTTAATTTTTTTTAACCTTTCGTTTATTTGTTTTTGCATTTTTTTTTTTTTTTTTTTTTTTTTTGAGACGGAGTCTTGCACTGTCACCCGGGCGGGAGTGCAGTGGTGAGAGCTCGACTCACTGCAACCTCCAACTTCCAGGTTCAAGTCATTCTCCTGCCTCAGCCTCCCGAGCACCTGGGATTTCAGGTGCCTGCCACCACGCCCGGGTATTTTTTTGTATTTTTAGTAGATACGGGGTTTTACTATGTTGACAAGGCTGGTCTCGAACGCCTAATCTCGTGATCCACCAGCCTTGGCCCCCCAAAGTGCTGGAATTACAGGCATGAGCCACCACACCCAGCTGCATTTTCTTTTTTTAATTGTATATTTCCTTCGGACTTACGTGTGATTTTACCAAATACTATTTTTTATAATTACATTCCATCTATTAAATGCAATTAAAATACTATTAAATAGTATAAACTTCTTTTTTGGTTCAAATGAAATAAAATGATATCGTTGTGTATACTCTGGGCCTTGGCAACATTTTCAAAGAAAGTGGTAAACAACAAAATATGTGACTTAAATTTTCATCGTTTGAAAAAATATTTTTAATAAAGGTAGTAAAAATTCTACTACCCTAGTAAATATGTTCCAGAGATTTTTAGCCTAAGGAAATTCTAAGAAAGTAAAAATTACATGCACAAAAATGCCAATTACTGTAGTATCAAAAATAAATACAGGGAAAAATAGCTTTCAGTAATTGAATATTCATAAAATTGATATCATATTATGCAGCATTTATGATTTTATCTTACAGTACTATCACATATAAAGAATGTTTACAAGTTTAAACACAACGTGCAAACTATGAAATTGTATCTTCTCTTTGATTAAAAGTGCCCAAGTTATATTGTTAACAAATGTTCAGAAGAATTTATTTTCTAAATTTCTAAAACAGTGCTGATTTTCCCGTGTGTAGAATGACTGTGCTCCTGAAACTACCAACACCAATTATCTGCAGAAAGGGAACTCAGCTTATTCTGCTTTACAGTAAGAGGTGGGAAGGGATGATCCCCAGTCTCTCCTGCAAATAGAGTAAGCAACGCAAATTTCTTTGGAAGCAATCAGCTGAAAAGCAACTTGGCCAAAGGGTGTATATCTTCATGTTACGTTTACAGGGACATTGTTGTTGTTTTTTTTTTTTTTTGAGATTTATTCGTGTTTTTCTGCCAAGGAGTTTAAAGCATGGCCGTGAGGTAACAAAAAATTTGAGACATTAAAGTTATATGATATTCGTATTAATGTTGTTTAAACCATACATTAATGAATAAATCTAAATTAGACAAAGGAGATGTTGGAAGCAATACGTCCTCTTTAGCAAAGATGCTGGTTATCAATGGAGTATTTTTAAAAGAAACTAATTTCTCAGCTCTGGTACATGATTTAAAATTATTACAGACATGCACAAATTATTCAAGGGAAGAACACAGGGGTTTTGTAAAACCATTCCATGTTTTTTTAATGATAAAAACAGAGCTCATATAATAATAATATTATAGCTATCCTTTCTAAAATCGTTACTTTTGCTATTTATCAGCTAAGTACTTTAAGTCTCACAAAATCTTATTGCAATCAGTAATATTTTTATCTCTATTTTACTTAAGTAGAATCTGAGGCTGAAAGAGAAGAAATAACTTGCCTGATGTCAAACAGTTTCAGAAAACTAGATTTTCTTTGTAGGAGGGCAGTCTCTCTAGTTAAACATTGTGCTTAGTTTTTGTTGTTTATAAATGTATCTACCTAATCAACAAAGGTGTGCAGAATTGGAATCTTATAAATACAATAAAAATGTACTTAGATCAAGATATAAGAACTCATAAAGGTACATAATGTGTCCCAAATTTTCTAAGAAATATCCTGATATCAAAATATAAGATCGTTGATGTCACATAATATTTTTTAAAGGCGTTCTTCATGAACACACTTTATTTATATTGATAAGTCTTGGGCCATGTGTAACACCTTTCTATAAATGAAAGAATAAAATTAGGATGTCACAATTTTTGTCATCAAGTTGATTATATTTATTCCTGAAGAATATCCAAATTTGTAAAACTGAGAGAGTTTTACAGATGTCAGAGAGAATATTAACCAAAAAAGGCATAGCATGAACAAGGTTACTATGCAGTGGAATGGGTCATCAATAATTATAGATTTTAATGATATTATACTATTATCCTCATTTTACAGATAAAGAAAATAAGCAACTTGTCATACTACCACAGCTAATAAATAGAAACACTGGTATTTAAATCAATGCATGTTTGATTTTAAGCCTGTGCTTTACCTAGTCGTGAAGTGAAAGAAAATATCCCTAAAGGTTCATAGAAAGAAATATCAGCAGTTGTCCATGAATTCAGTTGAAATGGTTCAGTAACAGCATTGGTCACCAGAGACTACCAATTTGGGGAATGAATAACAAAATCATTTACTTCTATGGTTAGATGGTAATGGGTTTAGATGACAATTTTAGCCAATGCATCAATAGCCTATTTTGGGCAAGGTTTTTGATAGACCAAGGGATACGGTTTTGTGATTCCGGTTTGTAATGCAGTGAGAACCTGTACCGCACAGAACAGAGCTATCAGTAGGGATTTAGGAAACCTCATGAATTTATGTATGAATTATAATGGAATCCACAAAAAAAGATAACATCTTCAAGATAGAAAGAAAAAAATGAACTCAAGAAGATTCAGTTTTACACATACATGCTTTCTCTCTCAAGGAAAATATAATATCTTGTTAAGCTGTAAGGTTTGTTCAGATAAGCTCTAATATATTGCTTTTCGTACCAGGATGCAAAGATCTGGAGCAGAGGTAGAGTATAATACAGCAAGACTCAGGCATTAAGGAGATTACTCTTTCATAAGTCACATTGAAGTTTTGTTTTGACTAGGATTTTAAGTTCCATTTTAATCAAGTTTGGGGGGATTTCTGATGTAACATGTTACAAATGAAGAACATAGCAAAAAGAGTGCAGAGACCACCATTTTCCGGAAACAACTAGCGTGAGCATTAACTGACACTCAAATGACGTGACAGGTGTTAGTAGTAACAAAAATATCCAAACATACTCCTTCATTTTCTTTGTGATGAAATCTCACCAAACTGTAAATATCCGAAAATGAAGATCACCTCAGAATGAAGGGAAAACAGTAAGGACAAGATGAACAAAAATCAGGATAAAGAAGGTAAGAAATCCAAATACGGGAGAGAAATAAACCAAAATTGGGAAAATAGGAGCAAAGTAATAAACAATGAGTCAATAATGAAGGAGAAAACAGAGGAGAAAAATAAAGTTAAATGCCTCTGTTAACAAATAGAGATACATAAAAATGACAGAGTTTTTTTGAAGAGAAAATGATCATCATAAATCTTAGTACATTTCTTGAAGTAGCAAATCAGCTAAAATGTTTAGAATTGAATATATATGTTAGAGAGGGAAGTAAGGACTCTGCAATTATGTTATTAACTTGATCAATACCCGTAACCAGACAATTTAGCACCACCTTCACCTCCAATTCACTTTAGTGCTTATAATCTCCTATTGATTGTCAGCTAATCAATACAATAGCTTCACTTTTCTCTCCGTTAAGTAACCATGATCTCAGTGCCAACCTTGACTTATTTAAGATGGATAAAAGCTGTATTAACAAAATGTATTAGGTAGAGTATGATCACTTTGAAAATTTAGATGATATTTGATTATTTAAATAGAATTATAATGACTAAGTTAATATGATCAATGAAATGTTAAAAATAGCCTTATTTACTTTATCAAAGTCTACTCACATTAGGACATCTCTGTAGAAATGAATAAAATAAAACTACTATTGTTCAAACTCAATTATTAGCAATAACCATTAAAAGATTATAAATTACCAAATGTGCTATGCCATTTAAATAGGGTGCAGTTTAGAATATACACTGTTGGTTGAAATGTAAATTAGTAGAGTATAAGTGTATAAGCAAGCATTTGTGTGTGAGCATTCCCTTTTCTCTGCCTCGTCACCAGCATCAGTTGTTTTTTTGTCATTTTAATAAGAGCCATTCTGACTGGGTTAAGATGACATTTCACAGTGGTTTGGATTTTCATTTACCTGATGATTAGTGATATTGAAGATTTTTCCATATACCTGTTGGTCATTTGCATATCTTTTTTGAGACATGTCTAGTTATGTCCTTTGCTGACTTTTTAATGAAATTATTTGTTTTTTTGTGTGTGTTTTTCTTCTTACTGTTGAGTTATTTGAGTTCCTTGTTTATTCTGGATATTACGTCCTTGTTGGATGAATAGTTTGAAGATATTTTATTCCAATTAACAGGTTGTCCCACACTCTGTTGTTTGTTTCCTTTGTTGAGTGGAAGCTTTTCAGTTTAATATAGTCCCATTTATCCTTTTCTGTTTTTGTTGTCTATGCTTTTGAAATCATAGCCATAAAATCTTTGCCCAGAGCAATGTCCATAGTTTTTCTTCTATAATTGTTTTAGTCGTTTTATAATTTTGGATCTTGTTTTTAAGTCTTTGATTACATCTGGAGTTGTTTTTTTTTTTTTTTTTTTTGAGACTGAGTCTTGCTCCGTCGCCCAGGCTGGAGTGCAGTGGTCCAATCTCGGCTCACTGCAACCTCCACCTCCCGGGTTCAAGTGATTCTCCTGCCTCAGGCTCCTGAGTTTACCTGATGTAGTAGCTGGGATTACAGGCGCATGCCACCACTCCCGGCTAATGTTTGTATTTTTAGTAGAGAAGGGGTTTCACCATGTTGGTCAGGCTGGTCTGGAACTCCTGACCTTGATAGATATCCAGTTTTTCAGCACCATTGATTCAAGAGACTGTCCTTTCACCAATGTAAATTCTTGGTACCTTTATCAAAAATTAGTTTACTGTAAGTAGATACATTTATTTATGGGTTTTCTATTATGTTCTCTTAATGTGTATATTTTTATGCCAATATCATGTTGTTGTTGTTGTTGTTTGTTTTGTTTTTTTTTTTTGAAATGGAGTCTTGCTCTGTGGCCCAGGCTGGACTGCAATGGCACGATCTCAGCTCACTGCAAGCTCTGCCTCCTGGGTTCACGTCATTCTCCTGCCTCAGCCTCCCAAGTCATGTTGTTTTTGTTACTGTGGTATTATATTTTGAAGTCAGGTAATGGGATGTCTCCAGCTTTGTTCTTCTTGGTCAGGAATGCTCTTGCTATTATGAGTCTTTTATGGTTAAATAAATAATTTAGGATTATTTTTTCTATTTCTTTGAAAAAAGACATTGGTATTGTATAGAGATTGCATTGAATTTGTAGATTGCTTTGAGTAGTGTGATCATTTTAATGGTATGAATTCTTCTGATACATGAGCATGAACCCTCTTTCCATTTTTTGTGTCCTTTTCACTTTCTTTCATCAATGTTTTTTACTTTTACTCATAGAAGTCTTTCAACTCCATGGTTAAGTTTTTCTTAGTATTTTAATGTTTTGTAGCCATTGTAAAACTGATTGCCTTCTTCATTGTTTCTTAGCTAGTTCATTATTAATGAACAGAAATACTACTGATTTTTTGTGTTGATTTTTATCCTAAAACTTTACGGAATTTATTTATCAGATCTAAGAGTTTTTGTGGAGTCTTTAGGTTTTTCTAGATATAAGATCATGTCATCTGCAAACAGGGACAATTTGACTTCCTCTTTTCCAGTTTGAATGCTTTCATTTTTTCTCTTGCTGATTCCTCTAGATAACAATTACAATACCATTTGAAATAGGAGTTGTGAAAATGAGCAACCATCTTGTTCCAGTTCTTAGCAGAAAGGATTTCAGCTTTTCCCGATTCAGTAAGATGTTAGCTGTAGCTTTTTTTTTTCTGTATGGCCTTATTGGGTTAAGGTATATCCCTTCCATATCTAGTTTTTTGATAGTTTTTATCAGGAAGGGATGGTGAAATTTATCAAATGCTTTTTCTGCATCTATTAAAATGATCATTGGTTTTTTGCCCTTCATTCTGTTGATATGATGTATCAAATTTATTGATTCATGTATGTTGAACTACTTTTGCACCCCAGTGATAAATCCCACTTGATCAGTGTGTATTCTCTTTGTGATGTGTTGTGGGATTCAGTTCGTTGGTATTTCGTTGAAGATTTTTGCATCTATATTCATCAGGGATATGAGTCCATAGTTTTTCTTGTGTGGTGGTTATGACCTTGTCTGGTTCTGATATCATGGTAATGTTGACCTTGTAGAATGAATTAGTGAGAATTCTCTCCTTTTCATTTTTTGAGAATAATTTGAAGAGCACTGCTGTTTTTTTTGTTTGTTTGTTTTGTTTTTTGTTTTTTCCTGTAAATTTGGCAGAGTTTGGCAATGAAGCCATCCAGTCCTGAGTACTTATTTGTTGGAAGATATTTTTATTACTAATTCAATCTCATTACACTTTATAGATTTGTTCAAATTTCTATTTTTTTCCGACTCAACCTTCATAGGTTGTACTTGTCCAAAAATGTTTCTACTTTTCTAGAATTTCCTATTTGTTAGTGTATAGATGTTCTTATTCTCTCTGTTGGTCTTTTGTATTTCTATGCTATCAGTTTTAATGTCTTCTTTTTCATTTCTAATTTTGTTTATTTAGGTCTTCTGTCATTTATTGCTAGTCTAGTTAGTAGTCTATCAATTTTGTTTATCTTTCAAAAAACAACTTTTCATTTCATCAAGACTTTTTATTGTTTTGTCTCTATTTTGTTTAGTTCTTCTCCGATTTTTATTTCTTCTACTAGTTTTGGGTTCAGCTTGTTCTTGCTTTAGTAGGTCCTTTAGGTACATTGTTAGATTGTTTATTTGAAATATTTCTACTTTTTTGATGCATACATTCATTGTTATAAAATTCCCTATTAGCAGTACTTTTGCTGTATCTCATAGATTTTGGTATATTATATTTCATTTGTCATTTATTTCAATAAATGTTTGAACTTATCCTTAATTTCATCAGTAACAGCGTTTTACAGAAACATATTGTTTAATTTCCATGTATTTGTACAGTTTTCAGTGTTCCTCTTGTTAATGATTTCTAGTTTTGTTCCATCTTGGTCTTAGGAGATACTTAATATACTTTTGATATTTTAAAATTTGTTAAGACTTGATTAACATAAAAATATATGGTCTATCTGGAGAACGTTCCATGTGCTAATGAAAAGAGTGTATATTCTTTAGTTACTGGATATAATATTTTGTAAATATCGGGTTCATTTAATCTAAAGTGCAGTTTAGATGCACTGTGTCTATTAATTTGCTGCCTAGATGATCTGTTTAATGCTGAAAGGTGGAGATTTGTAGTCTCTGACTGTTACCATATTAGAGTCTAGCTCTTCCTTTAATTTAATAATATGTGTTTTGTATATCTAGGTACTTCATTATCAGGTGCATATATGATTAGAATTCTTGTAGCCTCATGTTGACTTCATATCTTTTATAATGATGCAGTTGTCTCTTTTTACTATTTTTTGACTTACTGTTTTATGTTATATAAATACAGCTATTCCCACTTGTTTTTTTAAAAATTTCTGTTGATGTGGAATATCTTTTTTCCATCTCTTTACTTTTATCTATATGTGTATGATGAGATGAGAGAATAATTTCTTATAGTCAGCTTAGTAGGGTCATATTTGTTTCTTTTTTTAAATCCATTAAGCCAGTCTATACCTTTTAAGTGGAAAGTTTAATTCATTTACAATTGAGGTAATTATTGATATGTATTTACTTTTTCCTGTCATTTTATCAACTGCTTTCTGGGTTTTTTGTATATCCTTTGTTCCTTTATTTCCCCTTTTTGTTTATCATTGTGAATTGGTAGTTTTCTGTTGTGGTACCATTTGAATGTTTTCTCTTCATTACTTGTGTGTTTGCTTTACTGGTGAATTTTACAGTTCGATGTGTCTTCATGATAAAAGATATCATCTTTTGCTCCCAGGCATTTGACTCTATTAAGCATTTTTTTGGAGGTCCAGTCCCTTAGCTTTTGTTTCTCTGGGAAATACTTTGTTTTTCCTTTATTTTATGAAGAGTAACTTTGCTGGGTACAATATTTTTGACTGCTTTTTGTTTGTTTGTTTTGGGAAGTTTGAATATATCATTCTATTCTCTCCTGGCCTGTAAGGTTTCTTCTGAGAAATCCACTATTGGTCTCCTAGGGGTTTCTTATGAGTGACTATATACTTTTCTCTTGCTGTTTTTAGGATTTTCTCTTTGTCTTTGACATTTGACAGTTGACTATAATGTGCCATAAAGAAGACCCTTTTAAATTGTATCTTTTTCAGAATCTCTGAACTTCCTGTATCTGTATGTCTAAATCTCTTTCTAGACTTGAGAAGTCATATATTATTTTGTTGAATAGGTTTTCTATACCTTTCATTTTTGTCTTCACCTTCTGGAACATTGAAAATTCAAGTATTTGGTCACTTTTTATTGTCTCACATGTCAAATAAGCATTGATTATTCTTTTTATCTGTTTCTTTCCTTTATTATTTTCTGTCTGGGTTATTTCAAAACACTCTCTTCAAGGTCAGAAGAATGTATCTTCTGCTATATCTAGTCTTCTGTTGAAGTTTTTAATGTATTTTTTATTTTATTCAATAATTTCTTCAGTTCCAGATCTTTGATTCTTTTTTACAGTATCTATCTGTGTTTGTCCATTCTCATGATGCTATAAAGAAAGGACAAAGACTGGATAATTTATACAAGAAAAAGGTTTAATTGACTCACAGTTCCAAACTGCCCGGGAGGCCTTAGGAAACTTACAATCATGGCAGAAGGCAAAGGAGAAGCAGGAACCTTCTTCATAAGGGGGCAAGACAATGTGAGTGCCAGCAGGGAAAATGCCAGATTCTTATAAAGCCATCAGATCTCATGAGAACTCACTTGCTATCATGAATACAGCATTGGGGAAACCACCTCCATGATCTAATCACTTCCTACCAGTTCCCTACGAGAACATGTGGGGGTTATGAAAAGTACAATTCAAGATGAGATTTTGGAGGGGACACAGCCTAGTCATGTCATTCAACTCCTGCCCCCTCTCAATTCTCTTGTCCTCACACTTCTAAACACAATCATGCCCTTCCAATAGTCCCCCCAAATCTTAACTCATTGCAGCATTAACCCAGAAGTCCAGATCTACAGTCTCATCTGAGACAGTGCAAAAGCCTTCCACCTATGAGCCTGTTAAATCAAAAGCAAGTTAGTTACTTCCTAGATAGAATGAGGGCACAGTCATTGGGTAAATACACTGGTTCCAAATGGGAGAAACTGACCAAAACAAAAAGGCTACAGCCCTCATGCAAGTCCAAAATCCAATACAGCAGTCATTAAACCTTAAAGTTCGAAAATGATCTCCTTTGACTCTATGTCTCACAAACAGGTCAAATTGATGCAAGCAGTGGGCTCCCACAGCCTTGAACTGCTAAGCAGGGTGGATTTTCAGGGTACAGCCCCCTTTCTGGCTGCTTTCATGGCCTAGCACTGAGTGATGTGGCTTTTCCAGATGCATAGTGAAGCTGTAGGTGGATATGGAGGATGGTAGCCCTCTTCTCACAGCTCTACTATGTTATGCCCCAGTGGGGACTCTGTGTGGGGGCTCTGACCCCACATTTCTCTTCTGATCTGCCCTAGCAGAGGCTGGCTATGAGGGTTCCCTTACTGCAGCAAACTTCTACCTGGACATCCAGGTGTTTCCATACATCCTCTGAAATCTAGGCAGAGGTTCCACAAACTCAATTCTTGACTTCTGTGTATCCATAGGCTCAACACCACATGGAATCTGCCAAAGCTTGGGGCTTGCATCCTCTGAAGCAATGGCCCAAGCTGTACCTTGGCCCCTTTTAGCCACTACTGGAGCTGAAGCAGCTGGGATGCTGGGCATCATGTCCTGAGGCTTCACAGAGGAGGGCCCTGGGCCTGGCCCAGAAAACCATTTTTCCCTCTTAGGCTTCTGGATCTGTGATGGGAGGGGCTCCCGTGAAGCTCTCTGACATGCCCTGGAGACACTCTCCCCATTGTCTTGCTGATTAACATTCAGCTCTTCATTAATTATGCAAATTTCTGTAGCCCTCTTGAATTTTTACCCAGAAAATGGGTTTTTCTTTTCTATGGCATCATCAGGTTACAAATTTTCCAAACTTTTATGCTCTACTTCCTTTTGAATGTTTTGCTGCTTAGTAATTTCTTCTACCAGAAACCCAAAATCATCTCTCTTAAGTTCAAAGTTCCACAGGTCTCTAAAGCAGGGGCAAAAATGCCACCAGTCTCTTTGCTAAAGCATAGAAAGAGTCACAATTGTTCCAGTTCCTGAGAAGTTCCTATTTTTTTCCTATTTTTGCCATTGTGAATAGTTCTATGATAAACATGGGAGTGCAAATATCTATTCAAGATTCTGATTTCAATTCTTTTGGATAAATACTCAGAAGTGGGATACCTGGATCACATGGTAGTATTATTTTGAGCTATTGAGAAATGTCTATACTGTTTTTGACGGTGACATTTTGCCTATTCCATTCTCACAAACAGTGCATAAGGGTTCCAGTTTCCCCACATCCTCACCAACACTTGCTGTTTTGTTCTTTTGATAATACATCACCTTAACTGTGTGTGAGACAGTTCTATTGATGAGCTTGGACTGATCTTCTTCTGCTGCTTTCTCTTAGTAATTCTCAAGAATTACAGTAGAATGTGCAAGAAATGCAGCCCTGAGATAGGGAAGAACTTGCTAGAACAGGATGTCCTTTTTTTTTTTTTTTTTTTTTTTCAGATGGAGTCTCTCTCTGTTGCCCAGGCTGGAGTGCAGTGGCACAATCTTGGTTCACTGCAAACTCTGCCTCCCGGGTTCACGCCATTCTCTTGCCTCAGCCTCCTGAGTAGCTGGGACTACAGGTGCCCGCCACCAAGCCTGGCTAATTTTTTGTATTTTTAGTAGAGATGGGGTTTCACCATGTTAGCCAGGATGGTCTCGATCTCCTGACCTCGTGATCTACCCGCCTCGGCCTCCCAAAGTGCTGGAATTACAGGCGTGAGCCACCGTGCCAGGCCTCAGGATGTCCTTTAATGAATGACCACAGCATGTCATGTTTCTCCAAGGTCATATAATCCAGGCCAGGCTGCTGTCCAGAGCCCTTCAGCTGTGGTGCAAGTGGAGCACACACAATTGGAACTTCATCTGCCCTGGGCAGCTTCCCTGAGCTTGGGGGACTAGTTCCCAATGAATCTTAGGCTTCTGTTGTACCTTACTATCTCTAAATAATAAATCAACTTCATGTAACTTGTTGTATATAAGTGCAACAAGTTCTGTCTCATTAGACTCAGACAAGTTTTAACCAGTGCATAATGAACCTGCTTCACAGCACAAGGTGAAACTGCGGTTTCACTTGGCATTTCCCTAATGATTACTGATGTTGAGCATCATTTACATACCTGTTGGCCATTTGTATGTCTTCTTTGGAGAAATGTCTATTCAAGTACTTTTTAAACAGGTTATTTGTTTTTATTGAGTTGTAGGAGTTTCTTATGTATTTTGAATATTAACATCTTAGATAAGTGATTTGAAAATATTTTTCCCATTTCATAGGTTCCTATTTCATTCTTTTAATGGCTTAATGCTAATTCTAAATAATGTCTAATTTCCAGTATACATTTTTATTCAAAACATAAATATGTTGAATTAAGATTTTTAAAAGTATTTAACTTATTTTGGTATGGTTATATTTTTGTAAATTTTTAATTTTAATTAGATTTTAATTTAATTAAAATTTATGGTAGATAACTAATTATAGTGATTATTCAAAATTTTGTTTAGATTTGCTTCATGGCTTTGCACATATGTATGGTTGGTAAATGTTCCATGTTCACAGCAGAAGAATATTTATGTTATGTTTCTTTCTTTTTTTTTTTTTTTTGAGACAGAGTCTCGCTCTGTCACCCAGGCTGGAGTGCAGTGGTGCGATCTCCGCTCACTGCAAGCTCTGCCTCCCGTGTTCACACCATTCTCCTGCCTCAGCCTCCCGAGTAGCCGGGACTACAGGCACCTGCCACCACACCCGGCTAATTTTTTCGTATTTTTAGGAGAGACGGGGTTTCACTGTGTTAGCCAAGATGGTCTCGATCTCCCGATCTCATGATCCACCCGCCTTGGCCTCCCAAAGTGCTGGGATTACAGGCATGAGCCACCACGCCCAGCCTATGTTATGTTTCTGTATTCTACAATGTCCAAACATAATAATTTTGTTATGCACATATTTCATTTCTTTCTTTTTGCTGGATCTATCAATTACTGAAAGAGGTGAGTTAAAATATCCACACACAATGTGGACTTTATTGATTTTCCCTTGCAGTTATTTGATTTGGCTTTATGTAATTATGGCACATTGCTTGCATTTGTAACCTTGATTCTTCACCTCTCCCTGAATCCACACCCTTTGTTTAACCTTCTAGTGCTTTTCCATTTGACTCTAATCTTTGTCTTTAGCAAAAACATGGCATGAGCTTGAACAGTGCTTGATCAATTGTGCTTGTTTCTTGCCATCTGCTGATCACAATAAGTTCATGCCCTGGCTTGTCTTTTGCAGATATCCAGCCAAGATGATTCAAACTAGCTGGCAGCTAGCTAATGACCAGTTATATGAGTAAAACTATGTGAGCCAGAAAAACTAGATTGTCAATCCAAGCCTAGACAGTTGACCTGCAGACTCATGAGTAAATACGTTTTTTTAATACTCCTGACATTGTGTGCTCTATATGTGTGTGTGTTGGCATGTGTGTGTTGTTTGTCATTCAAAGATTTTATTGCAACAGAGAAATTATACAGCATTTTACGTTTTTATAGGCAGACATATTCTATTATATACTTGGGAATTAGCAATATTTTATTATAAAATGACTTGCTTCGAGACAAGTAATATTTTTTCTTTTTTCTCCTTTCTTTTAGATTGGTTTTTACTCGTTAAAACTATTTTACTCTCTTATACTTAACTTTTCTTCATCTTTGTGTTTAATGTGACTCCTTTACGTAATGTAATAGAGTGACTTTCATAATCAATAGAAAGTTTTATGGTTTATGCTGACTTACTTGTGCTACTTGTAAGATGAAGAAAACAGCAAATACATACAGAGTAAAACAGAGGTTGGAAGCTTGCTACTTGCACTTTAATTTTATATTTTATTCTCAAGGATACATAAAATATCAAAATACTTTTATTGTATTTCCTGTTTGATAGGTATAATGGTTAATTTTAGGAGTCAACTTTACTGGATTAAGGCATACGTCCATAGCTGGTAAAGCATTATTTCTGAGGATGTCTGTGAGAGTGTTTTTCTGAAGAGATTGCCATTTGCATTGGTGGATGAGTTAAGGAAGGTCTTCCCTCAATGTGGGCAGGTACCATTCAATTATGTGAGGGCCCAGGTAGAAAAAAACAGGCAAAGTGAATATGCTCTCTGTTCTGGAGCTGTGACACACTGCTTCTCTTGTCCTTTGGCATCAGAACTCCAGATCTGGTCTTTGGACTCTGGGGTTTGCACCAGTGGCCCCCTAGTTTCATAAGCTTTTGACCTTGGATTGAAAGCTACACGATCAGCTTCCCTGGTTCTGAGGCATTTGTACTTGAACTGAGACACATTACCAATTTTCAGGGGTCTCTAGCTTGCAGAGGACCTATCATGGGAATCATCAGTTTCCATAATCACATGAGCCAATTTCCCGAATAAATCCTCTATCTATCTATCTATCTATCTATCTATCTATCTATCTATCTCTCTGTCTATCATCTGTCTGTCTGTCTATTATCTATCTATCTGTCTATCTATATCTATCTAATTGGTTTTGTCTGTTAGGAGAACCCTGACTAATACAATATGTTAAAAATACAATATGTTAACACTGGACTCCCATAGGGTCTAATGTTATAGCTTCAGGACTGAATATATGTAAAGGAATTTAAAAATAAATACCTTGCCGATGAGTTGTTCAGGCCCTAGGAAGTTCTCTTGTGAACCTCTAACATGTATATTGCAATAGAATTTTCTGGACACTCACATTATATTATAAGTCTGCCTTGCCCCATGACCTTGAGTTAGGAGAAACATATAACAAAACCATATTACATCCACCATCACCCAAAATAAATTTAACTCCTCAGCATATCAATGATATTATCTGAGACTGTGCAGCTTTGAAATGCACATATATGTCACCACTACTGTGTGGTAGCTTTAACCTAGAAGGAAGGAGTAGTTAATCTGCAGCGTTCATAAGTAGGACTAGAAGGAATGTGAAGCAAGGAATAGAATGAGGATGAAAGTCTTAGAAAACATGAAAAAAAATAAACTGTTTTAACTGGATAAATATTTAATGCCATATATGTTTAAACATCAGAATTGATACAAATGCCCTAGTGCATTTTGTGTTGCTATAGCAAAATTCCGAGATGGGATAATTCACAATAATTTATACAGAAAAGAAAGTTTGGCCAGGCGCAGTGGCTCACGCCTGTAATTCCAGCACTTTGGGAGGCTAAGGTGGGCGGATCACAAGGTCAGGAGATGGAGACCATCCTGGCCAATATGGTGAAACCCTGTCTCTACTAAAAATACAAAAAAAAAACAAAAAAAAAAAAACTAGCCAGGTGTGGTGGTGGGTGCCTGTAGTCCCAGATACTCCAGAGCCTGAGGCAGGAAAATTGCTTGAACCCGGCAGGCAGGGGTTGCAGTAAGCCAAGATTGTGCCATGGCACTGCAGCCTGGGCGACAGAGTGAGACTCCGTTTAAGAAAAAAAATATAAAAAGGCCGGGCGCTGTGGCTCACACCTGTAATCCCAGCACTTTGGGAGGCTGAGGCGGGCAGATCACAAGGTCAGGAGATCGAGACCATCCTGGTCTAACTCAGTGAAACCTCGTCTCTACTAAAAATACAAAAAATTAGCCAGGTGTGGTGGCGGGCGCCTGTGGTCCCAGCTACTCTGGAGGCTGAGGCAGGAGAATGGTGTGAACCCGGGAGGCAGAGCTTGCAGTGAGCTGAGATCGCACCACTGCACTCCAGCCTGGGCAACAGAGCGAGACTCCATCTCAAAGAAAAAAAAAAAAAGAAAGAAAGAAAGGAAAAAAGTGTATTTGGCTCATAATTCTGGAGGCTGGGGTGTCCCAGAAGCATAGTGTTAGCATTTACTAGGCTTCTGGTGAGGGCCTTTTGCTGAGTCATAACATGGTGGGGAAGTAAAAACAAAAGGGCAAGCAAGCACGTACAAAGAGGCAAACCATGAGGGGTAACCTCTCTTAATAATAATCTGCTCTCACAGTAACTAATAGAGCTCCGTGAGAAGAGAACTCAGTCCTGTGAGACTACATCAGCTCTTTCATTAAGGGTGAATCCCTCATAACCCAAATGCCTCTTAACGATCCCATGACCTCTCACTCAGTAGCATTACATTGACTTTTTTCCTTACTTTTTTTTTTTTTTTTTTTTTGAGCCGGAGTCTCACACTGTCTCCTGGGCCGAGTGCAATGGCCAGATCTTGGCTCACTGCACTCTCCGCCTCCCGGGTTTAAGCGATTCTCCTGCCCCAGCTTCCCAAGTAGCTAGGATTACAGGCATGTGCCATCACTCCCTGCTAATTTTTTGTATTTTTAGTAGAGACGGGGTTTCACTATGTTGGCCAGGCTGGTCTTGAACCCTTGAGCTCAGGTGATCCACCCTCCTCAGCCTCCCAAAGTGCCCAGCCTATATTGGCTTTTTTTAACATGAGTTATGACAGGGACAAACACATCCAAACTATAGCAAATGGCATATCAAAATTTTTAAATTTTAAATAAAAAAAGATCTGACAATGCTGTGAGCACCCAGAATTCTCACTTTTCCTGCCTGAATATCAAGATTCCTTGATTGTTACCTATAGGAGAATTTTCGGAGAGGATATTAGGTTGTTCTTGCGTACAAATTAAGACCTGACATTCTGATATATTAAAGATATGAAGTCTGATGTTAACGAATATCTGGAAGTGAGGATAGTTGTACTTTTTTAAATATGTTTTAAATTCCTTTGACTTTGCAATGCTTTCCCACACAGGCTTAGCTAAATTTTCAGCCAGGCACGGTGGCTCACTCTTATAATCCTAGCACTTTGGGAAGCCAATGTAGGTGGATTGCCTGAGCTCAAGAGTTCAAGACCAGCCTGCATAACATGCTGAAACCCTGTCTCTACTAAAATACAAATAATTAACCAGGTGTGCTGGCCGGCGCCTGTAGTCTAAGGTACTTGGGAAGCTGAGGGACAAAATTGCTTGAACCTGGAGGCAGAGGTTGCTTTGAACCAAGATAGCGTCTCTACATTCCAGGCTGATGCTACAGAGCGAGACTCCGTCTCCAAAAATTAAAATTAAAATAAACAAAACAAATAATAAATGAATTTTCTTTTATTACTTTCTGAAGATCTTCCTTTTAGTGTGACTGGCAAGTTTAGTCTCCTTATTGTTTTGTGATTTCTGATCTTTGACTTTTAAAGTTCATTAACTTTGGAGTTGCTTGTGCTGTAGGAATCCTGACTTTATTTTAAAAATGACCTCAACAGATACTTTACTTTCTTTAGCCAATCAGTAATTCATTTCAAAATGTCATTTAAAAATATGTTATCTCACAACTTAATTCTCCTTTTAAAAGTTGTTTCAGCTGCATGCAGTGGTGTATGTTGTAGTCCCAGCTACTCGAGAGACTGGGTCAGGATTTTTGCAGTAAAAATAGGTAGATTATAATGATTTGTTTAATACTTTTTGTTCACCATACTGTTGTTAAATTGTAATCATTTTCTCTATTCATTCAATTAGAGAAGTTATTGGCTGGGCACCACGGCTCATGCCTGTACTCTCATCTCTATCGAGGGCCAAGGTATATATCGCTTGAGCCCAGGAGTTTGAGACCAGCCTGGACAACATGGCAAAACTTCATCTCTACTATATATATATATTTTTTTATATATTATAGTTTATAATATATAAATGTGTATATATATTATTTATGTATATATAAATAATAGCCAGGTGTGGTAGCATGCACCTGCATTTTCAGCTACTCAGGAGGCTGAGGTTGGAAGATAGATTGCTTCAGCTCAGGAGGTGGAGGTTCTGTACTCCAGCCTGGGCAACAGAGCCAGACCCTGTCACAAAAAAAAGAGAAAGAGAGAGAGAAATGAGAGGTGACAGCGTGCTGACAGTCCTCAGAGCCCTTGCTTGCTCTCGGTACCTCCCCTGCCTGGGCTCCCACTTTGGCGGCACTTGAGGAGCCCTTCAGCCCACCGCTGCACTGTGGGAGCCCCTTTCTGGGCTGGCCAAGGCTGGAGCCCACTCCCTCAGCTTGCAGGGAGGTGTGGAGGGAGAGGCGCAAGCAGGAACCGGGGCTGCGTGCGGCGCTTGCGGGCCAGCTGGAGTTCCGGGTGGGCGTGGGTTTGGCGGGCCCCGCACTCGGAGAAGGCCAGCCGGTCAGCCCTGCCTGCCCCGGGCAATGAGGGACTTAGCGCCCCTGGGCCAGTGGCTGCGGAGGGTGTACTGGGTCCCCCAGCAGTGCCAGCCCACTGACGCTGCGCTCGATTTCTCACCGGGCCTTAGCTGCCTTCCCGCTGGGCAGGGCTCGGGACCTGCAGCCCACCGTGCCTGAGCCTCCCACCCTCTCCGTGGGCTCCTGTGCGGCCGGAGCCTCCCCGACGAGTGCCACACCCTGCTCCACGGGGCCCAGTCCCATGGACCACCCAAGGGCTGAGCAGTGCAGGTGCACCATGCAGGACTGGCAGGCAGCTCCACCTGCAGCCCCCGTGTGGGATCCACTAGGTGAAGCCAGCTGGGCTCCTGAGTCTGGTGGGATCGTGGAGAGTCTTTATGTTTAGCTCAGGGATTGTAAACACACCAATCAGCACCCTGTGTTTAGCTCAAGGTTTGTGAGTGCACCAATCGACACTCTGTATCTAGCTGCTCTGGTGGGACCTTGGAGAACCTTTATGTCTAGCTCAGCGATTGTAAATACACCAATCGGCACTCTGTATCTAGCTCAAGGTTTGTAAACACACCAATCAGCACCCTGTGTTTAGCTCAAGGTTTGTGAATGCACCAATCGACACTCTGTATCTAGCTGCTCTGGTGGGGCCTTGGAGAACCTGTGTGTCCATACTCGGTATCTAACTAATCTGATGGGGACGTGGAGAACCTTTGTGTCTAGCTCAGTGATTGTAAACGCACCAATCAGCACCCTGTCAAAACAGACCACTTGGCTCTCCTATCAGCAGGATGTGGGTGGGGCCAGATAAGAGAATAAAAGCAGGCTGCCCGAGCCAGCAGTGGCAACCCGGTAGAGTCCCCTTCCACACTGTGGAAACTTTGTACTTTCGCTCTTTGCAATAAATCTTGCTACTGCTCACTCTTTGGGTCCACGCTGCTTTTATGAGCTGTAACACTCACCGCGAAGATCTGCAGCTTCACTCCTGAGCCCAACGAGACCATGAGCCCACCGGGAGGAACGAACGACTCCAGAAGCGCCACCTTAAGAGCCGTAACACTCACCGCGAAGGTCTGCAGCTTCACTCCTGAGCCAGCGAGACCACGAACCCACCAGAAGGAAGAAATTCCGAACACATCCGAACATCAGAAGGAACAAACTCCAGACGCGCCACCTTAAGAGCTGTAGCACTCACCGCGAGGGTCCGCGGCTTAGTTCTTGAAGTCAGTGAGACCAAGAACCCACCAATTCCAGACACAGAAAGAAGGAAGGGAAGGAAGGAAGGAAGGGAAGGAGGGAAGGGAGGGAAGGAAGGGAAGGAGGGAAGGAAAGAAGGGATGGAGGGAGGGGAGGGAAGGGGAGGGAGGGAGGGAAGGGAGGGGAGGGAGGGAGGGAGAAAAAAAATCTTGCTACTAAAATTTTTTCTATTGAAAATTTCTTTGCCTTTTTCAAAACTTGTACACAATAACTGACACTATTTAACAATATGCTAAATATGGTAAGCAATAAAAATAAACCAAAACCTTTGCTGATGTAACATATTACAGACACCAAAAACTGATCTCTTATAAAAAGTGATATATGAAGTCTGTGGTACATGAATTCTGTCTCTTTTCATTTATCAAAGTCTAATTATTCTCTAGGTACAAATAGATAACTCTTGTTTCCCCAGGGCATAGGTATGTAAGCAGAGCACTACCTAAAAACAGATGAAAAATAAATAGATCTACTCAAGTGAAAAAGTTTAGCAAGTGCATCTATTGTGTATGGCACCAATTATTTTACGAACTTGCTGCTTTGTATTCAATACAAAAATGACAAATGAGGACCCTAGTACATTTCTATATAGGCCTTGTCTATGTACATAAATCATATTGGAAATTTGAGAGATTCATGAGACTAGTACAGGCCAAAAGTGCTATTTTACCTGGGTAAATAAAAGGTAAGAAAACAATTTTATCATCATGTGACTTATTTTTTTAATCTTTAAATTTATAAATAGGGATATGAAGCCAGCTGAAGACACTTTGTTTCATGTGCTTTCAGAAATTTATGTAAGTTAATCTTTACACACGCACACACACACATACAGAATTTGGTATCTGTATGAAACTACAGAGCCTCAGAAAAGATGATTGTACAAAACCATATGATAAAAATACACTGCTGAACTATAAGAGCATTTCCGCTGGATTGTAAAACACATTTATCTTGTTATATCATTAAAATGGAAATTTCAGATTAGGTTATAGTATATCCTAATCATTACGAAGGATGGGGCTTTCAAAATAAAATATACTTGAAGAAGTATAAAAATTATTTTATTATGACACTTTCTTAACGTATTTCAATATTCAGGCATTATTCTAAGATTTAAAGAATACTAAAGCTTACAAGTTTGTATTTTTCACCTTATCTTTTATAATTAGTTAACCTTAATGTACATGTAATTTATTTACATTATGTTGACTAACAGTCTAGCTCACTGTCAGAAAGAAGTCAAATTGTTGTGTATTAGGAGTTAATTTTTACAAATAGTATTTTTATTTGTACCCAAAATGTCTTGTATTTAAGTGTTTTTTAAAAGTTTTTTGCTATAGATATAAAATGATATGAAAATACTACATATTTCAAAAATACGGTCCTGATAAACTAAGAGAATGTGGTGTTCTATATGTAGTAATTGTCAGTTATTTTATTTTTAAATTTGTAAAAAATTATTAACAATATGAGATATTGTTTATGTATATAACACATAGAGAGGGAGCAAGAAAGAATTCAACATATCAATTAATTGTTTATATATAGTAAAATAATATGTGAAATAGATTAGTGTGTTCAATCTTATTCATGTTATTCATAATACATAAGTCCATTTCCTCAAGTACATTTAAAATAAAACCAGTTTTCTGGTCTGTCATTCCTCATTCTGGTGCTTTGCCTTGCCTCTTACTGCCCCATCTCCCCATATTTAAAGTGAACTTTAACTCCAACATGTATTTTCTGTACAAGGCGCTTAGGGTTTCCTGAATGACACTTCTTGTTTTCATAGATAGGTCAATTTTTCCATTAGCTGGTATATTTGCAAATTGGGAACTGAAGAGCAAAATTATCACTCATGGCCATTACTTGATTATACAATCGGTGGTGTAAATATGCAGAGACATAATTGTCTGGAAAATTTTGTATTTAATATCCTAGTAAACATCAATGTGACATTATGAGAAATGTGGGAATTTAGTTGTACTTCCTGTCACTTTCATGTATCAGTATAGTTACAGCTCCAAAATAACAGGTACTTGTACGTAACTTTTACTTGCACTCCTTGCACATAAGTTCAAGTTCACAACCTATTTTACCTTTTAGTTTATGTTTATATTTATTTATATCATTTTAACTATAGTCAAAGATGTTAGTTACTGAGTACAAGTTTTGGAAAAGGTTGAGAAATTTTCAATACTTTTCTGCAGGATTTTTTTAAATTAAAGAAACAGTCCTGTGATTTATGGGGGCACTGTTACTTTTAATGAACTCAGGGCCTATAAAGGTTTTAATAGAGGGATAAATAAGAAGCAGTGAAAGTGAATTGACAGCCCCGCCTATAAGAGAAAACCAGAGAGTTTCTTGGTAAAGAACAACAAAGTCAAGGGAAGGAAGCAAGGGTGGGTGGCTGCAGACCTCTTGAGTTATTTTTTTTCCTTTGAGATGCAGCATTTAGGGTAGCTATCACTCTAGGTTCCGCCTGCTACAGCAGGTGTTTCTTTTAAATAAACAATTGGTTTATGCACAACTCTTTCCCCCTAATCACAGTAGTCAGTTTCTTTCTCCAGTTCCTCTTTGGCACATTATTTTTATTAAGAGCACCAGTGAGAAGCCAATATGTGATCCGAATTCTTAACCAGATAGCTAAACAAATGTAGTTCTTCAGAGCTTTCTAATGTGCAGTGGGACTATGCTTCTTAAAAATACCACTTGCTTTTCAGTCAACACTTGGGGACAACCTACTATACTTTCCAGCATGATTGGTATACCTCTCTGCTATTAGAGAGAAATAACCCCTAGATACCTTTTCCATTTCAGTGGAGATGACGATGCACTGAAATAGCTCTCGGGTGTACCTGAAACCATGACATTGCAAGGGAGTTTATATTTTAAAGCTAAGAAGTTACATTTCATTAGATGTTAGTGTCTAATAAATATGCAGTGCACTGAGAGACTTCCTAGAAAGACAGAGAGTTGGTACACATTTCGCAAATTGTTTGACAGTCATTAAAAGTTACATAAATCACAATAAAATAGACACGAAAACTTCATCTACAGTAAAACTAGACAAGTTCCCATCATCATCCCACACATTCTGAAATGGCAACCTGATTCAATGAAATATAGATGAAGCTGAAAAATGATACAACCAGCTAATACTCCATTTTCTGGCAAGTGAACATAGTGCAATTGTAGGACTACATACAGTTTTTTTTAACAGTAATATTTCTTATCCTGAAGGTGTAAGAGCTGAAGCCCTGGATAGAATATAGAGAGCAAAATGAGCAAACTATTTAGAGATGAGACTTGCAAGTCAGCCTGGAGTAGAATTCCATCATTGAAAGCAGTGATTCTCAGATTTTAGTGTGTATAAGAATTACTAAGAAAGCTTGTTAAAAACAGATTACTGAATCCCGTTCCCAGAATTTCTAATTTGATAAATCAGTGGTGCTTGAGAATTTTTCTTTAAACAGTTCCTGAGTGATACAGAAGCCGCAGGTCTGAGACTACACTTTGAGGTAGAAATGACTTTTTAAAATGTTTTTAATGTGTCTTTGACGTAACTTTCCTAAGAGAAAGCAAACTGTAGACATGGAAACAAGCTGCCTCTAATAGCTGTGGGATGTGGGTGGGGAAAGACTTGGGAATGGCACACAGAAAAAGCTACATTGCTTTCTGAAAACCAGAATCTAGTATCATGCTGTGATGGCTTCGTGCTGTGTGACCTTGGCCAGGCTCCATTTCCTGTCCAACAATTCCCTATTCAGCTTCCACATAGGGTGGGCTATTTAAAAAGATATGTATTGACACAATCATTCTATAATTTAACCTAAATATTTTCAAACATAATCAATTTAATTATTAGATTATAAATTTTAAGGGCATGAAAATCCACAAAAAATTATAATTCTTTATCCAAAACTATGTAGTAAACTTTTATGCTTTTAAAGTAGTCAATGTAAGGAAGGAATCACCGAAGTGAAACTAACCCAATACTCCCATAGATAGTTTTTTGGATAAATATAGAAATTGACTCTTCTGGTTTCAAAGCTTGAAACTTACATTTACTTATCTGAGTTCCTTCCTCAGAAAACCAGACCTCTCAAAAAGTATCAAACAACTGAAACTCACCAGATCCTCCCATCCAGACAATGACATACCAGTCCCCTCATTCATCATGATTGCTTACTTAGGCCTCCCCAGTTCCCGTTTTATTACATATAGTTACATTTCTTCTCTGATATATAAACCCCTAATTTTAGTTGGTTAGGGAGATGAATTTGAGACTGATCTCCCATTTCCTTGGCTGCACACCATTAAAGCCTCCTTTCTTGGCCATAATCCATAATTGTCTCAGAGATTGGCTTTCAGTGATTGGCTTTGTGTGAGCAGGAGGACCTAGACTGAACCTTTTGTGTTTTGGTTAAAAAAAAGGGAGAATAAAAAATAAAATAGAAAAAATTACTATAATTTTCTCATACATTCTGCTAGGTAGAATGTAAAAAACATAAAAGTGAGTCTTAAAAAAAAAGCTTACTTTGAAGACTAGAAAGAGTTAAAGTCTAATAATTTCAAGTCAGTAAACAAGCCTTCTGTTATCAGTGTTGTATACCAATAGACAATTAATATTGAAGAATCTGGGGATGAAGTTTTGAGGGTATTGAAGCCAATTATAAAGATATTGCAATAAACTAACCTTGATCAACTGAGGTCATTAAAGGAAACAAAGTGAGACAAAAGAGAATGAAACTTTATCATAACATTGGAGTAGAAAGTTTTAATCACATTTTGTATTGATTTTACAGAAAAAAAGATTGGATTTCAAAGTTGAGTTGTCATCAATTCATGCAGTGTGGAAGTAAATACATTTTATAATGTATTACTAACTTACAAAAGTCTTTAAGAATTCTTATTTTGTGAAAGTGGCAAGGCAAATAAGATTGTCTTTAGTTAACACAATGCTTCATTCTTTTTCCTTGACGTTGGCCTCCTCTTTAATATTAAAAAGCAAAAGAAGTCACAGGGAGATTTTAAAACTACATCAATTCAGTAAGGTGTTATACACTTTTTCTGAGGCGTCTCAGCTAATTCAGTTAACATCCTTTTTTTTTTATCTTTTTCTCCCTTTTCTTTCTCAAAAGGGTTCCTTCTGTTTTCCACTGACATTGTGTATTAGTAATTTACTTAGACTAAGTGAGAACATTAAAACCTTAGGTTGCATCTGCAAAACAAAGTTTAATTTGAGATGAATTTATTTATCCTACACACACCCACACACAGACTTATCTAAATGGCACGAAGTAAACACACACACACACACACACACACGGTTTCTATTGGGAGCCACCACTTAAGGGATCACATTACACTAGAATCAGAGAAGACGTGGTAGAAAAATTTGGGGTAGGTTAACAATAACAAAATACATTGGTGTTTCAGACAAAGTACAGGTGATAGAAGATGAAGGTAGGAAAAAGAATAAGATTGGGCAGGGTGCAGTGGCTCACTCCTGTAATCCCAGCACATGGGGAGAACAAGGCAGGAGGATTGCTTGAGGCCAGACGTTCAAGACCACCCCTAAAAACCTAGTGAATCTCTACCAAAACAAAAAAGAAATTAACAAATTAGCTGGGTATGGTGCTGTATACCTGTATCTGCAGCTATGCAGCAGCTGGGGTTGGAAGATGCTTTTGTGTCCGGAGTTGGTGGGTTCTTGGTCTCACTAACTTCAAGAATGAGGCCCTGGATTCTCACAGAGTGCTACACTTCTTAAAGATGGCGTGTCCAGACTTTGCTCCTTCTGATGTTTGGACATGTCCAGAGTTTCTTCCTTCTGGTGGGTTCATGGTCTGGCTGACTTCATGAGTGAAGCTGCAGACCTTTGCAGTGAACGTTACAACTCTTAAAGGCAGCGCATCTAGAGTTGTTCATTCCTCTTGGTGGGTTCATGGTCTCGCTGACTTCAGGAGGCAGCGCATCCAGAGTTGTTCACTCCTCCTGGTGGGTTCGTGGTCTCTCTGATATCAGGACTGAATCTGCTGAGGTTCACAGTGAGTGTTACAGCTCATAAAGGCCACTCGGACCCAAAGAGTCAGCAGCAGCAGGATTTATTGCGAAGAGCAAAACAAGGAGGCTTCCACAGCATGGAGGCAGACCCCACCAGGTTGCCACTGCTGGCTTGGGTGGCCCCCTTTTATTCCCTTATTTGGCCCCACCCACATTCTGCTGATTGGTCCATTTTACAGAGCACTGATTGGTCCGTTTTACAGAGAGCCGATTGGTCCGTTTTACAGAGTGCTGATTGGTGCGTTTTACAGAGTGCTGATTGGTGCATTTACAATCCTTTAGCTAGACACAGAGTGCTGACTGGTGCATTTACAATCCTTTAGCTAGACACAGAGCACTAATTGGTACATTTACAATCCTTTAGCTAAACAGAAAAGTTATCCAAGTCCCTACCTGAGCCAGAAGCCCAGCTGGTGTCACCTCTCACTTTGAGCCCAGAAGTTTGAGGTTATAGTGAGCTATGATTCTGAAACGGGAGAGTTCCCTGACACCACCCCACCACCCCACAACACACACACACAGGATGTGTGATAGGAGTGTGACTCCTCTTTTAGGTCATCACTGCTACTCAAACCCATTACAGGATGGGGAGCACATAGATGGGCAGGTGCAGGAACCAGAGTGAACACCCCTGGGCACCAGCACCACAGAGCCTGTGACTTCCAGAGCCCAAATGGGCGTGTGTTACGGTGACTCCTTTAGTTGCTGATGGCTTAAGTGTTCAATGGACCCTCTGCCTTTTTGCAAGGGCAGGGGGCCAATGTGATTGCTTTCTATATCCTGAGGTCTTGTCCAGCATTGCAGAAGAATTGGGTCACGTGTACTTGAAGGATGGCCTATGAAAGGGTTTTATTGAGTGGTGAAGGTGGCTGTCAGCAGGATGGATGGTAGCTGGGAAGCGGACAGAGTGGGAAGACAATCTTCCCCTGGAGTTTGGTCAGCGGACAATTCTCCAACTGTCCCCAGCTGAACTCCTCCTGACGCTCCTTCTCTTCCCTCCTTCTCTGCCTCTCTTCTGCTCTTCTGTTCATCCGCTAGTATCCTCTCGTCTCCTTCTGGAGCTGGGGGTTTGGGGTTTTTATGGGTACAGGATAGGGGGCTTGGCAGGCCAGAAGGCAACTTTTGGGCACGAAAACAGGAATGCCTGTTCCCATTTAGGTTAACGGGTTTCTATGGTTTGCAGGCTTGGGAGCGGGGCCTTTGCGGGGGAACTGCCCTCTTTTACTCTGTATTTCCCTGTCTCCTGTTCATACTAATCACACCACTGCACTCCGACAGAGTGAGACCCTGTCTCAAAAAAAAAAAAAAAAAGAAAGAAAAAAGAATAAGATTGATTATGCTTCTATATAATTTACTTTTTTAAGAATATGAAGACCACATAGAATACTATACAGTTTGAAAATACAAACATTTGCAAAGAACAGCTTTATTGCTGTTGATTTAGATATACATACAGATACATACATTAATTATGTGATCTTAGGAGATGCTTTATGTTCCACTAATTCTATTATTTTGGCAACGATCTCTGACACAAAAAAAAAAATGAACAGAAAGATCAAATTTGTGATCTTTAACATTTTCAGACAATATATGCAGCTGATGTGCCTGTCTATTATTCCTTTGGCCAAAAACTCATTGGTGAATTAAGAAATAGCCATATGGGAGTGTTTGTTTTCACATTTGTAACAGTTTGTTTATAATTTTTAAATCCTTATCTATCACATTGCAAGAATTCTTTCTCTCAGGCTAGTAAGTTTGGGAGGGAGCTGGTTCTACAAAATATTTCTAGAACAGAAGAAGAAAAGGCAGATTGTTTCCATATATATTTTAGTCAACTGAAAGCCACATGATTTATGGCCTTTCATATTCTCATTTGCAGCTCTTCAAGCTGTACCTGAGCTCTATGAGCTTCTCTGACAACCTAAATTGCTTTGAGAACAAAGACTATTTAAAATAAAATCATGCTAAGACTGATTGGACACAGGCATGTGAATGTGAGAGGGACATCAATAGGAATTGGTAGCTGTACTGAGAAATTAGGTCTCACATTCAAAATAACACAAGTCATTGAGAACAGCCTCATTCGATAGAACTTTCTCAGAATCATAACTATACCACACATGTCCACAAGTACATAGGGACTGGATAAATCTTCAGTGTTGGGTATAGCTATTTATCTTTTTTTCTGCTTTGGGAATTCAAGTGAAGCCTTTGCTAAAACACTGTTAACCATGGTACTCCAAATGCTGTTATGCTAGTTATATATTTGGTTGAAGAGGTTGTTGTAATCAAATCGGCATTACTGAATACAAGTATGGAGATTCTCCTGAAAAAAAAATACAAATGCTTGAATAGAAAAGCAAAAGAGGACATTATAGTGTTCCTTCTCCAGGAAATGGGACATTCCAGTGATGCTCACACTAAAACAATGTTATTGTTTCAACCTATGCATTAACTATAGTTGGAGCATTCCAAATCCTAACATATATTCACCATAAATCCAAATACACTGACAACCGCTCTCACATTCCCTTTGTTCAACTGATCTGGAGACTGATCAATTGTTTGATCAGTCTCAATCAATTGGAATATGTTTTAACAGTTTACCTACAATAGAGACTTAAGAAATGGAAAATATCACACACACACACACACACACACACACACACACACACACACACATATATACTCCCACATGACAAAATTTCTTTGCTTGACCAAACTTTAGACAGTTTTCTGAACCTTCTTCTAGGTCCATCTGTGCAGTTCCTTATAAATACAATTTTAATAAGAACCTAGCTGAGTTGGTTTAGCAAAAACCCACAATATTGAGAACTGATCACCCTCGATATCTGATTTGGTTCCTTATCTTCTACTTCCAGGTGATGCCTGCCTTCGGCAAGAATCCAGTTAGGTCTGTTTAGCCAGAATACCCCTTACCTCTGATGTTTTCTCTTAGTAATTCTGTATCCACTCACCCTCACACTACTCCTTGGCTATAAATCCCCACTTATCCTGGAGGTGAGCCCAATCTCTCCCCCTCACAGCAAAATCCCATTGCAACAGCCCCAATACCTATCACAGTGGTCCTGAATAAAGTCTTTCTTACCATGCTTTAACAAGTATCATTGAATAATTTTTTGTTCATCATACACAACTCTCATAATAAATATATATTAGCCTAGACACATACCCAAGTTGGAAGAGTAGTGGATATATCATAATATATGTTTTTTGTTTAAAGTCAATATTTTTCTAGCCTAATAAATTAACTGCAATTTAGAACACATTTTATGGAAAAAATATCATATATGAAAGGAACTTACCTGCTCAGAGTTTTCTTTTTTTTTTTCCTTCTTTTTATTTTCAGCAACACTGCACATATTTTGGGGATTGTCAATATTTAATTAGCCAACCGATCTCAATCACTAATCTTTTGTATGAAAGTCTCCACATCACCATGTGGGCCATAAATATTTTTCAAGATAAATTTGGCACAATGGCTGCCTTTGATGTACTTGCTCAACAAGTGTGCATTTGGTACCCACCATGAATCAGGCACTCTTCTAAGTATTATGCCTAATGAATTTTATGGATAGGATCCTTTCCTTTGAATCTCCATACAACGGTAGAATTGGGAGTACAAAAAAAAAACATGATAAACACTTCAGTGTGTAAGGCAAAAGACACATTTATGACCACTCTAGAATGTGTGTCAATGTAAGTGTTTTCAAAGAGGAAAGCTTTTAAAATCTTCTGATGAAAAAGGAATATGTCAAATCTGATTTCTGCTTCTTTCCAACCCTGTGCTATTCACTTAGTATTTTAGCTTTGCTTTTCTCCCCAGTAAAACAGAGATAAGAATGCCTGTACTTTCTGCCTGCCCCACAGAATTGTTGTAAATATCAAGTATTTTTGTTGATGTTGTTGCTGTTAGTAGTGGTAGTAGTAGTAATAGAATTAAGTAGAAGTGTCACTAATGTAACTTTGGGCAAGATCTATTTTAAATAACTAAGCCTTTTATCAAGTTAATCCACTTCTATTTTTTTTTTTTTTTTTTTTGAGACAGAGTTTTGTTCTTGTTGCCCAGGGTGGAGTGCAATGGCGCGATCTCAGCTCACTGCAACCTCTGCCCCCTGGGTTGAAGCGAGTCTCCTGCCTCAGCCTCTCTTGTATCTGGGATTACAGGCGCCTGCCACCAGGCCCAGCTAATTTTTTGTATTTTTAGTAGAGATAGGGTTTCACTATGTTGACCAGGCTGGTCTGGAACTCCTGATCTCAGGTTGACCCATCCACCTCAGCCTCCCAAAGTGCTGGGATTACAGGTGTGAGCCACCACACATCCAATCCACAGATACATCAGTGAAGAGGGAATGGGCCAAAGGATAAGAGAGAGAGAAGGGTAAGGAAAAATCAAACAGATATCAAAGATTGAACAGGCAAGTTCTGAATCCAATACCAGATCAGGAGCCTGTTACAAAATTTTCCTATTCTACTCCATTTCCTCTACAACTAACTTATTTTCCAGTTCATCTCATTGAGATATTGTTAGTAAAAATATTTTTCACTGGGTTTTTATGATGCATGCAGTGTGCATTGGAAGGAATAAGAGTTTTCCTTAAGTGGATAGGTAGCAAAGCCAGAAATCACAGAGTATAGCATTTATAAACCACTCATCATATGGGGAGCATACACCCTGGATATCAGAAACAATTGCATTTCACCCTAACACCCTGGAAGCCAGAAACAACTGCATTTGACCCTGATAACTGAATGGGTTCTGTGCACCCAAACTTTACTCTTTTAAACAAAATATGTCCTTCAGGGGAGGTAAATGACTCCCCAGAGAGGGGCAAAGACGCACTCCTCTGTAAGATTTTAAATGTTAGTTATAAGAGAGAGAGATAGTTATCCCTGTCATTCTCCCAGGAGGAAAGGCACGGGGAGTAGCGAAGTCTGGCACGACATGAGTTCAGGGAACATTTTCATTTCAGTGAGCATCTGCTGACAGGTAGTAAATCCAGTGGTAACCGGCATGTAGTGTGGGTGCCTTTCTGTCTAGTAAGCATGGTGAGACCACCTTATACCTGCTGGCATAATGCCTCTTGTTGTATTTGAGCTTAATGGGAGTTTAAAAACTATAAGAGAGGCCGGGCGCGGTGGCTCACACCTGTAATCCCATCACTTTGGGAGGCCAAGACAGGCAGATCACGAGGTCAGGAGATCAAGACCATCCTGGCTAACACGGTGAAACCCCGTCTCTACTAAAAATACAAAAAAACTAGCTGGGCGAGGTGGCGGGTTCCTATAGTCCCAGCTACTCGGGAGGCTGAGGCTGGAGAATGGCCGGAACCCAGGAGACGGAGCTTGCAGTGAGCCAAGATCGTGCCACTGCACTCCAGTCTGGGAGACAGAGCAAGACTCTGTCTCAAAACAAAAAACAAACAAACAAAAAAACTACAAGAGAAACTAAAAGAAAAAAATTGGCTGTATTGAAAAAGAAAAGCTCTTTTTAACAAAACTATATTATTTTGGTGCATATCTCACCCTTATGATTTTATATTTTCACAATTTTGCATAGTGTATTTTATAAATACTCTGAAATTTCTTGGTCTGGATTTAGATGGAGACTCTATATGTGTACCATTATTTTCAAAAGGGAGAATGGAAGAGTTTAAGCAGCAGTAGAGACAATAATGATGTGGCTTTGGCTGCCAAGGACTTGATGGACAAGTATTGCTTAGAGACAAATGTAATTGCTTGTTTCAACCTGCATGTAGAAAAGGAGGTCATAGATGTTTTAGATTTACAGTTAGATTGAGGCTATTTCTGAAGAACAAAATAACTACTTCTCTCTTGAATACATTTATCATGTTTGTTTCTTAACATAAACAAAATCTTGAATTCATAAAACATGTATTTAATATAATGAGTTATATTGAAGCAATAAATTATGTTAAATATAGTGAATTAATGTTAAAAGGTTGATGAGAATGATTAATTACAAATATAAATATGTATAGTCAGGGCAGTTACAAAGTAATCTAACTATACAATAAGAGCAGTGAGACTTGATACTGGATTATGCAATTTCCTATAACCAGGAACTGCCCCAAATTTATTTACCACAAGTCCCCTTGGATCTCATCAAATGACATCATTCCAATATGTACAATATTATTACACGGTTATGCTCTGTCAAGGACTGTTCTAACTGCAATTTGATCCTGAGACACCTCTGAGGAAATCTCTCTATCTCACTTCCAACAAAACATAATTTTCCCCTTCTGGTAAAGTTAGTTCAAGTTTATTGATTCTAGCAATTGAAATATGTGACTTCGAAAAACTTGGAATAACTAAGAGTTGTCAAGGTCACAAAGTGTTTTATCAGAGGAAATTACCGGTATACTACAGAGATTTGCTGTCAGGGTTAATTTTTCTCACTGAATAGCCACAAAAATTATTTAAATATTTTACTTTGTAATTACCGTACTGCACAGTATCATTCAGAACTCACCAACTGGCTCTCTTTTTGGACATTTTCCAAAGCTTGAATAGCATCATCGATAAATAACACTTGTTAACTAATCGCACACTGTCAGGTCATGTGTCTGAATAATTTGCTGTGTAATTTTCTCACTTTAGTCAAATTAAAATGTGGAAATGCATATACTTTTCTAGGCAGTTAACTTAAGGATAGGTGATACGTTAAAATTAATTATCTGCCATGTCATATTATTCTAAATTTGAATGAGTTTCTCATTTGACCCAAAGATTTGCAAACATTGTGTAAATATAGGGCATTGACTAATTTTTTTCCACACATGTTCATATATATTAAATGGAAAGTAATGTCTTCCAAACCTTATACAAATTTGTTTGCCTATTAGTTGTGGGGACTTGAGGTGGGTCAGGTATAAAGACAACTAGATCCAAGTAATACGGATATGACCCAGGGTTTACTGGGGACATGGACTAGAAGAGCAGTAGCATAATGAACACTGTCTCCCAAACTCTGATTGTTCTACAGCCTAGGCTGGATATAGATGTTCTGTGTGCACCACAGAGATGCTTGCCTCAACCAACAACCTGAACATGCAAAGAAAAAGCTACTCCATATGTCATCCCTGCCTCTTCACCAGGTTTTTGTGTCTTCGGGTTAGCCTAAGAGGAAAAAGAACACTTAGTTTCTGTAAGCAACAAGAAATACATCAAAGGAACAGTCTTGCAAGCCAGGAATGCTGACATCAAATAATTTTCTGTCCCTCTGCAGACTAATCAGTCATGATGAGCCAGCTTTGAGCAAAACAACAGGAAGGGGAAGGAAGTGAGCCTCCAGGCCGCCCAAATTGGTTCCTCATCAGCCCACCCTTTGGTGCTTGGGGTATCATTAAATATAAGCTTCACAATTAGTTCTGATTGATGCTACATCTTAATGGGTTCCACAGTACTGTCTGAGAATAGTGTAGTTTTCCAAGTGTAGCCTGGTATGCTTGATAGCCAGGAACACCATTTGAACGATATTAAGGAAACCACAAAAAACTGGATTAGATGCAAAAGGATTGATCCCACTTTCTGAGGAATTTGCCTTATGAGTCATCACTAAGATTGCTTGTTATAAAATATTTGGAGAAAAAGATAATTATTTACTCTCAACCCACTCCCCTGTCATTTCCCAGGTTTGAGCAAGTATATGCTCACAGGAACTTAAGTCTGTCATGACCACTTGAGAATGAGGCAGTTGATTGATCAGTTTTCTGAAGTGATAATTTCTTTGTTTAGTTGTTGGTGTCATCCTAAGTGACCTCTGGGGGCAGAGGAGGGTGGTCTGAAAACCAGCTGAAACACAAGTTTACATTTGCTCCAGGTACCCTTGATAGGAGCATACGATCTGTCTATCCATCCCCTTAGATCAAAACACCCACTGGATAAAACTTTTATCCATTTTCAGACATTGCAGATGAATGAATATGTAATGGCTTAGAAAGAGTCACAATTCTCACAATCAAAACTACAATGACATATATTGCACCCCAGTTAAAATGGCTTTTATCCAGAAGACTAGCAATAACAAATGCTGGTGAGAATATGAAGAAATGAGAACTCTCATAAACTTGGTGGGAACGTAAATTAGTATATCTGCATGGAGAAGAGTATGGAGGTTCCTCAAAAATCAGATTTGACATACACACAGAAAAAAAACAGAACTATATTATTCAGAAGAGAAATGAACTATACAATTCCTTCTCAAATAAGGAAGAGAAGGACTCTATTTGGTAAAGGAGTGGAGTATGGCAGGAGGCTCAGCTGAGTCGGAGGAAGCCACACTGCCAGGTGTGGGAGTAGCCAATGAAGACAACAAGCCAAAACGAGAAACAGTCAAGCCTCCCATCACTTATTGCCATAATACAAGCAAGAGGCTAACCTGGAGAAATCACCATTTCCCCTGTTCCGTGTCCTCCCCAGGAATGGCACCAGAAGAGGGTCAGGAGGAATAGTTCAGGCGTGAAAATTATATCAATTGAAGTGAGACCGGTAGACCTCTCGACATATAACGACTCAGCGATTCCATCCAAACCCCTGCACTAAGAGATGACCAAACTCTAGAATGGCTTCTATAATAGCAGTATAAGGCTGTGTTCCTGGGATGACCCCAGCTCTCCCCCTACTCTACATCCTCCCCTTTCCCCTTATAATGTCGGCCTGAGAAAGCTCAATGTTGCCAAATGAATTTACTATTTGTTCCATCAAAAACCTGCTGATAAGCAGATAGGCTGTGGAAAACCATCTTGGAGAAGCTACTTCAAAAGACTGCTCCATTCAGGCTGCTATAACAAATACCATCGACCGTGTGGCTTTTAAGAAACACAAATGTATTTCTCACCATGCTGGAGGCTGGAAGTCTGTGATCACAGTGGTGCCTGTTGAGAGCCCTCTTCCAGGTTGCAGGCTGCGGTCTTTTCATTGTATCCTCACATGGTGAAAGGGATAAGGAGGTTTTCAGGTGTTTCCTTTGTAAGGGTTGTAATCCCATTTATGAGGACTCTACCCTAATAATCTCATTAACTTCAAAGACCTCACTTCTTAACACCATCATAGTGGGAAAGAGGTCTCAACAAATAAATTTTAGAAGTACACAAATGTTCACTCCATAGGCAGCTTGCAATTATGTATCTTTTTTTTTTAATCTCTTGTAATGGACGTGAAGCTAACACTCTAAACTGTTTCTTCAAGGACCTGAGAGCTATCTCTGAAATGCAAACATTCAGGGAGATAACTTGTTCTTTCACCCAGTCTCTGTGGGAGGACGGGGACTAACTCCTGTGGGTCTGTGCCTCCTTGTCACCTGTCATTATCCCTAGGTGATGAGATGGCTCACTAGAATTATCTCCAAAAAGCAAAATTAAAAATGAAACAGGGTACCAGGATGAGTAAAACACAGCTTATCTTGGGTTTCTAGTATCATCTAAGGGAGTTACTGAAACACACTACTAATGCCTCATGATACTAGATAAAATTTATTGGGGATAAATCAAGAAGGGATGTAGCACAGTGCATGCTTTTCCTTATTATTCTACAGCCTTATGTTGGACATAGTTGTTCTTTATGCAGTTTCACTGAGATCACAACAGATATAGTTTGGCTCTGTATCCCCACCCAAATCTCATCTCGAATTATAATCCCCGTGTGTGGAGGAAGGGAGGTGGTTGAATCATGGTGTTGGTTTTCCTCATGCTGTTCTCATGATAGTGAGTGAGCTCTCATGAGATCTGATGGTTTTATAAGTGTGTGGAAATTCCTCCTTCACTCTCCTCTCTTGCATGCTGCCATGTAAGATGTGCCTGCTTCCCCTTCTGCCATGATTGTAAGTTTCCTGAGTCTTCCCCAGCTGTGAGTCAATTAAACCTCTTTTCTTTATAAATTATTCAGTCTCGGGTATGTCTTTATAGCAGTGTGGAAATGTACTAATTCACCAGCTAAAAAGAGTATGTTTGGACTAGTAGGAGTGAGAATACCTCAACAAAGAGAGCAGGCTCTGTTCCCATCCTATGTTGCTATCTCTAGCATAAGCCGAGAGGTCCTAGGTAACACCTATTTTTTTCCAAGAAACCAGAAAATATATCAAGGAATTCCTAGGCTCAGGAACATATCTAGGAAATATGCATAGTGAGTATCATGTCTATTCACAGAGGGCCTAGAGAGCAGCTTTGCGTGGCAGGAACACACAGATCAGCCAGAGGTGTCGTCTCTCTGCAGAACACTTACTCTAGTGGAGCCATGTCTCTGCTCAGCTTCCGACCTGGCTAGGAAATCATATTCCAGGGTTATTACAATTGCTTTCTCATCATATAACTATATTTCTCCCACATTTTTACTATAGCCAGGAAAAAAAAGTCAAGGTTTAAAAAAATGACATATTCTGTTTGAGTTTCGATTTATTTTTAGTAGGCTAAAAAGAACTTCCATATTGTACTTGACCTCAGTTGGCGTGTTTATGTAAAAAACAGGGCTCTTTCCACCTTTTATTTATTTATTTACACACTTATTTATTTATCAGTTCAAAGTCTTTTGCTATGTGTGAGTTTACTTTGAATGATGTTGGGGACAAATATAAATAAAGTTGTAGACATTGAGAATTTTAGAATAATGTGGGACTCAGTCCATAAGAAGGTAAGAACCACAAACTATATAGGGAAATATAGACATAAATTAGACAATTTCAACACTTTATTACAGTAGAAATACCTAGAGAATGAAGTTGAAAACCATGAAAGAGAAGGAAGGACCTGCTTGAGGGAGGAAAGGGTGTCAATAAATTCTTAAAAAGAAAATGCAACACTTGAAAAAAAGATAAAAGAAGCAAGCACTTTACAGATGGATGTGTTTGGAGGTGAAATTTTAGGCTGAGGAACAGAATTAATAAAGACTTGACATTAAGAGAAAACATATCACTGGAGAGTTTAACATACTTCATAGAATGCCTGGAACACAGAGTGTGCAGAGAAGAGAGGGTTAGTGATGAGTTTAATGGATATGCATGACCTCCATCTTGCCTCACTAATAAATTTATCTTTGAATTTTATGTCATGGTCAGTTGCTGGTATATTTGATGCAAAGAGAAACCAAAATAGAATTGTATTTAGAAAGAACACATGGGCAAAATATGGAGGATAGATTAAAAGAAAGTGAAATTAGCATTTGAGAGGCCAACTGGGAGATGACTCTAGGAAACCAAATAGGTGACTCTTCCTTTGAATAGCTTTCCATTTTTATCACAAATTCACAATTTGTTACCCATTTGTAATTTTACATCAAGTCACAATTAAATTCAACTATAATAAACAGAACTCAAGGGCCAGTGTTTGGCAGTGAGATTAAGAACTAAAAAAAAACTGAAACAGAGCAACAAGCATATAAATATATAAATAAATGGAAAGGTCAGAGTTAAAAAGAGAATATGCAAAGTGGCTTGGAGTTTTAAAAATTCAAAGGGAAATTCAGTCAATGAAAATAAATTAAAGCCAAAAAGGATTATGAGCAAACTCTCTGAAGTTAAAGAACCCGCCCTACACACTCACCATATTTGTAACATTCTTATCCTTTTATTACAGCAAACATTCAAATGAAACCATTAAAATCACTGCCACAGTTTGATTGCAAGACCTTATCAAATAATGGATTTGACATTATTTATCTTCAAAGACTCAACATTCCGTCTAAAGCCCTGAGGCCTTGAATCTCCACTGAAGCTATAGATCATCTTCACAGATATGACTTTGATCTGATGACCATCTTTGTGAGGAAATTTTCCTTTAACTAGTGTGTGTCCTAATTAAAACAGAGGTATCTGCTGCGATTAAAAAAAAAAATCAAGGCATTTCTTACTAAGATTTCATCTGAAATACCTTCATGGTCAGTGGAACCTCAGAGATCCAGGTGCATTATACCTGCACGCTAATGTTTTGGCTCCCCCTGGAGGATATTAGTATGTCACAGAATTTACTAAGTGACAGAGTCAAAGCTAGTTTCCCACAAGCAATATAAAGTTGAAAAGATGAAAGATGAAAGGAAACAATAACAAAAAATAGGGGGTTCTGATTATATGATAGAATAACTGGTACTGAATTTGCCATCCCACAATAAACAACTTTAAAGCTAGACGGGGTATTTGAGACTAATGTTATTAGTCAAAAGAAAAGAGGCAACAAAAGACTGATCACTGAGGGAAGGGAAAATCGGAAGGCAAACCTCAAAATCACCCTGGCTCCTGGTGAAAGTATCCTTAAAAGTGGCAGAGCAAGCTGCATTCTTAGCAGGGCATGGTGTTACTACTGGACCCAAGAGCAAAAATCAGAGTTCAGATCAGCAATCTTGGATCTACAGGGCAAGACACTGGAAAGGAGGTAGTGTCAAACGGTTGGTAAGGAGGAGGCAGAAATCTTTATGAGGGCTTCCTGTGATGAACGGCTTGACAGAATGTGCGGAGCAAGAGCGCATGAAGCTTACAGTGGAGCAGTTTCAGCCAAATGTAGAACAAAGCAACAGAAATAAGAGAGGTCAGACAGTGCTACAGGGACATCAGAGGTCTAGCTCAGGTAAAAGGGAAAGAGATCGTTAATCATCTCTCAATCTCAGGTCATCAAGTCAGAGACCATGGAAATGCTAAGAGTTTAGAGTAGAAACAATGCCCAAATCATACGTATTAAAATGAGAGACACCATTAGGTTAGAAGTAAAATAATAAGCATAAAAATCCTAGTGACTATCTTATTACGATACAAGTAGACTTTATAAAAAAAGAATGAGTCAAGAAATAAAGACATTTCATCATAATAATAAAGGAACAATTCATTAGAAAGACATTATTTTCTAAATATGTATACACCTAAAAACAGAACTTGAAAAATGCATGAAACAAAACTAACAGACAAATTCTAAAATTTGAGGACTTAACATTTCTTCTGTCAGTAATTAATAGAATAAGTAGAAAAAATACAGCATGCATATAGGAGATCATAACAACACTATCAACCTACTTGACCTAATGAAGATTTACAGAAAGGTATGTCCAACAATTACAACTCTACAGGCTTTAGAAATACACACAGAAAAAAACATATTTCGGTCCATAAAACAACGTTCAATGCATTTCAAATTATAAAAAAATACAGTGTTTAGCCTGACTCAAACTGTATTAAATTCAAAATCAATAAAACAAGAAACAGAAAATTCCCCAATATTTGAGAATTCTATGACACATTTCTAAGCAGCCCATAGGTAAAAGCAAACATCCCCAAATTATTTTTAAAATATTATAAAAAAAGGAAAACTCAAAATATTTAAATATATAAGATACTGCCTAAATAGTTCTTAGAAGCAAGATTGTAGATTTAAATGCCTATAATTTAAGAGGAATAAATTTTGAAAACAATTGTAGGAGCTCCTACCCAATAAGCTCAATAAGAACAAATTAAATTAAAAATAATGGGCAGTAAATAATAAAAATAAAAACAGAAGTCAATGAAATAAAAGACAAGAGTAACAAAAACAAAAATAAAGCAAAGTAACGTAGTTCTGTTGAAGGTTTAATAAAGATGATAAACATATAGTGAGATTAATAAAGAAATATTTTAAAGAGAAAATTACCAAAATAAGAAATAAAAACCAGGATATCAAAAATTGATCATTCAGATATTAAAAGGTTAAAAGAAAACTTTATAATAACTTTGAGTACTTGGATGAAATTGACATATTTCTTGAAAAACTCGACTCTACAAAATTAAAGAACAAACATAGAATCTAAAATGACATATATCTGTTAAGAATATTGAGTTAATGATCAAAACCATCTCAAATATATACAAATACGTATATATTCCAAACAGAGAGGGTTTCAAAAAGTACTTCTTTATAACATTTAGCACTTGGAGTGCAGTGTAGAAAACTTACCTCCCTTCAGTTTCCTGTACTTTTACTACTTTTAAATAACATTGTCTTGAGTATAGGATAGTATTATAATTTCTCTTTTAATAATAAAATGTTATAAAACTCATGGGGAGAATGATATACTGAGTTCAATAGTGTCTCTCAGAAACCAAAAACCACAGAATGTGGTCATATTTGGAAATTTAGTCTTTGCTGATATAACTAATTTTAAGTAATAATGAGGTCATGTTGGGTTAGAATGGGCTCTAATGTGATAATTGATTATTTTCAAAAGAATTGAAAACAGAAACACAGAGACACAGACACAGGGAGAGTGCCATGTGGCTATGGAGATGGAGACTGGAGTGATACACCTACATGCCAAGGAATCCCAAGGTTTGCCAGCAACCACCAGAAGAGGCAAGGAACGATAAGAGAGAACATAGCACTGCTGACATATTAATTTATGGCTTCTAACCTCCTTCTCTCTGTGAGAGAATACGTTTTTGTTGTTTTATGCCACCCATTCCACGGTACTTTATTACAGCAGCCCTAAAAAACAAATACAAAGTTTTGCACAGATAAGTACGATGCGGCTGTTATAAATATCAAAAAATGTGGAAGTGGCTTTGGAATTGGAAAATGGATAGAGGATACAAAAGTTTTGAGGTGCTTGACAGAAAAAGCCTAGATTCTCTTAAAGGAACTGCTGGCAGAAATACAGATGTTAAAAGTGATCTAGTGAAGACTCCAAAAGAAATGGGTACAGCTACAGAGAATGTTCTCACATCATTGAGAACGCATATATTGTCACGAACAGATTGTTGGTAAAAATATGAATGTTAAAGGTGCTTCTGGTAATGCCTTTAGAAAGCAATGAAGAATGTGTTATTGGACATTGAAGGAATCCACGCTAAAAAGTGGCAGGAAATGTGGCTGAATTATGTACTGTTGTTGGGTAGAAAGTAGAATTTGTAAGTGATAAACTTAGATATTTAGGTGAGATTTCCTAGCAAAGTGTGGAAGGTGCAACATGGTTTCTCCTTGCTGTTTATAGTAAAATGTGAGAAGAAACAGATATGTTGAAGAAGAAACAGCCAAGCTAAAAGGAGCAAGCATTTGGCGATTTGAAAAATTCTCTACTTATTCAGACAGCATGCTCCAGAGGCAGGATCCAAGTACAACCATTTGTTAAAAAGGCTAATCATGGGACTTATGCTGCCAAGCACTATATTAACCTCTCCTAGTTGAACTGGCATCAGTTCAGAAATATTGAATCTTAAATTATTTTCCCACAAGTCCAAGTCCTTGAAGGGCTCTTCATTTTCCTTCCAATGTTTTATCTCTCCATTTTTCAGATTGGGTAAATTCTACTGATCTGTCCTCTAGTTCAATTATTATCTCCACTGTACTCTTGAGCCCTTCCATCAAGTTTTATTTCACTGTTTTATATATATATATAATTTCTGTAGCTTCCATTTGCTCTTTTTTATATTGTCTACCTTTTGCTATATTTTTAAATTTGTTTCAAGAGAATGTCTAATTGTTGAAGCTTTTTTTTATTACTGCTGCTTTAAAATACTAGACAGATAATTCTAATACTTGATGAATTTCGACATTGATGTTATGTGAATGCCTTTTCTCCAAGTTGTTATTTTCATGACTCTTGGGATGATGGGTGATTTTTTTTTGCTTTAAATCTTGAATATTTTGGTTATGTTAGGAAAGTCAGGGTCCCAGTTAATATTTTATTGTAGTAGGTATTCACTCTGTTCAGGTTTACCACACAGGTTCTGGTCTATATTGTTCAGCTGTGCATCCCATGACCATTTAAATTGCGGTGGTCACTATCGGTGGTGCCTGAGAGGACAGAAGGTGTTTACGAGGCTGGGCCATGGTGGGAAAGTGAGGATTTGGCCTGGGAGAATGAAAAACACTTCCTAAGCAGGACCACTCATGTGAGCAGATCCCCTTTGTGGGTGCCTACTGGCTATTCAGTATTTCTATGTGAGGGAGGAAAGACTTAGGCCCATAGGGACCAAAATAGTCTTTCTGTGCTCAATTCCCTGTGGTGGGATCCCTTGCCGGCAGGGGCCAGAGAGTTCTGCCCTGGCCTGGTGCTTGGTTTGGTGAAATCTCGCTTGCTAATGACACTAGATACCTGCTATATCTGTCATGAGGAGAGGAGTCGCAGGCCCTGTGCGGAAAGGTAGCACTTTTCCATTTGATTTTTGTCAGTGGGGTTTTGATCAGTCCCTCTTTCCAGTACTACTAGGTTCAACTGATATTGCTGGCAGGACTCCTGTTTGATCTAGGTGAGTGGTGAACCAAGCTGACTATATTTTCTTGCTAACTTGGAGGTTGGGCAACATCAGGCTGAGACACATTTTTGTGTTGGCTGAGGCTTCACAAGACATCCTAATATTATGCTATTCCTCCAGTCCTTGTAGTCTCTAACATTCACTTTTCTCTGTTCACAGTTCTCCATTTGTTGTCTATTGCGTTATTTCCAGAGTGTATTGCTGTACTTGGCAGGGATGAGCAGGGAGAAATGAGTCTATAACATCTTTTCTAAACCATAGTTTTATGTTTATATTTTTACAACATTTAAAAAGGAAACAATACTAAAACTTCACAAATTCTTTCCAGAAATTGAAGAGGAAGAACTGCTTGTTTACTCATTTTTACAAAGCCAGCATAATTCTAATAACAAACACAACAAATAAATCTAAAAACAAAAGTTAAAAATATCCTTTAAACACAAATGGAGAAAACCTCAACAAAATGCTAGCAAACCAAACTGAAAAACATATGAAAAATTTAATAAATTCATACTAAGAAAGTTTTATTTCAGGAATTCAATTTTCAGCATTCTAACATCAACCTCTGTATTTAATACATTAGCAGAATTGAAAAAAAATGCAATATTGTTTCAGTGGATGCAGAGAAGGGAAAACATCACAAAGACACATACAGTTTTGAAGATGAAAGGGACATAATGGGAACTATTTTAACAGTTATCTTACATGGAACAGGTTGTCTGTTGTTTATTCAAAAATAGAATTATTGTCTTTTTAATGGAGATCTTTAAATATTTATGTGTTAGAATTAATGAAACCTAGAATTCTGTTATCCAGATGCTGTTGTTTAGGAGGTTTGTAATATTGACATCATACTCTCTTAATTTCACTTTTATTTGTAAAATCTCTATAAGTGTTTCACTCATTAAAAGATTTTGTAACAATTAATACAAAGTGTATGCAATGTTCTTAGTACAGAAAAAACACTTGCTCAATAGTTAATGTTGTTATTTATTTCCATTCTTAATGTCAAATTTATAGTAGGTGATTAGTTATATTTATAGAATAAATACAGGCATAAATAATTAAATGAACAAATAATATAATTTAATCTCAACATAATTGTTCTTTTAAAATTATTCAATATATATTTAATAACTTTAGAATGTTTTTAACTCAATGAAGATTTTGCAGAGATAATAACTATATACTGAGCCCAGGCATTGTGCTATGTGCTGGGGATAAAAAAGCATTTCCTGCCTTTCTTATTAAAACTTGTAAAACAGAAAACATTAATAACAAGTGATAAATGATGAGATAGAGTAGAGACATCTAAACTAGTTTGAAAGCTCCCAAAATCACTTTTTGAAAGAGCTCTGAAAGGTGAAGTCTGAAGTCAGGCAAGAAGGCTTCTCCTAGCATTGACATTCTCCTGGGTCTCTGCATGTGGAAATGCTTTGAAGCAAAAGAAGGAATAAAAAATGCAAAGAATTGAATAGTACTTAGTTATTGATGGAGCATCTATGACAACAAAGGAGCAGCAAGGTATTTCCAAACAGGTCAAGGACAAAGAAATGAATTGCAAAAATTGCCAATGATCTAATCACCCCAAAGCATTAGAAACATTACCGAAATATGGGCCACAAACATGAACAGGGAATTCATGAATTATTATAAAATCTGTTCATCATTGAAGAAATGAAAAGCAAACTACTGATCTGGTAGTTTACAGAATGTGAATATACAGTTGGCCCTTGCACAACACAGGTTTGAACTACGTAGATCCTCTTCTACATGTAGTTTTTTCCCACCTCTGCGACCCGTGATACTGCAAAGACCAACACCTCCTCTTTATCCTCCTCCTCAGCCTACTCAATGTGAAGATATTGAGGATGAAGACCTTTATGGTAATCACTTCCATTTAATAAATAGTGAATGTTGTCTATTCCTTATGATTTTCTTAAAAAAGTTTCTCTTTTTAGCTAACTTTATTATAACAACACAGTATATAATACATACAACATACACAAGATGTGTTAATTGATACTTTATGCTATCGGTAAGTAGCAATATACAGTAGGCTATTAGCAGTATACTATATAACAGTATATAGTATATAGCAATAACAGTAGGCTATTAGCAATATACAGTAGGCTATTAGCAGTTAAGTTTTCAGGGAATCAAAGTTACACGTGGATTTTCAAGTGTGTGTGTGGGGGGGTTGGGTTCGGTGCTTCTAATCTCTGCATTGTTTAAGGATCAGCTTTATATATCATGTATGAAATCTCAAATTATAAAGACATGATATTTGATAATGCTAAGTGTTGGCAAGGGTACAATGAAACAGTCGCTTTTTCACAGTACTGATAATAGTGTAAATTAGTACAAACCTTATATTGGACAATTTAATAACATCCATGAAAACATAAAATATGCCTAGACATTAATTTAGATTCTACTGAATACTCTATATTATAGACATGTAATACAGAGTTATATGCATGTGAGGGTGACATCTAAATAAGTCACTAGGAGATAAGTAAATAATTACTTTATATAATGTCTTAAAGACAATAGAATATCATATTATCATCAGAATAAGTAAGATAAAACTATATATGCCCATGGGGAAAGATTTTGAAGATACATGATTACCTGAAAAAAAGTACATGTGTAAATATACAAACACCATATTTATATATATATATATATATATATATATATATATATATATGATATATTATCTGCTTTTGTTTGTGTGGTTATACACACACACACACACACACACACTGATGAGTATATTTCTCTGTATATATAATCATATAAAGACACAAAATAATTTTTTAGGCCTGTTCATTTCTCAAGGAGTGAATCTGATATCTTTGTGGTAAACAGAAAACTTATTTATACTTTAAAATATACCTCTTCACTATGTTTATGCTTTACTCTTTGTAAGATAAATGATTTTAACAATGAAAAAGAAGCTGAAGAAATTAGGAAATGCAAGTAAACTTGTTAAATAGATCTGCTAAAAATATTGATTATGACTTTCTCTCTGAAATTTTATTTGACCTGATTAAAATGGCTTCTTGGAAGAATATTGAAGAATTTGATTACATTTCACCTATTCCCTGGAATTAATATTCAGAAAAGGATTTCATAATATTTTGAGTCAAACATTTGAGTCAAACAAGAAAATGAATATAATCGTACCTCTGACTGTTCACTGGGCCTCAAGATTGTTTACTTACTCCTTAGTGATCTTGGAAAATCATGTAACTTTTATGGTTTTCAGATTGCTTGTATGTAAAATAGAAACAATAGTCCAAAGTACTCTAAAGTGTTGCAAGGTTTATTGTGTAAACTACTGAATTTTAAAACTGCTTTACAAAACTGACTACATAGTTCAACTGAGCAGAGAAAGTAAAGTTGACAGCTGGAATTCTTTATAAATTTTTTTGAGTTGTCACACTTAGCACAATTGGTACTGCTGATACTAATATTACCTACAGGATACAGGAATCCAAATGCATTTTTGTTGTAGGTTTATTGTGTACTTACAATGAAGAAAATAACTGAACAATTTCAATGCTATGCAAATTTGTACTAATTTTTATAACTAAGCCTAACGATGTACTATAAAATTAACTTATGTAATGCTAATTAAATAAATCATACTAGTTTTTAAATATTACACTATTAATATTTGTGTTCAAATATAGAAAATATTTATTTTATGTGCAAGGGAACCATAGTGTTTTACTGCAGAAGGACACAGCTATTACTGCATCTGCAGGACTAAAACGCCTCCTACAAAATGACCCTTCCTTCTTTCCTCCATACTTCACTTTGGAACTTTCATCCAGAGCACTCCTGAAGCCATAGATCTTTACCGCCTCATTGAGCAGAACTGATTTTGAATGGCGCTTGGTCACAAGCTGATCCAGACAGAGGTGACGAATTACTGCTGCATGGGCACATGTTAACATTAAGGAGGAAGAAATCAACATTTTTGGATGGGAGGTCAACAGAAAAGTACAAAGGAGTGGCTGTTTTTGTCATTCTTTAAAAGAGTAATCAAAGGAATGTTATATAAATATTGCATTATTTGTTTAAAGGGATTTAAGAAAAAATAATGCCTTATTGTGAAATTCACAAACAGTACTAACTAGACAAGAGAATGTCAAACAATATTACAGACACTTTCCCTACATTTTTTATTGTGTTTTACAGAAAGAACACAAACATAAATAAAAATAGAGGATAATGTAATCTGTAATCTCTTATTGAGAATATCGTAAGACATTTACAGTTATTTTGAAATACCTGCCTTTGCAATCTAATTCTACAAAAGTCTACAAGCTTCAACAAGGTTGTTATGACTTTGTTTTGAGCCCTGGACTTGCTGAGCTGAAACAGAACAAAGATGTAGAAATGACATTCACACCTCTTAATTGGTATCATTAAGAGAATTTTTTTTCATGCCAGAGGACAAGTGATAGACCTCCTTGAGATTACTATGCTCTTGGGAAAACGGAAATTGTCTTCTAATGAGAACACAATGCTGTAGCTGTTATAAAGGTACCAGTTAGCATTTGCTATACAGAATTCTTTAAAACAGATATTTTGCTCTGAAAGGATTCTAAGTAGTTCTGGTGACCCAGAAAGGGAAAAGAAAGAGCTGTGAGAGGTGTTAAAATGGTTCATGCAATTTGAAGAGATAATAGAAATTTGAAGGAAAAATTGGGATTTCGTGTGTGTGTGTGTGTGTGTGTGTGTGTGTGTATCTGTGCATGGGAATTGGAGAGAAGTTTAATGGAACTCTTGTGATTTATTGTAATGCATGTCACAGTGGAAACTGACATCTACTGCAAACTTGTCATGAAATTAGTAAGGTGATAAATATCAGAGATCTAAAGTTTATATTTTTAGTAAGAATAATTCTTGAAGATACACTCATGTAAAAATGGCTTTATTATATCTGTGAATATCTTAACAGGTATTTAAAGGGAGTTATTCAATCTGTTTAGGAGCTATTGGATTATTCATGTGTGTGTGTGCACACATGTATGTATTTAAAACATAGAGTGAACCGGCCAGGCGCAGTGGCTCACGCCTGTAATCCCAGCACTTTGGGAGGGTTAGGTGGGTGGATGACAAGGTCAGGAGTTCGAGACCAGCCTGACCAACATGGTGAAAACCGGTCTCTACTAAAAAAAAAAAAAAAAAAAAAAATGCAAAAATTAGCCGGGCATGGTGGCGTGTGCCTGTAATCCCAGCTACTCAGGAGCTTGAGGCAGGAGAATCACTTGAACCTGGGAGGCGGAGGTTGCAGTGGGCCGAGATTGTGCCACTGCACTCCAGCCTGGGTGACAGAGTGAGACTGTGTCTCAAAAAATAAAATAAAATAAAACATATATATTATATATAATAATGTAACATATATTATATAGTATATATATATATAGAGAGAGAGAGAGAGAGAGAGAGAGAGCTAACCTCCTTACCCTTCTTCAAGCAATTATGTTGTTTCAGATGTATGTGTAGCAGCATTATCCAAAGGGTTTGCAACCATTGTGCTCCATATGTAACTGAGGATCCTCACCTATTGCTGGCTTTTGTTCTTGCACTATACCCCCACAGTGCCAGTTCAGCATAATAAAAGATATGTCCCATTTTAAGGATCAGTGGAAATCTTCAGAATTCAAACCCACTGATTCATATTGATTTTCCTCTTCTAAAATCTCAATAACAGAGGGCACATTAAGGGCTTTCTCTGGATTTAATTTTCTTCATCTGCAAAATGAAAGCACTTTAGATACATGTTTTTTCAACTCTCCTTCACTCTAGCCATCTATAATTGCCACTAGTCTAGAGTTTGGAATAGAGTACCTAAAATAAAATAAAATATTTACTTAATCTGTACTTTATTCTTTCCTCTGCATCCGTAAAGGTACACAAATAAGAAGAGTTTTCCCTAAGTTTTCAATTCAACTAAATTTGATTTTTCAGAGGCCAGAAAAGAAATAATCCTACTAAAATCAAAGCATTGACCAAGTTAAACTCTCAGCAGGAATTGAACCAGAACCACCCTTAAATGGCAATATTGTGCTCTTTTTTGTCTTGCCAGAAGCCTGTGTTATTCAGTGTAGTCTAATGAATGATGAGAACCAAGACAAAATAATGGCAGTGAGAATAAAGAAAATGTGACAAAATTGAAAAAAAAATCTAATTTGGAGGTTTATTCAAATGGGTGAATGAATAATGAGTTTCATGAATTTGAAGATGAAAATATTCTAGAATAGCTATCAGATTTTTGATTTAGATAAGTCAATATATCTGGATTGGTATTAAATATGTGTTTCCTATTGAAATCCTGTAATAATAAATCATTCTCTTCTTTATTTTAAAAGTTAACAATCCACTGTGATAATGACTGAGGAGTCAGAAAGATGGAAATCAAATGTCATTTTTATTACTAGAGTAGTCCCACCATATCTGTAGGAATACATTTCAAGACCACTAGTGGATGCCTGAAATTGCAGACAGTACCAGATCCTATATGATTTGTTTTCTCCTATATATATTTACCTATGACAAAATTAAATTTATATATTAAGCACTGTAAGAGATTAACAAGATAACTAACAATTAAAATATAACAATTATAACAATATACTGTAATAAAAGTTATATGAATGTGGTCGCTCTCTCAAAATATTTTCTCATACCGTTTTCATGTATTTTTGGAGTACGGTTGATCATGAGTAACTAAAACCATGGAAAGCCAAACTGCACGTAAGGGAGGACTATTATAATTAAAATTCAAATTTAAATATGGGGCCAATGAATTTGCTGATTAATATCTTCCTGACTTAAACTGATCACCCAGAAATCTTGTCACAGGTCCAACTGGGCAAGAAAGAGTTTCCTCTGCCTCCTCTCAAGCAAGTGCTTTACTGCATAGCAAAATAGCAAAGCAAAACACCCCTTCTCTATGGGCAAGCAAAATTCTGAAAGAAAGAAGTTCAATATCTGTTAACATGTGCAAATACTTAGAGACATATACACATATATACACAAATTCATATATAATATAGATAAAAATCTTCTAAAATATAAACACATATGTTTCTGTATGTACGTTATGTACATTTTTATTTGATTTTGTTTTCATTAAGGGTGATGTGGTTTGGATCTGTTTCTCCACTCAAATCTCATGTCAAATCATAATCCCCGGTGTTGGGGGTGGAACCTTCTAGAAGGTAATTGGATTATGGGGATGAATCCTTCATGAATGGCTTGGCACCATCCCTTTGGTGCTATTCTCATGATGGAGTTCTCACAGATCTGGTTGTTTAAAAATCTGTAGTACCTCTTCTCTTTCCCTCTTCCTCCTTCTCCAGCCACGTAAGACTTGCCTTCCTTTTCTTTGCCTTCTGCCATGATTGTAAGTTTCCTGAGGCCTTCCCAGAATCTGAGCAGGTGCCAGCATCATGGTTCCTATATAGCCTGCAGAATCATGAGCGAATTAAACCTCTTTTCTTTATAAGTTACCCAGTCTCAGGTCTTTCTTTCTAACAATGTGAGAACAGACTAATACAAAGAGATATAGGAATTGTCATTTTATTAATTTGACATTAGTTCTCTGATGTATTAGAAAGGTTCATTAAAATGACTCACTTAAAATTTAACAGATATAAATATGTAAACTATATATGAATCTACAGAATTTTAAAAGGAATTTTGAATAATGATATTTTATTTTCTAACCCTAGTAAAATCTGAAAAGGGGAATTTCACTGAGTGTCATGGTATGAATGTTTGTTTCCCACCAAATATATATGTTGAAAACTGATTTCCAATGTGATGCTCTTAGGAGATGGGCTTTTGGGAAGTTAGGTCATTAAGATGGAGCCCTCATGAGTGGGATCAGTGTCCTTATAAAAGAGGCCTCACAGAGAGCTTCCTTGTGCTTCTGTTATTTAAGAACATGGTGAGAAGACAGCATCTATGAGACAAAAAGTGAGACCTCACCAGACATCAAATCTGTTGCCATCTTGATATTAGACTTCCCAGTCTCCAGAATGTGAAAAATAAATTTCTGTTGATTTTAAGCTACTCATTTTATGGTATTTTATTCCAGCAGGCTGAACTGACTAAAGCATTGAATTCTATAAGTCTATAGGTATACATAAATTAGTGTATTAAGGATGTACAACATATTTTATGTGTCACATTGATAGTAAAATTGAAGGCTTTTTCTGAATAAAGTTTGCTTTAAATTTGCACTGAGTTCCAGTAAGCTCATACACTACCTATTATATTAGAAATTTGAATTTGTAGCTGAATATTTCCTAAGTTCTTTGATTGAGACTGACACTTGTGCTTTTACAAAAGATGCAAAAGAATAAAGGATTTATCATATACAAACATCACTGCCTTGTTATTGGCCATCTTTATACGGGACTGAAATAACAAAGCTGGATGGAAAAAAATATGAGTCATGATATCATATATGGTTTCTTACACATATTTCAATTCAAGAGGCACAACTAAATTTCAACAAAAACTCCCTGGGTCTTCTGGGGTAATTCCCATTAATCAAGTAGATTTTAAGAAGCAAGAACCATTTGACTATAGTTTTGATTAGAAAAGTCAGCGTCCTAAGGTTGTAGTCACTAGGAATGGGAACATAAGCCTGGACAAAGGCACGAACAGAGCTGCCTTCTTAATGACTTTTCTATTTTGGTTGCTGGGTTTAACTAAATATGAGTTTTTAATGTTTTCTGGAATTATATATATATATATATATATATATATATATATATATATAATCTTTTGATTCTCGATTCTCATTTGCTTCACCTCATATATGATTTTATTCAATCACTTTCCTGGCATATCCATTACTTTTCTACTTTTTCAGTCTCTTCCTCTGTGTACTCTCAGCACTTCCTAAAATGCACTTTTTAGTATTTTTCTCTGTTTTACTCATGCTTCTTTTCTTTCTCACCTTTTGTTCTGAGTTAATTATAATCCCTCAAAGAGATAATTCAACAAACTAAAGCCAAAGCTAGCAGAATAAAATAAATAATATATATGCAAACAGAAGGAAATGAAATTGAGAACAAAAGAACAGTATAAAAGATCAGGATAAAAGATGGTTCTTTGAAAAGATAAACAAATTTGACAGACTGCTAGCCAAACTAAGCAAGAAAAAAAGAGCGAAGATCCACATAAACAAAATCAGCAATGAAAAAGGAGACATTACAACTGATACTACAGAAATATATAGCATCAGCAGAGATCACTATCAACAACCATACACTCAAAAACTAGAAAACCTAGAAGAAAACTGATAAATTCCTGAAAACATTCAACCTCCCAAGATTGAACCAGGAACAAATAGAAATGCAAGTTAATACCATAAGATATTACCTTATACCAGTCAGAATGTCTAATATTAAATAGGCAAAAAATAACAGATGTTGTCAAGGATTTGGAGAAAAGGGAATGCTTTTACACTCTTGATGGGAATTTAAACTAGTATATCCTTTGTAGAAAACAGTATGAAGATTTCTCAAATAACTAAAAATAGAATAGATTCAGCAATCTCACTACTGCGTATCTACCTTCCAAAAAATAAATCATTATATTAAAAAACACCTGCACTTTTATGTTTATTGCAGAACTATTCAGAATAGCAAAAGTATAGAATCAACCTCTGTCTATCAATGGATGATTGGACACAGAAAATGTTTGTACAAGTTCATCGACACTGGATAAAGAAAATGTGACATATATGCAATGGAATATTATATAGCCATAACAAAAGAATGACACCTTGTCTTTTGCAGCAACATGATTGGAACTGGAGGCCATTAACTTAAGTGAAATAACTTAGAAACAGGAAGTCAAACACCACATGTTCTCACTTATAAGTGGAAGCTAAATAATGTGTACAAATATAGAGTGCAAATTAATAAACATTGGAGACTCAGAAAGGTGGGAGGATAGAAGGCGATAAGGAATGAGAAACTACTTATGCATATAATGTACACTATTTGGGTGATGGTTATCCTAAAAGCCCAGACTTCACCAGTATGCAATATATCCATTTAATACAACTGTACTTGTATTCCGTATACACATACAAAATTAAAAATATATATATAATACAAGTTCTAAATTCTAACATCTCTGAATATGACCTTATTTTTTAATAGGGGGCAGACCTGTAATCCCACTACTTTGAGAGGCCAGAGCAGAAGGATTACTTGAAGCCAAGAGTTCAACACCAGCCTGGGCAGCAAAGTGAGACCCCATCTCTATTAAAAAAATAAAAAGCAAATAGGATCTTCACAGATATAATCAAGTTATTCCTTATATATACACAGGATTAGAGTGATCCCTAATCTAATGCCTAGTGTCCTTATAAAAAGAGAAAAATTTGCACAGAGAAACTCAAACAGGAGAAGACCATGAGAGATGGAGGTGGAGATTGTAATGATGTGTCTACAAACCAACAAATACAAAGGGTTGCTGGTGATCACTAGAATCTAGGAAGAGGCAAAGAAGTTTCCTTTCTTAGAGACTTCAAAGAAAGCTTTGACTTGCCGAGACCTTGATTTCAGACTTTTCGCCTTTTAAGAGTGAGGGGATAAATTTATACTGTTTTAAGCAAGATAATTTGTGATATTTTGTCACAGCAGCCCTAGGAACTGATACACCTGCCAAAACAAACATGTTTATAAAGTTTTGACTATTTTTTGCAATTATGTTAAATGAACTACACTGTGAAATAGACAAAATTAATATTACTGTACTACTTCTTCTTATTTGACTTTTTATAGAAGAAAATTATATCTACTCTAAGGGACATAGACATCCCCAAATATGTTGAGATGAATATTATTCCTATTTGTGAAGTTTGATATTGATAATAAGAACAATGTCAGACATGTATTTGCCAACTGAGTGCAACTTTTGCTCAATCATATGTATATATGTTTAGAGGCTATTATTCCTTAATATTATCCTCACTCAGTCTTTACCTAATTCATGGTGTAATGCCCAGCTTTTTTTCCATATGCTTAGCAGGACAATCACTGTTGAGGGACTGATTTTTTCCTCTGCTTTTGCACTACATATCTAAACTGGCTAGTTTTATTTCTGCTACCAGGCTTGTGGTTACACCTTTTTACATATGACTACATTTTACCTAAAATTAAAATAAATTTTAATAGAGAATGAAAAATTTCTTCCTAATAGTGAGCTTTGTTTACTTGCAGATTGTGAAGAGTTTTAGCAAGTTATATTGGGTTTGAATTTTAATCCTTAATACAATTTATCTCCTGCTGTAATAGACACTTTGCTCTGAGGTTATTTTTGGGTTCACAAGGGAATACAGACAGAGGACTGGGTCAAGGATAGTAGTGACAGAATTTTATCAGTTATCCTGAACTTGGAGGAAGGTAGACACTAGGCGTCTCCTAATATAGCAGAATGAAAGTGGCCAGGGAAACTTCTGGATCTTGGGATGGTTTGAGCAAAGATTTTACCCCTATTTGTGAGGAGTGACCTGAAGTGTTTGCTCAATGAGGTGTGACCATTAGCTCCAATACAGAATGGAAGTCCACTCTCTTCATCTGATTTTGGAGTGAAAAGTTTTTTTCTACTCAAAGACCCCAACTTAACTGATCAGGTATATCTGGTTTTAGAGCTAAAATCACCTCAGCATGCTAGTTCACTGTTCTTTTTTATATTTTGAGTAATTCTGAAATTGTTGTCTTTATATCCTATAAATGAATATGCAAATGTCTAATTTTTACATTTAACTGAACATATTTATAAATCATATTAACAATGCTCCACAATTCATTCATTTTAATATTATAATTGACAATCATATTTAACATTAAATATAATGTTAAATTTCTCCATACTTTGGTAATTATCTTGGCAGAAGGAAAAAAACTTAGGCAAAAATACATTCTTACAACTTTGGATATATCACCATATTCAAATGCTTTGTAGATGGGTTATGTTTAATTCTGAGGAAGATTATTTTGATGAGGAGAAAATGTCCAAATGAACTTTTCAGGATCCTAAGTTTTCTGTAATTCAATTATTTTAAATCAAGAAAATATTCTGTTTACTGAAGAAAAGTTTAAATAAAAGCAGATTAGGTGTTGTGGCATACATTAAAGTAGATAAGATTAAAATATGTTTTTTCCTTTAATAACCAAAACCAATAGTGTCTGTTTCTCATGTTAGTGATCCTTCATTCAATGAGAAAGAAGTATGCAGATATTTAAAATATTTAAATGTTTTCTGAATTATAATTTGGGAGAGATGACAAAAAGTTACATCCAGCATTGCATACAGTAAATATTCTAAAAATGTTTTAAAAAACGTAGACTTTAAACTCTTTGACAGATAATAGTAAGTCCTAAAATTGGCGAATGTCCTATTCTCCACCTTCTGCATCACAATTGTGTTAACTTATGGTTCCTTGTTTTCATTTTTGGTTTTGATGTGTTTATGAATAGGAGAATGAATATTCAATATGAAGTTTATAACTTGAGCAATTATGTTCTCTAGACTCTATTTCTGATTTTTACAGTGTATGTTAAATATTTCAATTACTGAGTCAAATATCCTAAGCTTTCTCAAAGATGTTAAAATATAACAACAAAAGCAAACAACAACAAAACTGAGCTATCTTGGATGTCAAAGGCATATGGCATATTTTTTATCAAGGAGGAAGAATATTGTGCTTTTAAATTATTATAATACTACACATTGCTAGTGGTGAATTTTGAGCTTTTGCAAATAGGAGAAAATATTTTTATATTTACTAGATTTAGGATATGCTACCCAAAAATATAATACTTTGGCATATTGGATATTGTAAGCTGAATAAATTTGAGAAATGGCAAGTGCAGGAAGAATTTTCCTACCTTGCACTGAAGCAGATCATAAGATCCTCATGTGAGAAATGTCCTCTTTACACCATGGGAAAGAAGTGACCTTATCTGTGAAGGTGGAAGGACACCAAGAAGAATCTGAATGAACAGGTATTGTCAAGTTTCCACTAGTTTACTACACTTAGCTCAAATCCTGTTGTCTTCTTATGTTTTCCCATGATTCCACTTTTCATCAAACTTGGTATACAAACACTCAGTTTGACAGTTCATTTTGGTCTCCATTTCCTCATCAAGGCCCCCATGTCATGTAAAATTTGTATTAAAAAATTTTTTATGATTTTCTATTGATAATATGTATTTTGTTACTGGGGCTTCAGCTGAGAACCTAAAAGGATAGAAAGAAAATATTTTTCCTCCTCTATAATATTTTCCAAATTTTTCTCTAATCAATTTTTCTTGACTGAAGATTGTAATTTGGTGACAAAAAGAATGGCCTTGGTAGTATATACAGCCATGCGTCGCTTAATGATGGGGATGGGTTCTGAGAAATAAGTAGTTTTGGTGATTTTGTCATTGTGCAAGCATCACAGAATGTACTTACACAACCTAGATAGTGTAGCCTACTACATACCTAGATTATAAGGCATAGCCTATTGCTCCTGGGCTACAAACCTCAACAAGATGTTATTGTAGTGAATATTGTAGACAATTGTAACATAATGGTAAGTATTTGTGCATCTAAGTGTAGAAAAGGCACAATAAAAATACTGCATTACACTGTCATATGCCATCCATTGTTGACCTGAAACATCATCATTACATGGTACGGGATTGTATATATTTCCCAAAATAGTTATACTATATGTCATAATAAATTCTGATTATTAGTGTTTTTAAAATGTAAATCTGATAAAAATATTTCCTGAGAACATACAATGTGACAGGCATGGCTCTACGTATTTGGGACTTAACACTGAAGAGAAAACAAAGGTCCTGACCTTGAGGAATTCTGGAAGATGAAAGAGTCCATAACTATGCATATAAGTATGTGGCACACAGAAGGATGAAGAGAGTGATAGGGAAAGGGGTGGGGAGGTAAAGGAGAAGTTCTTTGGCCCTAGAAAGAATGGTTGGCATGTAGTGGGTGGTGGTGGTGGTGGTGGTGGTGGTTGTGGGGTGTGTGTGTGTGTGTATGCATGTTGGGGAGAGATGGTAGAGCTCATTGGGTGGGTAAGATTTGAATCAAGATCTGAATAAAGTTAGAAATTCAGTTTTTGGAGGCAGAACAGCTGGAACAAAGCTCTTATGTAGAGAAGTTGACTATCATATCTGAGGAATAGCAGGAAGGTCACGGTGACCAAAATCGAGCGTGCAAGGGTGGGATTATAACAGATAAAGTCAAAGAGGTAACAGGTGGGCTATTGTAGAGAACTGACGATCATAATGAGGACTTTGGCTATTTACTGTGATTGAAATAAGGAGCATTTACAAACTTTTGAACCGGTTTACATTCAAAAAATTCTCACTCTAGCTGCTATAATGGAGAATAGAGTTTAGGAGGACAAGCGTAAATAATGGAAGACATGTTAGGAAACTACTGCAGATATCAAGGTAAAAGAGTACTGTGGCTTGGGGATACGGGCCATCAGAGATAGAAATGGTCAGAAACTAAGAACTGCGCCAGCATGATTCCCTAATGCAGAAATTTCTTAACTCCATATAGATGCAGCTTTAAAGCATAAAACAGGACGCTAAAATAATTAAAGTAACACACTGAAATATTTATTAAGTAACAAATTGCTATTATTTGATTAGTGTCCATATATTTCTATTTAAAATACTAAGTAAAAATTCCTTTTAAATAAATATAAAAATCTGTATATGTAAAACTAAAATTAAAAAATATGTATATTGATTAACTGAACATTGAAACATAATATAAGCAAAATAATTATTCTTCATCCATTTCTATATATCGTAATCAGTTTTTAACTATATTTTTTCTATAATGTTATGTCTTCTGTGTTTCTTAAAGCATATTTTTAAAAATTATTGTGTATTTTTTATTTTATTTTTCTATAATTTCCTGTAATCAGGTTTAAATAATTATTCTTATCTTCTAATAATTTTATCTTCAGTCCTGACATTCTGCATTTTTATGGTTAATACGTTTAAAATCATTGCATGTAATTGATTCTACTCTCTATAACAAAACAAATTTCACTGAGAAATCATTCTGTAGAGACTTTGAGAGACCCGATAAACTAAGAGAAAATGCTGCCAGAGGATATTCCCTGTTCTACTTTTTTCATTTTACAACATTAATATTTCCATCAAAATATTGTTATATAGGCTATCTTGCCATTACTGATACTATCATTTTCCAAGAAAGTTTTTCAAGTTAAAGCTTATCAAATAATCTCTATTATTTGAATATATTACAAAAAAAGGTATTAAAATTATTGTCGATTTTATTTTCTCCCAAACAGTACATAAATTAATCCAGATAAAAAAATAGAAGCTCTAGACAAAGATTCTTGCCACAAATATATTATCTTTTAGTTTGTTTTTATAGTTCCAGTTTTCTTGTTTGCAATCCCTTTTTATAGTGACTGAATTATTCTAACAGTTTTGAAAGTGGAAATTTTGTGACATTGCAGTTAGTGAACACTTTGATTAAAGATGTACAACTAATTTAGAAAAATAAAATGAAATTTAAATTAAAGGACTCATTTGCAATAATACTCAAAACCATTAGTGGGACATTTGGGTTGATTTTAAAGTAATTCTTCAGATTTTCTAATGTCTGCTTTTTAATGAACATCAAAGAAAGAAAGCTATTTGCAATGCTGAAGACTATTTTGCATTTAATATCAGCGTTATCAAAATATTGTGGCTCAGTACCACGAATGTCTATTTTTTTTAATTATATGCACTTTGACAAGCACAGCTTTTATTTTAATTGGCAAAATATTGATGCGTGCTTGGGCACAATATAAGTTAGGTGTCCATCATCCTCAATTTTAAGTTCAATTTTCTTGCACTGATTTCTTTTCTTTCTGCTTTTTTGTTTTGCTTTGTTTTTGTTTTGTTTTGTTTTGAGACAGAGTTTTGCTCTTGTTGTCCAGGCTGGAGTGCAGAGGCGTCATCTTGGCTCACTGCAACCTCCGCCTCCCGGGTTCAAGCGATTCTTCTGTCTCAGCCTCCCAAGTAGCTGGGATTACAGGCATGAGCCACCACACCTGGCTAATTTTTGTATTTTTAGTAGAGACAGGGTTTTACCATGTTAGGCTGGTCTCGAACTCCTGACCTCAGGTGATCCACCCACCTCCGCCTCCCAAAGTGCTGGGATTACAGGCATAAGCCACCACGCCTGGCCTCTTGCATTGATTTCTTACTCTAGTATTTGTACTATTAATTCAAGAACTAATAATTTTATCTTCAATCCTGAAATTATAAAATTGTTTACAATTTACAATAACATTCAACATGTCAGATGGTTCATCTTTGATAGAATAAATTCTAAACTTGTACTTTCACTCACTTAATTGAATTTAAAAATATCAATCTATTATTGGAGTTTACTTAATCGATTTCCTATTTGAAGCACTTTATAATGCTGAAGAAGTCTTCATTTTACTGTTTGGAAGTTCTGCTAAAGAAGCTACCATATTAGGAGGTATTGGTTCATTTCTTCATGCACAAGAGAATATTAGAATTAAATAATGATATAATTAATTTAGAAGATTTGTAATTTGATCTAAATAAAAATTCTTGCTTCACAAGATGATATGCAAACGTATCTCCATGGCTAGAATTTCTTTCTATTGTCCCTTGTGGGCATAAACTTTTTTAAAATACCGACTTTAAAGTAGAAACGGGATAGACATCCATTTTTTTTTTCTGCTTTTATGTGGTTAATAGTACCAGTATAGGGCCGGGCTCAGTGGCTCACACCCGTAATCCCAGCACTTTAGGAGGCTGAGGTGGGCGGATCACGAGGTCAGGAGATCGAGACCATCCTGGCTAACACGGTGAAACCCTGTCTCTACTAAAAATACAAAAAATTAGCCAGGCGTGGTGGTGAGCGCCTGTAGTCCCAGCTACTCTGGAGGCTGAGGCAAGAGAATGGCATGAACCCGGGAGATGGGGTCATCGAGACCATCCTGGCTAACACAGTGAAACCCATCTCTACTAAAAATACAAAAAATTAGCCAGGCGTGGTGGTGAGCGCCTGTAGTACCAGCTACTCTGGAGGCTGAGGCAAGAGAATGGCATGAACCCGGGAGATGGGGTCACGCCAGAGCTTGGACGTGTTTTGCTATTTGTGAGTGAGAGCTGCTTGTTTTTCCAGTGAGCATCATGCATGGTATGCTTGAATGAGAAGTGTTAGTTACTTTAAATTTGGAAAACTTTGAAAAAAGAGAGATGCATATCACTACACAGATTTCAGGTATAATACATGTTCAATTGATAAGTCTATTCATTGCACATACATCTCGATCACTGATAAAGAAGATCTGGAAGAACTTGTAGTTCAACAAAACCCAGCGTGACTAATTTTAACACAACTATTAGGAAGCTGATTTCATTAAAAATGAAAAATCTTACTCAGTAGCTAAATTGGAAAAGACATTGGGAAAACATGGATAAACCTAGCATGCCCCAGGCAAAACAGTTTGTATGGTCACACTAGGAATAAAAGGAAAAAAAAAGTCAAATTTTACTGTCTATATTTAAAATAAAATTAAAAGAAAAAAACTGAAGTCAATGGGCTCTAAGAATAAAGCTAGACCATGATTCCATCAAAAAGTCTTTGTTGATTAACTCACTTGAGAGATCAACAATACTGAAACCAAGTAGCCTCACATCTGTGAGGCAAAGATAGAGACGAAGATGCTGGATGTCCTCTGGCCAAGAACATTGAGCACTTTGAATCTGTATTTTTAGTGGAGTTATAAAATAGATTTTCATGATTTCTTACACAATGGGAGGAAAAAACAAAAACAAAAGACCCAGAACAAAGAATCTGATAGGCAGCAGATGTCCTGAGAAACATCCACAAGGCAGATGGCAGCAATGTGTCAATAACAAACAGACCTATGGGATAGAAACAGCATGACAAATATCATATGGAAGAATTTACTTAACTATTTCACATTTTCTTTAAAAAAAGTCATGACTTATGATTACCTAGATAGCATACAGATATAATAACCTGTAGGGGAAGAAGGAAGAGAGAGATAAAGACCATTGGGAGGAATACAGAAATAAAAATCTATATTGGATGCTGTACTGGTCAGCATACACATGACCAGCTTTAGAATTTGATCTATGATCTATGTAAAGTTGAGGTGGAATTTCTTTCTTTTTCTTTTTTTTTTTTTTTTTTGAGACAGAGTCTCAAAAAAAGTGCAGTGGAGTGCAGTGGTGCAATCTCAGCTCACTGCAAGCTCCGCCTCCCAGGTTCGCGCCATTCTTCTGCCTCAGCCTCCCAAGTAGCTGGGACTACAGGCGCCCGCCACCACATCTGGCTAATGTTTTTATATTTTTGGTAGAGATGTAACAGAGTTTCACCATGTTAGCCAGGATGGTCTCGATCTCCTGACCTCGTGATCCACCCGCCTTGGCCTCCCAAAGTGCTGGGATTAGAGGTGTGAGCCACCACGCTCGGCAGAGGTGGAATTTCTATATGTTATTCAATGTTATAAAAACTTTTATTGTCAAACATATTTTAAATATATTTTAAGATGTATATCCCCTTTCACTTGTTAACAAAATACATTGCCTATAAATATATGGCCCATGCCTCTACAATATAACCTCCTTTCCCCACCTTTCCCACAAAGGTGAAGAATCTCAGTATCTTCTGAATTTCATTTTTAAAATGTCCTGTCTTGAAAAGTGAGATTTAGAATGAGGAATCTATTTTCTGACTTACAAGTTCAGAAGGTCATCCACTAAAATAGTTTGAAAAAAAATCCACCTGCTTGAAAGAATAAGCCATATCTGTTTAAATATTGAAACCTGATTAGATCATGAATAGCCGGGCAATAGAACTCAGTGAGAAGACAAGGGAGAATGTTTAGAAAATGGATTCACCATTTATCCTTACACATAGCATACATGAAACATTTTATTTGCCTTGAAACAAATATATTTGCCTTTTAAATTGTTTCACCAGTTTTCGTGTAGACACATCAGAAATGTTATAATTATTTAATAATCATAAGTTCCCTTTTTAATTTTAAAACCTTTTATATATTTCAGTTATAACACCATTGCAATTATTTAATGTTTTAACTTTATCCAAAATGCCAATAACTTCACTGTATAAAACTATGAAAGAGCATGATATCCACATTGTAAATGGAACATTGGCATTTTGTATTAAAATGTCACCACACAAGTTGTATAAATACTAAATTGCTCAGGACAAAGACTAAATCCTCACTGTATTTTGGCAAGTGGCAATGAACTGATCATTCATCGGGACTTGCTTTCTTCAAATACTAAGATTGACTACTACAGAAAATATGATGGGCTAATTTTCAAGCCAACTGCCTAAAATGTACAATTTATTGAACAGAAAACGTGACTTTTTTGCATTTCTTCTTTAGCTATCTTCATTACCTTTATTTTAAAGAAAGCATATTAAAAGAGCAGGATGATTACATGGTTCTATGCATTGTATAACTTGTTGGAAACCTTAATTTACTGACATAGAATTAAGTTTGTGCTGTATTTACAGATAAAAACTACTAGCATAAATTTATATTTTCAATAGCTTTTAAAATTTGGCTATTTGCTTGAATAGTTTATAGGACTGGTCTACATTTTATTATATAATAATAAAATATTTAATAACATTTATCAATAAGTCACATGATATTCTAATAAGATACTCTGAGAAGTAGTGTCAATATTATTTGAAAAATATATTGTATGACAATATTTCAGCTAAATATAAAATTTTATTTACATAATGATTAATATTAAAAAATAAACAGGTCTCATAACAGGAATTTCTGTCGAATAGGATTTATCTTCCTTTGAAAGGTCCAAGCATTATTTGGAAGTTTAAACAAAATAGAACTTCATTTTTATAAAGTGGGCAAGGTACCTCGTTTACAGTTTTAAAAAATCAAGATTTTAAAATATAGATGAGGACTAACAGTTCTGTGAGCATAAGGACAGTGCTGGATATCAGTTATTATTTTCATTTTATTGTATTAGTATGAACTTGGTTTGGCCTTGACTAACGGAGACTTAATAGTGACTTCAATAAAATTAAAGCTTATTTCTGTCATAAGCAGCATCCAGGTGTGGTGTGTCACTTCCATGAATATCAGGGTCTCTGGCTCCCATTTTCTTTCTGATGTGCCATCCACAGAATGCAGCTTCCACCTCGTGATGCAATATGTTTGTTCTTACTGAAGCTGTAATTTCAGCATTCCAACTAACAGGAGGGAGGAAAAGCCTATACCCTCTCTCTTTTTCAGACACTTCATAGAATTTATATTAAGTGATTTATGTGTCTCCCAAACCACAAATAAGTCCAAGGCCACACAGCTAACTTTGAGAAAGGCTGGGTAACGTAATTTATTTTGGTACCCAGGTGTGAAACAAAAATCAAAAGTTTTTACAATATTGGAAATATTGGAAACAGAAGTACTTAAAAATCAAGTAATTTTTTAGACAATTTCTAAAGCCTAAAATAATGATACTAATAGAAATGTGTATATAGATATTAAACTCATACATTGAATCGACCAAATTTGGTTTAATTTACATTCTTAATATTCTCTGTAATCTTTTTCTTATATGATTTGAATTGAATTAAAAAAATAGTTTTCACATGAATTTAATGTTTAACCAAAGTTTCAGTCTATTTTCCCTTGATTTATATTTGTCTTGAAGTTGTTTATAAAATTAAATCATTAATACTTCAGAATAGGTCAATCTTTACTCATAAAATGTTTCATCTAGTACAGTGTGGTGATTCAGGAAATAAGCTAGGTGCCGTGGCTCATGCCTGTAATCACAGCATTTTGGGAGGCCAAGACGGGAGAATTGCTTGAGGCAGCATTTCAAGACCAGCCTTGACAATATAGCAAAATCCTGTCTCTACAATTTTTTTTAGAAAAAGTAACTAGGTGAGGTGGCAAGAACCTGTGGTGCCACCTGCTCAGAAGGCTGAGGGAGGAAGATCACCTGAGCCCAGAAGTTTGAGGCTGCAGTGGACTATTATCATGCTACTGCACTGCAACCTGGGCAACAGAGTGAGACCCTGTTTCTTTCTTTTTTTTTTTTTTACATAAGTATCTTTTTTAAAAAAAAATTTATTATTATTATACTTTAAGTTTTAGGGTACATGTGCACAATGTGCAGGTTTGTTACATATGTATACATGTGCCATGTTGGTGTGCTGCACCCATTAACTCGTCATTTAGTATTAGGTATATCTCCTAATGCTATCCCTCCCCCATCCCCCCACTCCACAACAGTCCCCTGTGTGTGATGTTCCCCTTCCTGTGTCCATGTGTTCTCATTTTTCAATTCCCACCTATGAGTGAGAACATGCAGTGTTTGGTTTTTTGTCCTTGCGATAGTTTGCTGAGAACGGTGGTTTCCAGTTTCATCCATGTCCCTACAAAGGACATGAACTCATTCATTTTTTATGGCTGCATAGTATTCCATGGTGTATATGAGACCCTGTTTCTAAACAAACAGACAAACTCGAACTCTAGTTAATGTAATTGAATTTCTTAGAATATCACTATAGCAGACAAATCCTAAGGAAGCCCCATTATCCAGCCTTCTGATACTCAAGTTCTTATGTAATCTCCTTCCCTTGAGTGTTTGTGGAGCCTGCGCGTGGCTTCTAACGAGTAGAAGACAGCAAAGTTAATAGTAGGTATAGGATTATGTGTATGTTATTATTTGATTACCTCACTAATTTATAGGCAATTGCAATCCCCTTCTTACACCGAGACTCTCTTTCCCTTGTTGACTTTGAGGAAGCAAAAGGGAATGTTGGGAAGGCCTACAGGGCAAGAAAATAAGGATGGCTTTTTGGTGCCAGCTAGCAATAAACTGAAGCTCTCAGTTTGACAGTCTACAAGGAACTAAATGCTGCCAATAACCCCACAAGATTAGAAGCAGATCCTTTTCCAGACAGGCCTCAGATAAGACTCTAGTGTTGGCCAACACTTTGGTTGCAGACTTGTAATAGGAGCTCTTGATTTGGAAAATCCAGTGACGTTCTACCCTAACTGCTGACCCACAGTACCTGTGTGTTAGTAAGCTGTTAAGTTTGTGGCATCACTGCTTTGCAGCAAGAAATAATTAATTCAAGTACCTAACATACATGAAGTGCTGATACAGTGTTAGCTATTATTATTACATGTGGCAAGACAATAAGCTTTGAAATCACAAAAATTTGAATGTAAATATAAACTGTCCATTACTACTGTTAAGTTTGTAAAGACACTTTCAGAGTTCAAATTCCTTCATCTGAAAAATAGGGGCAATGATATCTACCCAATACATTCTTTATGAGGGATGATAATAATAAAATAAACTTGATAAAATGATAACTAATATTTATTGAGTATATACCATGTAATTTTCCTATATTATCCTATTTAATTTAATATTATTAAATGATCTTATGTGCCATAGACATTTACAAATAAGAAACTATAGTACAGAAAAATTAAGTAGCTTCAATCAAGTGGCTGTTGATGAATATAGTCAGGGTCTAAACATTGGTAGCCAGACTTTAGAATCTGAACCATACAGTGATCCTCTGCCAGATAAAATAATTATTTCAACAGATGTAATTTTGATCACTAACTATGTTCTACTTTTTTATTTTAGGTTAAGTGATATAACAGAATGAAACAGACATTTAGACGTTAGGTGAGGCAAAACTACCAAAAGGAATGGGAAATAGCTGCCAGATAAGTAGCATTAAAACCAATTAGGTATGATATTCCGTAAGCCTAGAGAAATTTTGGTTAACATTTTATATGTTCATGATAGGAAATCTTAGATGAGAACTGGACATTATGCAATTGACCATTGCATAATAAAGGGGTCTTGTTGAGAGCAGATTTGCCCTTGTTGACAGCAGATTTGGTAGGATGGTGTGGGTAAAAGTCTAATTGAAACTAGTTTAGACAAAGTCAGTGAAGAGGATAGCACAAATAACACTTCAAATGAACTTGTATATAAAAGGAGCAGTCGTTGGAAGGGAAAAATAGTCATAAGAGCAATATTTTTGTTTGATTTAAAATGGGAGGGATATAAACATGTTTACATACTCAATTAGTCAGTGTTCTCTAGAGAAACAGAATAGGGTACATACCTAGACATATAAAAAAGGGATTTATTATGGGAATTGCCTGATGCAATTATGGAGGCTGAGAAGTCTCACAGTCTGCCGTCTCAAGCTGGAGAAGCAGGAAAGCTGATGGTGTAATTTAGGCTGATTCTGAAGGCTTGAGAACCAGAGGAGCCAACACTGTATCTCTCAGCGCCATAGCAAAAATGTGTGCTATGGTTGAAGGTTATGTCCCCTCAAATAATCATGTTGAAACTTCATACCTAATGTAACAGCATTAAGAGAAGGGGTCTTCAGGAGGTGGTTAGGCCATAGGGGCTCCACCCTTATGAATGAGATTAGCCATGTTGGAAAAGGCTGGAGGGAACTAATTAGGACCATTTCTGCCCTTCTGCTCTCCTACCACATGAGGGTACAGCAAGAAGGCCTTCTGCAGACACTAAATGCCAGGGCCTTGATCTTGGACCTCCCAGACTCTAGAACCGTAAAGGATATATATTTGTTATTTTTTATGAATTATCCATTCTAAGGTATTTGGTTAGAGCTGCAGAAACGGATGATGACAGGCAAAGAATCAAGGGACCCGCTGATGCAATAAATATTGGAGTCTGAATGACTGAGAACCAGGAGCTCTGATACCCAAAGGCCGGAGAGGATGCATGTCCCATCTCCAGAGAGAGAGCAATTTTCACTTCCTCCACCTTTTTGTTTTGTCTGGGCCCTCAATGAATTGGGTGATACCTGCCTACATTGGCGAGGGTGGTCTCCTTTACTTGGTCTGCTGATTCAAATGTTAATCTCTTCTGAAAACATCCTCATGGACACACCCAGAAATCATGTTGTATCAGCTATCTGGGTATCCTTCAACCCAGTCAGGTTGATACACAATAACTATCACATACAGTAAATAAATAATCCAGTAGAGAGGAAATAACCTTCAGAAAAGATGTGGGCAAATTGCTATAGAGTACTGTCTTTGAATAGGTGAAAGTAGATGGGTTCTAACGTATGAGTGAAGAGCTGGCTTTGAGTAGAGAGAAACTTACAGTTCATGGACCATAACATTGGAAAGGGTCAGATTGTATAAGTAGACTATGCTAGGTGCATAGAAAGGTAGGTTATAGCTTAGAAACTTCTGATGATTTGCAAGTCAAATTAGAAGCATGACTGAAGATGGAGAGAAGGAAGGGGAGATTATAAGAGAGAGTAGGGGGTATGAAATTATCATTTGGAGAGCAAATTGACTAAGTCATATGATTTCCAGGCAAGATTAAGGAGACACTTCAGATTATTAATCATGAATTCAAAGTGCCAAAAGTCAGTATGTCTCTGTTTTTTGTTTGTTTGTTTGTTTGTTTGTTGTTTGCTTGTTTTTGAGACAGAATCTCGCTCTGTCACCCAGGCTGGAGTGCACTGGCGCAATCTTGGCTCACTGTGCAAGCTCTGCCTCCTGAGTTCACGCCATTCTCCTGCCTCAGCCTCTCGAGTAGCTGGGACTACAGGCACCCGCCACCACGCCCAGCTAATTTTTTGTAGTTTTAGAAGAGACGGGGTTTCACCGTGTTAGCCAGGATGGTCTCGATCTCCTGACCTCGTGATCTGCCCGCCTCGGCCTCCCAAAGTGATGGGATTACAGGCGTGAGCCACCGCGTTCGGCCTTCTGTGTTTTTACTCTAACTGTATACAGCTCTGCAGATGTGGTATGTATTAGGAGGGGGATTATATTTAATCTTGTCTGGGATTTTTCTAGGTAAGTACAATAAAAGGAAATTGACACCAAGAAGTTGATAGTTTATATAATAATAGTTGACCATAGAATTTAAGGTGGAGAAGAAGTTATTGAATATATGGCAAGGATGAAGGACTGTGAAAAGGTGGTGACATCAGTGGAATTTAGGTCCAAAAGATTGTTAGAGTGTGAGCCTTAGTAAGTAGAACATGGAAAAATAAGAAGTATTGGTCTGTGAGAGGGTTGTACAAAACTGAAGTAATGCAGATGTTGCAATTATTGCTGATAGCATGTTCTTTGTAGGGTCATTCAAATGGAAGTTTGGGGTACAGTGGGAAAAATACTAAGAGTGCAGTTGCCTCACCTCCTAGGCCAGAGAGTTGCAAAGGCCACCTGTGTGGCTATTTATATTACGAAGAATTATGTCAAAGTATTTTAGGAATGAGTGAGAGTGAGACAAGAAGTAAAACCCTCGGGAAATGAGGAAAGACGTGGAAGTCCATAAGTGTTTGTAACACCGAGTAATTGTACGTGCATTAGAAAAATGGTTTCTTAAAGTGTGACTTTCAATGGTTGTTGCTAGAAATGCAAATTGCCAAGCAAATTTCTTGTTAGAAATGCAAATTTGATCAACAATTCTGGTTAGGGCTCAGCAATCTCTCTTTTAACAAGTCTTCCAGATGATTGTGACATATTCTAAAATTGAAAACAACTGAATATAGTAATATAATATAATGGCATGAGATCTAAAACTTGGATGGAATATAATGGCATGAGATCTAAATGCCATTTAGATGGCATTAATATATAATAAATGGCATGAGATCTAAAACTGAAGATTATAATATAAGGGCATGAGATCTAAAACTGGGGATTTTAGGGACAATTAGGACGAATGGTCTGGAAGTTACAAGGAAAAGCAAAGTTGAATCCACCCTACTTTTGGGTCTGGTGAACAAAGAGGTGGGACATACCTTCTTTATCATTTTTTGGTTATTAGCTTACTAACCACTGACTATATACTAGAAAATATGATAGCTTTACATGGATGATCTAATTTAATCAAATAGCTCTCTTTGGTAAGTACTATTGCAATCTACATCTTACAAAGGAGGAAACTGACATAAAATTATGTTAAATGACTTGCTCAAGCTCATATAGCTAATACATCTTTATTCCTCCTCACTTTTATATATTTTATAATCCAATCGAATATTTATTTCAACAATCCTCCACCTCTGGTTTTAGTAACACTCATATATTTTACTACCATTTCAGACCGACACTGACTGGTTTGTATGTTCCTCATGAAGTCAGGTGGTCAATGTTAGAACTGCCCTAATTCATCCTGTCTGATACTTCCAAAGACTCATTAGAATAGTAGATTTGAAAGGGCTCTTCTAACTTGCCTGCTCTAACTTTTCTCTTTTATGTAATGCTCAGAAAGTTAGTACTTGACAGACAAAATGTCAGCAGCAGAGTTTTATGAAAATCTCTGACCCCCATTAAAACTATTTTTTATTATACACCCCATTTCTTCAGTTGAAGCATATTTAGACTAGACACTCATGCTATGATTTATTTCTTCTCGCTCAGACTTGCTGTTAATCAATGGCTAAAAATGTAATTCCCAGAAATGTGCCACCCCCAAATTCCTTCCTACGCACAGGTGCCAGAGTCATCCATCCAAAATGTGCAACTGATCATGTTACTTCTCTGATTAAAAGTCCTTTAAAATCTCCTATTGCTTACAGCTGCGTGGTGCTTTTTCTTTTAGTTTTAACACAGAGGAAAGTGACAGAGTGCTATGTAATCTCTGAAAATAAACTCTCTCTCTCTTTCTCCCTTCTTCCCTCTCCTTTTCTCTTTCCCTCTTTTCTCCCCCTTCCTTTCTTTCTCAGATCTCAGCCAGATTTCACTTTCCAGCCTCTCTTGCAATTAGAGATGGCCAACTGACTGGATTTTAACCATAGAAAGCCAAATAATTCAAGGGTGTCACTTCCAGTCCATACTTGTTAAGGAAGCAGATATGTCATTTTACCCACTCTCTCTACTTTTGTTAGCTTGAAATGATCACCTAGAAGACTCTGGAAACAGTGTTGAAGGCTGTAGTTCTTGAGTGACTCAGTAGAGTAGAGTGCTTTCCCACCCCTGACTCCTGCAGGCACTAATCAGAAACACCATTTTTGATATTTATGTGAATGAAAAATAAACGTATTATTTGAACACGTGGATATTTCAATGTTTACATTTTATAGCCACTGGTGCTACTTTAACTTACACTGTGCCCTAATTTTTGACTCCATGATGTTCTATGCACATTACACATTTTGGATTCAAATTACCTGTTTATAAATCTGTTTCAGCCATAAGACTGTGAGATCTTGATTAAAGGGATGATGTCTAGATTTGTCTGTAAGTATCCACTGATCAATACAGCATAATTGTGGCACAATATCTAAGGTTGAACCTACATGCTAACATGTTTTGCCTGCTTGTTTCAAATGGATCAGTGAAAACAATCAGACTGCACAGTTTAAAAATGTTTTGACTTGTGAAATGGAAATTACTTATACATCTATGAAGAAGATAACGTCTAAAAATTCATATAAAGCTTTTGAAAATATTACTAGAATATAACTGCCTATTTGTGAAGCACCATTGCTTTAAAAGCTATTGGAAATTATATGTTTTATTTTGTTGTCTTAAAGGAGGCTTAGGATGATTCGGAAGGTTATACTTATATTTTTAAGACGCAATTATGTTATCCACTTCTCTTGGTTTCTTTTGGTGGTTAACAGCATATCTATCGAGATGAATTAAACGACGTAGCAATTAGTATACTGTAAGATGTCATTTGCTAAATGGGTGAGCAATCGCGTGGACAAACATTTTACACTGAAATAATGATTTACTTACAGAAATCAATAGCTATGTCTTTTTTGGCTCTAAGTGGTTTATGGAACATAACCTCAACAAATTGTAGAAATAGAATCACCACAGTGCATTATGCCTTTCTTTAATAAAAGCAATACACAGCTGGTGAGACTAAGGTTTTGTTGAATGATATTTATATAGAAATTTTCAGTATAATAAATTTGAGAATTAAGATGAAATAGAAATGAATCTTTTTATAATTTGTTGATATACTGATGTTTATTAATTGGACATTATCAAAAATCATAACTAACAATAGTAAATATCCTTCATGTAACAGATTAAGTGAGACACTTATTGCTATTTAATAGAATCCAGGAACCAGAGGCCAGGTATTTTGATTTTCATCATAGTGACCCCAATACTAGTAGTTTTCAGTGGATATAACACCGCTGGTAGGGAATAGCTGGCACATGCATACAATTTTTCTAGTTGTCACAAGATTGGAGAATACTTCTGTCCTTTACTGTGCCAGGGATAAGAAAGATAGAAGGCCTGCCAGACAGGCTTGACTTTCATTCTACTCACGTTCAAATGGTGACTGGACATTCAGATAAATGAAACACATGTTTATAATTATCTGTCTTAGAATATATTTAAAACAAATATCAACATAAACTATTTTTTGAAGTTTCAAGTTGTAAAGAATTTTCCTCAAATTAAAATTCACTTTTAACCGAGGGATGACTCAAAATTTTATCAAGAATATTTTACCATCCTGGAAACTCTTATCCTAAATAGCAATATGCTTCTCTTGGCATTGGAGCCACCTTTCTTATATAATTTCTTCTTTGTATTACAATTATAGCATTATGTTGATTTTTCAAATGTGTGTTAAGTTTCATATATAATTTTAATTCAGGATAGTAGAGGGAGCATGATTAATATTTAAATAAGGGTTTTCTATATTTATGGTAAAATCTATACTCTGAAAATACTATATAATGACGTGCTACTAAGCACCTCTTCCCAACTCCACATTTAGTGACATCCCATCATAACTTGAAATTGGATATGGTGGGTGTATTTACACTATGGGATTTGCAGATGTACAAATCATTGCTCAACCTCTCCCATCTTTCAGTAATCACCAGTACACCACTCTCAGAAACATAGTCCTGTCCATTATAGAAAACCAGGATCTATAAACCCCGTATATTGTGCTAGTCATTAACTAGCAGTAAATAAAGTTACCTGTAAGTTAAAAGAGGTAATGAGCATAATATCATACAAAACACTCTTATTATTAACTATACAAAATGGATTTCTTTTTTATGTTTTCCCCATTCAGACAGATATAGAAGTCCAAAGGTTTCACTTACTTATTGGGTGTATTTTGCAACAAATTTTTCCAGGAATCATTAAGACACAACATTGCATAATATTAAACTTCCGTAGAAGAATTACAGATCTTTTCCACCCATATGCTATTGCAAGCAAGTGATAATGACATGCATTTTGAAATCATCAAGCTGAAATGATCCTGACCATGCTGTACGGTTTATAATTTTAGATATCTAGGTAATCAATCTTTCATGTGCTAGACTAGATCCACGTTTTTTATGAGAAAAAATAAAAGGCTTGTTCTGTCTGAAGGCACTTCTTCATCCAAACCCATACAGCTTTGGGGTTAGTGCTCCTTGGACTCAATTCTGAGTGAGATGTTTCCCATCACTCATACATTATGGTCTCACTCAACAGCTAAGAGTACCTTAGCTCCAGGTTATCATTAGAGAATACTATTAAAAACTGTCTTCGGCGGGTCCCGGTGGCTCACGCCTGTAATCCCAACACTTTAGGAGGCCGAGGCGGGCGGATCACGAGGTCACGAGATCAAGACCATCCTGGCTAACACGGTGAAACCCCTTCTCTACTAAAAATACAAAAAATTAGCCGGGCGTGGTGGCGGGCGCCTGTAGTCCCAGCTACTCGCGAGGCTGAGGCAGGAGAATGGCGTGAACCCGGGAGGCGGAGCTTGCAGTGAGCCGAGATCGCACCACCGCACTCCAGCCTGGGCGACAGAGTGAGAGTCTCAAAAAACAACAACAACAACGACAAAAACTGTCTTCTATCTAGATTCTTAAAAGCATTAATAGAAATGTAGATACGGTGTTAACAGATAAATTTTTGAAGTAGTATACCCTTTTATCTAAAGAGAACTGGTTTTTCACACCAAAAAACAATTTCCTAAAATAATATGATACAAAACAGTATTACAGTTGATACGGTTTAGCTATGTCCCCACCCAAGTCTCATATTGAATTGTTGCTTCCATAATCCTCATGTGTAGGGTGAGGGACCCAGTAGGAGGTAATGGAGTCATGGGGCAGGTATTTCCCATGCTGTTCTTGAAATAGTGGTTTTATAAATGGGAGTTTCCCTGCCCACACGCTCTTGCCTGCCGCCATGCAAAACATGCCTTTGCTCCTCATTTGCCTTCCACCAAGATTGTGAGTCAATTAAATCTCTTTCCTTTATAAATTACCCAGTCTTAGGTATGTCTTTATTAGCAGTGTGAGCACAGACTAATAAAATAGTATATTTTTAAGTCCTCAAAAATCATATTAAAAATAATATAAAATATATTCCTGATTTGCACACCAACAGTTTTTATGATATTACTCAATATGCTCCTCATTGTAAACATATGAGATATAATGCGGTAATATTATTTGAGATCTTTGTAATGGGTTCATTACTTGCTTTCCTTAAGGTATCTGCACTCCTTTCTTTTTACTGACTATAAAATGATTGTTTCCATTTCTCTTTGGCTTTTAGAAAGCTAAGATTCAAACTGAAGGTTAACTGAATCAATTATGTAATCTTTATTCTCATAATTATGTCTTTACCTAATCCTTAACTTCATATACATACATATATATATTTCTTTGCACTGACGTTTTCTTGCTATTCATAACCCTTTTTCCTCCTTTTTTTTCAGTTACTGCTCTTGATTTTAGTGTACTAAAAATCACGTGCAACATGACAGCCTACAAATAGGTAAAGTATAGATACAATTATATAAAGCTTTATTTTCATACTCCTACATTTTACACCACAATGAAGTAAAACAAAACAAAAAAAATTAAGGAAAATAAAAATTCAGTGATCATTTTAGTACTTATTTTATTTCACCATTGTTAGATCTCACTATATCTTGCTGGTTCAGAATATCATAGAGATGGATAAAGAGTGGTAGCATAATTAACAACAGTCTTTATTTTCACCTTGCCAAATGGCTTTGAATGAAAAAAAAATGAGTAGATGTACACAAAATAACTACTAACATATATATACATATATATATATATATATATGATTTCATGATTAGAAAATATGGCTCTCTGAAGTACATTTCATAGGTTAAAAAAGCATGCAAAAATGCTTTTCATTCTCAACTTGCAATATCTAAACAATAAACTTACATGGGGAAAATGTGTTGCCCTTGACAATTATGCAGGTACATTCTGAATTCATGCTACAAACTTCAAGAAGCGGCTGGTCTTTTCTATTTTTTTTTTTCTATCATCTAAGATATCCTTTGAGAATATTCACTTAGGTGTTTTCCAGCCAGACAGTTAATGTCATTGCTGTTATTCCTTTGTTTAGCAGAAGCAAGACTTTATTTATGGCCCTAACTATTGCTACTCTAGAGTAGAGCAGTTGTGCTGTGATATATTAGGGCAGTTTGTCATTTCTATATAAAAATATTCCTTTTATATGATAACACTTTGATCAAAATACTGGGCTTCAGCCACAGTAGGAAAATAAGAAGCAGCAATTAAAGTTGCTCAGGTGAAGAAAGAATCCAGTGTATGCTATATTAATAGTTCATCAGTGTAACACAATGTAGTGTAACAAATGCATCTGATAATGTAATTTCTTTTCAAAAGAGTTTAAAAAGATTGATTCACCAACATTCATCTTACAGTCAAGACTGAAGAATTTGATTTGTTGTTGCCTATTCTCTTTATTCTGATAGTTTGTTGTATCTCTCTTTATAAAAATGTCACATTAATACTATTTCTACCTTAGATAGCTCATCATCTCAATTCTATTATTTTCATATGACTAGGGTTATAGAACAGCTGCCACTTGGCTGAGTGTTGTCAGGCTCAGAAAGTGATATTTTCTTTTGGAGGAACACTATTTGTAAATCCACTCAACACTCCCGAAAATCTTTATTTGGTGTTAGTAAATTGTTGCCCTGATGGTGCCATGTTTACAAAGGAAGTTTCTAATTGATGTGACGTTTTCTTCAACAAAGATTTAATAACTTTTGCTATATTGGTAAATTGCTTGATTTATTTTACCACTTAAATAGTAAAAGCTTTGATTTAGAAAATGCCTGTGTGTTATATTGTGGTACAAAGGATAGGGAACTTATTGAGGCTCTCCAGATCTAAAAAATACACAATGTTTAATTTTAAACAAGCTTCCATTATTTTCTTGTAACCACAATTTCACTTTGGCAGTTTGATGAGGCCATTGGAAGTCATAATTTATTTATTTCAAAGAATAAAAACTGTTTTAGCCAGAAAATACATTTTTTTCAGTAACAGCTTTAAAATACATTCATTAAAACAACTAATATTAAATTGTGTTGGCATATCATCATGAACAAGGACAAAATAATTAAATATTAGAAATTTTGCTGAAAAATAAAATGCTATTAATTTCATTCAATCATTACGCATATATTAACCACCTTCTACAAGTCAGATACTATTCTGAGCATTGAGAAAACACTCGATATTCAAAATAATATTGGTGTTTCTATAGCTAGCTTGTATTTTGTTGTGTGAGACAAATTAAAAAAGGAAATTGTATATAATGTTTCAGGTGGTGAAAAGTGTTCTTAATTAAAATAAATGAGATAAGGACCTAAAGAGTGACAATTTTGATGGGTCAGAAAGAAGAAGTTCTAGTTTAAACAATGTAGTAAGAGAGGATCCTTCTGAAAGAGAAATTTGAGCAGAAAATTGAAGGAGGTTGAGAAATAAAGCACAAATACCAGAGAGCAAAATCTTTCTTGTAAAGACAATAGCAAGTGCAAAAACAAAGCAGGAGTGAACTTAGAGGGGCATCAAGATGGTTGAAGCATGGTGGGAAAGTGAGGAGGCTTTAGGACACAGGTTCAACTCCAAGTGAAATGTGAAGTTGTTGAGGGTACAGTTCTAATTTTTTTTTGAAAATGGCACTAATGTATAAACTATTTCAGACAAAATATATTTCAAGGTGTAAGCTATATGTCTCAGCTCATTAAATTGCTAATATGACATTTAAAAAGTCATCAAAACACATTAAATTGCCTTGACAAATGGTACTTAGAAGCTTTTTTAATGTGACATCTGAGTTGAACATAAAGGTCACATCGAACACACTAAAATGCATAAAAACAATGGGCAGTGTTTCTAAAACATCATTATGTTCACACTCATATGTGGGAGCTAAGCTATGAGGATGCAAAGGCATAAGAATGATACACTGGAATTTGGAGACTCAGGGAAAAGGGTGTGGGGTGGTGAGGAATAAAAGGCTACACATTGGGTATAACATGCTGCTTGGGTGTTGGTTAAACCAAAATTTCCAAAATCACCACTAAAGACCTTATTCATGTAACCAAACACCACCCGTTCCCCAAAATCCTACTGAAATGAAAAATTAATTAATTAATTAAAATTTCAGCTTTTATTTTAGATACATGGAGTACGTGTTTGTTATTTACCCCCACTTTTTAATCGATATATCAAAGTTGTACATATTTATGGGGTGCATGTGATATTTTCATGCATATATAGAATGTTTAATGATCAAATTAGGGTAAATGGGATATCTTTCACCTGAAAAATTTATCTTTTCTTTATTTTGGGACCATTACAATTCTTGTCTTCTAGCTTTCTTGAAATATACTATATATCATTAGTAAATATAATTTTCTTACTGTACTATCAATATTAGAACTTATTGCTGGTATTTAACTGTATTTTTGTACCCATTAACCAACTTCTCTTAATTTCACCCTATCCTCTTCCCCTTCAACCCTCTCTGGTGATCGCCATTCCACTCTGCTTCCATGAGGTCCATTTTATTAGCTCCCAAATAGGAGTGAGGACATGCAGTATTGCTGTGCTTATTTAACCTAACATAATGACCTTCAGTTTTATCCACACTGCTGCAATTGACAGGATTTTATTCTTTTTACAGCTGAATAGTATTCTATTTTGTATATTTACTACATTTTCTTTACACATTTATTTGCTATTGGACACCTCAGTTGATACCAAACCTTGGCTATTGTGAATACAGTTGCATATATCTTTTCTAAAAGCTGTTTTCCTTTATTCTGGATACATACCCCAAAGTGAGATTGTTTAATCATTGGTAGTTGTATTTTTAGTATTTTTGAGATTCTCCATACTACTGCTTTCCAATGTGGCTATGCCAATTTACATTCCCACCAACACGGTACAAGGGTACCTCTTTCTTCACATACATCCTTTCTAGCATTTTTTTTGTCTTTTTGATAATAGTTACCCTAACCTGATGAGATAATATTTCATTATGGATTGGATTTCCATTTCCCTGATGGTTAGTGATGTTGATAATTTTTCTTTCACATGATGTTGGTTATTTCCATGTCTTCTTTTAAGAAGAGTCTTTTCAGATCCTTTACTCATTTTAAAAATTTGATTATTTGGGTTTACTCTTTTTTGGCTATTGAATTGCTTGAGTTTCTTGTATATTCTGGTTGTTAATCCCTTGTCAGATGCATAGTATACAAATATTTTCTATTATTCTGTAAATTTTCTCTGCACTGTGTTGTTTCCTTTGCTGTGTAGAAGCTTTTTAGCATGATGTAATACCATGTGTCTATTTTTTGCTTTTGTTGCCTGTGCTTTTGAGTTCTTGCCCAAGCATCTTTGCTCAGATTGATGTCTTGCAGCATTTTCCAGTGTTTTCTTCTATTATTTTCATAGTTGCAGGTCTTACATTTAAGTCTTCAATCCATTTTGAGGTGATTTTTGCATATGGTGAAATACGGGGATCTAGTTTCTTTCTTCTGTATATGAGTAAAAGATTTCCCAGGATCATTATTTCTATTGTGAATAATGCCGCAATGAATGGTGCATGCATGTGTCTTCATGGTAGGTAGAACAACATACATTCCTTTGATTGCTGGGTCAATAGTAATTCTGTTTTAAGTTATTTGAGGAATTGCCACACTGCTTTACACGATACCTGAACTAATTTACATTCCCTTCAGCAGTATGTAAGCATTCTCTTTTCTCCACAATCTCACCAGCATCTGTTATTTTTTGACTTTTTTGTAATAGCCATTCTGACTGGTGTGACATGGTATCTCATTGTGGTTTTAATTTGCATTTATCTAATGATTAGTGATGTCGACTATTTTTTTCATATGGTTGTTGGCCACGTGTATGTCTTCTTTTGAAAAGTGTCTGGTCTTGTCCTTTGCCCATTTTTTTTTAATGGCATTGTTTTTCACTTGTAAATTTGCTTAAGTTCCTTATAAATTCTGGATAGTAGACATTTGTCATATGCATAATTTGAAAATATTTTCTCCTATTTTATAAGTTGCCTGTTTGTCATGTTGATAGTTTCTTTTGCTGTGTAAAAGCTGTTTAGTTTAATTAGGTCCTATTTGTCAATTTTTGTTTTGGTTGTCCTTGCTTTTTGTGTCTTTGTCATAAAATCTTTGGCTGTGCCTATGTCGTGAACGGTATTGCCTCGGTTGTCTTCCAGGGTTTTTATAGTATAGTATTATATAATACTATCAAATACTCTTGCTTTCTACTTTGGAAATTGTTGAATAAATGGTTTGAAATTAAAGAGGATTGTAATTTGAGTTTATTTTAATTTACTTTGAAAATATATTTAGAAATATCACGTCTATTATTTTTTAAATATATTCTATTATTGTCAACACATTAGCAAATGCATTATTATTATAATCTATATTCCAGAGTAATGCAATAAATAAGGAATAAATTTTATAGTAAATAGGAAAAAGCAAAAGGAAAAATGTTTCTAAAGGTTTAATAAAAATAAATGCTAGAATTTAAGAAAAATAGCTATGTTTGGAAACTATTGATCCATGCTTTCAGAATTAATTTAGGTTGCTGATTTATTTTTTAGGTCAACAAACATTTTTTGACCATGTTTTATATATTAGACCCTGAAGATACAATACCACGCATGTGCACTACTTTCAAGAAGTTTGTAATACAAGGACAAAAATCTATGCATACCATATAGTGATTCATGGAATTGGAGGAATAAGTCAAAGCCTCTAATACTGAGCAGATGTTAAGAAGAGTAGGTTATTGCTGTATGAGGGCATTATTTTGAACTTCCAGTAATAAATTGGAGTGAAAATTATAGTTTGGCCTGCATATAATATAAGGAGGTGATTTAACTATTAGGGAGTTTTATTTATAATTATCCTGATTACCCAGTGAGTTATAAAACATCAGGATTTTTTTCTAAATATATATTTAATCTATTAGATTACGTTGACACATGAATAGTACTTCTCTATGAGTTTAAAAATATGCAAAAAGTTAAACACAGATGTGGATAAGAGTAGAATAAAAGTGGATGATTGGTGGATTATGTCATCCCTGAAAATTGAATACTAAGGATCTTTTGTAACTTTAAAAAATATTTTCCCTCTTTAAATAGAAGAATCTTCCATGTGAGCTCAATTCCATAATTTATAAATGAGATAATTTGCAAAATTTCAGTACTTTTTAGTGGTAAATGTTTCACATTTGTTCTAAAACATTGTTTTACTTCCATATTAAGTGAGTTACCGGCCACTTGTGGTGGTCCATGCCTGTAATCCCAGCACTTTCGGAGGCCAAGGTGAGCGGATCGCGAAATCAAGAGATTGACACCATCCTGGCCAACATGGTGAAACCCCGTCTCTATTAATAATACAAAAATTAGCTGGAAGTGGTGGCGCACCGGTAGTCCCAGCTACTCGGGAGGCTGAGGCAGGAGAATCACTTGAATGCAAGAGGCAGAGGTTGCAGTGAGCTGAGATTGTGCCACTGCACTCCAGACTGGTGACAGAGTGAGACTCCATCTCAAAAAAAAAAAAAAAAGTGACATACAAACATATTTTCAATAACATTATCATAATGCTTATTGAATGAACACACAGATAACTTGAGTCAAGAGATTTTAATCTACTCTTGTTTCCTCATGACTGGGTTTTCACTGCTGTTTGAGACTGAGCCCACTCCTTCAACTATCCTCTTCATTAACTTTATCTTAGAAGTCTTTCTTTCCTGCTCCCCACTTGAGATTTGAGACACACCTACGACATCCAATTTGCTGGGCTCCTTCTCAGCATTAATCCCTTCTGAATGTAGTTATATAATTCAGTTAGTTTTCTTTCATCATGTCTTTGCAATCATACTGACAAAGAGTTACTAAAAGTAAAACTAATATTGCCCATTATCTGTCTTGACATCCAATTTCCTTAAAGATATTTCTTTAAGAAAACACCATATTCTTTTATTCCAAAGGAGGATTTGTATTTGTTTTTGAATATAGCAGTTTGTAAATATTACAAATTAAACTAAAATGTAGATTAACTATCCATTGTAAAAAATATTTGAGCTTTATCAGAGCTGATAAAAAGAGGTTAAAATGTTGAAAAAGATCATAAATTCAATGGCATTTTGTTGTGTTTTAGAATAGAAAACTCACTTAAATTGTTAAAAGAAGACTTGCTAATTTATCTTTTCCCCATTAGGTTCAGTGCATTTTGGTAGATGAAGTTTAGAAAGAGGAAGGGAGCTCAGACTTAATAGTTGGAGCCAACTAATATACTGCCATTCTAGTCTTTATGTTAAGATACTAGGGACAGAGTGTTCAATCTGTGTGTTATTATTAGTAGTATTGGCAATGAGAATATGTAAAGCAATAATTCTCAGCTGTGGGAAGGCAGGCACAGCAGCCTTCAGAGCTACCTCATATATGGTTCTCACATTCCCCTAAATTACCTTAACCCATAAATCACTTTTATTCATCACTGTTTCCTGTGATTCACTGGGAAAAGCCTCGAAGAGCATCCTGTTACTGAGGTGAAGACAAAGCCTGGGCTGTCCCAGGCAGTTCCTCTCTAACTCAAGATGTCACATTTCTTAGGAGGCATAGGAATAAGACCTTGGTACTTTCAGGCAGTTCCACCCCCTCTCAGAATATTGCACTCCCAGCACATTCTACAGTTATTCTTAGAAGTATAATCATAAAATCATAAATAATTGGATGGATTCAAGGCCACCTAAAGAATTGTCCTCCAGTAGAGAGTAGAATAATAGCTTCCAGAAACTGTTAGGGAAGAGGGTATGTAAGGAAAGGGGAGATACTAGTCAGAGGGTACAAAGTATTAGTTAGACTGACAAGAGGAAAAAGTTCTAGTGATCTACTGTACAGCATGGTAATTATATTTAATAATAATAATATAGTATATACTTTAAAATTACTAAAAAAGTAGGTTTTTTGGGAGGTGATCAGACCCAACACCAGGTCGTGGGGGTGACGAAGTCTGGCGGAGTCAAAGGAATGAGAAAAAGACAATTTGAGAGAGAAAGTGGGACCAGGGGGCCATTGCGAGTGTGGAGGCTGCAAAGGCCCCGAGCTCTGGAAGCCCACGCTATTTATTGGTGATCAAACAAAGAACAGGTGGTGAGGATGTGGGGGTTGAAAGGAAATGGAGTATCAAGTGAATGAGAAACATATGGCTACTTGAGATAATGGGAGTGCTAGAAGCAAGGAACCAGTAAGTCTAGCAGACATGCAAGCCCTGCCTCAGCTTCTCTCCCAACACTCAACTTTTCTCCCAACAATTTTAAATGTTTTACCAACAAATAAATAATGATGATGAATATTGTAATTAACCAGATTTAAGCATTCCACAATATATACATGTGTTATAACATCACATTAAAATATTTACAATTATTATTTGTCAATTAAAAATAAAATTAAAAAAGAAAATATGGTAATATGGTAGAAATGAAATAATAAACCAGACTGACATGATATCTCTCTTTAAGTAACTAATTATTTTCTGTAGAAATATATATACAAAGACTTAATTACATTTGTGATAAACACAATGAGATTATACAGTACAATAGGGAGGGATTATATTCTTGGGAGTTAGAGAGACTTCTCCAAGAAGGTGATTTATTAGTTGAGATAAGAAAAACAAGTAGGTATTAGACATAAAGAACAGGAGGTGAGAAAAATTAAGTTAAAAAAAGGAAAGCTGGTTGTTTCGTGGATGAAAGGATGAAAGGAGTTTAGTATATTTTTAAAACTGAGAGAAAATGGGATAGCTTTATTGTAAAGATCTTGAAGACAGGGGTTCACTACAGCTTGAAGAGGTGATCAGAGGAAAATTCATACAACAGTGCTTCACTACAGCTTTAAGAGGTGATCAGAGGCAAATTCCTACAAGACTTTATTCTCAAATCAATTGAATGTCATTATTCTTTTGGGTATATACCCAATAATGGGATTGCTGTACCTGGGCAATGAAATATGTACACCAAACTAACATGGCATACAATTACCTATGGAATCAACCTGAACGTGTACCCCGAAACTAAAATAAAAATTTTTATAAAAGTTGAGTGTCATTAAGGAGTTTTTTTGTTTGTTTTTGTTTTTGTTTTTTAAATCAGGTTTGTGATCTGATCAAAATCCTATTGAAGACATCTTTGACTGCTGTGGGCATTAGGGAGTGGCAAGAGTGGAAGCAGATAGACTTGCACTACTGCATGGCCCCTTGTAGCAATCAGCCAGAAATCAGAAGCTCCTCTATGTGTTCATTCATGAAGGGCTTAAATGGAAAGAAGTACAGGTTTACACAATCATTGCTGGAACAAAGAGGAGCAAAGTCATCACTCATGTTTTCAGTCTGCAACAACAACATGGTTGCTCTCGTGGTTCTCAGAAATTATTGTAAACCTTAAATTTCAGAGCTCCCAAATATCTCAATCTAGAGCATCAATATGAATGCTCTTGTCAAGTCTAATATGAAGTCATAGTGAACCCCACTTCTGCAACTGCTTCCAAATGATGATGACCTCTATTTCTCTTCTTACTTCTAAATCTTCTCTCTCTTCTGACTTCTAAATCTTTTGTGAATGCCTCCCATAAACTGACTTTATCTAGAACTACATAAGAAAGGACTCTGAGAAATGAAGTTTTCAGCTTTACCCATGAAAGTCAGATGATATCTCAGGGGAGAGGTAGAGGCAATGATGAATTGACAACAGACAATATAAGAAAACCCACCCATTTATCAGTTGAGGGTTCATACACATCCCTTTTGCCAATTTAAAATTCTCGAGTAACAGCAGTGATAAAATCATTCCTGTCTCTTTTACGGGATGTGATCCCTTTTCTGTAATAAAATTATGATCATTCTCTCCTTCCAAAAAGGAAATGTATTGCTCTGTATATCGTAATACACATCTTGGAGTGACATTCACTCCTTTTCTAGTGACGTCTCAAGGCTTTTTTGATACAATGTAACATAAATACTAAATTATGTGATATCTTATTTTGGATTCTCTCTAAAAGCAGAGGTTAAGACAAAGATTTGACTGTAAGTAATTTGCTTGGGACATGCTCTAAGGAAATAAGATAAGGCTTCTAGGAAAATGAGACCGAGGAGAAGAAAAACAAAACGTGTGTCACTGAGCTAGAAGCTACTGTGGAAAATGGGAGTCACTCTCAATGGACACTCTCATTGCCAGTGTAGATTTCATTAAAGTCTTTCTGTCATGGATAAAAGAATAGCATATTTTCCCACTAACTCCTGTTCTCCAATTATTGAGAATAAATTTCCCTCTCTGAAAGGCAATAACTTCCTTGTATTTCCCAACAGTCCCGTTTGTGGGCCAGGTGACTTCAGAAAAAAAAAAGTCTTTAAACACAACAGTGAAGAGAATGGGCAGAAACTTGAGGTGAGGTGCTTTAGCCTGCACTGGAACTCACTAACACAGCAGAGGGGATTAGAGACCTGGGCAGAGAGTATATTGTTAAGGCACTAAAGATTCTGCCATACACCACATGGACCACTCACAGCCATTCATATCTCACACTACATCATTTCTATCACCAGCTTCCTCTTCCAGTCAAGATAGAGTAACAGAGACCATATTTCTGATTCTACTTGAAACGAACCAAGAAAAAAATGGACAGAATATGAAGCAACAGCAGGCAATGAAGGGCAGTGATCCATGGGAGTGAGATGAGGTGAGACCTATGATTGCTACAGTTTACTGGCTGCAGAAAATTTCCAGGATATGGGACAGGAAGGAGCAGAACCCAGGCACAATCCTGAACACTCTGTGAACTAAGTAGATCAAGCTGTGAACCTGGGTAAGTCAAGGCAGCTAACTAGCATTCACAAGGAGGGATACTAGAGAGGAGAGATTTCTACAGAAAACAGACTCCAGAGATCTGTTGAGTCTCACTCAATTATTCAGTTGAGGGCTTCTTAGCACATGTGTGTAGGGAAACTAGCTGAAATTAGGGAATTCGGTGTTGATATAATGGGGATAATCATCATAAGTCTTTAAGGGTATCACTGATCTCTGAATTCTTCTGTGGGTGCAGTAATGCTTCTGATTTACTCTTCCATCTGGAGAATGAAATGTCAGGCACTGCTTCACTTATCTCTTCTGGACATAACTGTCACAAGTTAGGGTTCCTTGTGAGAGTTTAGCCAATTGCTAAGTAGACTGATACCAGTTACACATCTAAGAATAAGGTAAATAGCCAGAGGGTAGGACCACTGGCCCATTAAACCCATTGTGAGATATACTAGAACTAGGAATCTGTTTATCACCTGACCTCCTTAAATCCTAAATCAAACAGGTCGGGAGCAAGGAGTGGTATGATAACATTTTGGAGACCTTGGTATCTGTGTCCATACATCAAAAAAAGTAGGTATTATTCTTTTTTTAATGGACAGTAGTCAGGTAGACGTCAAGTCACAATTTTCTAGAACACATTAGAGGAATATTTATTGTACAAGAGTTTCTTGAAATAATAATCCTTTGCAAGTGATACATGGTAGGGATCATGATTTTTCTATTGAAGCAGCAATAACAGATACTGAGTTTCTTTTGCTTGTGTAAGTTAAACAATAACGTGTCATATCAACATCTATCTTACCCCTCAGAGCACTGTAGTGTATTAGTAATCACTACAGATCATTGTGGAGCATGGCACCTTGGTTGCTACCCCGGCATTGTTTCTCTTTGGAATATTACTCTAACTCTTCTCCGATAGGTAAGTGTAGACACGTGGTTTCTGCCATTGTGGAATCCTGTCATCCTCATTGAAATGTGGGACCAAGACCACAGCAAGTTTTTCTACAGTTACTACTGACCATATGATGCCAATGCCCTCTCCACTGGTGCAATATTTATTGCTTTTGTGTAAGCATGTATTCTGGGCCATACTGAAGAACATTGTCAGATGATGAGATTTTCAGTCTGTTATAAAAAATCTATTCTTTTAAGTTTTTTTCCTTAGTTTTCTTACCTTTCACCCAAACTCTGACAAGTCTGAAATTTCTATAATTTCATTTACAAAAGGCCAATTTTGTCTCTAGGCATCATTTGACTGTCCTAAAGTATATTAGGATTAGTTCCAGGTGTCATTGTCTGATGTTAAAACTTGACTTACAGGAAAGTGATCAAACATCCATAAACTCAATGTTATTCAGGCATATATTTCACCTCCTCCCGGTCCAACAATGTTAAGGTCAACCCTCAAAATCATTTCTCTTGTTTCTGCTGGTACATAACTGTCAGATCCTGTAATATTTTCCTGTGAATAAGCTACTTAACCTCACAGCAGGGAACATATTTTTCTATTTGTGCTTGCTGAGATCTAAACCCAGCTATTTGTCAGAGGACAATGGTTAGTGCAGGTGTGAATACAGAACATGGTGAGTATACTTTGTATAAGATATGCATCAGGGAAGTGTGTCTAAGGCCCTCCAGGCAAGAGGAGGCTTCTGTCTTTCAGCAATGAGGTCTGTGTTGCTTGTACCAGCACTAAGAGTTTCAGGGAATCTGTGGATTCAAATGACTCACACGCAGTGATCCAAGTCTGTCCCCCATTCCCTACCAGGCCCTAGTTTCATTTTAGAAGATCTGTCAAATCTCTATTTTTTAAAAATTTATGATTCTTTATCATTGTGGTTAAATCTGCAGCCTGATTTGTAGTACTCTGCTCTATGGCTGCCAAAGTTGAATGTCTCATTAAACTCTGCCACAGAGGCCTTCTGGCTTCCAAGACGTGTCTTGAGTTGCTATTTGGCCCACAGAAACCTTTTTATTTAAGGCTTCCAAGGCACACAGAAGCCAGTCAACCACTAAATCTTCGTAATTACTATTGCCTGCATTCTGTTCAAGTGCTGAAAGTACAGCATAACACAATCATTGCTCTTCTACCTGTGCCTCATCCCAGTCCTTCAAAAATTATAGTATTGGGTTCATTATGCTATGGTAGGTCCTGGGTTAATACCACCCTACTTTCCCTCAGCAATAAGATTTGTTGCCAACTGACAGGTAAATATCACATACTGCGGGTCTCTGGGGCCACTCTGCTATAATTGGCTTTGCTTAGTAACTTCTGGAAAACAAAATCTGTCAATTGCTTCTGTAGAATCTTTGTTCCAACAAGTGACTTCTTGAAATAGAAGTCTAAAGGTTAATTGGTGACAGAAGGGTGTGTGATAGCCTTAAGAGCTCAACATTTTGTTGTCTTTCAAACATATCTCTTTTCCTTTCCTCTTTCTCTCAACTGTTATCAACCTGTTTACCTTCCTTAATTGCATAATCATATAGTCATCTTATTTGCATTATTTTTCCTTTCACATATGTTTCATAGCTCATTTATACAAAGTGTATATGTTTTTTTCAGAATAAATGCCATATTCTGGAGAAGAAGGTTTATGAACTATTTTCTCACTAATATATAGTAAAATTATAGATCATGATACATGTAACAAAGCACAATTACAATAAATAACAACTATGTACATATTTACTCTTTGTCCATGAAATTCTTGATTCAGACTCATCAGATTCATCATTGAATTGCATGTAAGATAAACATACTTTTATATACTTATATAGTACATGCTTATGTACTTATATTTCAGGTTGTAATGAATGAAAGTATATTTCTTTTTATATATTTGTATGTGGCTTACTTTTTAATAAAATGTAAAGATCCACAATGGTTTTCTCCTTTTTTTTTTTTTTGAGACTTGAGTCTCACTTTGTTGCCGAGGATGGAGTGCAATGGCACGATCACAACTCACTGCAATCTCCGCCTTCCAGGTTCAAACAATTCTCTTGCCTCAGCCTCCCGAGTAGCTGGGACTATGGTGCACGCAACCACGCCCGGCTAATTTTTGTGTTTTTAGTAGAGATGGGATTTCTCCTTGCTGGCCAGGCTGATTACTCAAGTCATCTGCCCACCTCGACCTCCCAAAGTGCTAGGATAACAGGTGTGAACAATCGCCCCCGGCTTAGTTTTCTACTTTTTATACATTTAATACAAAATAGCTGTATTCCATTACCTATGAATATTTCGAATAATTAAAGACATATTTCTATTTTTAAAAAGTCCACTTTTACTCTACAACAAGAAAGATGTACCATATCAAGAAATTTTCATTTATCAATAGCAAATACCGTGAATACTTATGAGAAACATTGAATGAGATGATATATAACCTGCTAAAATTCATCACTCACGTGCTTGTGAATATCACATAAATACGAATCTGTTAAGCTTACTAGTGTGTTGTATTCTACAACTGATAATCTATAAGAAAACAAATTTTTATGATTAAATACATGTATTATGTTTTGATATATATTTATGGATATCTAAACTGAAAATAATGTGTAATAGCTTTTCCTAAAATTGTTCTGATATCTAATGCATCTAGATGCATACTGAATTAAATTAACAAATAAATCTAACTTAAAGATGAGCTATTACATCAGTCTGTGAAAATCCAAGTCTTTTAAAAAGGAAATTAGACAGTGTCATAGAAACCTCTTTTCTCAGCTTTGTGTTTCCAGTACATGTTTAATTTAGCACATACTAATTAGACATGAGATTATAGGTGTTCCATTCTCTTGGAATAACATCAGAGTCAATCCAGTCCCTAGGATCTGAGTCCTCACAAATACACTGTCTGCAGTCTCCCTTGATCAGAAGAGACCATTCAGCTTGCCCTTGTCTGATCTGGCATTTTTGTAGGGACACTTTCTCTCATAGACTCTGCTGTATTTGTTAGAAGCATAGTGAGGGAGTGTATGATGTCTCAAAAGTCATCAGATATCATTAGAGGTTCCAACAAGTTATAATTGACTTTGTGTTTAAAGAAGAGAACAACAGGGTCACCAATAACACATTCTGGGAAGGCAGCCAGGGCACTACCATGGGAGTCATGATGCCTAAACGTAAATTGAGTAGGCTGGACTTGCAGTGTATACTGATCAGAAGTGACACAGTGATTAACGTGACAAGGGAGAAAGGAATTTCTAATAAGGTGAGCAGATGTCTTGGAAAGACCGGAACGTTAGCCTTCAGTTTAATGGTTACAGCATGTATGCTTTCAAATAGACAAGACCCTCTTCTAGAATCAGCCCCTAATATATGCCAAGAGCTAGTTTAAGCCCGAGGGTCAATAAGGCGGCTGTGTTCCCTCTGGTCAGCATGAAATTGGGTGGATAGTGAGAGTTAAAGACCATTACATATAAAAGTCTTATTGTTTAGTCTAATCTTTTTTAAGTTTTAGGGACTAAATCTTTAAACAGTCTCCCGCAAACAGAGGATGTTTTATTTCATTTAAACCTTAAATAGATACAAATTATATTTTAAGAAGGGAATGACTTTTTTTTTTGTTTTTTTTTTTTTTGCAAAATTCTAACCAAACAGTTTGAGCTCCCTTTTCTCATTTTTTTTTTCCACAGGACTACTCTGGGCAATAGTGCAACAAGTGTTATTTTCATCTTTTCCAAGCAGGCAGAATAGAGTCAGTTGTTGCTTGCTACTTGAAAAAAACAGACAAGTCAATGTTTAAACAACCTTACGTTTTTTCCCTTATTTTTGTACTTTTTGAATAGTTGTTTTCCTTCTCTCTATTTCCCCAGTGCTTCTTTTATCGAATCTCTGTGCTTGGCTCTTTGGCTACTGTTCCACTCTCTCCTGGGCTCTCAGTGACTAAGCTGCTGTATTATTGTCATATAGGATAGGACAGGCTCTTTGTAATGCATACATTCCTTTTCTTCATTTTAACCAGATGACCACACTGGACAGCTATATTTAAAGCCAAAAAAACCCTCGATTTCAGAATAATTGTCATGAATATTTTGCATTGTCATTGAAAAAGATGTATTTACTCAGAAGCTGGTGTCAGAAATTCAAGGAGAGTTTTGCACAGTTCTGCATTAGAGGAAAGACCTCTTCTTTAACCTGGAGTTACTAAGCTACCCCCAAATGGTAACAAACTCATCTGGAATATTCCTGCCTCAACTTTAAAACATTTTTTTAAATGGAAAGTCTCAAATATATGCAAAAGTAGAAAAAATTTCCATGAACCCCAGTGTACCTGCCATGCAAGCATCGCTAATCCTCAGGACAAGGTTAATCTTATTTCCTCTCTGCCACCATCCCCTCCTCCTCCATGGTACTATTTTGAAATTCCTGATATTAAATCAGACTTTCCATAAACATTTTGACAGAATATCTTCTTTCAATATCAAGACAACAAATGCTATTTAACCACAGATTACCATCACACTTCCTACTATTTTATGAAATAATTAATTTCAGTTACCTAAAAATACAAAAGAAAGACCTCCTCCTAAATTAATAACATGCATGTCATATAAAATAGCCATATTATGCACTTGTTAAATGACTGACTTGTCCATAAAAGGCAGTCACTATCATTTAATGCTCAGTTCCTTCCCTGCCTGAACTTTTACATACCTTCTGATGCTCACAGCAGGACACACTATGTAATTCATATCAACATTTGGGGCATCATTCAACGAAGACAGGAATTTTAACATTATACAGCAAACTATCTCCTATTTTGACTGAACACAGAATCTGTAATTCAAATGACAGGAAAATAAACAGAGTTTACAGCCAAGTTTACATAAAGTAATTGTAGAAAACTCAAACACACCCTATCAAAAAGTGAAGTCAATGTTACTGTGAATTTTCCCCCCTCTGGAAAACTATAATATCATTGTGTTTATTCTACTTATGACAAATTGCTCACACGAATTTTCATTAGAGGGTTCAAATTTGTTTTACTCTCTGGAACATTAGCTTGAAATCAGAATTAAAAATATACAAAGATTCTTATATGCAAATATAACACTATTATGAAGAAACAAAATAAATGATGTCTTAAAAAATGCTAATAAAAACATAATGAAGAAAAAGCCTATCATAGATACAGTAGTGTGACTGAGACATGCCCTGCATTCTCTTGTTTTCTCATATAAAAATCAGAGATTATCAGAAAATGAAAAAGATCCCATTTTCTTTGTGAAGGAGTAGAGTCAGTTCTTTCTGGAACAGTATATAATATGACACAAACGCAAACATAATTACAAGATTACATTTTACATTGATTGTTTTAATATTGATCATGTTGAATATATAGTTTCTAGATTATTTTTTAAATATATTAAAATCCTTAAAGGAAAAAAAAACTCATTGAATTTCTGCTCATTCAGTTTCTGACTACTTATACTGCGGTTTCTGGGGTTTCTAACATTCCCTGAAGGTACTGCATCTGAAGAGTTCACAGGATGCAGAAAAAGCATGAACCATGGCAGAGGACCCTGGCGTGAGGAATGCAAAGCACACTCAGGGGGTTAACTCAGCAGCTCTCACAATGGCGGAAGAAGTCGATTAGCAACAAATTTCATGTGTTTTTCCTCATGTACTCTTAGTGAGGTTAAAGACTCCTTTTTAGTAGTGACATTCTCTACTAAGGAGTGACGAATTGTGTGGGTTTTCATACAAGTCTTTCTTAAACAAAATAACTTAGCTTTCAGAGAGCACTGTAATTTTCCTTTTGCTTTGTCTCGTTTTGTTTTATTTTCATTAAATGTGTTGGAGCACAAAATGCAGAAGGCTAATAATAAAAGAAATATGAGATAAAGGTTCTATATGACAGAGATGTGTAATTTTGAGATTTAATTACAATGTAGTATAAATTGGATCTATCTGCTATAAAAAAAGGACAGAAAAGAAAACAATAACAACAACAAAGCTATAAAAGAAAGATGATAATACTGAATAATTGAAGAAATTTGGACATAGGCTTTAAATTAGGTAAGAGTTCTGAAACAGCTTTAAATTTATATGATGATTTTGTTGTGGTTATATAGGATAATTTATTTTCTTCCTTATGAGAACACTCTAAAGACTTTAGGGTTAAAGTGTAACAATATCCACAACTTACACTGATATGGTAAGTCATAAAATAAAGTACGTATATGCAAAAGAGAGACATATATGTAGCAGACTGATGCAAATATTCTTGCAAATTTTCTATAAGTTTGTAGTTCTTAAAATATAGAAAAAATTAAAACTGGCAACAAAAAATTAGTGAATATTAATTAAGATAAATAAAATTATTTAATGCCATAAATTCATTCCATTTAATAATACACATGAAAAAGAATGAGGAACATATTACAGTATAAAAAGACACACACATACATACATGCACATAAAGGGATAAACCTTACAAAAAATAAAATTGATCAAGAAAAGCTATGCACTAAATAGCACTGACTATATGATTTCAATTGCATACATTTCTAAAATATACACAACTGTTGTGTTAGGACATGTCAATGTACTGGTAACTTTAAGATACAAAAATGTAGAAGTAGACAAACTACCCATCTGTTTATGAAAATTGAAGAATATTACTTTAGCATTGAAACTAATTATGTTGTGTGTAAAAGCAAATAATAGAGACTTTAATTAAGAAAAACATCAGGGACTTTGCAGAATGAATAAAATAAGGAATATATAAAATGATCTTATACAGCGAACCTTAGTATTTGTGAGCATATGAGTGAAATATTAGATAATTCTCAAATGAATTGTGGGAAGGCAGGTGCTTAAATTTGGAGAAGATGCTGTATTAGTCCATTCTTACATTGCTGCAAAGAACTACCTGAGACTGGGTAATTTATAAAGAAAAAGGGTTTAATTGATTCACTGTTCCTCAGGCTGTACAGCTGGCATGGCTGGGGACACCTCAGGAAACTTAACAATCATGATGGGAGATGAAGGGTATCCAAGCAAGCCTTCACATGGTGGCAGGAGAGAGAGAGCATTGGGGGAAGTGCTACAAACTTTTAAACAAAAACAACCAGATCTACTGAGAACTCACTATCATGAGGGCAGCAAGGGGAAAATCTGCCCCCGTGATCCAATAGCTTCCCAACAGGCTCTTTCTCCAACACTGAAGATCATAAGACAACGGGAGACTTGGGTAGGGACACAGAGCCAAATCATATCAGATGCCTAGAAGAATAAATAAAGAGAAGAAATATAATCCATAGAGCTACACCACTAACATTTGTATCATACTTACACATCTTCTCCCCAGTATTGTTTTCCAATATGCTTCAGCCTTCAACTCTTTAAATGTCATAAAATGTTTGCTAGGGAGCCTCTCTTGTCCAACACATGCGTATTAGTTCATTTTCACACTGCTGATAAAGACATACCCAAGACTGGGAGAAAAAGAGGTTCAATTGGACTTAAAGTTCCACTTAGCTGGGGAGGCCTCAGAATCATGGTGGGAGGCAAAAGGTACTTCTGATATGGTGGCGGCAAGAGAATATGAGGAAGAAGCAAAAGTGGAAACCCCTGATAAACCCATCAGATCTCATGAGACTTACTCACTATCAGGAGAATAGCACGGGAAAGCCCTTGTGATTCAATTACCTCCCACTGGGTCCCTCTCACAATGCACGGGAATTCTGGGAGATATAACTCAAGTTGAGATTTGGGTGAGGACACAGCCAAACCATATCAACATGGTAATTACTTCTTTGTTCTTTAAATGTCTGTCAATGCTCTTTTAAGGAGTAGTTAAAGGGATTAGGTGGGGGAAGAGAAAAGAATGTTTATGAATGCTTTAACATGATTTATCAATATGAAATGGTAACAAACCGTGCAATTCTGCTAGGCTATTATGACATTTTATTTCAATTTCATGCAAGTTAGAAAAAAGTTATATTACCATTATAAAAATGGTGACCACTCATATTCTGAGAAAATTAATTAACTAAACATTAATGCCAAGTTTAAATTGCAATGTCTAACTTCTCTATATACATACTTCCATGAGAAGTAGGAGTTTGCAACATTATCAGTACATAAAAGAGTGCTTATGTTTAATATTACTTGGGACTTCTCATTGATTAAACACTTCCCTACACACTTGATGAAGAACATAGGGAATCTCTATTACTTAGGTGTCTTTCATTTGTCCTGTTCTAGAAGCTTATTCCTACTAGGGAGATTAGCTTTGCATGGTTGGGTTCACTTTCATAGTGGGAACCATAAATCCATCAAAACATATAAAAGAGACTGATGGCCTCCTAATTAAAGCATGAATTTATGATAGAGAGACTCTTCTCAGGGCAATTCTTTATGGAGCAACAGAGTAAGCAATGCTTATATGTTAAAATCTATGAAGAGGTTGCAACATTTATTTTAAAGGCATAAAATGAAGATATAAGGAACACATATGTAGTTACTATATTAACTCTATAGCAAACTGGTAGTAAGACATGAAATTTAGCACAAAAAGTGGGCCATTTAAACAACTACTCAGAATGGCTTTGTATTAAAAAGTTGGTGCAAAAGTGATCCAAAATGATAAATGGAGGAGTGTTCTTAGTGATAGAACACAGATGTTGACTTAGAGGTGAAGTGTCTTGATCAAAGAAGCTCTATTTTGAATAACAAAATACTTATTTGTTTTAAACAGAGATGAGTTAGGGAATCCATGGCAATATTTTAACTTCTTGCTTTACCATTAATTTCATCGTATATATTCTCAAAAAGACTCTTTCCTGAAATATAATATAATAATCAACAAAATAATAATAATAAATGGAAAGTAAGAAAACTAAGTCTTGTGAAATTATAAGTTAATTGTAACATAATTTAACCAAGATTAAGTACCATGTCATAGATGTGGGGTTAACTGAAACTGCAGTGTGTGATGTGTTAATACAGCTCTAGAAAAAAAGGGAAAAAATCCACAGATACAGGTTTCTTTAAAAAATTTGATTTATACTCCTTCAATTTATTGATAATGCCTATAATCAAACCTCTCTATAGCCCCCTGCCAAAAATAAAAATTTTAAAAAAGAGGAAAAAAGTATAGTTAAAATCAGCATCAAAGAAAATTATTCAACTTGCCATTATTAAATATTTAGAAAAGAATATTCTAGAACCCTAACCATTTCCCAGTTCCAAAGCCACTTTCACATTTTTTTGGCATTTGTTACTTCAGCAAGCCTACTTCTGAGTACCAATTTTGGTCTTAGTCCACTCAGCTTGCTAAAGCAAAATACCATAGACTAGTTGGCTTATAAATAAAAGAAATTTATTTTTCTCAGTTCTAGAGCCTGGAAAGTCCAAAATTATGGTCTGGCAAATTTTATATCTGATGAGGCCTGTTTCCCAGCTCAAAAAGAACCATCTTTTACTCAGAAGGTACAAAGGATACAAAGGACACAAGGCTCCCAAAGGAGCTTCCTGGGGCCTCTTATATAAGGGCACTAATCTCATTCACGAGAGCCCTGCCATCATGACCTAATCAACTCCAGAAGTCACCGCTTCCAAATACCATCACCTCGGGGATCAGATTTCAACATATGAATTTTGGGAGGGGGACATAAACATTCATACTATAGGAAGCATTGAAATGCAATTTCCCTAAAATATGGATTTCCTGAAATTATTAGAATGCACAAGAATGTGTACAACTGAAATCATTGTAAGGGAATTTTTCAGCCTATTTTCAGATATTCTGGTATGTTATTCTTTTATTTACAATGTTCTTTCTATTATACAATATTCCTATTTGTTACTAAAGTACTATATAATTTGAAAAAAGTATTCAAACATGCATGCACATTTTAGTGTTCTCTATTTGTAATGTTCTCTATTATTTTTTACTTATTTATTTATTTATCTATTGACACAGGGTCTCACTCTGTCACACAGGCTGGAAGTGCAGTGGTGCGATCTCAGCCCACCGCAACCTCTGCCTCCCGGTCTCAAGCGACCCTCCCATCTCAGCCTCCTGAGTAGTGGGATCATAGGTACACACCACCGTGCTTTGCTATATTTTGTAGAGATGAGGTTTCACCATGTTGCCCAGGCTGGTCTTGAACTCCTGGACTCAAGCAATCTGGTGCCTTGCCTCCCAAAGTACTGGGATTACAAGTGTGAGCCACCAAATCTAGACTGTTTTCTGTTTATTTTGAAGAAATCTGCATTAACTGCCTTTTTAAATGATACATTTTGAATGTTATTGACTAACTCTATAGAAGTTGCTCATATAGTAAGGACTTTAAAGTAAGTATCAAATTATTTGGCAAAAGAATATAGTAGCATGATTAAAGTGGAAAACAATGTGGTCCCATATACATTCAAAAAAATAGTAAAAAAGTGAATTTATACAGGAACATAAAACATATTTTCTTATTTTCTGTTTTTCATTATTTTTTGCTATCAGGTAAAAATAAACCAGGTTGCTTATTTTCATTTTTCATTAATTAAAACATAAGTTAATTAACGAATCGCAAAAAACTCAGTGTCAGTGTTGAATAAATATAAGTAACGTGAAATTCAATTGAAAGTAGCCTGATTTCCAGATACCAATTTAAGTTAGTTATCTATTTATTTATTTTTCTGATGTGTGATAATTTATAGAGTCTTCTGTTAATTAAAGAGCGTAATACCACATATGAAAATTTTTTGTACCCTTTATTGTGCTCTAACCTATAACGACATATTTTTGAAGCTAGTTGCATATTGCATGTCTAAGAAAGGCCATGTAAAGTCCAATGAGAGAGTACTAATTATTTGAGAGAGATGCATATATTCAAAATGCCTTAAAAATGAAGGTGCATTTGTTAAGTTCAATTCATATTTTTTTAAAGACTCGAAATTGTGTATATATTAAAGCAGGCCAATTAAATCCATTAGTGACAAAATCACTGATTACTGTTAGGTCAGAAAAGTAGAGCTTGTTGCAACGTGAAATATTACAGTTATGTTATAGAGCTAGATAAGTGAATCCTTAGTATATCTTTTTATTTCTAAAATTGAACTCTTAAATATTCTGCGCTTAATCATACTAACAGTTCTTGTAATAAATCACATTTAGTGCAATTGGTTCACGTTTGTTTTGAATGTGTTGTTAGTATTACCTAGCATTGAGTGTGTTTGCGTGTCTGTGGTCTGTACGTGTATGTATGTTGGGGAGGATTGGACCCCTCTCCAGAGAAGAAAATTATCATAATTCTTGATTGAAAATACATTCTCCTCAGTCTATGCATAATCTGCTTTTTTGTTAGTCATTTTAGTAACATAATAAGAACCTATAGAATCACCACCTGCTCCCCCACCCGCCATCACACATAGACAGACACACACAAGCTAAGGCATTGGGGCCTAGGGAATGGAGTGGAAAGGATGGATATTCCCATTCCGTCCATTTCATTCCTTGCTTCCTCACTTTACTCCATCTTTCATAAAACTATTATCTAAAAGGCAACGCTAATAATTATCTTTACTTTGTTTTTTTGAAAATATAATTTATAGCATTAACATATATAGTTAAGTACATTTTTCTTATTGAAATTATTTTAGCTTTCTAAACAATAGATGATTTTATACACACGTTATGATGAAATTTAAACATTACTTTGCTATAATTTATTTATCTTAAGTAACATATAATGTAGTATGGCAGGAATATAACATACTTTAAACAAACTACAGTTTAAACATCTACAGTCCTCTTAAGAGTAACTGTGTTTTTTTCACTGTTTAGCAATTCTGAACATTTCTCTCTTAAGCGTTCTTATAACTGTTTCTTATGAATGAGAACCAATTTCCTTTGGAGATATATTTAAGATTTCTTTAGAGACATGCTGAATCTCTTGTTTTATGTGAATTTCCTATTTTATAAGTTAGTGCCAATTTGTTTCTATAATCAATGTGTAAAATAGGTGGATACATGATAGAAAGATAGATTAGATATAGATAGATAGATAATAGAGAGACAGAGAGATAGACAGATAGATGATAGATAGATAAAATAGAGTGGCCATATCATTTATTGCCTAAACTGATATAGTTTTGTGAGTGAAAAGGGCTCTGTTATTAAATGTTTTAGCAAAACAACTACAAACTTGAAATTTTCTAAAATCGAACAAAGTCTCAAAAAACCCACAACAAAACAAACAAACAACAAAACTGGGTCTGTGGCTAAGTTGATTTTGGAATTGTCTTTACCACATTTAGATAATGCACTTGAATATAAACTTTCATAGTATGTAAATGTTTTCTAAATTGGAGAATGACGATAATTCAAATTTCATTGGAGGAAATTGAGATTAAATTATATAAAAGAACACTAAATCATTTATTCATTTATTCATTCAATATCATTTGATAGGAATTAAGCACTAGTTTGAATTTTTTTTTTTTTTTTTTTTTTTGAGACACAGTCTCGCTCTGTCGCCCAGACCGGAATGCAGTGGCACGATCTCGGCTCACTGCAACCTCTGCCTCCCGGGTTCAAGCGATTCTCCTGCCTCGGCCTCCTGAGTAGCTGGGATTACAAGCGCCTGCCACCACGCCCAGCTAATTTTTATAACTTTGGTAGAGACGGGGTGTCACCATATTGGCCAGGCTGGTCTCGAACTCCTGACCTTAGGTGATCCGCCTGCCTTGGTCTCCCAAAGTACTGGGATTACAGGCGTGAGCCACCGTGCCCAGCATAGTTTGACCATTTTTTAACTCATTCATTCTTGCAATTATTTTCTTTAAAAGAAGATTCCAAAACAGTGTTTTTAATAAACGAAAAATATGAAATATAAATGAAAAATTTTATGCTTATTCATAGCTATTGGTAGATCTCAGGATAATCAAAGGAAGAAAATTTTCAATTCTTTTTAATCATTTCTAAATTCGTATTGGGTTAAATTCTTATCTGAATTGAAACGTTAATGTCATTTTTAATAAGGCTGTTCATGTAGTTATCTTTTGTACTTTCTTCTAGAGATCATAAAGAACTCTTAGCTTTTAATTCTTAGTGTTGGATTTTCAGAACCATGTCCTTGGGGGAAAGACATTTGTATTAATCTACAGCCTCTGTCACAAGTAATTTAATGGCGATGTCAGTGTACTTCCAGTTATTCTTAGCCAAATAACTACAACAAAAAAAATCACACTATGAACTGTACAGGAAAGGCAATAAAATTATTAGTTAGGACTACAAAGAGAAAAATATAGCACTTCATAATTTTTACAAATGTGAATATATGCTTTTGTATGTAAGGTCTTAAAAGTCTATGGAAAGAAAAATAGGTAGACTGCTAGTTGCAAGGCTAGTGTGAATTCCACAATGCTATATTTTCTTCAAATGCCCTTGTTCTATCAACCTGGTTTAGTCCACGTCTATCTCTGTCTATCATAGAGACATATCTTTATAACTTTTATAATTGTCAAAATAACAGGCAATATATGAAGTATTTAAATCTAAAAAAGCAAATTGGTCAAGCTCTGAGTCCAAATCCTACCTTTGCCACTTTCAAACAATGTGAGTTGAGCTAGTCACATGAACTCTCTATGACTCAGTTTCTGTGTATTACTATGATATCAAAGGTGATTATAATAATTCCTACCCCACATGGTTTGGGAGTATAGCATAAATTATTTTATGTAAATACACTAGTGTAATAGTAAATTTGGCTATATATGAATAACCGGTAAATAGTATTCATAATGTGTTAAATTTTATTTTAAGCATATTCAATGATTTATTTAATATTCACAGTTGCACAGGCATTTATGAGGAATAAAGAAGGTAAGTAGGTCAGGCGCGGTGGCTCATGCCTGTAATCCAGCACTTTGGGAGGCCAAGGCCAGTAGATCATGAGGTCAGGAGTTCGAGACCAGCTTACCAACATGGTGAAAACCCATCTCTACTAAAAATACAAAAATTAGCTGGGCATAGTGGCGTGTGCCTGCAATCCTAGCTACTCAGGGGGCTGAGGCAGGAGAATTGCTTGAACCTGGGAGGTGGAAGTTGCAGTGAGCCAAGATGGCGCCACTGTACTCCAGCCTAGGCAACAGAGGGAGACTCTGTCTCAAAAAAAAAAAAGAAAAAAAAGAAGGTAAGTAACGTTTGTAAGATCACACAACTGGGTAGATCTGAGTTTCAAACAGGGAGTTGGCCTTAAAGGTCAGTACTTTTAAACATTGCTCTACACAGAACTATAGTTAAATAAGTTCTGATGCCAGTTTCCACATCTTTCTCATTAAAGTAATAATGGTAATATTAAATAAGTAACTTTGTACTCTTTAGCTAAGTTGGTTTATATCATAGCTATGACTTGGCTTGGGGCCCCATTTGCTCTCAACTGTCATCAAGTATTTCCAGTCTCCACAGTATGGTAATTATTCTTTAGAACTATGGTGATAAGTCTTCCTCAGAGCTTCTGCACGGCAAAGGAAGCTATCATCAGAGTGAACAGGCAACCTACAGTATGGGAGAAAGTTTTTACAATCGATCCATTTCACAAAGGGCTAATATCCAGAATCTACAAAGAACCTAAACAAATTTACAAGGAAAACAACAAACAACCCCATCAAAAAGTGGGCAAAGGATATGACCAGACACTTCTCAAAAGAAGACATTTATGCAGCCAACAGACATATGAAAAAATGCTTATCATCACTGGTTGTTAGAGAAATGCAAATCAAAACCACCATGAGATACCGTCTCATGCCAGTTAGAATGGCAATCATTAAAAAGTCAGGAAACAACAGATACTAGAGAGGATGTGGAGAAATAGGAACACTTTTACACTGTTGGTGGGACTGTAAACTAGTTCAACCATTGTGGAAGTCAGTGTGGCGATTCCTCAGGAATCTAGAACTAGAAATACCATTTGACCCAGCAATCCCATTACCCAAAGGATTATAAAGCATTCCACTATAAAGACACATGCACATGTATGTATATTGTGGCACTATTCACAACAGCAAAGACTTGGAAACAACCCAAATGTTCATCAATAATAGACTGGATAAAGAAAATATGGCACATATACTGCATGCAATACTATGCAGCCATAAAAAAGGATGAGTTCATGTCCTTTGCAGGGACATGGATGAAGCTGGAAACCATCATTCTCAGCAAACTATCGCAAGAACAGAAAACCAAACACAGCGTGTTCTCACTCATAAGTGGAAGTGGAACAATGAGAACACATGGACATAGGGAGGGGAACGTCACACACCAGGGCCTGTTTGGGGGTGGGGTTGTAGGGGAGGAATAACATAAGGAGAAATACCCAATGTAGGTGACAGGTTGATGGGTGCAGCGAACCATCATGGCACATGTATACCTATGTAACAAATCTGCACGTTCTGCACATGTACCCCAGAACTTAAAGTATAATAAGTAAATAAATAAATAAAATAAAATAATGTAAACATGTTTTGTAAAGCAGAAATATTTCCTGAAATCTGGTTGCCATTTTTATAGTGTTATGCAAATTCCTGTTTACTTTTTAATTTGTTTTACATTTTTTACACATTAAAAAATTATTGATACATAATAATTGTACATTTTCATGGGGTTCATGTGATGTTTTGATATGTGCAATGTGTGATGACTAAATTAGGGTATTTTGTACATCCATCCCATCAAAAATTTATTTCTTTATGTTGGAAACATTTGAAATCTTCTAGCTATTTTGAAATATACAATTCATTTTTGTTCTCTATAGTCACTCTGCTGTGTTACTAAACACAGAACATGTTCCTTCTAGCTAACTATATGTTTGTACTCATTAACCAAACTGTTTTCATCCCTCTCAACCAAACTTCCCAGCCTCTAGTAACTATCATTCTACTCTATATACCTCCATGAGATCAACTTTTTTATCTCCCACATATGAGTGAGAACATGAGATGATACTTGTCTTTCTGTATCTGCCTTACTTCACCTAACAGTAAACTCTAGTTTCATCCATGTTCCTACAAATGACAGGATTTTATTCTTTCCTATGGCCGAATAGTATTTCATCATGTTTATATACCATATTTTCTTTATCCATTTATCCACTGATGGACACTTAGGTTGATGCCATATCTTTACTGCTGTGAACAGTGCTGCAATGAATACAGGGGTGCAGGTATCTCTCTGATATCCTGAGACCAATGAAACAGAATAGAGAACCCAGAAATAGGCCCAAATACTTATAGCCAATTGATCTTTGACAAAGCAAACACAAGCAAAGTGGAGAAAGGACACCCTATTTAACGAATGGTGCTGGGATAATTGGCAAACCACATGAAGGTGAATGAAACTGGATCATTTCTCACCTTGCGCAAAAACCAACTGAAGATGGATGAGGGACTTAAATCTAAGACCTGAAACTAAAAAATTCTGGAAGATAATGTCAGAAAAACCCTTCAAGACATTGGCTTAGGCAAAGACTTCATGATGAAGAACCTAACAGCAAATGCAACAAAAACAAAGATAAATAGGTGAGACTTAAACTGACGACTTGCACAGCAAAAGGAACAGTCAGCAGAGTAAACAGACAACCCACAGAGTGGGAGAAAATCCCACAGTCTATACATCTGACAAAAAACTATAATATCCAGAATCTATAAGAAACTCAAACAAATTAGCAAGAAAAAAAATCGCATCAAAAAGTGGACTAAAGGACATGAATAGATAATTCTCAAAACAAGATATACAAGTGGCCAAAAAACATATGAAACAATGCTCAACATCACTAATTATTAGGGAAATGCAAAATACATTTTAATTTTCGGTAAAAAGTTTCGCTTTGTTTTTTTGGATTCTCTTTTCCTTTGAAAACCCCTTATTTTTGTTGGTATTTCAATTTTACATAAACAATTACATGTAACTAATATGCATTTTTTACATTTCCTAATGAATCATATATATTTGAATCTGTTAAGATTTTATATTTCAAATATTAGTTACACTATTTTGAGTGACAGATGTTCAAATTGATAAAATGTAACAATTATGAAAATATTTTATGTTTAATCTCCTCTTTGTAATTTATACAACATTAGAATTATTTGTAAAGACAAAATTGAAAAGTAAAGAATCTCAGAGGCCAGGCGCGGTGGCTCAAGCCTGTAATCCCAGCAGTTTGGGATGCCGAGGCGGGCGGATCACGAGGTCAGGAGATCGAGACCATCATGGCTAACATAGTGAAACCCCGTCTCTATTAAAAATACAAAAAAATTAGCCGGGCGTAGTGGCGGGCGGCTGTAGTCCCAGCTACTCAGGAGGCTGAGGCAGGAGAATGGCGTGAACCCAAGAGGCAGAGCTTGCAGTGAGCCGAGATTGCGCCACTGCACTCCAGCCTGGGTGACAGAGCAAGAATCTGTCTCAAAAAAAAAAAAAAAAAAAAAAAAAAAAAAAGAATCTCAGAATCCTGTTTTTGCAAGTTCCAAATATAGTTTTTTAAAGTACTATTTTTTATCACTTGGACTTATACTAAGTTGGGAAATTAAAGAAGCTTAGGATGTATTTAGCACGGGCATTATTCCTTTTTAGTAGCATTAAACTGTGTTTTTCTCTTTGCATCTGGTTCATTAGTTATTCTTTTCACAACTCTGACAATTGCACTTATAGAACTTAAAAGCATCTTCTGCGATCACCTAATCAAACACTCAGAGAAACTTCCTTGTAACTCTTCTGCGATGTGAGCCTCTTTCTTTCTTTCTTTCTTCTTTTTTTTTTTTTTTTTGAGATGGAGTCTCTTTCTTAAGGGGGAAAATGTATCAGTTAATTCTGTTTTTAAAGGCATTTACTGCTAGAGTACTTTTCTTCCATAGCCAATTTTCCTCTACTCTTCTGTGATAACACGCTTTCCACATTTCATTTCACCGGTAGAACTAGAAAATACCTGAGAAGAATGATGCTACCACTAAGTAACTCTATATGTATAAGGAAAAAGCTACAATGATATCCAGATCTTTCTCTTTTGAAGACTAACTAGTACCAATGTTTTTCCTAGCAGAACCTTTATAAACTTTGATGCTCACTAGCGACATGTTCCAAAGCCTATCTGGAAATTGTAATAACAAAATGTACTACACCTTTGAGAAATTTTTTGAAGTTTTTTTGTTTTTTTAAAAAAACTATATATATATATATATATATATATATATATATATATGCACTTTTTGGCATTTCACTTTACAAAAAAAAGCCAGGCCTTAGCACACGGAAGCAACACAGCAAATGAAAGCCACAAACCACACTCCTTAAGCCTGTATTATCTCTCGGAATGAAATTAAAGGTTAGAAATAAAGTTTGACATTAGCAGCCCCTCTGGTGGTCTTCATCAGCGGCAGACATTTCCTTTAGGCCTCAAACATACATTGGGTTTAAATTTAAAATGTATTTTTCCATATTGGCCCTAAAACCAGTGCTCAGATTAGTGTGGCCTGCTCAGCATGTCGCTATATCTCACTGTGACTGACCGTACGTACCTCATGCTGTGTGGCTGCCTGATTCTTTTTCCCAAAACTCCTCAGCTGTCTCAGCTAGACTTGATCTCTGCCCTAGCTAGACTCAGAATGTTTACCTGATACTTTCCTTCTATTATGGTACTTGAGATCTTGATCTTAAGTGACCAAAGATCTGGCAGAATAGAATAATAGATGTAGAAAGACACAAAATAACTCTATGTAAAATAACTGTGTTCTAAATGAATTAGAAATACCATGAGATAAGCAAAATGGCAACCAAATGCCAGGGCTCTGGGGACCTGCCATGCAATCCATCTTTATGATCAACAACAATTTCCCCAGAATTAGAAAGCCATCTCATTGACAGTTTATTTCGCCTTAAAGTTATTTATTCATATGTAAGGATTCATTGGTACCTTAGAATACACTGGTACTTTTCTTACCAAGCTTATTACCCTGACTAATCTCAGTAGCACTAACCTGATGCCACTCATACATTAGACTGAATTCATGTATTGAAGAGTCAGGGGTTATATAAGTACCAGATACAAAGGCAAAGCAAGGCTGTCAATGATTACATAAATAAGTTAGATGAAAAGATACATGTAAGTGAAAACAGACCCTGAAATTGCAAAACCTTCTTTGTCATGAAACAAACAACTATCCACATTCTCCTGAGTTCTGATCAGAATCAGTGGGTAAAATTAGTAAGTTGAACTAGAGTCTGCAACAGATAACTTGCCCTGAAAAGCAAAATATGGGATCTTAGGGCAATAACTCATGTTAAACTCTCCTCTCTGATAATACATTTTATTTCTTAGCCTAGATTTTTAAGAATTATATTAAATAATTCTTAGATTTTAACCAAAAATAAAATATTGTCTATGGTTTTAAGAATACTTTATCCATAAACATCTATATGTGTATATGTGTGTGTGTGTGTGTGTGTGTGTAGGATACAGTTGCTTATATAGGATAGATTGATATAGAAAGATAAAGGTAGGTTGCTAGACAATTAAAAACTGATGGATAGGCCGGGTGCGGTGGCTCACACCTGTAATCCGAGCACTTTGGGAAGCCAAGGCAGGCTGATCACAAAGTCAGGAGATTGAGACCATCCTGGCTAACACGGTGAAACCCCATCTCTACTAAATATACAAAAAAAATTAACCGGGTGTGGTGGCGGGCGCCTATAGTCCCAGCTACTTGGGAGGCTGAGGCAGGAGAATGGCATGAACCTGGGAGGTGGATCTTGCAGTGAGCCAAGATCGCGCCACTGCACTCCAGTCTGGGTGACACAGCAAGACTCTGTCTCAAAAACAAACAAGCAAACAAACAAACAAACAAAAATGGATGGATAGATGACAATGTACGTTAGATCCCATATACTGTAAGTGAATATATGGTTATTAACAACATGGTCTCATAAGAAAGGGAATAGACAATCTATTGTAATATTCATCCTATTTGCATAGGAGAATCACAAAATCCAGCTCAAAAAAACATTTAGAAGGAGGAATTAAAAATGTCCACTTATGATTAGGTTATAGAAGATCATAGAAAACCATTCATAGAAACAATAAGAAATCATATAATTTTTAAAAATTATATTTTTCTTTAAAATCATTATAAGGAGCTGTGGACACAAACAAATGTCAACATGGGAGAAGCCCTTCATAAGTGAACAAGAGACAGGAGACACTTTCATATATGGGACTAATCGCTAAGGTTGAAAAAAATAGCATATGGAAAAATAGCAATTTTTTAATCAACTCTGGACTAGCATGTTAGAGTTAAATCTGAAAGAACACCAAACACAAAGTTATTTCTCTTGCACAAGTAATCTCTTTCATGATAACTTTCTGAGTAAGTAGAGGTTAAGGTTAGAAATAAAAAATGGAAAGAGATCTTGTGTTCTTGTAGTTTAGTGTAATCAGAGATTCACAATGTTGATATCTCATGGTATCACAGTCTCTCAATCTTATCATTTTGCAGCCAACTGTTCTATCATATGTCCTACAATCTAACAACCTTAATGTTTAGAAGACTCACATTCTCAGTGTGACAGCCTCAGAGCTTTGTGGATTCCAAACTGACCAAAAGAACAACTCACAGATATAAAGAAATAAGCAAAATCAATTTATGATAAATAAAAACGTTAAATAAAGAATAAATGCAAAAATAATGCATGATCAAGAAAAAAGTTGTGAATACAAAATTTTTTATTCAAGACAATTTCTTAGTGAACAAATATTAAGTAAAAAAAATTCAGATGTAAAGCTGCAACAATTTGTTTCCAGCATATCCACATAAGACAGGCTAAGGAAAGTTATCCAGGTAAGGAAATGTTATACCAGACGGTATAGGATAAAATAAATACCAGGCCGAATAAAAGTGTGGGAATACATAAACATTCATTTTACCATGCATCTATCTACCTTTATTTTATTTAAGGAATTATTGGTAGTTTAAAGCAAGATAAAAACAGTATGTTATTTGGTTTATAACATGTAGAATCAGAATATATAACAGTAGAAGCATGAAAAGCAAGCACTACACTCACTGGTTTATGAAGTAGCATAATGCTCTTTGAGAGTGTACATTGATTTGTTAAAGGTGAATATTGTAATCTCAAGAGAATCTACAAGATTTTAATGCAGATGAAAATGTCCTATTCTGGAAAATAAAAAAGCTACAAAGAATATTCATTAACAAGAAAGAGAAGCATACACCAGGACTTAAGGCAGCAAGGAATAGGCTAACTCTAATGTTTTGTGCAAAAGCAGTTTGGGTTTATAAACAGGGCTGCCCTTATCTTTAAAGCTTCTATCCTCAAATCTTTAATAAAATATTAATTCCAGCTGCCAATCTTTTAGTTGTACAACAAGGACTTGACAAAAATATATTTTTTTTCTGTATTGACCCCATAGATACTTTGTCCCTGAAGCCAGGAAGTACCTTGTTAGTAAAGCACCACCTTTTAAAGTTTTTTTGATAGTTGACAATGCTCTTGGCCACCTAGAACTCCATGAGTTCAACAGTGAAGATGTCATCATAGTCTACGTGTCCGCAAACACACAGTCTGTGTCTAATTCAGCCTCTAGATTAGAGGGTCATAAGGAACTTTTGGGTTCATTACACGTGGTACTCTGTGGAAAGAATTGCCAGTGCTATAGAAGAGAACTCTGATAGAACATTACGAAAGTCTGGAAAGATTACCGCATTGAAAATGCCATTGTTACAGAAAAAGCCATGAAAGCCATCAAGCCAGATACAATACATTCCTGCTTGAGAAAACTGTGTCCAGAGAGCCAATCAAGGAAATCATATAGTTGTGGCTGTAGCAAAAAAAAAGGTAGGAGGTAAAGGGTTTCAAGATATAGATCTTGGAGAAACTCAAGAACTAATAAACACCACACCAGAGGAATTAACAAAAGATGACTTGATGTAGATAATTGGTTCCAAACCAGTGCCTCAAGATGAAGAAGAAAATGTAGAAGAAGCAGTGCCAAAAAGCAGGTTGATTTTAGACAATCTGAGAGAAAGATTCTAATTATTCACGACTTCATTTGACTTCTTTTATGACATAGGCCATGCTATGACACAGGTGCTGAAACTAAAAAAATAAAAATAAAAAATGATGGCACGATTTGTGCCATATGGAAAAAATTTTAGAGAAATGAAAAGTAACTCAGAAATTACAATGCATTTCTGGAAAGTTACACTGAGTGTGCCTGCTTCTTCTGCTTTTGCTTTCACCTTCTTCACCTCTTCAGCCTCTGTCACCTCTGACACAGCAGGACCAGCCCCTCCTTTTCTTCCTCCTTCTCAGCCTACCTAACAAGAAGATGACAAAAGTGAAGACCTTTACAATCATTTATTCACATTTAATGAATATTAAATATATTTTATCTTTCTTATGATTTTCTTAATAGCATCTTCTTTTCTGTAGCTTACTTTATTGTAAAAATGCAATGTATAATACATAAAGCATACGAAATGTGTTAATTGGCTGTTTATCTGTAAAGCTTCTGGTCAACAGTAGGCTATTTGTGGTTAAGATTTTAGGGCGGCAAAAGTTATACAAGAGTGTTCAATAGTGCAGGGCATCAGGGTCCATAAACTCCACATTGTTCCCGGGCCAACTGTGCTTGCAAAGTCTCCATACATTTTTCATTGTTTCAAAGAATACTAAGAAAAGGAAATAGGAAGATGCAATGGAATAGTATAGGAAAGTGAAAACATGAGAAGTTTGTTGGGTGAAGAATGCAGAAGGGCCACTTCAGGCAAAGTAAAACATGTGTGGAAAAGTACAATAATAAAATAAATTATGTAACTAGCAGCCAGAGAGTAATTTACTAGGACCATATTGTGGTAGTGATGAAGTGTTGGGTAAAGCAGAAAATGAAAACTGAGAACTTAGTTGGGATCAAATTGTGATAAAGCTTTTATGCCATGCTAAGTTATTTGCAATTCAATCTAAGAACAATAGTAAATTAAAGAAGACAGGTAATTATTATTGTGGCATATCCAGGGTTTGTTTACAGAATGATTCCAATAGGGATGTGTGGGGGAAGTATGATAGATAATAAGGTCTATGAGTAAAATAAATGTAATATTGATTGTTAACAGTACAGCATAAAATTCTAATCGGGATGGTGAAAAATGTACTTAGTACGGAAGAGTTAGAGAAGAAAGTGTGTATTTGGAAGAAAATCTACAGAAATTTAAGACTGATTACACAGAGAAATGATGAAAATAAAAAAAAATCAATGATGTCTACAAGGCCTCCAGTTTGAAGGTAATGGATTATACCATAGATGTGTCACTGAATTCAAGATAAAAGCAAGATCTATGCAGGAGACATGAAGATTTTAGTTCAGGCCATATTTGATTTGTGTTACGTGTGACATGACAATGTAATAATGTCTGATGTTTTAATATATCTGTTTGGATATTAGAAGGCCTAAAATTTGGGTATAATCAGCAAAGCTACGTAACTATATTGGGAAGCATGATAATGACTAAGATCACAGAAAAAATGATATTTTTCAGCAAAAAGAGGAGAGAATTTACAAAATATTTTCAAATATTTCAATCATAGTATAACTTTAAGCAAATCAGTCATCATAATATATCTTAAGACTTGCAAACAATGCTCATTCTCACCACACCTTCATTTAGGTTAGTATTTCTAAATGTTTTCAGTCATAAATATACTTAAGAGCAATATCTGAGCACAGGTAATCAAGAGATAATTATTTTTCTATTTTTATATCCATAAATGAAATATTCATGCATATTTTAGATAAAAATTACTTGAAAAGCCTTGGGAATAGTTTTCTGCTCTCTCTTTTGTAATTAAATATGCAAAACTTGTTTCTCTTGGTCTCTAGAATTCTTTACTCTTTGCCATTTTGTGACATTTTGAAAATAGTATACCAAATAAAAAGGCATGATCCGCCCTTTAGAAAACAATGGCACAAAATGCATATATTTTCAGGGCTGAACAAATGACTTGAAATGGATAAAATCTGTTCTAACAGAAACCAATATTTCATAAGTCACAAAACACACTAATCTATTTGCTTTTGAAATGGTTCATTTTTACTGTTTTTAAATAAATGCTATTTTTCCTTGGGCATGGTAACTTTGAAATGCAAAATTCTTATGAGTTAACCGCTCTCTGTTTCAAAGACTCAGAGCACATGACAAGCCTCTCCAATAGAAAATAAATTTTAACTGATGTTTTGCTTTATGATTTAAAGGACATTAATAAGCCAATGCTCATTCAGAAAACATAGAAATTCACAAAGGGCTTATTTGTATTTAGAGTAACAATTGGGTTTATTTTAACATTATTTCTCCTCTACATAATGTAGCTCTAATGTAAGTATTCCTTTGGCTTACAAACTGCAACGTAACTGATTATTGTATTAGGATAAGATGTGACAACGTATGTGAAATACTCAGATATACAAGTTATTTTTATTATTGTCTCAGCTTCCACATTTTGGAAGGCAGTCAGCCTGGCTAGTGTCAATACCAGTTACAGTGATATTTGATGTAATCTCTTACCTTCCCAACTGTAATGTTCAGACCATAATCCAATTTATTTTGTGATGTTGCTATAATAGTAAATTGTAGTTTTAGATACAAAACTATTTAGAATGTATTCCATTCTTAACACACACTATATATATATTTTTTATTTCCAAATGCCTTGAAGTTATTTTGCATGTATCTAGGTTCTAGAGACAATGAAACTAAATATTTGTGAAACACCTAATTATTTAATTTAAAACTGTGCATTAATCATACGTGGTTATTTAAGCCATATTTTACAGTTCTAATTAAGGGCAGACTTATGTAGAATTAGTATATTGGTTTCTCACTTCTTGAGGAAAACCATCACTGTATATGATTCATAAGGTATTAGCTCTTTGTCTCTCTTTGATTGCATCTTGACTACACAAACAACTGTGACCTCTTCATATAGTGTAGATACCTGGCATGTAATTCCTGTATAATTCTGTTTTCTCTGTGTTACATTGTAACATGTTTGAGTACATTTTTTGCCCTCAGTTATATAATTCGAATTATATATAAAACTTTCCTAAAGATATTCCAAAATTGGAAGACTGAGTTATATCTCCAACTTTTTCACAATTACAAGGTTGTATATTGTTCAATTGGACCTTAAGTGAAATGCTATGAATCCATACTTGGTAAATTGCTTCATTATTTCTATGTTAGCCATTCTTGAATAAATATGCTAATATTTTGATGGATTTCACTAAACTGGCATAAGTAATTAATTAACATCGTATAGGGTTTTTTCCATTTACACAATGTTTTCAAATGAATGAGTAAAGACTCAAAAATAGTTACTAAATATGCTATATTCCAGATAGTATAAACTAATTTGACTATCAATCTTATTGTACAGGTAGGTTGGTAAAACATTATTGTTCTACCTAATGGATGGATCTTGAAATATTAAATAGTTGGAATATTTGGATAACAATTTATAAATAAATGAAAAGTTCAAGATATATTATCCTAACTCAAGTAATTTTCAAAAAGTAATACTGCAAGAAGTAATATTCTAATTTTAAAATATTGCATTCTACTGATTTTTAAAAGCATACATTTTGTGAAAGAAGTGTTCACTTCTAAATGGAAATCTAATAATTTAAAATGCTATGTGAGCACTACCATTGAATGTTTTCAACAGTAAAAACCAAGTAGCTTATCATGCTTAGCATTCTTAATTTATGTTTAATCAAGAAGACATGACCTGTGATTGCAATTTTTCACTTGAATCCAGAAAACGATTGAGATATATGATTCCAAAAAGTAACATTTATCTTATCAAGAGAATATATATGTATTTATTAGCAGAAAGAAAAACATCTCCCTCAGCCCACAACCCTGTCAGGATTGTTACATCCATAATTTTAACTATAAGTTTGACTATTTCTTAATATTTCATTCAGATTAACACGTATCTATTTTCTTTTGGTTTTGAGAGATAAGAATGCAACTGACTTAAATCTTCATTGCTTCTCTCCTACTCCATCCCCAAGTTTGATATTTACATAATTACATGTATTTATTCTGTTGCATGCCTTTATTATTTATATAAGAATAGTATACAATATGTACTTGTGAATTTTCAACAATGACCTGTTCTAGGAAGGGTAAAGATATTAGTTCTCATTCTAATACAATCATACTTCCTCCACTCTTTGTGTATGTTATGTTTTTATATTTAATAGCTATATTCTGCTCTATCTCAATAGCTGTTTTCTGGGTATTGGTTATCGTTTATACAGTTTTGTATGTGTGTGTGTGTGTGTGTGTGTGTGTGTGTGTGTGTGGAAACGGAGTCTCGCTGTGTTGCCCAGGCTGTAGAGCAGTGGTGTGATCTCGGCTTACTGCAACTTCCGCCTCCTGGGTTTAAGTTATTCTCCTGCCTCAGCTTCCTGAGTAGCTTGAATTACAGGTGCCCGTCATCATGACCCGCTAATTTTTGTATTTTTAGTATTTTGTATTTTTAGTAGGTGGGGTTTCATCATGTTGGCCAAGCTGATCTTGAACTCCTGACCTCAAGTGATCCGCCTGCCTCGGCCTCCCAAAGTGCTGGAATTACAGGCGTGAGCCACCACGTTGACCAAAATTTTTTAATTAAAATTAATTTGCATTATCATGACTATATATATAATTCACTACATAGCTAAAGGTACATTAGTATAGTATTGGATATCTTAGACTACTCAAAAGAGAATGTTCTTAGCCTTACAAATAATGCCAGATTTCACATTCAAGTATTTTTGAAATAGCATTTTTTCTGCCACTGTTTTTCTGCTTTTTTATTCTTTGAAAGAATATTTTGACTTTTTTTTGACCTAGTGTTCTAAAATTTTACAAAGGAATGTCTACATATAGGTCTAAATGATTTATACATTTGAGTGCTCATTGGTCAATCTTCAAATGTAGGAGGATTTTTAAAATTATTTATATATGATTTCTACTTGTATATTTTCAATTTTGTAGGACCCATATTATTTAAATCATTTTCTATGGCTATATAATATACACTTTTTAAAATGGTTTCTTATATTTGTTTATAATCATGGGTCTAGTTAGTATTCTAAACATTTCAGCAATTAAAACAAATTTCTCCATGTGTATATATATGCACAGATTTGTAGGGTTTCGTTTAATTACTGTACTGTTTTTCTTCCTGAATTTGTGCAAATCATTTCGTTTGATTTTTGTCTTACTTTATCAATAAAGCACAGATAAAATAATAATCATTCCATAAGTTTCTTGGAAGTCATTAGTAAATTAGTATATACAAAACTCTGAAAGTTTTATAATAGAAATGAAGTCAAATATTTTTGTTGTTACTGTAGTTCCAAGATTATTAATTATACAAGTTATAATTCTTTTTTATTTCTATTATTATTCTTTTTCCATTCTCTGAAGTTTCCATTTCCCCAGGAGTCCTAGACTCAGTTGCTCATTATCATGCTCTTTCCTACTGATTTTACTTACAGTTCTCCTCATTCTTAGCTCTCTATGTCTTGAAAAGTTGTTGGAGTTATTATTTTTGGTAGGTACATCTTTTAGTCTTTATGCTTGAGTAGTTAACATATTAAAATTACAGTGTTATAATATTCTGTGATTCTCTATATACATATTATTACTAGTGAGTTTTCTACCTTTGGATGATTTTTTTATTGCTCATTAATGTCCTTTTCTTTCTAATTGAAGATCTCCTTTCAGCACATATTGTAGGACAGGTCTGGTGTTGATGAAATTCCTCAGCTTCTGTTTGGGAAAGTCTTTATTTCTGCTTTATGTGTGAAGGATATTTTTGATGGAGCTACTATTCTAGGGTAAAGGGATTTTTGTTTTCTTCAGAACTTTTAATATGCCATGCCAAGCTCTCCTGATCTGTAAGATTCCCCTGTAAAGTCTGCTGTAGGGCATATTGGCACTCCCTTGTACGTTGTTTCTTACCTCTTGCTGCTTTTATGACCCTTTCTTTATCCTTGACCTTTGGGAGTTTGATTATTAAATCTCTTGATATGGTCTTCTTTGGGTTAAATCCACTTGGCATTCTATAACCTTCTTGTGATTGAATATTGATTTTTTTTTTAGGTTTGGGAAGATCTCTGTTATTATTCCCTTGAATAAGCTTTCTAGTCCTATCTTTTTCTCTACCTCCTCTTTGAGGCCAGTAACTCATATTTGCCCTTTTGATGCAATTTTTTTAGATCCTGTAAGCATGATTCATTTTTTGTGCCCTTGACTGTGTATTTTCAAATAACCTGTCTTCAAGCTCACTAATTCTTTCTTCTGTTTGATCAATTCTGCTATTAATAGTCTCATGCACTCTTCAGTATATTAGTTGCATTTTTCAGCTCCAGAATTTCTGCTTCAATCTTTTTAAGTATTTCAATCTCTTTGTGAAATTGATCTTAATTACTTTTCTGTGTTTTCTTTAATTTCTCTGAGTTTCCTCAAAAAAGCTATTTTGACTGTTCGTCTGAAAGGTCATATTTCTCTGTTTCTTCAGGACTGGATCCTGGTGCCTTATTTAGTTCATTTGGTGACGTCATGTTTTCCTGGATGGTCTTGATGTTTGTAGCTCTTCACTGATGTCTGGGCATTGAAAAGTTAGGTATTTATTGTAGCCTTGCAGTCTGGGCTTCTTTGTACCTGTCCTTCTTGGGAAGTCTTTCCAGGTATTCAAAGGGACTTGGTTGTTACGATATAAGCTATATCTTTTTAAGGGCACCCCAAGTCTTCTGCTGCAGTTTTTGCAGACTTGTAGAGGTACTGCTGTGGTGGTCTTGGATAAGATCTGAAATAATTATCTGGATTATAATGTACACATTCTTGTTCTTTTCTCTTACTTTCTCCCAAGCAAATGGAGTCCCTCTCTCTCTCTCTCTCTCTCTCTTTCTCTCTCTCTCTCTCTAATGAGCCATGTGCAGCTAGGGGTGTGGTAACACAAGCACCCCTGTGGCCAACACCACTTGGATGGTGCTGGGTCAGACTTGAAGCACAGAACTAGGTCTAGCTCAAAGCCTGCTGTGCCCACTTCCTGTCTACCACTAAGATTGTTCAAAGCCCTGGGGCTCTACAATCAGCATGTGGCCAAGCCAGCCAGGCTTGTTTCCTTTCCTTCAGAGCAGTTAGTTTCCCCAGGCCCCAGGCCCAAGCAGGTCCAGAGATGCCATCCAGGAGCCAGGGACCAAAGTCCAAAACTTGGAAATCTCCTGAGTGCTCTATATTACTGTGACTAAGCTAGCACTCAAAGCATGAGATAAAGTCCTTTCCACTCTGTGCTGCCATTTCTACAGGCAGAGGAGCCTCTCCCTGTGGCCACCACTACTAAAGGCTTATGTGTACCACTGTCAGACTACTACTGATATTTACTTAAGGCCCAAGCAATCTTCAATCTGGTTGTGGAAAATGCTGCCAGGCCTGGGTCTCACCCTGCAGGACAGTGGGCTCCAAAGTTCCCTTTACTTTTCCCTTTGCTTTTCTCAGGCAGAAGGATTCTTTCACCATTGCCACCAGAACTGGGAATCTGCTTCATCTCACCTGAAGCTAGTACATTTCAGAGTCTCACCCAAAACCCACAATGCACCTCATGGCCACTGCCAGGGGATGTGGGAAGGGTGGTGTCAATGATTCTAGAGTGTCTTTCCTGACCTGCTCAGTGCCTCTTTCAGGCATATAAAATTAAAATGAAGTATTGTGATTGCTCACCTGATTTTTGGTTCATCTGATGGTTTTGTGTGTGTGTGTGTAAATAGTTGTTAAATTTGCTGATTCTTTGGGGATGATAGCTAGTGAAGACTTCCATTTGAGCATCTTGCTCTACTCTTTCTGATTTGCATTTTATGTCACTTGTATATGGAAGAATTTCTTTTTTTATTGACAAATGATCGTTGTATTTATGGGGTAAAAAGTGGTGTTAAATTTTTTAATACAATGTGGAATAATTAAATCAAGTTAATTAACATACTCTTTACCTCAGATATTAAAATTTTCATTAGAATATTTAAAATTTACTTTCTTAGTAAAATTTAAATGTATACTACTCAACTACTAGGATAATCAACATGCTGTATATTGATCTCAGAAAAGTTAAAAATCAGTTATTCCAGCATAGTTACATACTTATATAAGAATATATGTTTATTTGCTTTTCTTGACGTTTTCCCAAGTGCAATTCTGAAATGAGAAATATTTTTAATTACTTAAAATATATGCTGTCAGTAATAATGAGGAATGTGGTAATCTGTGTAATTTACTAAATTGTTGCTCATCCCGTTTATTAGAAAAGCATTTCTATTGAAATAACAAACCCTTAAGTCAAAGCAGTAAAGAAGAATTTGAAAAAATAGTTAAATTATGGGTTTTTTGCAATTTAATGGAGTAATTTTGGCCATGGAATCCAATAATTAAAAAAAAAAAAAAAAAATGGAGGCCGGGCGTGGTGGTTCACACCTGTAATCCCAGCACTTTGAGAGGCCGAGGTGGGCGGATGAGAAGGTCAGGAGATTGAGACCATCCTGGCTAACACGGCGAAACCCCATCTCTACTAAAAATATAAAAAATTAGCCGGGCGTGGTGGAGGGTGCCTGTAGTCCCAGCTACTGGGGAGGCTGAGGCAGTGGTGTGATCTGCACCACTGCACTCCAGCCTGGGCAACAGAGCGAGACTCCGTCTCAAAAAACAAAAAAAAAATGGAGTCTGGGTTTTTATATTTATAGATTTTTCCTTTCTTTTTTTTTGGAGTTTCTCATTTTTTATTAAATTGTACTCAAGTAATAGCCTCTGTGGAATTGAAAATTAAGGATATTTGCTCTCCACTACAAATAATTTGGAAAGCAATGGTTTAGCCAGTATTTTCAATAACTGTTAACTGACAGACTAGATCAAGACCGCAAAGTTAACAAGACGCCAACATCTCAGCAAATAGGAGAGGTGTCTAGAAAACGGCACAGGTTGCCAAAATTTAGGACTGCTGGTTTAACTTGATTCATCCTTTAAGTTCCTTTCTTCATTTTGTTTGCAGATAGACTTCGTGTTTGGCTCACTTTTAATGAGATCTTCTCATTATCTACTATGCAAGTATGTATGAGGATATTTTTTAAATACACTTATATTTATAGGTTTCAAATATTTCCTTTTCTTAGTCCTTGTATTAGTCCACTTACATGCTGCTGATAAATACTACCCAAGACTGGGAAGAAAAAGAGGTTTAATTGGACATGGCTGGGGAGGCCTCAGAATCGTGGCCGGAGGAGAAAGGCACTTCTTACATGGCAGCAGCAAGAGAAAATTAGGAAGAAGCAGAAGTGGAAACCCCTGATAAACCCATCAGATCTCCTGAGACTTATGTACTATCATGAGAATAGCACGGGAAAGACTGGCCGCAATGATTCAATTACCTCCCCCTGGGTCCCTCCCACAACATGTAGGAATTCTGGGAGACACAATTCAATTTGAGATTTCAGTAGGGACACAGCCAAACCATATTGTTCCACCCTCGCCTCCTCCAATTCTCATGTCCTCATATTTCAAAACCAATTATGCCTTCCCAACAGTCTCCCAATGTCTTAACTCATTTTAGCATTAACCCAAAAGTCCACAATCCAAAGTCTTATTTGAGACAAGGCAAGTCCCTTCTGCCTATGAGCCTGTAAAATCAAAAGCAAGCTAGTTACTTTCTAGATAAAATGGGGGTACAGGTATTGGGTAAATACAGCTATTCCAAATGGGAGAAATTGGCCAAAACAAAGGGATTACAGGGCCCATGCCATTCTGAAATCCAGCAAGGCAGTCAAATTTTAAAGCTCCAAAATTATCTCTTTGTCTCCAGGTCTCACACACAAGTGACACTGATGCAAGAGGTGGGTTCCCATGGTCTTGGGCAGCTCCATCCCTGTGACTTTCCAGGGTACAGCCTCCCCCCCGGCTGCTTTCATGGGCTGGCATTAAGTGCCTGTGGCTTTTCCAGGCACATGGTGCAAGTTGTGAGTGGATCTACCATTCTGGGCTCTGGAGGATGGTGGCCCTCTTCTCACAGCTCCACTAGGCAGTGCCCCAGTAAGGACTCTGTGTGGAGGCTCTGACCACACATTTCTATTCTGCACTGTCCTAGCAGAGGTTCTCCTTGAGGGCCCTGCCCCTGCAGCAAACTTTTGCCTGGGCATCCAGGCATTTCCATACATCTTCTGAAATGTAGATGGAGATTCCCAAACCTCAATTATTGACTTCTGTGCACCTGCAGGCTCAACACCATGTGCAAGGTGCCAAGGCTTGGGGCTTCCACCCTCTGAAGCCACAGCCCAAACTCTGTGTTGGCCCCTTTCAGTGTGGCTGGAGCAGCTGAGAAACAGAGCACCAAGTCCCTAGGCTGCACACAGCACAGGGACCCTGGGACCAGCCCACAAAACCACTTTTTCCTCCTGGGCCTCAGGGCCTGTGATGGGAGGGTTTGCCATGAAGATCTCTGACATGGCCTGAAGACATTTTCCCCATGGTCTTGGGGATTAACATTAGGCTCCCTAGGCCGGGTGCAGTGGCTCATGCCTGTAATCCCAGTACTTTGGGAGGCCAAGGTGGGCGGATCAGGAGGTTGGGAGATCCAGACCATCCTGGCTAATACGGTGAAACCCCGTCTCTACTGAAAATACAAAAAATTAGCTGGGCATGGCGGCAGGTGCCTGTAGTCCCAGCTATTCTGGAGGCTTAAGCAGGAGACTGGTGTGAACCCAGGAGGCGGAGCTTGCAGTGAGCTGAGATCACGCCACTGCACTCCAGCCTGGGCAACAGAGCGAGACTCCATCTCAAAAAAAGACAAACAAAACAACACGACAACAAAAAATTAGGCTACCTGCTACTTATGCAAATGTCTGCAGTGGGCTTGATTTTCTCCTGCAAGATGAGTTTTTCTTCTATATAGCAGAGTCAGGCTGCAAATTTTCCAAACTTTTATGCTCTGCTTCCCTTATAAAACTGAATGCCTTTAGCAGCACACAAATCACCTCTTGAAAGCTTTGGTGCTTAGGAATTTCTTCTGCCAGATACACTAAATCATCTCTCTAAAGATCAAAGCTTCACAAATCTCTAGGGCAGGGGCAAAATGCCACCAGTCTGCTAAAACATAACAAGAGTCACCTTTGCTCTAATTCCCAACAAATTTCTCATCTCCATCTGAGACCACCTCAGCCTGGTTTTTATGGTCCATATTGCTATCAGCATTTTGGGCAAAGCCATTCAACAAGTCTTTAGGTGGTTCCAAATTTTCCCACATTTTCTTGTCGTCTTCTGAGCCCTTCAAACTGTTCCAATCTCTGCCTCTTACCCAGTTCCAAAGTCACTTCCACATTTTCGGGTATCTTTTCAGCAACACCCCACGATACTGGTACCAATTTATTGAATTAGTCTGTTTTCACACTGCTGATAAAGACATACCCGAGACTGGAAAGAAAAAGAGGTTTAATTGAACTTACTCTTCTACATGCCTGGGGAGGCCTCAGAATCATGGCAGGAGGCGAAAGGAGCTTCTTACATGGTGGTGGCAAGAGAAAAATAAGAAGCAAAAGCAGAAACCCCTGATAAACTCATCAGATCTCCTGGGATTTATTCACTATCATGAGAATAGCACAGGAAAGACCAGCCCCCATGATTCAATTACATCCCCCTGAGTCCCTCCTACAACGTGGGAATTCTGGGAGATACAATTAAAGTTGAGATTTGGGTGGGGACACAGTCAAACCATATCAGTCTTCTACCTATTTCATGAGAATAGTTGATACACAAGTGACATTATTCAGTCTCTATATTATAATATTGCAGAATTTAACACCACTGATATTGATCCTATTCTTATTATAATTCCACAGTTAGTTGCAATTTCTTTGCTCATACCCTAATTAGAAGAAAGTATACTTTCTTCAGTACCTATCAATGCATTACAGAATGGTTCCCATGCATGTCATTCCTGCGGTCTTCTTGGTGAAATTCCAACTCAGAAATTACTTGTTTTTTTAAAAAATGTGGATAATAAAAATGCTCTTTAAGATTTAAATATTGTATTGATTTCTAATGCTGAACCACTTAAAATAAAAAAAAATTAATTAAGTGCTGGGATTACAGGCGTGAGCCACAGCACTCGGCCACTATTTATTTTTTAAGCAACTTTTATGTGATATAAATTGCTTTTATGCTTCTCCAAGACTGAAATCCTAAATAAAATAATATGTTATGGTCTGTAATCCCAACAGTTTGGGAGGCCGAGGCTGGCAGATCACCTGACCTCAGGAGATCAAGAGCAACCTGGGCAACATGGTAAAACCTTGTCTCTACAAAAAATTAGACAGGCATGGTGGCACACGCCTGTAGTCCCAGCTACTCGGGGAGGCTGAGGCATGAAAATTGCTTGAACCTGGGAAGTGGAAGTTGCAGTGAGCCAAGATTGCGCCCCTGCACTCCAGCCGGGAGAGGGAGTGAGACTCTGTCTCAAAATAAAACAGAAAATAAATAAATAATAATAATAATGATTACAACTTTAGTGGTGTACTTATTTTGTTCATATTTTATTTTAAATCACACATTCAATACTTGAAATGGAAAAACGATCTTTGTTTTTTGATTCTTTTAAACTTCTGTATACCATTTTTGGTATAAGTATCCTTAAAAATCAGAGATTTTTTCTAATTTTTCTAATTAATCTATTGTGTCAACAATAGATAATTTTTACATGTTTTTAAAGTTCAAAATAAGGAATACTCTAAATTTGTTTATCTATTGTCATTATTTACTGAGTTATATGGTAGCAATGAAAAAATAATTAAAAAGTACAAGAATAAGAGTATCTGAGGAATTCCACCAAATTGACAAAATTTTGGAAGTACAATTTTGGGAAACTATAAATTAGTAAAGTAAATTCCTTTATATGTAATGTACTGGGAATCCAGCCAAAATAGCATTTTTATTTTTCTTAGTCTACAAAGAACCCCTTGCTCCAGGAAAGCAGTAGAGGCAAAATTGGTGGAAAAGGAAGGCAATGCAAGGAAATCTCTTTTTTTCTCTCTAAAACGATGACATTTCTCTGAAGTTTTGACTTACACATTTTTCTATCTTTTAAGTATCATGGTTATATGTATAAAGTTTATATTTTGTACTGAACATTAAGTCACAGTAGAAAATTTACATTAAACAACATTTAGACTAACTGCTTATGTTAACCCTTTACTCGTTTGCCCAGAGAATACTCCCCGGCAGCACTTGCACTCTAGATAACTTTGCCACGATATATCTTGCTTTTATTGTTACTTTGGCATCGCTGTAGTTTATTGACTTTGGAAACAAAAGACATCATTCTATTTATAGCATTCTGTTTTTAGTAGTGGTATTTCAATTTACAAAATACAGTAATTCTCAATTGCTGAAAATGTCAACTCCTAGAAAACGTAGCTCCTTCTCGTGCTGTTAACATCGTTCTCGAACAGCTGTTCGCGGAAGATTCATTTGATGAATCTGATTTTTCCAAAATAGATGATTCTCATGATTCAGATGATTCTGATGTTAGTTCTGATTACGAATAACTCCAAGAACAGTTTTTATATTCTATTTCCTCATTGAAAATCAGTTAGATTTGGTTTAGCTTCAAAGAGCATGTTTACGTAAAATTAAATGAGTACTGGCAGTGAGCTGCACTTTTTTATTTCTAAACAAGAAAAGGGTTAAATCTTATATAATTCAAGTTTATTGGTAGTATCAACAGTACTGATAGTAGTAATTGTAATCATAGGATGGTGGCACTAATTACAAAAAGGTATTGGTAATAATAGCTAAGGATTATTGAGTGCTTACCCTGTGATTAGAATGATGCTAAGCTCTTTGAATTTATAATCACTTTTTTGCCTATCACAATAGGTGAGAGGCATTATTATTTAAGTGAGAGCCATAATATATTTTATGGGATGCATTTAGAATGAACAAGAATGAAGCTGGCAACACCAAAGAAGAGGCTCTGCATTGGGTAGATATTGAGGGTTTGGTTAAGGCTGAATGCTAAGAATATGTTGAGAAACAGAAAGGTCACGCAGACGATGAGTGATAAAGCTCGTTCGAATGCGGGTCTCATGATCACGGGTCAACGTGCTTAACCATTCAGCACCTTTTCATTGGTTCTAATAAGTGGTAGTATATGCAGTAGCTAAGATTCTTAATTCTGGGGTCAGACTTTCTTGCTTTAAAGTTTCTTTCGACCACAGCTGTCTATTCACTAGGCTGATGTTGGATAAATTACTTCATTGATCTATGCCTTTGTTTTCGCATATGTAAAATGGAGATGATAATAGGGACTCCTTACTAAGATAGGTGTAAAGATGACATGGATTTATAGCTACCATATATTTGAAAAGTTTCAAAGAGTGCCTGGCACATAGTAAGCACTGCGTGTTTGCTATCATTTCTTAAGGCCCAATTCCCTATTGGGAAGGCTGAAAGCTTTGTAGGTTTATAGTTTATATGATTCTTTGACACTTTTTTAGCAGTTTATTTGTTTTATTGGTTACATAGTTATATTTATTTAGACATAGCTAACTAATATTATAAGACACCATAATTGCATTTTATCCAGGTAGAAGCAATAGTTATACAATCATTTCTTTTAATGCCATCAGCAAATAAAGGTGGAAGGCAGGTAAAATTTTTTTAAATGCTGTGTCTAGATATTTCTAACACGTTTTTCTAGCCAGATGTGGATTTGAGATTTTAAAAGCACATATACTACTTGGTATAGGTGATTCTAAAAAGAGCAGTTGTCAGTATTTGTAACATTATCAATTGTTAATGCGCAAAATAAAGTATCCAGAAGACAGAAGAGGAGACGGCATAGACATTCTCTTCGGGCAACAGGACTAGCAGGTTTACTATGAGTTTTACAACCCAAAGCGAGTATGTTTCTAAAATCTTGCATATGGCTTTGCACATGAGTAAGTGAAAATGTGATGTTATAAGGTGATAGCAGCTTTGCATTCCTGTCCAAAATAAACATTTTAAGATACATTGTGTAGACGTGCTCCTTGGGGAATGGAATTAAATAATTTTCTTTAGCAGCCAACCAGTAAAACTGAGACTCTGTTATCAGAACAGAGAGTATCTACTGCAAATTTCCAGATACTTTCAGTAAAATCTATTTATGATATAAGGCATTTATAGAATTGATTTAGCCATTGATATGAGCTGAAAAATTTATATGTTGAAGTCTTAACACCAGTACTTCAGAAAGTGACCATGTTTTGAGTTAGGGTGTTTACACAGGTAATAAAATAAGGCCTTTAGAGTGGGCCGTAGTCCAGTATCACTGATGTTCTTATAAAAAAGAGGAAATTTAGACACAGATGTACAGAGGAAAGACAGTGTGAAGACACAGAAAGAAGACAGCCACCTACAAGCCAAGGAATGAGGTGAGGCTGGACAAAATTTTTCCTCACGGTCCTCAGCAGGAATCAACTCTGAAAATACCTTGGTGTCTTATTTATGTGTGCTCGTATCAGAAAATACCTGAGACTGTATAATTTATAAACAACATAAACACATTTCTCACCGTTGTGGAGGCTGGAAGTGTTAAGATCATAGAACTGGCAGTTTCGGTGCCTGGTGAGGGCCTGGTCTTTGCTCTAAGATGGCACCTTGTTGTTGCATCCTTTGGAGGAGAGAAACACCATATCCTCATATGGCAGAAGGGAAAAAAGTGGTGAACCTACTTTCTCAAGCCCTTTTATCAGGGCCTTACTCCTATTTATTAGGGCCCTGCTCTCATGGCTTCATCACCTTCTAAATGTCCCACTTCTTAAGTTTCAACATATAAATTTTAGGAGAAACTTTCAGACTACATAATTTCACTTCTGGATCCCCAAACTCATGTCCTACTTACATGCAAAAAACATATATTTTATCCCAGTACCCCTCAAAAATCTTAACTTGTTACAGCATCAACTCAAAAGTCTTACATCTAGCATCTCTAAATCAGATATAGGTGAGACACAAGGTACAAAATAATTCTGAAACAAAGTGCTCTCCAGTTGTGAGCCAGTACAGTCAAACAGTTGTGTGCTTTCAAAATACAATGGTGAGACAAGCACAGGACAGTTAGTTCCATTTCAAAGGGAAAAACAGAAAGAAGGAGGATCGGAATTAAGTACGAAATCACAAAGTAAACAACATTAAACCTTGATGCTTGAGAATTCTTTTCTTTGACTCCAGGTCCCACCTTCCAGACACACTAGGGTGGGGTTGGGTCCACAAGCTTCCAGAAGACCCTAGCCTATGGCTTTGCCTGGTGCCACCCATGATGCATCTTTCATGGGCTGGCGTTCAGTACATGTAACTCTGTTAGGCTAGAATTGCATGTGGTGGCCCTACAGTTCTGGGGTCATGGGGGTGGCACTGCTCCTGGAGCTCCTCTACACATAGCCCTTGTGGGGCTTCTCTGCAGAATCCCTGAATTTAAGGCTCAGTGGACTTGAACCAGGGGCTCCAATGGGTATTGCCTTAGTGGAGGCTTTTGTGGCAGCCATACTTTGTGGCAGTTCTTTGCCTGGGTCCAGAGACTCTTCAAGGCATTCTTTGAAGTCTAGATGGAGAGAGCCATGTCTCCATAGTTTGTGCACTCCATACAGCTGCAGAGTTAGCACCACTTGCATTCTGCCAAGGTTTACCACATTTGCTTTGCATAGTGATAGGCTGAGCTGCATTTGGGCCTCCTTACACTACACTGGGGAGGCCAAAGAACACTGCACAGGAATGCATGAAGCGAAACTCGACATGGCCCTAGGTAATGAGCTCTGAGGTACCATGAGCTCCCTAGGGCTCTGTCTTGAAACTGTTCTGCCTGTCACTCTTGTCCTGTGATGGAAGTGGCAGCCTTAAGACATCTAAAATGCCTTCAGGGCCATTATTCCACTGTCTTGATGAATATAATCTGGCTTCCTTCTATCCATACTAATTTCATTATCAAGAGTAATTTGGGGCCGGGCACGGTGGCTCATGCCTGTAATCCCGGCACTTTGGGAGGCCTAGGCAGGCGGATCACGAGTTCAGGAGATCGAGACCATCCTGGCTAATGCGGTGAAACCCCGTCTCTACTAAAAATACAAAAAAAAATTAGCCAGGCGTGGTGGCAGGTGTCTGTAGTCCCAGCTACTCCGGAGGCTGAGGTAGGAGAATGGCGTGAACCCAGAAGGTGGAGCTTGCAGTGAGCCGAGATTATGCCACTGCATTGCAGCCTGGGTGACAGAGCAAGACTCCATCTCAAAAAAAAAAAAAAGAAAGAAAAAAGAGTAATTTGGCCACACTGTTGGTATTCTGTCATGAACGTGCCCTCTTTCTTTTTACAAACTGTTCAGGCTGAGAATTTTCCACATCTTTACATTCCACTTCCCTTTTGATTATACATTTCATCTTTAATTTGCTTCTTTCTTTTAATATTTTACTATAAGCAATAAAGAGAAGCCATGAAGGCCCCTGATCCCTCTGTTCAGATATTTCTTCTACTAACTATCCTAATTAATTGCTTCCAAATTCTGCCTTCCACAAAGTTTTAGGATGTGGACACAATTCAGCCAAGTTATTTGCCACTTTATAGTAAAGAAAGGCCTTTATTCAGTTTCTAATACCTTGTTCCTCATTTTTTTCTATGACTTCATCAGAATTGCCTTTGCCATTCACATTTCTACCAATATTATGATCACAACCACTTAGGTAATCTCTGGGATGACTGAGACTCTGTCTAGAGCTCTATTTTTCTGAGCACACAATAAAACAACCCTTAACATTTCATTTATAGCAATCTAGGCTTCCTCCAGCACTCACCTTCAAATTCTTCAAGCCTCTACCTTTTAACCAGTCCCAAAACTGCTTTCATATTTGTAATGTCAACATCTCACATCTGGTACCAATGTATGTCTTAGTACATTTGTATGAGTATAACAAAACACCTTAGACTTGGTGAGCTATAAAAAATACTGATGTTGGAATGACTTTTCTGGGCCCAGAGCTTGGGAATGTGGGCTATGGCCTTGCGTCTGATTTCCATTTTTTTTTTATGATGTCTAAGTACCATTGAAGATGCCAGCAGTGCCTATTTTCCCGCAAATATTATTATCTTGAACAGATTCAAACTGAACTTTCCCAGGGCACTTTATTCCTGTAGGGATGGCCCAGATGCAAGATACTGTGAGTAAACAAGTGTAGAGTGTATTTTATTCCCTTAAATAATTCATCAAATTGAGGTAATAAATAAATAAATAAATAATCAAATAAATTATAATACATCATTATAAATGCGATAATACCTAGACAGTGTTATAGTATCACGAAGATAGGCGGAGGGCGAGAAATTCAAGCAGAGGAGTGAGAAGTCATTGCCTACTTCTGGTTTTGAAGCAGATGGGCCATTTGCTATAATTAAAGTAGAGATGTGTAAGAAACTGCCTGTTCTTCATTGTCTGGCCTCCTGGAGAGAACTTTTACCTTTGTTCCAATTTAATTTGGACTCGTCAGAGAAGTCATTATTTCCAGACCCACCAATTGGGTGGTGCTAAAAGAACATTACATTCTTATTTTATACATGATACAAGTCTCTATTGTACAGTATGAGTTTTTATAACCTTGGATATGAATGACTGATTAATTAGATATCACAAATTACATACTTAAAGCTGCTGTTGGTTTGAATGACTAACAAAAGGAATCTACACCTTGCACGTCAGAAAAATCAGAATAATTCAAATATCCATCATTAACCCTGTCATTCTTCTTTATTCCTTTGGCCAATGTAGGATGACCTGCAACAAAAATAAAGTAAGATCAGGGCTAGAGGTGACAGAGGTTTGTTTGCAGATTGAAGAGAAATGAAGAAAGTGATGTTTTTATTTTTTCAGTTTTGACCTAGATAATTTGGATTTTCTTGTAATAATTGTAATAATGAAATGGTTGTTACTGAAGTTATTTAATAAAATTGGTTATTGCATGTCTGACCCCTCAGTTCCTCATTGAAACAAAAGTTTTAAGACCTTTCTAGATCATGTAAGATTTCTCAAGAGTGCAAGTATGACATTATCAAGGGAAATGCATTTTATTTCTGAACACAACTAAAAATTCAGGTAGATATAGGTCTGAAACTTACATGGTACCTAACACATATAATTAATTTTGTAAATGACTGACTCATGAATACTATGAAAATTGTAATTACAAGATAAAAATATCAGATATGATATTCCATACATATACTTATATCACCTTGTATCAATCACTAATATATTTTAACTTTGGAAGCATTGGCTTTAGTAAGGAGATATGTGTGTGTAGTTATAAACATATATTTATATGCATTTTGATATTATATTTACATGCATTTTGATATTAAGCATTATTATTTTTTGTTCTGGGAAAAGAAAAAGTCCTCTATCATTTATTAATTTTAAAAATTGAGTTTTAGTGGCCTGCATAATCTTACATTAGTACATTGAATTTGTAGGTATACATTCTTGCAATATATTCACTATATATTAGAAAAATGTCTATAGACTTCATGAAACACAGCTGTGGTAAAGTAGGTCAAAATTCTTTTCATAACAAATCTAATGTGTACTTGAATATAACATTTATTAAGAAAATTAGAACTCTTTCTTATAATCCAGGTCAATGCCAAGCTTACTTTGGAAATGTGAAGTGAAACATTAATTTACTTAAATTATTTATTTGAAAGCATAAAATATTTTAAGTACTGGTTTGGTAAACTATTCAAAGAATTGATGCGAAAAGGTAGTATTTACTTCATTTATAAGATAATTTATCTACTCTATTTTATTAATAGATTTTAAACTTGGCCAAAAAAATGGATAGACATACATTTTGTAAAGAAGTGTGTTTTTAATTTACCTTCTCATAGCAATATAGAATAAACACAATTATCTAATGTGCTTGAGTTTTAAATATTGAGGCCTTATCTGTCTTTTTAAATGTAATTATGTCAATATATTTTACATTTTTTAAGGGTTGTGTTAAATATTGGTCAAAATTGTAGACACTTTAATTTTATTGATTGTAGAAAAACAACACGGAGGAGTTTCTGCACTGGAACACAAGCCTTCCGCCTGCCCCACAGGCCACCCAGCCACCAGTATGGTTTTTTGTGCTGTGGTGAGAGGATGGGGTATGTGCTACTTATCCTCATTCCACACTATGTGATTCCAATTTTATTCTGGGTTCTGGTGCACAAAAGGGTGAGTCTACGAATAGACCAACTTTGAAGGACTTACAAAGGTAGACATATATTATCTATACACATCAAATTGTTTTATAAAAGTGCATTGATCAAAATTGTACCTTTATATATAAGAAGAAGCAATGTAAACTGCCTGGTTAAAAATTATTCACTAAATTTTGGGTATGCATATTCACTATTGGGATGAATATAGAAGTAAAATAACAACAAAAACACATCAAACTAAAAACTTTGCATTGGGTATACTTTTGGTGCCATTTGCACATGCTTTCTACTTGCCTTAGATTGGCTTGATCACACTTGCTCCCTGAGCTTTTTGTTCAGTAAATAGCATTGGCTAGCTCTACCATTGCCTGGTGCCCTAAGACAGGCATGTTATTCTCTCCAGAGGAAACACAGGCAATATTTGTGCTTGCAAAAGATAGAAGGGCATCTCTTTGCCAATTAAGGCACGGATTTCAAAAGTGAGTCCCATGAGATTGCACCCACATTGAATACTTGCATTTAAGCTTTACCTCTATTTTTCTAGAGTATCCAGGTTATAAAATGTCTGCATCTGAAAAAGTCTTATATTATGCTTTTTCTATAAAAACCCCAACAAGCTTCAGCTTTTGTTATATAGATACAGAATATAATTTATATGAATTAATTTTAATAAAATATTTATTTCATTTACATGTTGTATTAGTCAGGGTTCTCTAGAGGGACAGAACTAATAGGATATATATACATATATATATATCTGAACATGTATATGTATAAAGAAGAATTTATTAAGTATTAACTTACATGATCACAAGGTCCCACAATAGGCTGTCTACAAGCTGAGGAGCAAGGAGAGCCAGTGCAAGTCCCAAAACTGAAGAACTTGGAGTGCAATATTTGAGGGCAGGAAGCATCCAGCATGGGAGAAAGATGTAGGCTGAGGGGCTAGACCAGTCTCTCCTTTTTACGTTTTTCTGCCTGCCTTATATTCCCTGGCAGCTCATTAGATGGTGCCAACCAGATAAATGGTAGATCTGCCTTCTCCAGCCCACTGACTCATCCTTCAATCCAATCAAGTTGACAGTATTAACTATCACAAGTCCACCCCTTGTCAACTTGAACTCATACACATCTGAGATCATACATAATCTTCAAATAAAGACAATAATAAGGTCCTAATTATGCCTAACATACTATAACTATCCTTCATACAACCAGAAACACACCAATCCCCAACTCAAATACTATTACATAAAGTTAACAATACTTAAATGCTGACGTGAAGTCAGTAAGTATTATGACATATGATAAAGGAAAAGGAAATAAAATAAAGATGATTTCTTAGTACAAGTGTATACATGCACAAACATGTTTTTAACAAAAGAAGGAGGAAATTCTCATGACAGTTATAGTCCCCATTTCTGCAACTGGTCACATGGTCATAACTGGTATTGATGACTACCTTCTTCTACTACCCATTCTGTATTCCCTTTGCCTTCAGCAAGCACCTCAGCAGGTCATGGTTTTTTTCCCTGGTGGGAGTTACCCAAACCTTTATTCCTGAGGGGTCTGGGCCATTCGTAGTCCTGCCTGGATTGGGCTGTTGTAGTTTCCCATGGACCTTAATCACAGGACATGGTAATACTAAGAGATGTCTTAATGGTCTCCTGTACTCCATGCATACTCCTTACCTCCATTGTGGAGTAGTAGACTGATTTCATCTTGATAATCTGGGCCAACCACCCCATCCAACACTGTAACTCCCTTCTTTGCCTATTGACTTAAAAGTAGGAGGAGCCCAAAGTGTCCAGGTGGCAATCTTAACTTCCAGTTTAATGGAATTCTTGTTGTGTCTCCTGGTGGCAGCATTCCTCCCTCTGGAACTAAGAAGTCTAGGCCAGCAGAACATAGTGTCATGGGAATAGGAAGCAAAAATTGTCCTAGTGAATCCCTAGGGGTGATGGTGAGTGGTGCCACTTCAACTTCCACCCCTTGATTCCTGGGCCCATGAATCCTGGCTATGAGAGAAACAGTACCATATATTGGATGCTGGTTTAGAGCATACGCAACCTTCTGGAGAACTTTGCCTCAGCCCTGCAAGTATTGTCACCTAGTTGGCATTGTAACTGTGCCTTCAAAAGGCTGTTCCATCATTCTTTCAATCCAGCTGCTTGAGGATGATAGGGAACATGGTAAGATCTGTGAATTCCATGAGCACAAGCCCACTGCCGCACTTCTTTAGCCGTTAAGTGAGTGCCTTGGTCAGAGGCAATATTGTATGGATAAGGCATTCCATGAGTCCACCAATGGCAGTCTTGGCAGAAGCATTGCATGCAGTACAGGCAAACCCATATCCAGAGTAAGAGTCTATTTCAGTGAGGACAAGGCTCTGCCCTTTCCATGATGGAAGAAGTTGAATATGATCAACCTGCCACCAGGTGGCTTGCTGATCACCCCAAGGAATGGTGCTATATCGAGGGCTCAGTGTTGGTCTCTCCTGCTGGCAAATTGGGCACTCAGCAGGGGCCATAGCCAGGTCAGCCTTTGTGAATGGAAGTTCATGTTGCTGAGCCCATGTGTAACCTCCATCTCTGCCACCACGGCCACGTTTTTCATGGGCCCATTGGGCGATGACAGGGGTGGCTGTGGAAAGAGACTGAGTGGTGTTCACAGAAGGGGTCACCCTATCCACTTGATTATTGAAATCCTCCTCCACTGAGTTCACCCGTTGATGAGCATTCACAGGGGATACAAATATCTTCACAGTTTTTGACCACTCTGAGAGGTTCTTCCCCAAATTTCTTTGTCACCAATTTTCCAACCATGCTTCTTTCAATCCCTGACCATCCAGCAAAATCACTGGATATGGCCCATGAATAAGTATATAATTGCACATCTGGCCACTTCTCCTTCTATGCAAAGTGCACAACCAGGTGCACTGCTCAAAGTTCTGCCCACTGGGAAGGTTTCCCTTCACCACTGTCCTTCAGGAATGTCCTAGAAAGGGGCTGTAGTGCTGCAGCTGTCCACTTTCAGGTGGTGCCCGCATATTGTGCAGAACCAGGCCCTAGTATTCTCTTCCTCTGTTGACTGATTATAGGGAACTCTCCATGAGGCCATTAGTGCAGGCTGAGGGAGAGAAGGCAGAGTGGCAGGAGTGGAGACCATGGGCATTTGAACCACTTCCTCATGTAACTTACTTGTGCCTTAAGTACCTGCTCAAGCCCGATCATGTATATACCACTTCAATTTGATGATGCAATGCTGCTGTGCACGATCCACTCTATGGCTAGATGGGTCAGAAAGCCCCCAGTTCATGATAGACAATTCAGCTCTCACGGTGACTTGATGACCCATAGTCAAACGTTCAGTTTCCACCAAAGCCCAGTAGCAGGCCAAAAGCTGTCTCTCAAAAGGAGAGTAGTTATCTGCAGAAGATGGAAGGGCTTGCTCCAAAATCCTTGAGGCCTCCGCTGTGATTCACCTTTGGGGGCCTGCCAAAGGCTCCAAACAGCATCCCTATCTTCCACTGACACCTCAAGCTCCATTGGATCTGCTGGATCTGGGTCATATGGCCCAAGCGGGAGCAGCTTGCACAGCAGCCTGTACCCGTTGCAGAGCCGTCTCCTGTTTTGGGCCCACGCAAAACTGGCGTCCTTTCAGGTCACTCGATAAACGGGATGGAGTAACACACCCAAAAGAGGAATGAATGTGTTTCCTCCAAAATCCAAATAGGCCAACTAGGCATTGTGCCTCTTTCTTGGTTGTAGGAGGGGCCAAATGCAGCAACTTATCCTTCACCTTAGAAGGAATATCTTGACAGGCCCCACACCACTGGATCCCCTGGAAATTTTACTGAGGTAGAAGGTCCCTGAATTTTAGTCAGATTGATTTCCCATCCCCTGGCACGCAAATGTCTCACCAATAAGTCCAGTGTGTTTGCTACTTCTTGCTCACTGGATCCATCCACATCATGTCATCAGTGTAATTGACCAATATGATATCTTGCAGAAGAGAAAAGCAATCAAGGCCTCTCTGAATAAGATTATGACACAAAGCTGGAGAGTTATATACCCCTGAGGTGGGCAATAAAGGTATATTGCTGGCCTTGCCAGCTGAAGGCAAATTGCTTCTGGTGGGTCTTATGGACAAGAATGGAGAAAAAGGCATTTACAAGGCTGCATAGCAGGTACCAGGAAATGTGTTAATTTGCTCAAGCAATGAAACCACATCTGGCACAGCAAGTGCAACTGGAGTCACCACATGGTTAAGTTTACCATAATCCACTGCCATTTTCCAGGATCCATCTGTCTTCTGCACAGGCCAAATGGGAGAGTTGAACAGGAATGTGGTAGGAATCACCACCCCTGCCTCTTTCAAGTTCTTCATTGTGGCACTAATCTCTGCATCCCTCTAGGGATGCCATATTGTTTTTCATTTAATTTACTATTGATTTTGTTTTGATTTACTATTTTTCTAGGTAGAGGCAGCTCTGATGGCTTCCCTTTGGCCATTCCAACCATAATAGCCCTCAGCCTACCAGTCAGGGAGCCAATGTGGGTGTTCTGCCAGCTGTTAAGTATGTCTATGCAAGTTATGCATTCTGGCACAGGGAAAATGACCATAGGATGAGTCCAGGGACCCACTGGACCCACTGTAAGTCGGACCTGAGCTAAAACTCCATTAATTGCTTGATCTCCATAAGCACTTACTTTAAGTGGAGGATTACAATGACCTTTTTTGGCTAACACCTATAATCCCAGCACTGGGAGGCCAAAGCAGACAGATCATCTGAGGTCAGGAGTTTGAGACTAGCCTGAACATGGTGAAAACCCGTCTCTACTAAAAATACAAAATTAGCTGGGTGTGGTGGTGCATGCCTCTAATCCCAGCTACTCGGGAGGCTGAGGCAGGAGAATCGGTTGAACCTGGAGGTGGAGGTTGCAGTGAGCTGAGATCCCGCCATTGCACTCCAGCCAGGGCAACAAGAGCAAAACTCCGTCTCAAAAACAATAACAACAAAAACAAAAACACAATGATGTTTTGGGTCCCCTGGAATCAACGTCAGTTCAGAGCCAGTGTCCAGTAGTCCCTGAAATGTCTCATCATTTCCCTTTCCCCATTGCACAGTTACCTGGTAAAGGCCAGAGGTCTCCTTGGGGAAGGATGGGAGAAAGATTCACTGCATATTGTCGGTAATGTAGTGGGGTCCTTCCTAAACAGGATCCACCCTCCCCGTGCATTCAAGATGTTCTGGGTCTGTAAACTGACTCATGTCTGGAAATTGTTTGAGGGGCCGTGATTCTCTGTTTTTATAATTCAAATTAATATTTTGTCCATTCGACCTAGAAATTTTCTGCTTATATAAATTAAACAGGAATGCTGCAGTCTTCCTATCAATTTCAGCTCTAGAAACACTGTGATTAATTAGCCAATGCCAGAGCTCTACACGAGTCAGACTATTCTGATTGCCACTTTGCCTCTGCTGTCCATTATGGTAGCTATGCCTACCTTGAGGTTGATAGTTGAGTGCTGTCACTTGGTGCCTACCACCTCAGCATCCAATTATTCCCATTGTATTTAAATTTTGTAGTTGTGTGACTTAGGTTCCCACCGTTAGATCTGAAATAGAGAGACGAGCAATTACAGGGCTCTTCAACGATGCAGGCGCTGCCCTCACTATTTCACAAGGCATCGGTCAAGGGTATATCTTCTGGACCCTCCCAGCTGGGACGTGTAGGTCTAAAGTGACTAATCCATTCCACCATCCCAAGCTCCCTAAGCCTTTGGATCCCTTCCTTGACATTAAACCTAGGGAGATCAGGCATTTCCAGCTGACTCACAGTGGGCTATCTTTTAATCCATATTTCAGCTAACCAAGCAAATAAACTGTTAGAACCTTTTTTAATTCCCTGAGTGCAGCACTAAGACAGAGTCCCTACTTACTGGGCCCAAATCAATAAATTCAGTCTGATTCAACTCTATGTTCTTCCACAATTATCCCATACTTTTAATATCCATTCCCATGCCTGTTCCTCAGATTTCTGTTTATATAAATTAGAGAACTCAAACAGTTCTTTTTGAGTGTAGTGCACCTCCCATGGGTCACACTCTCAACCTCGCCTCTAGGGGCCCATAGGGACTTTAGTCTAGTTATAGGTCTAGAAGCAAACAGAAGGGTTGGGGTGGCTGCTGAGGAGAACCAACATTATCTTGCCTGGCAACTGCCTCAGGAGAGGCCATCATTGTTGCCTCAAGCAGCGCAGGGTTTATCTCCTCAGACAAAAGTGGAAAGGCTGACGGCAGCATGAGTTGGGGAGGAAATTATGCCACTACTGGGGATGGGGAAGCTGTTCCTTCTGGCAAAAAAGGTTCATCAGAGTTCACAAACTCAGTGTCCCCAGCTTCATCAGGGTCCTCCCACACATCCCCATTCCAACTTGCAGCATCCCATTATTTTCCAATCAATGCCCTCACTTTAACAGTAGACACCTGGCAAGGCTGTGCATGCATCTTTCCTTGCAGGTACACCACTCACTCGTATGATAAGAGCTTGTCTGTTTTTTCACAGTTTCAGCTCTTTCTCTACAGGAGATAAGACTCTCACTCAGGGCAATCTTAGCAGATTTGAGGCTCAGTGTCTGCTTCTGAAGCTAGAAGACAGAAGCTCTAAGTTCATCATTTTCTTTCATCATTATGTCCACTGAACTTAGGAGCAGCCAACCACCTTCATTATTTTCCTTGGATCTCCACATATAGTCAAAGGTATTATGTATAGAGTCACTAAACTTCTTGCCTCTTAGCCAGTGGTGAATCAGGAGTGTCAAATGCATTTATTTTGCACTACTCTCTTGACAGTTCACGCCAAGGACTATCAGTGTTCTCCATACTGTGAGAAGTAGAGTCTTTTGCATTTTTGGATCTAATCATATTAAGCAGCCAACTCCAGATAACCCCAAAACCAGTGAAAGAACTCCATCCTTAATATTCTGTTTCTCTATAACCCTTCCTCGTAACAAAATCTTTATTAGTCAGGGTTCTCTAGGACAGAACTAATACAATATATATATAAAGGGGACTTTATTAAGCATTAACTTACACAATCACTAGGTCCCACAATAGGCTGTCTGCAAGCTGAGGAGGAGGCAGAGCCAGCCCGAGTCCCAAAACTGAAGAACTTGGAGTCTGATGTTTGAGAGCAGGAAGCATCTAGCACGGGAGAAAGATGTAGGCTGGGAGGCTAGGCCAGTCTCTCCTTTTCAAGTTTTTCTGCCTGCTTTATATTCGCTGGCAGCTGATTAGGTTATGCCCATGAGATTAAGGGTGGATCTTTCTTCCCCAACCCAGTGACTCAAATGTTAATCTCCTTTGGCAACACTCTCACAGACACACCCAGGATCAATACTTTGTATCCTTCAATCCAATCAAGTTGACAGTATTAACCATCTCACATATATATTTTGGAAGCTAATAATTCTCCCAAAGGTATGATTTTCTTTTATTTAAATTTCTATTTTTCTACTAAAATAACAACATTAACAACAATAAAGATAACACAAAAGCTATAATATATTAAGATACTTCAGAATAAATGCAAAGTAGACAGATGTTAAACACAAAATTAGTTTATGTTGTGCCAGGCTAGGTTTTTATTAAGACTTTATGTCTACTTTGTATCTATCCTATGAAGCTCTTTTCTTTTTGTCTTTATTGGTATTTTCATATTTATAGCTTACTTGATTGTTTCATGATCTGGCCTTCGTGTGAGTGTGTGTGTGTGTGTGTGTGTGTGTATGTGTGTAACTTTAGAAGTCTGTTATATCATGGTATGAATTAACTGCCTAATAAATAATCACTATAATTTTTACTCATTTTAGCAAGTATAACTTCGGATTTTTTAAAATGTATTTTTATAATATATGGCTCACTGAATGATAAAATATCAGAGAAAAATTAGAAATGAAAATACATGAAAATTCCTGAGAGTAGGCACTACTTTAGGGAATATAAGAGGCATTGTTTCCCTGAATTCAGAATAAGATCATGTCTCTAATGTAGGATAATATGATAGAAAGAAGCAGTGGACTGAATGCAAATGACAACGTTTAGTATTCTCTGTGGTAGGAAAAGGGATTAGGGAATATTTCGTTCATCTTAACAATTTTTTTAACTCATTATCTGTACAATAAGAGATTTGAACAAGATATTCTCTAGGGTCTATTCTAATTGCAAACTTTTGTAACTTTAATGGAAAACAATTTAAAAATAAATCAAAGTTTGTTTCTAATGAATGCTATTTCAAGTTTCATTGAATAGTTTAAATGAATAATATCGCATCGGAAGGATCCCAGAAGACCTTAATAACAAAAAATAGTGGTTAGGGGGGAACACCACTGTGAGAGAGTAGAACATTTTTTTCTTCTCAGTTATTACTAAAAATCTTTAGTTTCTATTTCCCATTTGATCTGATTTTATACAGGTCATTATAAATGTCTCTTTGCTTCATTGTTTTAATTTCCCCAGTATTATAAAAAAGTAACAAAAAAGTCAATAAATTGGGCAATTCTGTAATATGTATTTTGATAATTCTGAATCTACCTGCATGCATAATTGTTTCTGATAATAAATATTGGTTGGTTGAATTGATAAGAATTCCAACAATTAACCTAGAAAGTGTTTAATCTGATTTGACTTGGTGAGATAGCTTCTTTACAGGTTGTTACAATGGAGAGGGAAATTTCTGGGTAAAAGATTATTAAAAGGAAAACAGGCAAAATCTGTAGCGTTAAATAATTTTGTTGATGAAAATTTAAAAGTCCCAGAAAATGTGAGGAAAAATCAACCATAAATCACAGAATTTATATATATATATATATGTGTGTGTGTGTGTTCGCACGTATATATAGCCATACTCTAAATCTCTGTTGTGAATTAAGAACTCACGTTTCTTTGAATGCATACATTGTTTCATTATTTGTGCTTAAATAGTGAAACACAGATGGCAGCTGTTTTAATTTTTCCTTTATCAACACCAGATAGATTTGGACTTTTCTTTACTTGTAAGAAAACTCTACATCCTTCTCATTTTTTCTGTGAATTTCATGAGGTTTATGTTTTCATGTACACTTCAGACCTCATAATTTTACTTTGCAAAATCCTAAATAGTTACTCATGTTATCATATGACTATGACTCAGACATTGTACTTCTTGGGTTTTTTAAATCCAGAAGGGTAACTGAGACCATTTCTCTGATTTCCACTGAAAACAAGAACACAATAATCCAGAAAGACAGAAAAAAAGAAAGAAAAGAACAAACGAAAGAAAGAAAGAGAAAAAAAAGAAGGAGGGAAATCAAATCCAATGAGAAATTTGGGGTTTTATAATTCATAATAGAAATGAAAAGATCTTCAAAGAGACCTTTTCAAGAACTGTGAAGTGTCTGTGATGTTGCCTTACTTGCAAGCAATTTAGCTTGCCATACAGTTAATTGCATGCTGGAAGAAGACAAAATCTTATTGGTTCAGTGAAACAGACTTCATTACTCAGGGCACAGCACACAGCATGAGATTCATGTTTGTTTAGATTCTTCTTGCCCCACGAGTCTCTCTGTGGCGATATGGAGGGGAGGGCTATTCCAGCTGAATGGTACACATCTAGTGGCTTTAAGCTCCAGCTGAGAAAGCCCAGGCTTAAGAAACGCCATCTGTAGTAAGTGGGCTGCAAGGAAATCAGCTCAACCTTTCCAACAGATGGAAACTATCTTTCTTAAACTAGACAACAGACAAATCAGTCCTCTGCTCTGGAATGAGACAATATCTCTCTTTTCCAAGGCATTTGGTTATACAAGTAATCTCAAAAAGATAGTCCAGAACAAAAGTTGTCAACAACTCTGCTCAAAAGAGATAGAGAAATGAGAGAGAACTATGAACAATAGTTTTCTGATTGTCTCATTGTATGTTAGTTCTATAAAATGGTCTGAGGATGATGCTTTTTGTTCCTTATCCCTTTCTTTTTCTTTCAGAGTTTGCTTTATTCTATTCTCCAAGTGCCTTTTATTTCTACTGTTAAGCAGATCAACTAATCTTGCTTTCAGTGGCTTGTATTAAACAATATTCTGAAAAACTTATATTCTACTCCAAGGAATAAATTAATATTTTTAATTAAAATGATTCTTCGGTCTTACAGTGGAATTAAATTCCTAGTTAACAGGAAATTATTTTTCCATACTACTTCAATAATTATTTGCCAAACCTAGAGATCACACATTTTGTATTTATTTGTTTCATTTCAAGGAACGACAAATATATCTATACGTGTAATTCTGTTAAGATTACACAACCAAAATAATTTCATATGTAAATTAATGCCAGAGGCCTTCAGATCCAGAAAAAGAAAAAGATGTTGCTAGCTTCTAATCCCAAGATTCAAGCTAGTGCTTATGTTTCTAAAATTATTTACCTTTACTGGTAGAGTTAATAAATGAAAAAAAATTGAGGTATTTGTACATTACCTTGGATATTTCAAATATAGAGAGAACATGTCAAAATTGCCTAAATTACAAAGAAGAACTCCCTTGAGCAATTAGAGTGACTGGCATGAGGAAGTAGACATGAGACATGTATGAAAGAATAAGAAAAAGAGTAAAAAAACTTTAAATATGTAAGTAAAATATCAATGGAACATAATAAGTGAAATAAAATGTACACTTGAAAATCTTAATTGAAACAATCTGACACAATGTGGCAAAGCAAAATTTTAATGAAAGTCATATAATATATAAGCACAAATATATGTATGTTTGTGTGTAAATACAAATAAATCATGTTTATAAATAAAATACAAATAATCTTTTGTATTTATAAACAAATCATATATGCATATATCATATAACATATATACATACGCACAGAGAGGGAGAGAGAGAGAGAAATCATAGTATCTGAATTTGGTAGCTGCATTATGAGGAAATAATGATATCTATGAAGATAAAAATATGAAAGAAAAGCAATAAACGTTATTTTGCTCTCTGTAATTTAAAATATTTAGTAACTGTTTTGAGATAATAAAAAAGAACCATTTTAGTAATAATATAAATATTTTAGTTGTCCTCTGATATAATGTCTGGCACCTCCCTACATTTCACGTATTTAAATCATTTAAAGATATAAATATATGTTAAGGTCTAATTATATCATAAAAGTCTGAATCACCTTTAAGTAATTTACTATTTCATTCATGTAAGGGATGCATAAATATGCTTGCTGAAAAACCTTTTTAATACGAAATATACTGACTGGTCATGGGTATAATGGCTACATTCCAATGCTTCTGAATGGCCCTTTGTTTGTTTGTTTAAGATAAATATTATCTATAAACTACTAAAAGCCATAGGAGAAATGGACTGGCAAATCTGAATTTCTGTATTCATAATTTGGCCAGGTTAATGGCAAGCTCTATGATCCTGGCCAAGATTGTTCCTCATTATGTTTATACACCTTCATAGTGAGCCTATTGGCGAACATGACGCCTGTGTTATATTTGGGCTTCCAAATTCTATGTTAATGACAGAATCCTGCTCTCTAAAGCAAACCTTGCTTACAGTCCATTGCAGTCCTGCTTTCATGTGGAGTGTTCACTTCTGCAACATCAAGAGGAAGTCTCCCATTTCTAACTCTTGATTTAACGGATGAGTCAAATTTGACCAATACAACAAAGCAGACAGGGTTGCAATGTTTTACATGAAAAACATCTGAGCGTGCTATGGTTACAGGCAACAGTTCATTTTGATAATTTTTAAAAGGAAAATATAAATAAAGAAATGACAGAGAATAGGATGATTTTACAAAGGTGAATTAACCATGGAATCACAGAAAAAAAGATAACTAAAGTACCTAAATATACAATTATTCTGGGTTTCCTGGGAACTTTAACAATTTTGTTTTCAGATCTACTTTATTTCATTTTTTTCCTCATCTGTTTTCCATGTTATTTTATATTTTGTAGATCCTTTCTGAAGCATCTAAAAACTCTCAAGATTGGGAAATCTAAAAATATCTCTGCAAAATATAAAGTCCTTGTTAAATAAAAAACAAAAAACTTCAAATATACATTTGAAGGTATAATACTACATAATGCAAATTTGAGGCAACATTATTTATGAACAATGTGATACAAACAAACAAAACAGACATTTTAATTCATAATGGCAATAAGACAGTTATCAGGAAAATTAATAAATGACCTACAAATATCAAGTAGTATTTTCCTTAGATTTAAGAGATACATTAAATATTCAACTAACATACACAATTCCAAAGCTATTGCTGAAGAAACTAAGGTAATGGAGAACTGGATGTTATTACTGAAAGATTCAGTATTTGCAATATCTAGCATTTTGTTCAGCTTTACTTCCTCTGGTACACTTGAATGTCTAAAATCTACTCCCCTACTTTGAATCAAAGACCTTAAGAAATTTTAAATACAAGAAAACTGTCCATCAAAACTGCAGTTTTTGAAAAAAAAGTTTTACAAGAAAATCAGTGTTGAAAATTTTACTTAAGACTTTGAAAAGTAACTGAATTTCCAATCACATAGCAACACTAACAAGATAATTAAAGAAAAAAATGCCAATTGAGTTATAAGAATCACCAAAAATTAAGATCAAAAGAAACTTCCAGAGAGAGTTTTATTTCATACTATAAATCTCATAAGGGGAAGAATTTTGGCTTATAATTCTTTTTTCATCCTTAGAACCTAGAACTTTGAGGAACATATTAGTAACTAATGATGACATTTTCTTGACTAGTACAATCAAAATGATATTAGCTTCTTTCCCCCAAAAAAGAGCAACCTTGGTCAAATTGGGATATATAACTTTTTGTTTTATTTTTAGAAAAATATATATTGAAGCATTCTAATTGAGGAAATATATTTATCATATTTTAACTTTCTAAAATATTTTTCTCAAATAATTTTCTCTTATTATTTAGTTCTTGCTTAAAAGTGAGAACATGTGGTATTCGGTTTTCTGTTCCTGTGTTAGCTTGCTAAGTATAATGACTTCCAGCTCCATGCATGTTCCTGCAAAGAACTATTTTTTATGGCTGTATAGTTTTCCATGGTGTGTATATACCACATTTTCTTTATCCAGTCTATCATTGATGAGCATGTAGGTTGATTCCATATCTTTGCTATTGTGAACAGTGCTGAAATGAATATATGTGTGCACGTGTCTTTATAATAGAATGATTTATATTCCTTTGGGCATACACCCAGTAATGGGATTGCTGAGTCAAGGGCTATTTCTGTCTTTTACACACAGACACGTAGAAGGAAATGACAAACACTGAGGCCTTTTGGAGGGTGGAGGGTGGGAGGAAGGAGAAGATCAAATAACTAATGGATACTAGACTTTATACCTGGGTGATGAAATAATCTGTACAACAAATCCCCATAACACAAGTTTACCTATGTAACAAACTGCACTTGTACCTCTGAACTTAAAATAAAAATTAAAAAATAAAATAACTAACTAAAACAAATGAAAATAGTAAATTTCTCTTATTTTCCTTACGTAGTTTAAAATAAGGTCTTTCACTTAAAGATGGTGGATTTAACATGTGTTTTCCTTAATACTTTCTGAATTCCCAACAATAAAAAACACAATAAAAAGACCTGAAAAGGAGGAAAGCATGCAGTTTACAAGAACGAACGGAATAGTAGAAAAATGGCAGGTTAAATTTTTTTTCTTGAAAGTTGAAAAGCAAATAAATTTGTGATAATTGACTTAGACTGAGAAAGCAGAGATAAAAACCAATAGGAAGCTCAGATGTCATCTATGCGTCTTGCAAAATCTAGAATAGGTTCAGGTTCTTATGACACCAAGTGCCCTCAAAGTGGCTGCAAGGTTTAATTTAGGAGAATGGTTTGAAAGATACAAATAGGCTTCTAGAAAATTACCCACCAGAGGTAATATGTACTTAAGGAAATCAGGCACAGCTGAGGTGGGACTACCATATGGAAAATCGAAAGATTAAAAGATAATGTGTTAATTTAATGATGCGGCCGTTGTTCCAGCTCTATTCTCCTACTTTAAATCTAGCATGCAAAAATTCAAGCTTTCGCCAACAAGTAAGATGAATGATAGTTTTTTAAATGAAGAAAATAATGATACCAGAGAAAAGCATCTAGTTAATGGCATTTCTTTGTCCTCAAGGGAAAACTCAATAATACCACACCCTAAATTGAGGACCCTTTGATTAGTCTTCCTGTACAAATGCATAGTAGTCTCTTTCCCTGTCTTACTCTTCAACATAACCTGCCAGCTAAGATGGCCAAAATTAGAGAAAATTATATGCTATGAAAAAGAGTAAAATCAAACTAAATGACAAACAAATTGCAGCAGATAGTCCAAACAAGAAGCAGGAAATGTTTTTTAAAACTCAATATTTTCATAGAGATAAAAGAAGATAAAACACCCATATATCTAGGACAGTATGCCATTAAAATAAATAAATAAATAAAAACAAAACCAAAATAGTTGATTTAGGTAAAAAAGTAAATATGATATTTGTAGTATTTCAAAAGTAGATATCTGAAACGGTATTTTTCTTTCTTCCTAAAATAGACATTACTACATTCCCCCATAATTCAATACAATCTAGCAAATATGAGTAGAAGTAAGGAGCAGAACATACCTAAAACTTAACACATTCTAGCAAAGAAATTCACTCACTATTCTCTTTTAAATTACCCAGCACATAGCAGATTTTTAGTTTGCTTTGAATTGAAAGAACTGATTTCTCTGAGAAATAGCATAATATGTTTGCTTAGGTGTACCATTCCAACAAATAATTCAAATACTCAAAGTCAGTAGAACCTAAATCAAAAGCAGAAATATTAATTTCCTTTTAAAATATTTAAATGTTTAAAATGTTACATTACTTTAGGTTTATAATCTGAAAAAAAAAGTATATATTCATAGTACTGCTTATGCATATTTAATCACATATTTCTAAAGCAGATAATCTAAACTCAGTATAGTAATCAAATTTTAGAGAAAATCTAAAATTTTAGTATAATATGTACTCTAAATTTTTTTTTTAATTTTTAACATAATGTGTAGTTTTTTGAAATTAAATTTTGAACCCATGAATTTTGGTTTTATTAAGAGTAAGCCAGAATGCCATGAACTCAAAAATGAAAAACATCAAATTAAATAACAATCACAATAATACTCTGGGATTTAAAAATTAACAAAAGATCAAACTGAGGAAATGAATTAGGTATTTAAGTAGTTTTGTTTGGTTGGAGTTATGAAAGATTACATAAATGAATAGGCAAGTACAAATAGTGTGATTTATTTTGCCACAGAAAATAATGGAAATTCTGAGTTGTTTATTTAAATTTTGCACTGAAACATAATAAAAGTATAAAGCATAAACTAACTGAAAAGTTTCTAAACTTCTACACTCTAACATTGACATATTTCAATTTAGTAAAGACTTTTAGCCACTTTAACAAACAACAAAGCCAGCTGACATTTATGCAAGCAGCTCTTTTCTCTTTCCAGTAACAGCTTAAAATTGTCTTTTTGGAAAACACCATACAATTTAATTATTATTGAACAGTCAGAAGGATTAGTTAGTAGAGAATATAAATCAGCAGTTTTATTAAAGCATGAAATTAAATACCTCATATAGAAGACAAAAGCCTCAAGAGTTTAAAGATGGTGCTATTGACATATCAGTTCATTCTAATATAAGTGATTAGTAGTTGCATTTATATAAATGGTTGGAAGGGTCCGGTGGTATTAAGTGCACACACCAAATAATTCTATCAAAATTTTTAAATGTCTTAAGCTTATATTCATTTAACAGCTCAATTACATATTCTCATTCACATAAAACACCCAGGGCAAATTTTCATAACTGAGGGAAATGAGGAATTGAGATGATTATCCCAATAATTTAGACTCAAAATCACACTAGGGGTTCCAAGGAACTGGAAAGCGGGAACAATTTATACTTTGAATCAAAGAAGCAATATTCTATGATAGTTTCCTAACTTATGTAACTAACTCTTTTGGCTCACATGTTTTTTCAGAAACCTGAGGAGGGGAAAGGAGAAAAGTAATCTTTGGGGCAGGCATGACCAGGTGATGGGCAACTATTAAGTGACCTGAGTATGTCCTTCATTCCTCTGCTGAACTGAAAACTGTGTTATCCTTTCTATTAAAAATAGTCTAATTACATGCAGCTGAGCAAAACATCAGGTTTTCTACAAAAGATCCACAACATAAATTCTAGTAAATTAAGAAAAAAACTTGGCCAGGTGCGGTGGCTCACGCCTGTAATCCCAGTACTTTGGGAGGCCGAGAAGGGGGGATCATGAGGTCAGGAGATCGAGATCATCCTGGCTAACACGGTGAAACACCGTCTCTACTAAAAACACAAAAAATTAGCCGGGTATGGTGGCGGGCGCCTGTAGTCCCAGCTACTCGGGAGGCTGAGGCAGGAGAATGGCGTGAACCCGGGAGGCGGAGTTTGCAGTGAGCTGAGATTGCACCACTGCACTCCAGCCTGGGCGACAGAGTGAGACTCCGTCTCAAAAAAAAAAAAAAAAGAAAAAGAAAAAAAAACTCTAAGATCTCTACATTGGAAGAGAATAAATCTGGCATATACATTGCATTCGAGTTTTGGTACCTAAATGCAGCTTTCTTATAACACATGTCAGGTTGCATGCATGAAAGTAACTTAATATTTTAGCAGTCTCCCTTAATATTATAGTCTTAGCATTCATAAGCAGGTGCTCCGCTACTTCCAAATTGTGGAGGTGGGGAACAGAAGAGAGAGATGGAGAAGGAGAGGAAGAAATTTAAAAAGGAAGCATTTGGCTGGGTATATTGGGTGGCTCATGCCTCTAAACCCAGAACTTTAAAAGGAGGCCGAGACGGGCAGATCATGAGGTGAGGAGTTTGAGACCAGCCTGACCAACATGGGGAAATCCCATGTCAATTAAAAATACAAAAAATAGCTGGACGTGGTGGCCTGCGCCTGTGCCTATAATCCCAGACACTCAGGAGGCAAAGGCAGGAGAATTGCTTGAACCCAGGAGACGGAGATTGCAGTGAGCCAAGATTGCACCACTGCACTCCAGCCTGGGCAACAGAGCAAGATTCCATCTCAAAAAAAAAAAAAAAAGAAAAGAAAGAAATGTTTTACATATTTAGATGATTTGCTGCTAAGACAATGCAAAGCTTTAGTATTATTTGAATAGATTTGCAATAATTGATATATAGGTGAGCTCACAGCTCCTCAACTTGACTGACATATTTGAGCATGTTGTTTCAAAACACCTAATGAAATTATTTTTTTTTTTGGTAGTGGATATAAGCTTTTTAAAACTTCTTTTTCTTGACAGTTGTGTAAATCTTTTAGATAAGATTTTCAAATACCAAGAGATCACTCAAACTTCAGAGGTAACAATTAAAGAAGCCTATTAAAACTAGCCTCTATAAACATGTTAAAGGCATTAAGTTCCAATCTATGTCTTCGTAGGACACAAAATAGACAAAGAAAAGTGACTATGATGTAGCCTTTGATCTGAATGTTTGTAACCCCCCCACAAACATCCCCCTGCAAAGTTCATATGTTGAAATCCAAGTCCCTGAATAATGGTGTTTGAAGGTGGGGCCTTTGGGAGGTAGTTAGGCCACAAGGGTGAAGCCTTCATGAATGGGATTAGTGCCTTAATAAGAAGCCATAGAGCTAGCTCTAGCTCTTTCTGCAAGTGAAGATGCAATGAAAACTAGTAGTCAGCTGGGCACGTTGGCTCATGCCTGTAATCTCAGCACTTTGGGAGGCTGAGGTGGGCGGATCACCTGAGGTCAGGAGTTCAAGACCAGCCTGACCAACATGAAGAAACCCCCCTCTCTACTAAAAATACAAAAAATTAGCCAGGCGCGGTGTCAGGCACCTGTAATCCCAGCTACTGGGGAGGCTGAGGTGGGAGAATCGTTTGAATCCAGGAGGCGGAGGTTGCAGTGAGCCGAGATCATGTCACTGCACTCCAGCCTGGGCGACAGAGCGAGACTTTATCTCAAATAATAATAATAATGATAATAATAATAATAATCAGCAAACTTGAAAAGGCTCCTCATAAAACCCGGTTAGGATGGTGCTCATCTCCAATTTCCATCCTCCAAGACTATGAGAAATAAGTTTCCATTATTGATAAGCCACACAGTCTATAGTACATTTTTATCATTATGGCATTTTAACAAAATCACATATCTCACTTGCATTACTTTAAATATCTTCCTCAAATATTTAAGACAATTATGTGGCTAACTTTGCATTAGACTGGGTTGACAAATTGTTATTCTATTCATACACTATATAAACAATGTATAGCATTTCATCTTTATATAAAATTTCACCCAAATTCAAGCTTGTTTTATTTATTTCCTTATTTTTGGCTAATAGTTTCAGGCAAGGAAATATCATTGGTCAATATTGAACATCAGAAATGTTGAAGTGAGTAAATTTGAAAAATCATAGCTGAAAGCAATCTAGGGAATTAAACATGCTTTGGACAACACTATTTCTCCATTTTAATTGTCTGAACTTTTTGGATGAGTCTGCTATTGCCAAGCAATTCACATGTTCATGATATAACACGAATAATGTTAAATGGCTCACTGCACTCTCATTTAAATGCAGTAGGTTATTTTTCATGATTTTGTTTATTCCTTTATTATGAAGACTGGTAAAACAAAATAAAATTCCAATCATTATAGGGGTTTAAAATAAACCAAAGTTCATCATCATAAAATGATAGAATAAACATTTTATCACAAAACTTTCACTTAAGACATAAAATGTCTTCTAGGGTTTTTATGGTTTTAGGTCTTACGTTTAAATCTTTAATCCATCTTGAGTTAATTTTTGTATAAGGTATAAGGAAGGGGTCCAGTTTCAGTTCTCTGCATATGGCTAGCCAGTTTTCCCAACACCATTTATTAAATAGGAAATTTTTTCCCCATTGCTTGTTTTTGTCAAAGATCAGATGGTTGTAGATGTGTGGTGTTATTTCTGAGTCTTCTGTTCTGTTCCACATACGCATGGGCAATGACTTAATGACTAAAACACCAAAAGCAATTGCAACAAAAGCCAAAGTAGACAAATGGGATTTAATTAAACTAAAGAGCTTCTGCATGGCAAAAGAAACTATCGTCGGAGTCAACAGGCAACCTACAGAATGGGAGAAAATTTTGCAATCTCTCCATCTGACAAAGGGCTAATATCCAGAATCTACAAGGCACTTACACAAATTTACAAGAAAATAAAAAAAAAACATCAAAACTGGGCAAAGGATATAAACAGACACTTTCAAAAGAAGACATTTATGCGGCCAAAAAACATGAAAAAAAGGTCATCATCACTGGTTGTTAGAGAAATGCAAATCAAAACCACAATGAGATACCATCTCATGCCAGTTAGAATGGCGATCATTAAAAAGTCAGGAAAAAACAGTTACTGGAGAGGTTGTAGAGAAATAGGAAGGCTTTTACACTGTTGGTGGGCGTATAAATTAGTTCAACCATTGTGTAAGACAGTGTCGCGATTCCTCAAGGATCTGGAACTAGAAATACCATTTGATCAGCAATCCCATTACTGGGTATATGCACAAAGGATTATGACTCATTCTACTACAAAGACACATGCACATGTATGTTTATTGCAGCATTATTCACAATAGCGAGAACTTGGAACCAACACAAATGCCCATCAATTTTAGACTGGATTAAGAAAATGTGGCACACATACATCATGGAATACTATGCAGCCATAGGAAAGAATGAGTTCATGTCCTTTGGAGGGACATGGATGAAGCTGGAAACCATCGTTCTCGGCAGACTAACACAGGAACAGAAAACCAAACACCGCATGTTGTCACTCATAATTGCTCATAAGTGGGAGTTGAACACTGAGAACATAAGGGCACAGGGAAGGAGGGAACATCACACACCGGGGCCTGTTGGGGGTTAGGGCTCTAGGGGAGGGATTGCATTAGGAGAAATACCTAATGCAGATGACAGGTTGATGAGTGCAGAAAACTACCATGGCACATGTAAACCTATGTAACAAACCTGCACGTTCTGCACATGTATCCCAGAACTTAAAGTATAATTAAAAAAAAAAAAAAAGGTAATGATAATCTAATTCGTGGAATTTCTGAAAAATTGACTTCTAAACTGTAAGAATAATTTGGTTTACAGCATGTTCTACCAATATGGAAGTATTTACTGAAAATATTGAATGACATACATATTTGAAAATGATAGATCTTTCCATGTACCATAAAAATTGAGTCATTGTCAACTTAGTGTTTGCTTTTCCCAAGCAAATTAAACATTTATTGCTGGAAGAAATGAAAAACATGGCTCCACAACCCTTTCTGTGTCTCACATTGGATAGTCAGTATTTTTTGCACAGAAGGACAACCATCATAAGCAAATTAAGTGATTGCCTATGACATTTCTCCCAAATATTTACAGATAATTTTTAAATGTAATTTTTCAATAACGATAAAAGGTTAAAGTGAAGACATCATTCAAAGGTGGGCATGACAGTGTAGAAACCAATTAGGGAAGGGTAGGTATATGTAAAATAGGTGAAGGGTGGGGAAATCAGAGGAAAGCCCACTAAACAGGGAGACAAGTTGCCAAGCCAGTCTGAGGATTTAACTTGTAGCTTGACTTTCAGGCTTTAAATTGTCTTCGGCTTAGAGGTGACGTTTCACCAGGGACCCACCCCTATCTGCCTAGGCATTTGGTTGCCTCCTGCCCTCTCACATTGATGAAATGCATTACGAAAATATTAAAACTAACAATACCAAATGTATAACTAGCTATATTATAAAAAAGAAAATGTAATAATGAAAACTGTTAAGATCTAATCTTTCACATATTCGGTATTCACTGGTATGAAAAAGGGTGATCTAGTGCCATTTTTATAACTTTCCCAATTAGTGAAGAATAAACACACTTGGGAACATAAATATTTAGAAGTAGGTACAACATACATAGTCAAAGATCAAACTTTTGTCCCACAATTTAATAATATTAGCAAGAAAATTAAACAAAAACAAAATAGCAAAAAATTCGGGATGAATTATCACTTTATAACTATTTAAAGCTACTTTATTACAGTAACATTTTTTCCTCTATACCTACTGAAAAATATAATACATTTTACTGGAATCACCTAAGATATCAAATTGGTTAAATTTAACATTTAAATTGTATTTTTATAACCCAGGAATTTTACATTCCACGTAAATAAATGATAATGGAGGAGTAGAATTTTCAATAACTAATATATTTACTCTTTTTCAGATAAGTGCCAATGCTGATTTTTGGTGCTAAACACATCACATACAGATTCACAGTTTGGAATGTAGCAAGCGTGTTAACATTTTCTCCTCAAGCGATATATTTTTCTGAGCTGTGTTAGAAGTGAATGTTGTGTTTCGTTAAAAAGGAAATTTGCATGTATAGCTTGTTTATTTCTAGAATGTGTTGTTGGCTTACCTTTAAAAACTCAAAATATCTAAGGCTTGAATTCTAGCTGGGTGATGGGATCATTCATACGCCAAACCTCAGTAACACAAAATTTGTCCATGTGTTGAACCTGAAGATGTACACCTTAAACCTAACATTAAAGTTGAGAGAAAAGAAATAAAATAAAATTAAAATAAAATAATAAACAAAAATATCTAATGCTTGCTTGGAATCATCTTTGTATGAGAACTCTAGAACTTGAGTAAAGAATATTGCCTTGTTGCAACAAGTTGCTTATTGAAAATCAGATTCCTTTTTATTTTTTACAGTGGATGCCTTATGATGGGTACTCCGGAAGCAGAAAATAATACAGAATGTGAGTCTTAAGGTATTTATCAGGATCCACACCTGTGAAAAGAATGGGAAGAAACAGGATTGGCAGAGGGAGAATGTGAGCTATGACAAATGTGCAGACAATTTGCAAAGAGCATGGCTTGAGATTTTCATATGAGAATTGTCCTCCATAAGGCCAAACTGGCTGGACTTTTTCTTCTCCACCTAGATCATCCCCTGAGAAGGTTGAGAGCTTGAACCAGTGAGCTGTCTGCAAATCTGGAAGATCCCGAAGTGTCTGATGACCAGGTCAACTCCCCAGAGCCATAGGACACATTTTCCCTCGCAAGAGTATGTAAGCAGCCTGTCACCATGTCTACCACAGTGTAACCCTTAGACAGATCATCTCTAATTCCACGTGAACATTGAACAGGTGGCTCTGCTATGAAGTGATGGACCACCCTTCCTGAGAGACACTTAGAATAAGGAAGTTAGTGAAACTTTGCTTATCTGGTATGGTGACCTTTACCCTGATTCATGATGTGCTTGAGCCTCCTGGTCACCATGTACCCAAAGGCTGTTTTACTTGTCCATTTACATTCATATTTTCACAAAGGAAGGCACTAAATAGATCATCTGGTTCCCAGGCATATTATTCTTTTCTCTCTCTCTGTACTAGAGCAACCTTACCTCCTCCTGATAATTAATTCCTGCCAATTTAGTACTTCTTTCTTTTGCCTACTCTTCCCTTTACCCAAAGAATCAAAATTTCACAGGAAACAGCCATCATTAAATTAAATTAAACAGAAATGTAATTTTATAATTAAATTAGAATTAAATAGAACTTTTGCTATGTCTCCTAGAGAAATTGTGCTGCCATTACAGACTGAGACCTCTAATCCTGCAGAACCCTACATGTAGGAACAAGAAGCACAAACTCAATGGATCATTGTGAATGACAGTAAGTGGGAATGCTCATGCTTCTGTGACTTGGTTCCAGGCCTATGGGTGCTTCATGCTAGGAACACAATGTCTTTGATTCATTGTGTATTCTACATCTAGAAGGATGGCACCCAAGTTTCATCTGTTATTATATTCACACTTGAATTTCATATAGACTCTGAGCAGGCAATGCTCTATGAGAGTAGAAGTTTCTGGATGGTATAAGATCAGTGGGTATCATAAACTTGAGCCCCTTTCCTCACTCTTTGCTGTAAGGCATAGAACATGAGGCCAAGGCCGTGCATGTAAGAAAAAGAAACTCAGATCCAGAATTCATGTATATTTACATGAGAATAAGCCACCCACCATTGCAGAGTAGAAAGGCTGATTTTAGGCAACTTGTCTTCAAGAGGCCATCTGATCTCCTTGAGAATTAAATTCCCGTTGGGGTTTAGCTTTCAGCTTTCTTGCTGCTGGGATAGACATTTGGTGGTGCTAATAGCTAGAATAGTCATATCGATATCTTCATACTTAGCCTCCATCTCTGCCACTAAAACCACTTTGTTCATGTGCCCAACATGCCAATATTGATGTGTCCAGTGACTAAGCCCGGCTAATAAAATTTGCTTGCTGTATTAGTCTGCTCTCATGCTGCTGATAAAGACATATCTTAGACTGGGCAATTTACAAAATAAAAATGTTTAATGGACTCACAGTTCCATGTGGCTGGGGAAGCCTCACAATCATGGCGGAAGGTCAAAGTCACATCTCACATAGCAGCAGGCAAGAGAAAAGAGCTTGTGCAGGGAAATTCCCCTTTATAAAACCACCAGATCTCATGAGACTTATTCACTATCATGAGAATAGCACAGGAAAGATCCACCCCCATGATTCAATTATTTACCACCAGGTCCCTCCCACAACACGTGGAAATTATGGGAGCTACAATTCAAGATGATATTTGGGTGGGGGCACAAAGCCAAACCATATCACCTGGCTATTTTTTATATTTGGCTCTTTATTGCATGTGCTGTGTTGAAGTGCTCTCTGGTGGGCGTTAAAATGTGATAAATATTACTCACTGTCTCTACTCTGTAATTCCTTGTTCCCTGTTTCTTCCCCTTCCCCCTCCTCCTCCTCCTTCTTCTTCCTCTCCTCCTCCTCCTCCTTCTTCTTCTTCTTTTCTTCTGCTTCTTCCTCTTCTTCCTCTTCTTCTTTTTCTTCTTCTTCTTCTTCTTCTTCTTCTTCTTCTTCTTCTTCTTCTTCTTCTTCTTCTTCTTCTTCTTCTTCTTCTTCCTCTTCCTCCTCTTCTTCCTCTTCTTCTCCTTCTTCTTCTTGGTATTTGTAACCATTTGGCTAGAAAAATTGCTACTGCTAAGGAGTCTCTATATATTCCACAAACTGTAATAACAGATACACTACCTGAAGTCCTGGCCAGAGGGAGGATTTCCCATCACCCCTGTTTGCCAAGGCCACATTGAGTGAAACTGTAGTAAGCTGCCAAACATTTATGGCTTATGTCCATGTAGTGATGGGTACCACCACCCATGCACGCATTGATTCTTTTAAGTATTTTTATTTTAAAATTTTTAAAATAATTTCAACTTTTTTTTTAGATTCAAGGGGTATATGTGCAGGTTTGTTACATAGGTATTTTGCATGATGCTGAGGTATGGGATTTGAATGATCCCATCACCCAGGTAGTGAGCATACTTTTTCAACCTTTGTTTTGACAATTAGTTTTTCAATTCTTGTTTACCTGCTTCCCTCGCCCCTCCAATAGTCCCCAGGATCTATTATTCCCATCTTTATGTCCATGAGTACTCAATGTTTAGCTCCCATTTATAAATGAGAACATGTGATATCTGGTTTTCTGTTCCTGTCTTAATTCGCTTAAGATAATGGCCACTAGCTGCATCCATGTTGTTGCAAAGGACATGATCTCATTGTTTTTTATGGCTGCATAGTATTCCATGGTGTATATGTACCACATTTTCTTCATCCAATCTGCCATGGACGGGCACCTAGATTGATTCTATGTCTTTGCCATTGTGCATGGTGCCATGATAACCATACAAGTGCATGTGTCATTCTGGTGGAATGATTTATTTTCTTTTAGATTTTTGGGTCAGATGTAGTTCTGTTTCAAGTTCTTCAAGAAATCTCCAAACTGTTTCCACAGTGGCTGAACTAATTTGCATTCCCAACAACAATGTGTAAGTGATCTCTTTTCTCTGCAGTCTCATCAGCATCTGTTGTTTTCTAAACTTTTTAAACATAGCCATTCTGATTTATGTGAGATGGTATCTCATTGTGCTTTTTCAAGAGTGGAAAAAAATCTCCATCATTTTTCTGGGATGGAAGCCTGGGCCTGCCCACTGACTCCATTTCAATTCAGCATTCTAAGAGTGCCTTTGTTTCTTTAACTTTTATTTTAAGTTTAGAGGTACCTGTGTGTATTTGTTATATAGGTAGACTTGTGTCATGGGGATTTGTTGTACAGATTATTTCATCACCCAGGTATTAAGTCTAGTACCAATTAGTTATTTTTCCTGATCTTCTCCCTCTTCCTACCCTTCACCCTCCAATAGATCCCAGTGTCTGCTGTTCCCTTCTTCTACGTGTCCATGTGTAATCATCATTTAGCTCCTACTTATAGGTCAAAACATGTGGTATTTGGTTTTCTGTTCATGTGAGTTTGCTAAGGGTAAGAACCTTCGGTTCCTTCCATATTCCTGCAAAAGACATTATCTCATTCATTTTTATGGCTGCATAGTATTCCATGGTCTATATGTACCACATTTTCTTTATCCCCTCTACCTTTGATGGGCATTTAGGTTGATTCCATGTCTTTGCTATTGTGAATAGTGTTGCAACAAACATATGTGTGCATGTGTGTTTATGATAAAATGATTTATATTCTTTTGGGTTTATACCCAGTGATGAGATTGCTGGGTTGGATGGTACTTCGATTTTTAGGTCTTTGAGGAATGGCCACACTGTCTTCCACAATGGTTGAACTAATTTACCCTCCCAACAACAGTGTATAAGTGTTTCTTTTTCTCCACAACCTTGGCAGCATCTGTTAGTTTTTGAGTTTTAATAATAATCATTCTGACTTGTGTGAGATGTTTTTCTCTTTGGTTTTGATTTGCATTTGTCTAATCATCAGTGATGTTGAGCTTCTTTTCATATGATTGTTGGCTGAATGTATGTGTTCTTTTGAAAAGTGTCCATTCATATCTTTTACCCACTTTTTAATGGAATTATTTGTTTGTTTTGAAACAGGATCTCACTCTGTCATCTAGGCTGGAGGGCAGTGGTGCAATTTCAGCTCACTGCAGCCTCTGTCTCCTTTGTTCAAGGGATCCTCCCATCTCAGCCTCCCAAGTAGCTAGGACTACAGGCACACACCACCACACCTAGCGTTTTTGTTGTTGTAATTTTTATTTTTATTTTTATTTATTTATTTTGTAGAGATGTGGTTTCACCATGTTGCCCAGACTGGCCTCAAACTCCTAGGCCCAAGTGATCAATCTGCTTTGGCCTCCAAAAGTGCTGGGATTATAGTTGTGAGCCACTGCACACTGCCTGTTTGTTTGTTTTTTTCTTGTAAATTTTTTTAAGTTACTTATAGATACTGGATATTAGTCCTTTGTCAGATACACTGTTTGAAAAAATTTTCTCCCATTCTGTGGGTGGTGTGTTTACTCTGCTGATAGATTCTTTTGCTGTGCAAAAGCTCTTAAGTATAATTAAATCCCACTTGTCAATTTTTGTTTTAATTGCAATAATTTTTGGCATCTTCTTCATGAAATCTTTGCTTGTTTCTATGTCCAGAATTGTACCGCCCAGGTTGTTTTCCAGGGTTTTTATAGTTTTGGGTTTTACATTTAGGTATTTTTTAAATACTGAATTAATTTTTGTATATGGTAATAAGGAAAGGTCTAATTTCAATCTTCTGCATGTGGTTAGCTAGCTATCCCAGGGCCATTTATGAAATAGAAAATCCTTTCCCCATTGCTTGTTTTTGTCAGCTTTGTCAAAGATCAGATGGTTGTAGTTGTGTGGCTTTATTTCTGGGCTCTCTATTCTGCTTTATTGGTCTAGGTGTCTGTTTTTGTACCATGACCATGCTGTTTTGGCTACTGTAGCCCTGTATTATACTTTGAAGTCAGGTAGAGCGTTGGCTCCAGCTTAGGAGGTATCCTAAGCTGGATGTTCTTTTTGCTTTGGATTGCCTTGACTATTCAGGTTCTTTTTTGGATCCACATAAATTTTAAAATAGTTTTTTCTAGTTCTGTGAAGCATGTCATTGGTAATTTAATAGGAATAGCATTTAATTAAAAAATTTCTTTGGGCAGTATGGCCATTTTAACAATATTGATCCTTCTAATCCATGAGCTGAGCATAGGATGTTTATTTGTTTGTGTCACCTCTGATTTCTTTGAGCATTGTTTGTTAGTTCTCCTTGCATAGATATTTCACCTCCCTTATTAACTGTATTCCCAGGTATTTTATTGTTTTTGTGGCAATTGTGAATGGGGTTGCGTTCCAGATTTGGCTCTTGGCTTGACCCTTGTTGGAGTATAGGAATGCTAGTGATTTTTGTACACTGATTTTTGCATCCTGAGGCTTTGATGACATTGTTTATCAGCTTAAGGAACTTTTGGGTCCTTACTATAGGATTTTCTAGATATAGGATCATGTCTGCAAACAGGGATATTTTAACTTCCTCTCTTCCTATTTGGATGCCCTTTATTTCTTTCTCTTGCCTGATTGCTCTGGCCAGGACTTCTAATTATATGTTGAATAGGAGTAGTGAGAGAGGGCATCCTTGTCTTATTCTGGTTTTCGAGGGGAACACTTCCAAATTTTGCCCATTCAGGTATGATGTTGGCTGTGGTTTTGTCATAGATAACTCTTACTGTTCTGAGGTATATTCCTTCAATACCAAGTTTACTGAGAGTTTTTAACATGAAGAAGTATTAACTTTTATCAAAAGCTTTTTTTGCATCTATAATCATGTAGTTTTTGTCTTTATTTCTGTTTATGTGATGAATCATTTTTATTGATTTATTTATGTTCAGCCAACCTATCATCCTTGGGATAAAGCCAACTTTATTATGGTGGATAAGCTTTTTGATGTGCTGCTGAGTTTGGTTTGCAAGTTTTTTTTTTTTTTTTTTCGAGGGCTTTTGCATCAATGTTCATCAAGGATATTGGCCTGAAGTTTTCTTTTTTTGTTGTGTTTCTTCCAGGTTTTGGTATGAGGATGATGCTGGCCTCATAGATTGATTTAGGGAGGAATCCCACTTCCTCAATTTTTTTGGAGTAGTTTCAGCAAGGATGGTACCAGCCCTTCTTTGTACATCTGGTAGAATTCAGCTGTGAATCCATCTGGTCCTGGGCTTGTCGTTCTGTGTAAAACTAGGATTGCAACTCCTGCTTTTTTTCTGTTTTCCATTTGCTTGGTAGGTTTTTCTCCATCCCTTTATTTTGATTTTAAAGGTGTCATTGCATGTGAGATGATCTCTTAAAGACAGTGTATCAATAGGTCTTGGTTCTTTATCCAGCTTACTGCTTTGTGCCTTTTACTTGAGGCATTTAGCTTATTTACATTCAAGGTGAATATTTATATATGTGCATTTATTCTGTCATCATGATGTTAATTGATTATTATGCAGACTTGTTTATGTGGTTACTTTATAATGTCACTGGTCTGTGTACTTAAGTGTGTTTTTATAGTGGCTGGTGATGTTCTTTCCCTTCCATATTTAGTGCTTCCTTCAGGAGCTCTTGTAAGGCAGGTCTGATGGTAATGGATTCCCTTACGTTCTTTTCTATACTGGCTATTTTATTCTTTCCTTTCCATGTTTAGTGCTTCCTTCAGGAGCTCTTGTAAGGCATGTCTGCTGGTAATGAATTCCTTTACATTATTTTCTATACTAGCTACTTTGTCTGTCAGCTTCTGCATTATTTTTTTGTGATTCTTAGCTTCCTTGGATTGGTTTTCAATGCATTGCTCCTATCCATACTCTGAATTCAATTTCTGTCATTACAGCCATCTCAGCTTGGTTCAGAACCCGTGGAGAGGAGGTGGTGGAGGTGGTGTGGTCATTGGAAGGAAAGAAGGCACTATGGCTCTTTCAGTTTTCAGGGTTCTTGCACTGGTTCTTTCTCATCTTTTTGGACTTAACGTTCCTTATGTTCCTTCAATCTTTGAAGTTGCTGACCTTTGGATGCATTTTTTTCTTTTATCCTATTTGATAATTTTGAGGACATAATTGTGGTATAAGGTGAATTCAGCCAACTTGCTTCATTTCTGGAAGATTCTAGATAGCCAACACCCAGCTACCAAACTCTTGGATTGCCTGCTCTAATTCTGGGGAACTTGTATCCAGCAAATCTTGTTGTTTGTCTCCTTGAGGTTACGAATCCCTTTGCACTGAGGGAGCCATGGTGCTCTCCAACCACTGGTCCCTACATTCTGATGGGTGGTACCAGTCAAAGCCTTTTCTAGTTTGGTGACAATGGAATACATCCTCATTTGCATGTGCCAGCAGCAGAAGCACAGTGGGGTGCATGCTGGTCAGCTACAGCAGGGTGTTAGCAGGTGCCTGCATGCCTGTCTCCACTCAAGTGTAGACTACAGTGGCAGAGGAAAGGCAACTTATGGGGGCAGGGGCCCCTGCTGGCGATTGTATTTGCACAAGTGTTGGCAATAGGGGAGGGCGCTGATGGGCACAGGTCTGTGTGCATTCTCTTTGTGTTTTCTATGTGCCACAGGCAGGGGTGGTCACTCAGGGTGGGGAGGTCTGCTGTTCCCTGTGACTAGTTTCATTCCCATGGCAGTGTTGGCAAAATGGCCAGTGATGGTCGGTGTAGGACTGGTTGGCTCTGGGACCACCAAGGTTCTAACTGCCATGGTGGTGGTAGGGGGTGTGGACTGCACTCTTCTTGCAGCAGTAGCACGGCAGGGTGCACTTACACATATATGCTGGCAAGGTAAAGAAAGCAAAACCCATCTGTGCACATATGTGTCAGCAAAGTGATGTGGGTGTTTGCTGTAGACACACAGGAAGCTGTAGTGTGGGGTGGGAGTGGGCAGGCTGGTGTGTGGCCATGGCAGCTGCACTTCTGGAGCGCTTACCCCCTGTCATGGAAGGCCTTCCAGTACAGAAGCTATGATGCAGGCCCTCAGGGTACCTGAGGCTTCCCTGCAAGCAGGTGCTGCCAGGCTCGGGCTCTGGGAGAGGCCAGCAAACTAAAGGGTGCTCATGTTGGGCCAACCTTGTCTGATGGTCAAGACCACCCTGCAGAGTTCAAGTCCGACTGTTGCCCTAGAACTAAAGTCTCCTATGAAAGCATGTCAAGCCTAGAGGGATGGAAGTCCCTGACCGTGCTCCGCTACAAATGTTCTCGCACCAAACTCCCTGGGTTCTACATCCGCTGGCTTGCTGCCCCTACCACTTCTCTAAGCAGCTCTGGCTGCCAACCTGAGTGTCCATGGCAGTTGAGGGGCCTCCTGCAGCTGGAATTCCAGAGGTCCGTGGTTAGAACAGGTTGCTCCTTGCAAGTTCAACTCACCCATTCCCTGAGAGTCCTTGGGGGCCAGGAACAAGTCCCAGCGCATGGTAGCCCAGTGCAATGTTCCTCCTGTTTCAGCCCAGCTTCCTTCTGTGTCTTCCCTCGGCCACTCCTGGTGCCTTCCATCGGATGATTTGTTAGGAGTGCGCCAGTTGTCTCAGTCCCTTGCTGGCGGTAATTCCACTTGCTGTGTCTAGTCGGCCATCTTGCCCCAAGCTAAGAGTGTTAAGCAGAGAAAGAAAACAGAAATAGAAAATAAATTTCATGAGAATTGGAATAAAACATATGACTGTAATTTTTCAAAGAAATTATTGTCTAAAAATCCAAAGGCAGGTGTAACTTATAGAATTCTTATAATTAAACGTCAACTTTGATATTGGCTATAGATACAAGTTAAACTTGATGTAAAAACCAAGTTTATTTCTATATGGAAACAATAATATTTGGAAAGTGAAATTTTAGAAGAAAGACAGCATTTATAAATGTATGAAGGGATTAGAATTGAACCTAATGAGATGGATATCTACAGAGAAAATTATAAATTATACAAATTTCATAAATAAATAAAGTCATATCGAGTTTATGAGTTGAAGACATTGCAAAGACAGCAATTGTTTCTAACACAATCATGGATTCAATACAGTCCCACCAAATGCAAGCAGTATTTATTGTGAACATTTACCAACAAATCCTAAAATTTACAAGAAATAAAAAATGGTCAGGAAAAGTCAGGAAACATTTTTAAAAGAACAAGATGGAGAATCTATTCTACTAGAACACATGGCTTATTACATACTACAATAAGCACAGAAATGTGATATTAGCACAATGGTAAGTTAAAAAATTGAACAGAATAGAATCTCTAGAAACAGACAGGTATAAAAGGAACTAATTTATAACAAAGAAGAATAATGAGTACAGGGCCATTTTTAAAATAAAGAGCTGTGGGTCAATAGGATAATGGCAGCCCTACCTCCCCTTGATTATCAGGGTTAATTACTCTTGACAACATGCTGGCTTTTTTTATTGCCTGTTCATCTTTGGCAGTGCAGTACATAACAGTATTTATGGGTCCCATCGTCATATCTGTACCACCATATCTCCTTTGCTGTAAAGTGACTCTTCTGTTTTAAAAAATGGTATTGATGGATTACCAGATCACATTTCAAACATTCAGTAAATCCTTTGATATTAGTGCTTACAATGCCTTGCACAGAGGAAAGAAAGATACATGTTATAATAGTGACAAACCAACTTTCCTTCCAGGTTGAGAGTGTTGCATGCACCAGATTTTTATGAAGTAGCTGGAAATTCTCCTTGAAAAATTATGCCATGTCAAAGATCTCTGTTTCTTAGATATTTGGTATTCTGCAGCAGCATTAACTAGATTAGCTTTTGTGGGTGGGAGGTTACGCTGTTAATCCATGGATATTCTCTATCTCTAACACTATGTCCACTTCATATATGTACTTTGTGCCTGCTATGGGGTAGCCAATGACAGAACCTGGATAATGAGAACTTGCCAAGTCACTGCTTCTGTGTGGCTTTTTGGGACTGACTCTTCTATGATGAATCCTTGCTGTAAACTTAAAATGCAATACAAAGATCTACACAATTTGTTCCAACTCACGTAGACACACCCACGTTTCTTCCACAGACCTCTTTTCATGTTCTTGATAATCATCTATGTTATTTCTCATTACCCATAAGTTCATTCATTCTTACCTTAGGACACTTCTATTTCTGCATAAGTTGGAATAACCAGGCATGCTGCTTGACACTCTGCTTTTTAGGAAGATTACCCCAGATAATAGATATGCAGCAGGGATGCAGCAGGTTCATTGGAGACTCATCATAACAACAACTCTCTGCAAGTGAAGGAAGCAGAACTGGAATAACAGAAATGTTGAACTAAGATGCGGTTACAAAGATAACTACAGAAATAATTGAAATTGGCATGAAACTTCAGAATTTCCCAGAAAGAGAAAATGGCATGGAATTTTGAATTCCAGATAGATTAATAAATGGGATGCAGAGTGCCCCCAAGAGGGGGCATAAAATGAAAGAGCAAACTTCCCTGTGCAGACTGCATTTTCTTGTGAACTAGTAGCACTGAAGACTCCTAGTACCTGGGAAAAAGGTGCCTTTACCCTGAAGGAAGAATATGAGAAGCACAACAGAGCATCCACTTTGGGAAGAACATTGGTGTAAATGGAGATAATGTGAAAGGTCACCACATAAATGGGAATAGTTTTGAAGACTGCTGACTTTTTGAAATAGTCTTTCTTAATAATTTAATCAAGAAACGAATGTAAAAGCACTTCGGACATTATAAGCATCACACCAATATAAAGGGCTGTTATTATTTAAAAAAAACCTTCAGGGCAATATCTATCTTGATTTAACTGATGTACTATTGAAAAGAAGCTATTGTCAGCAGGCACATGAGTCAGTTAAATAATTTAAAGCTTAGCTATAGTGGCTAATGAAAATGTAAGAAAGAGCAAGTATCTTCTTTGCCTGCTTAAAATGTGTCAATCCACCTTTAAGATTTTTACTAAACTAGGTGTAACTACAATTTTTAGATTCATCATGATACTTGACAGCAATGAGGAAAGATTCTTTTTCAAATTTTTAGAGCATCTTTTACTACTATGGTACATTGTCACAATGAATGAACTATAATAAATAAGGTTAATAAATTACAATAAATAAGGTTGATGCATTATTAACTGAAGTCTCTTCTTTATTAAGATTCCTTAGTTTTTATGAAGTGCCATTTTTCTGTTTAAGAATATCATTCAGAATGCCACATTACATTTAATCATCATGTTCCTTAAACTCCTTTTGGCCATGACAGTTTCTCAGACTTGTTTTTTATGACCTTGACAGTTTTGAACACTACTGGTCAGTTATTTTAAATAATGTTTCTCAACTGGAAATTTTCTGATGTTTTTATCATGACTGTTCTTGGGGTTATGTGTTTTCAGCAGAAAAATAACAGAGGCAAAGTGTCATTTTCATAATATATCAAGGGTACATGTCATCAACATAACTTATCACTGTTTACAATTATATTAACCATCTGTCTGAGGTATTGACCGTCAAGTATAATGATATTTGACACTGTTTTCTAAACTGTAAAACATACTTACAATCAACCATATGACCTTATGTAGCACATCACTTAACTTTTGAAAATCTTAGATATCTATCAGTAAAATGGGAATAAAGATGACTGCCTCCAATGTTTTATGTAATAAACAACATAAATAGTAAATTTATAGCCACTTGGTATGATCAAAACTTACAAAAAATATAACGTATTACTTTCGCTATTTAACATTTATTGAGTGCTTTGTGGGTGAAATTCACCATTGTATTAGCTATGAGTAATTATGCAAACAAAACAGACATGGTACCTAACTTAAAAATTTTATGTTTAAAGGGAAAGAGCATGCACATAAATCACTATAGTATAAGCAAAGGAAGAAAAAGCAATTCTGTTTATAAATTTTTCTCTAAAACTATACATCAAGAAGTGTGTGATACATTAGAAAGTAATGTACAGAGTACCTCATTTCATCTGCTCACATACCCTGTGAAAAAGGAGGTTTTTTTCAATTTAATTTTTCAGCAGAAAAAAGCAGAAGTCTTGAGAAAAAATGCTTTAGATTCAGGGGAAAAATATATCTAAAATCATGACAAATGTTAATGTGTTTCTCCAATTTCAATCTGACATTGAAAAGTCTTTCTTATTAGTTGATCACCATCAGGTGAACTTTCAATTTATTTTCTAAAGAATAGTGGGAGGAGAGATATGGTTGAAAAGCAAAATGTTTTCAAAGGTCATGAAAAGGGGAATGCTGACAAAAGAGAACAGGACATTCTCCTAGGGAGTGCCTTACATGATAATTTAATTTCTTAAAACACTCAGATGAAAAAGAGATCTTTTACCCTGGTTTTTTGCCTGCAGAGACTGGTAAGGCCAAGCTCTTCCAGTAAGCAACCAAGCATGAAAAATAATTTAACATATTAGAGTTAGTGGGTGCAGCGCAACAGCATGGCACATGTATACATATGTAACTAACCTGCACAATGTGCACATGTACCCTAAAACTTAAAGTATAATTAAAAAAAAAAAGAAAAAAAAAATTTAACATATTAGAAACTACTGTTTAGTCCTATGTTTGGCAACTTATTTTTCTATTAACTTACGAGCCCTTTAAATCTAGCTACTTCAGCACTGGAGCTTATTCACAGGTAATATTATAAATATTCAGTTTTTGTTGAAAATTTGAACACCTGACTGAAATTAGAAGATATTTATAAGTGAATAAATGAAGAAACGAATATGCTGAAACAAAAGGACAGAAAGACAATTAACTGTAAAACAATTTATAGCTATTATGTTAAAGCACATGATTCTTTACAAAGTTGATTGGAATTAAGAGAGAGATAATTTATATTAAAAATCTTTCTTTGTGTTTACTAGATAATATAATATTTCTCAAAGTTAATTTTGTACACATATAATTTGAAAATGTATTGGTTTATGTTCTCCTTTTTGCCTGATAATCCACAATGGATAAAAAGATGATGTCATATTTGAACATTACATCTGAATTTCTGTCCTTTCCAAGGTGTAGATACAATTGTCTCTTTGATATGGAATGGAGAGACTCGTATGTAGGCATTTTGAGTTTACAAAGAAATTCCAAAATTTAACTGCTGTTACATCAGAGAGTATTTCAATTTCTGACAAAGTCTGAACACATTGGCTGGCCATCATCTCCCTTGCTCTTTAGTTAAACTAATCTATGTGCTAAAATAAAGGAAAAGAGCAAGGTGATGAGAGAAAAATCAGTCAGTTTAGTAAAGCTGGTTTCCCTCCTACTTTTTTGTACTTTACATTATTCCTTTTATGTTTATAATTACACAACATAATTATTTTGAGGGATTTATGTACAGAAAATATATTTTTGGGAAAAAGATAATATCCATAATTGTGTATCCATTAATAATAGATTTAAAGAGAGATACAACAATAATGAATATACTTTGATGAACCTGTTGGATATCAGTTGACTAGAAGAGTCAGAAAATAGTATCATAATAAGGAGAAACATTGGTACTATTTTTCAAGGATTTGAAGTGATACATAAATACGGCTTCTAGTACATAAGATGGTGGGTCAAACCATTCTGTTTTGTAGATAGCATATAGTTGGAAGGTGCTTTGTTTTTGTTTTCTATTTTATCAACTGTAATGTTTATAGCACATATATTTAATATGATTAAAGTATGGTTGGCTTTAAATTTACCAGTGTGCTGTTTTTAGTTTTGACCCAGAAGGAACCCAGTATGCATTTTTGAGCTCTTTTCTTGCTTGTTTCTTTCCACAGCTCTGCCTTGTTATTTCCTGTAGTCTCAGCCTCCCTAAATTCTGATATTTTTTTCTCCTACTGGAAATCTGCTAGACTCAATTTAGGTTTTCTTCCCAAGCCAATATTCTGGAAGATGTCTCCAAGCAGAAATATGGTGCAGCTGTGTTGACAAATCTGTGTTGACAAATATTTGGAATATGAAAACTTACTGGTTGGTACATAAAACATGACACTTTGGGCAACTATTTATTTTTTTAAAGTTATACACTTAACATATAATGTTTTCCTTCCATTCCTAGACATGTACCCCCCACAAAAAGACAGCATATTTACACACAAAAACTTATTTTCACATATTTATAGGATTTTTACTTTTCACTAATTCCAAACTGAAACCAACCCATATGCCCATCCACATGTATATGGATAAATCCAACTTGTTATATGCGTACAATGTAATTCTACTCAGCAATACAAAGAAACAAAATACTGGTCAACCACAACATGAATAAATCTAGGTTATTTTGCTAAGTGAACCTAGTCAGATACAAAGTAACATAAATAGCAGATCTTAAATTTAGTAAAAGTTAATAAAATGTAAGCAAATCATTAGTGGTTACATAGGTCCAAAGTCAGTGGAAGGAATCAACTAGCAAGAGGCAAAAGGAATCTTTAGGGGATTATGACCACATTCTCTTATCTTAATTATGTCGGTGACTTTATGAGTATATACATCTGTCACAACTCTTCAAAATGTGTGCTTTACATGGATAATATTTATTAAATTTGATTTAATGAAACAATGTGTGAGGAATAGAACACCTAGATTAAGTTAAATTGTTGTCTAATTCATTGCTTCAATCCAGAAGTGATTTTTATAGAGTAATATTAATATGTTATGAGACCTTATGTAACAGGACTTTTGCATATTACAGAGACGTTATTTTATCTTTCACAAGCATAATACAATCATAAGACTGAGGGAAATTATGTACTTATTTCTTTAAAAGCTTCTTCAAAGTCACCTTACAATATTAAAAGCAAAAATCAAACATACACTATAAATCTAATCATGAATAAATGTCAAACAAAGAAATATTGAGATTTGACAGCAATTTATTCTTAAATAGTTCAAGGCAAAAATGTTATTTGTACTGTTTTTTTATACACTTGAAATTATTTACAAATTTTAAAGTGAGAGCAATAAAGAAAATATAAAATCAATCATATTGGAAATAAAAATCATGTTAATTTTTACGATATACTATTACAATTGAGATTTTTGTTTTGTGAACACATAAAGCAAAATACTGCCATTATTTTTGTCAGAAAAAGTGTAGATTCTGAGTATAAAACAAGAGAAATAATTTTTTTTGGAAATGAAAAAACACAATATTTTTTAAGCAACAGTCTAAACAAATTATACTGAACTACCATTCTAACTATAAATTTTCTTCTAAAAGTGTGATTCGCAAAAGATGAATTATATTCTCTTTAAGCAGGAAAAATTTTATGCAATTTCTTTAGGGGTTTGAAAAACAATTACTGTTTTATTTCAGTTGCCTTTATGATTTTGTCTCTTCTAATTTAATCAGTTCTTTCATAAAAACTATGTTTTTTATGTAATTTTTGTATTTTTACTACTAACTCTTGGTTATTTTCTTCCCAAACGCTGTAAAGCATAGCTCATAAAAAGTCTCCTTAATAGACATTGGAGATATGATTGTGTTGCGTGATGAATACTACTTGATGAAAAAAATTCACTGAGTTTTAATTACAATTTTCAAGGGTACGATAATGTCACCCTTTTTTCATAAATATTTCCTTCTCTTTTGACTTTTTCTCATACCTTAAAAATCTATTTTATATCTCTATCTATACACATACATACATATATATGTATGTCTGTGTGTGTATACACATGTAAAATTACAGATTTTTGTTATGAACTAAATATTTATGTCCTCCCAAAACTCATATGTTGAAGTCTAATCCCCAATGCAATGGTGTTTAGAGATGAGGACTTTGGGAGGTGATTAGGATTACATAAGGTCATGAAGGTAGAGCCTTCACAAGTAAGATTTGTGCCTTTATAAGAGTCATGAAAAAGCTTATTTCCCCTCTTTATTCTTTGCCATGTGAAGATACAGTGAGGAGTCAGCAGTTTGCAGCTTGGAAGAGAGCCTTCACCAAAACCTGATCATCCCTTGATCTTTGATTTTGAGGATCCAGAAATGTGAAAAATCTATTTCTGGTTTTTATAAGCCACACACTCTATGGTACTTGATTATAGCAGCTGGAATTTACACAAAAATATGTCTTTAACTAAAAGACTTCATTGTTAAACAGCAAAGATGTATATCAAGCAGATACATCACTGTTAGGAAGAGGGCCTTTTTGGTCTGGATGGGAAATCTAAGCACACTCGGCAACAGGTGGCAGGAGCACACTGGACCAACATGCAGATCCAGCCTTGAAAAGTACCAATCGGGAGAAATTGAACAAATCATCTAACCTCTTTCATTATTTGTTTTGTTGACTTGTTGAATGTGAGTAATAAATTTGAAAGCTTGTGGTGAGTACTGAAGACAACATATGCAAAATTGAGTTGATAAACTGTAATTTTCAATATTTACATTACTATAAATGGAGAGGAAAAGACTCTAACCTACTTTACCCTTCAATTTTCTTGTAATTATAGTACTAATTAGAGGATGATTGTAGCTATACCCCAAGCTGGGTAAAGGTCAGTGATGCACACTCACAGTTTTTGAATTGAATTCAACCAATAAACTAAAGGAGTGGAGAGAGCAGGCTAAAAAGCACACTCTGTAGTTGGGCCAGCGCACTCTGTTCTGGAATTTCCTCCATGAGTCCCATGTTTCTTCCTGCATTTATATATTTTATTATAACAGCACGAATCAACATAATCACCCCATTTAAATGAAAACATCTTTCCAAGCACCACGAATTTTTGACATAATTATTAAAGTATACGTGAAAAAGGAAGGTGAAAACACTATTACATAAATAAAAGATAATTGAATATTAAAATATCCTGCAGTAATACAGTTAAAGAATAGAGATTCTATAAGTCAGAGAAGAAAAATTCCTCCACCGAATTTTTTAATTCATCCTAAGTGTCATTGATTTAAGTTTGTTGATACCTAAATTTCAATTTACTTAAAATTTATTTGGAAATTTAAGACATAGTAACATTTGCAGTTTTTAGCAACTTATGTTCTTATTGACTACTTAAAGAAGTTAGTATTTTAGGGCGGGCACAGTGGCTCATGCCTGTAATCCCAGCAGTTTGGGAGGCCGAGGAAGGCAGACCACCTGGGGTCAGGAGTCAAAAACAAACCTGGCCAACATGGTGAAACCCCGTCTCTACTAAAAATACAAAAATTAGTCGGGTACAGTAGTGGGCGCCTGTAATCCCAGCTATTCGGGAGGCTGGGGCTGGAGAATAGCGTGAACCCGGGAGGCAGAGGTTGCAGTGAGCCGAGATCGTGCACATTGCACTCCAGCCTGGGAGACAGAGTGAGACTCTGTCTAAAAAAAAAATATATATATATATATATATAGTTATTTTATATTTAGACAAGGAGGAAGTAAGGATAAACATGGCTTTAACAATGAGAAAGTGGTCAATGGGATGTTTTTTTTTGAGACGGAGTCTCCTGTCGCCCAGGCTGGAGTGCAGTGGCGCGATTTCGTCTCACTGTAGCCTCCGCCTCCCGGGTTCAAGTGATTCTCCTGCCTCAGCCTCCTGAGTAGCTAGGACTACAGGCGCCTGCCACCACACCCGCTAATTTTTGTATTTTTAGTAGAGACAGGGTTTCACCAGTTTGGTCAGGCTGGTCTTGAACTCCTAGACCTCATGATCTGCCCACCTCAGCCTCCCAAAGTGCTGGGGTTACAGGTGTGAGCCAGCCAGGATTTTTAAAGATTTAAAACATTCATTGAATCTACAATTTTCCAATTTAATATATGTTTTCAGTGGTTATTAATTATAGCATAGGATATTTGAGGATTTTGACTTAAAAAATATTTTAGTGCAACAAAATGAAATTTAGCTCTTAAAAACAATACTGAAAATTTTCTTCTTGGCATTTAAAAACCAAGATTCTGGATATCCAGCTGATTAGGTTTAATGTAAAATGCATTAGTGTGTAGTGCTGAGCATTTCAGAATGCTTTTATCAAGAGGTCCAAACAAACGCAGTGGGTCATAATGTCAAATCAGTGGAATAATTCATGAACCAACTCATCCTCTGACTTACTGACACTTACCAAGCTGTTGCCTTTAACCCCTAGCAAACCTATCTTAGAAATTAGAGGTTTACAAAGGAATATATATATTTATTTATATATATATACACACACACACACGTATATAACAGAGAAATATATAGAGAAATCATTATTTTTACATATATGTAAAATAAATATATTTCTATTTTTACATGTATGTATATTCTTTCTAGAAAATATATATTTAATAAACTTATAATTCTTGATTACATAGAAAGTAAAAATATAATACGTATTAAGTATATATATTTAGTAAACTTCTTATCTTTGAGTACATCTCATACATTTTCTTATATTCTTAGTTGCATATGAATTAATTGCTGAAACTGTTTGTTTTTGAAGTTGATTGAAGATGGAGGTAACTCATTTTTATTCGTATTTTCGACCATTGACTCTTTTAGGATGCCTCCCTGTCTTTTCCTCCTACCCCTAAATATAAATATATAGTTATTTTACTTTCCTAGGGCCTCATTCTAAACCAACATACAAATAAATTTACAAAGGAAAAAATAAAATATGTATTATAACATGCAAAGTGATACTTGAGTTCAGTTATTATGGTAATAAAAACAGTAAATTTCCTTATAATATCAATTTCTTAATCCTGTACCAATCTGATGCCAAGACACATTTCAGACAAAAATCTAATTTTTCAATAGATTACATTATAACTGACTAATCAGAGAATAAAGGACAAGCACTGTGGACATAAATTTGTTTTTCTCCTTTCTACATCAAGAATACTTACATCTCTTTTTTTAAACAAAGAGGATCATCAGTGATAATACCTAATTACAATATTCATTTTCCTATTTAAGTTATAGAGATATATGCTTTTCTTTTCTATTCTTCTATAGTTACTATTACAAAGTAATGAACAACGAAACATTGTAATGATATATGGAAATTTGTAAACATTGATACCAATGAATCTTTTTATTCTTCCCGACAGTTGTAACGTATATATTATGCTTGATACTGTAGTGCCCTGAGACTTCTGGTAACATTCTCTTTTAGATATAGTAGATCATATATGCACACTAAATATAGTAGATCATATCTGCATGAAACATGCAGCAGCTTGGGGTCAATAATAGGCATGCACTTCTGAAATCTAAATGTTCATGAGTCCCATAAACCATAACCTGAAACAAGAAAATTTGAGTACCTATGCTGCAACTACTACTTTCAATATTTTATTAATGATTTACAAAACCATGAATACATGCTTTACATTATTTAATTCTGCTATTTCAAAAGTGAATCTATAACATGTAGGAATCTACAAAAATCACAATAGTATTGTTGAAAAACTAACTACTTATTCCAAACTCCCTACCCCCACCATTCTGTGATACTTTTATTTTTCTTGTTGAAACTCTCACATTCTAGAAAGTGTGGACTCAGCTTAGGGCCTAGTTAATGCTGGTGATGAAGAAGAAATTCAGTAGATTTTAGCTAAAATAATGTACACGAATATATTATTAATTTATTTATTAATGGTCTTATAATGATTATAATAGTGATTGCTCACCAGATCACCAAATATGAAGTATTATTGTCTAATATAAATGTTAATTTTAAAATATATAATATGTATTTGTATAAATATTTTCAATACAGTTATTGAGTACATGGCAGCATTTTTTAAATGTAAAGAATAATAAAACTAAAAAATGATATATGAAAATTTATCTCTTCAGGAAAATGCAAAAAACAATAAATATGTTTAGACATTATTGTATGTCTTAGTTTATGCCGTTATAGAAAAAATCCATAGAATGGGTGGCTTCACCCAGGTAAATTCATTTCTAATAGTTCTGAAGGCTGGGAAGTCAAAGGTCAAAGTGACAGTAAGTCTGTTGTCTAATGAGGACACTCTTCCTGATTTTCAGATAGCCCTCTTTTCATATTATACTCACATGGCAGAAAGCAGAGATTTACAGCAAGCTCTCAGGTCTCTTCTTATGTAGACACTAATCTAATTCCTGAGAGCTCCACCTTCACAACTTAAATACCTCCCTAAGTCCACACCTCCTAATATCATCACATCAGGAATCAGGACTTTAACATATGAATTTTGAGGGACACAGACATTGCCCATAACACTACATCCCTGGCTGCCCAAAATGTATATCCCTGCATGCCAAATACATTTATTTTACCCTAATAATCTCCAAAGTCTTAATTCATTCCAATATCAGCTATAAAGGGTAAAGTCCAAGGTCTTATTGGAACGTCATCTAAATTAGGTAGAGATAATACTTGAAGTGAGATTCATTCTAAGGCAAAATTCTCTGCAGCTGTGAGCCTGTGAAACCAAACAAGTTATCTGCTTCAAAAATATAATTATAGGACAGGCATAGAGAAGACATTTCCATTTTTAAAGGGGGAAATAGGGAAAAAGGAAGGGACGATCTGTCCCAAGCAATTCTAAAATGTAGCAAGGAAAACTTCATGAGTTCTTAAGGCTTGAGAACAATCTCCTTTGGCCTGATATTTTGCCTTTCATACCCACTGGGGTAGTACTGTTATCCCCACAGCTCAGTGCCCCATGCTGTGGCAATCTGTAGCGGCCCCACCCATGCTGAGGCTCTAATGGGTAGGAGGTCATGCTCCAGAGATGTGCAGGGTGGCTTTGCCTCCGCAATTTCTTTAGGAAGACTTCTGCCCTGTTGAAAGTTAGACAGTGTCCCTGATGGTCTCTGAATCACTTTCAGTGATTCTTCTTCCCTTTTCTTGAAGAACAGCACACATTTCTTGAAGAAGAGCACACATTTACAGTCTTGCTTCATTACATCTCATTTTCCGTGTTTCCTTTAGTCCTAGTGTTTTCCTGGAATCATGCTATCTCTATTCTGGGCTTCTATTGAGAGAGCTGGGAATTTCTGGTTTACCCCCACACTAATCTCCTTATCAAATGGTTGGTTTGCCACACCATTACTGTTCTCCTCCAAACAAACACTCATTCACATTATGTGTGTGTATATATATACACACATATACACATATATACACACGTGTATATGTATATATGCTTTGAATGTTTTAAATATTTAAGTCCTGGGTTTTTTTGGCTTAACAATTTCTTTTCCAATTCATTTATCTCTTTTTTCATTTTATTGTAAACATTCAGGTGAAATGAAACCATTCCGTAAACATTTTGGTTAGAAATGCTTTGAGTTAAATATTCAATATCACAAGTTATACATTCTACCTTCCACAAAACATTACTACACAAACACAGTTCAGCCAAGTTCTTTGGCACTTTATATCACAGATTATCCGTCTGCTTTCTAAAAACATCTCGCTTATTCCCATTTGATACCTCATTAGAATGACCCTTATAACTCATATTTCTATTAACATTCTGTTCATGATTACTTACGTGTTTTCTAAGGAGATGAACACTTTCTCGACAACTCCACTCTTCCCTTTCTGAGCTCTAACCAGAATTGCCTTTAGAAAGGTCCTTCACGGCAGTATTAGCTTCTTTTAGCACTTACTCAAAACCCTTCCAATTTCTATCCATAACCTAGTTCCAAAGCTACATTTATGTTTTTAGGTATTTCTTATAGAACCATTCCACTCTCGGTACTAATTTCTCTCTTAGTCATTCAGTCCATAACATTATCTGAATATAAAACTAATATACTCAATTTAAGATGCTGGACAAATGGAGTAATATAGTCTTATAAACTGAAATTTTTCTCTCATAAATATGAGTTAAATACTCAAATATTTAAGTATGTTGAACATTAAAAAATTAAATGTATTTTTGGTAGATCACACTGTGATTAAGAATAATTCAATATATGAGAAAAATAATGTTAAAGTAACTATAAATCCCATCCTTCAGGTCTAAATCATCATGAGCATTAGACAAAATTCATTTCTAACATTTTCTATACCTATTACAGATAGAATCATTGATAGGATAAGAAAAAGAAAGAAAAGTTTTACTTAAAATAGATTACTACTTTGTGTGATGTTTTCCAATCTAGTTATTATATTTCTTAGATCCTAGAAGAAGAAATGGAAGTGTATGCAAAGTAAGTATTTTTAATAATGTTTAATTACTGAATAGTTATTAATGACATTAAAAACCCCACAACACTATGAGTGAATAGAAACAAATATGAAAAACTTAACACGTTAAGCAAATTAAATACTGGTACTTTCACTCTTAGCTTCATGTAAACTTATGTTTCTCATTACTCCAATTAACAGTGCTCTTAAAACAATGAAATTTATAATGATAGTGCCTCTGGAATTCGTGTGGGTGAAAGAAACATTGGTTTTAGAGTGAGATAATTATGAGTTCTAAACTGTCTCCAACACTCTCTATCGTCCATGGACTATTTTAAATACTTCAACCATAGTTTACTTATTTTGTTTCTGACATAGGATAATGAATTACAAACACATTTTTTTTCCCTTTTAAGAGTTACAAAAATAACAATCTATTATTTCTTTGTAAAAATAACTGAATGAGTGTCTCTCCAGGGAGGTACATCCTGAGACTTAGAACAAGAGGACTCACTTGAATACAGGCATCATAAATTATGATTTTCTTAATGAAAATTGACTCACAGAATCATTATATGTGAAATATGCATCATTATTTAATGAATTATTATTCTAACTACCTTTGAAATATTTAATAACTATTTTTAAGTTTTGAGCAGTAAAATTTGAATTCAATCAGTATATCAAGAATTTATAATTAGCATATGACAAGAAAAGAAAGCCCTTCTAGAATAAATTAGATGAATACAAAATAAACAATTTTAAAATAAGGTATAAGACGTCATGTAAGCTTTCCAAAATAAACACAGAGATACATCATTCTGTAGGGAACCAGAGTTTCTTCAGAAACAGATTTCACACCATTAACGTTTTCAGGAACAACAGGCAACTTGATGAGATGGTGTCCCAAAATGACATATTGAATAACAATTGAAAGCAATTTAAATAATCACTGAATTTTTTGATGATATAACATATATTTCATAATTATCTGTTATTTATCCAAGAAGATAAAAAGGAAAAATTCAATAAAGAATCTTTATGAAGGATAGAATCCAACCCAATATTGAGAAATTCATTACCTAAATGACTAATTTTTAATAGGCTGCAGTTTTTATTTTATGTTTTCCTTGTAATAGATTAGAAGTAAATATTTTTATATTAACAAAATGTATTGCTAAAAACAGTACATGCAAATATCAGCTTAACAAATACTGAACCATAAAAACCATTTGGTTTATAGTTTTATGTATTCTGACAAAGAAAATAAAATCTCATCCGATACAGAGCATCCCATCAGGAGTGGAAAATACTAAGAACAAATTTCTAATTCAGTGAATCATTGCCTTGTATTTTTGAAAGAAATGGTCTTAAAAATGTGAAGAATAAGCAGCAATATTTAGAGGGTACAGCCTTTGGGCAAAAAGCAATCTGCTTAGAAACAGAAGGTATCCTTTTACACATGGTACGGAAAGGAAAGAAGGAAGCAAAACGTGAAAATTAAGGGATCGAAAACATGATAAAAATGCAAGCAAACCAACCCCCAATACTAGCAAATAATGACTGTACACTTCAATTTAGCAAAAAAAGAAAAAGATAAATATGTTATATGATCAAAACATATACCTTACCCAAAATAATGACAAAAATTAAAAAAATAAACAAGGACTATAATTGAATGCAAAACAAATAGCAATGGATATAAATTTAACATTCATAACAGAACCAATGAAGACAAAAAGATAAATCGATTTAAGCAACTTCTGGATATAGTGCTCTGACTATTCCCTTGGAAGATTGCATCAGAGGAAAAAATAAACTGCTGAGTTATCTTGAATCTTAACTAGTAGAATTGTTAATAATTTTGTTTAGAACTGGAATATCATGAGTTTTTACAAGCTCATAAATTATATATGTGTATGTAGACATATATTTGCATATATTATATATAAATACACATGTAACTACATGTATGTATAATATGTTATAAAACATGACTGAAAAATATTTTATTAGAAATTAGTAATGATTCAAAAGGCAATCTGAGAAATTTAAAAAGCACGGTTGAGATTTAAAATTCATTATGCTCTAGCTTTTGAAGTTCTCCAACACAAAACCGAAACCCTGAAATTTAAAGTGACTGGGCTTTAGTTGCCCAACTTAGTGGCTGTGTTGAGGTTTCATTTTTTGTGTTTCTTCTGGCTGCTTCACAGCGAAGATTTAAGATTTAAACTCACAAGCTATGAGAAAATTAAAATCTTTTTGTTGTTTTTTTCGAAACAGGGTCTTGCTCTGTCACCAGACTGAAGTGCAGTGGTTCAATCACAACTCATTGCAGCCTTGACCCCCGAGGGGCAGATGATCCTCCCATCTCAGCCTCCTGGGGTAGCTGAAACTACAGGCGTGCACCCCCACACCCAGGTAATTTTTTGTAGAGATGGAGTTTTGCCATGTTGTCCAGTCTGATCTGGAACTCCTGGGCTCAAGCAATCTGCTCACCTTGGGCCTCCCAAAGTGTTGAGAATATAGGTGTAAACCACTGCACCCAGCCAGAAGATTAAAATCTTAAGAAAGTAATCAGAATGTTACAGAATCAAAGTCATTCCCTTTAATCTTTTCTGAGATTGGGCTGTTGTATAATTGTTAATAAATTCTACTCCTACAAATTGATTAAAATTTTCATTTTTAAGATGTAGGGATAGAATATTTACTCTCCAATAGAACACAGTAAAAGTTATTCATTCCTAAGAGAAATAGAAAAAAATTGAATATGGGCAGGCAACATTATTTTACTATACAAAATAAACTGGTTTGAAACAAGTATTTTGATGAGAGGTTTTGTGGAGCAAGCAACATTATTTGCTTTTAAAAAATGCCTATTCATGGTTTCATCTACTTACTGCTTTTAGAATTGTTAATTTGGCATTGTGATAAGACAAGCTGTGAGATTCACCACATTTAATATTAAATGCCAAAAAGAAAAAGAATGATTGTGCGGTGGATTTGAAACTGAGGAACATGAGCATTAATTACAAAATGTTGAAAATATTTCATTGCACATTTCATTGGCTACATTGTGCTTCTTAGCTGTAGAAGCCATAAAAACTTACTTATGCTCTTATTTCTAAAAGAATTGTAAATATAATCATATTTAAAAAATTTAAACAGAATTGTGTAGTCATTATTATGTAGTTTTAAAGTACATATGATTATTAAGTTAGAGTAGATACATTGTAAAAGGCATCCAAATTGGAAAAGAGGAAGCCAAATTGTCTCTCTTTGCAGATGACATAATCTTATACATAGAAAAAACTGAGGACTTCACCAGAAAACTTAGAACTCATAAACTCAGTAAAGTTACATAATACAAAATTAACATATAAAAGTCAGTAGTATTTCTGTAAAACAAATAACAAACTAGCTGAAAAAGAAATCAAGAAAACAGTCCTATTTACCATGGCTACATATATTAAATAGTTAGGAATAAATTTAACCATAGACATGAAAGACTTCTGCAATAAAAACTACAAAATGCTAATGAAAGAAATTGAAAAGGACACAGACAAATAGAAGGACATCTCATGCTCATGCACTGGAAGAATTAATATTCCTAAAACGTCCATACTACTCAAAGCAAACTATAGATGCAATGCAATCCCTATCAGAATACCAAAGACATGCTTCACAGAAACAGAAAAAAAAAAATCCTAAAATTTATTTGCACCACAAAACAACCTGAAAAGCCTAACCAATCCTGGGCAAAAAGAACAAAACTTAGGTATCACACCACCTGACTTCAAAATATACTGCAAGGCTACAATAAACAAATCAGTATAATACCGGCATAAAAACAGACACATAGATCAATGGGACAGACTGGATAACCATAAATAAATCCACATATTCATGGTCAACTGATTTTTGACAAAGTTGCTTAAAATACATATTAGGGATAGGACACCCTCTTTAGTAAATCCTTCTGGGAAAACTGGATATCCAGATACAGAAGTATTAAAATGAATCTCTATCTCTCACAATATAAAAAAATCAACTGAAAATGGATTAAAGACTTAAATGTTAAATCCCAAAACTATAAAAATACTAGAAGAAAACATGGGGGCAATGCTTTAGGACACTGATGTTGGCAAAGGTTTTAAGTTTAAGAGCCTAAAAGCACAGGCAACAACAACAAAATAAACAAACAATTCTATTAAACTACAAATCTTCTGCGTAGCACAGAAAACAATTAACAAAGTGAAGAGATAACCTGTAGAATCATAGAACATATTTGTAAACTATTTATTTGCATATATGGAAACATAACAAATATCTGTATAAAGGTACTAATATTCAGAATATGTAAGAACTCAAGACAACTCAAGAGAAAAAAAACAGATATTGCATTAAAAAGTGGACAAAAGATCTGAATAGAATTTCTCAAATGAAAATATACAAATTGACAATAGGAATATAAAAAAACTTAATATCAATACTCAGCACGGAAATGAAAATGAAAACAAACACAATATAACACACCAGTTAGAATGGTTATATCAAAAACACAAAAAAATAACAAATGCTAGCAATGATGAGGAGAAAGGGAAACTGTTATATATTATTGATGGGAATGTAAACTTGTACAGTCATTTGGAAAACAGTGTGGAGGTTTCTCAAAAACTAAAAATAGAACTACAATATGATATAGAAATTCCACTATTGGGTAGTGATCCAAAGGAAAGGAAATCCGCATAACAAACAGATAACTGTATCTTATGTTTATGGCAGCACTGTTCACACTGGTCAAAATATAGAATCAACCTAGGTGTCCCTCAGTTAAGAAAATGTGGTATATATACATAATGTAATATTATTCAGTCACAGAAAAGCATGAAATTCTGTTATTTGCAGCAACATAGATGAAACTGGAAGTCCTTATGCTAAATGAAATAAGTGAGGTAAAGAAAGACAAACTTCGCATATTCTTAATCTTATGTGGGAACCAAAATAGTTGACCTCATATAGGCAGAGAGTAGAATGATGTTTACCAGAGTCTGGGAAGTATAGAAGATAGGGGTTTGTTTCCATCAAAAAGTGGGCGAAGGATATGCACAGACACTTCTCAAAAGAAGACATTTACGCACCCAACAAACATATGAAAAAAAGCTCACCATCACTGGTCATTAGAGAAATGCAAATCAAAACCACAATGAGATACCATCTCACGCCAGTTAGAATGGCAATCATTAAAAAGTCAGGAAACAACAGATGCTGGAGAGGATGAGGAGAAATAGGAATGTTTTTACACTGTTGGTGGGAGTATAAATTAGTTCAACCATTGTGGAAATCAGTGTGGCAATTCCTCAAGTTTCTAGAACCAGAAATACCATTTGACCCTGCAATCCCATTACTGGTTATATATCCAAAGGATTATAAATCATTCTCCTATGAAGACACATGCACATGTATGTTTATTGTGGCACTGTTCACAATAGCAAAGACTTGGAATCAACCCAAACGCCCATCAATGATAGACTGGATAAAGAAAATGTAGCACATATACACCATGGAATACTATGCAGCCATAAAAAAGGATGAGTTCATGTCCTTTGCAGGGACATGGATGAAGCTGGAAACCATCATTCTCAGCAAAGTATCACGAGAACAGGAAACCAAACATCGCATGTTCTCACTCATAAGTAGGAGTTGAACAATGAGAACACATGGACACAGGGAGGGGAACATCACACACCAGGGCCTGTCAGAGGGTGGGAGGCAAGGGGAGGGATAGCATTAGGAGAAACACCTAATGCAGATGATGGGTTGATGGGTGCATCAAACCACCATGGCACGTGTATACCTATGTAACAAACCTGCACGTTCTGCACATATACCCCAGAACTTAAAGTATCATAAAACAATAAATAATTAAATAAATAAATAAATAAGATAGGGGTTGGCTAATGGATGTAATCATAGTTCGAAGGAATAAATTCTAGTGTTCAATGGCACAGTAGGGTGACTATAGTTAACAATAATTTATTTTGTTTTATTTATTTATTTTTCTTTAACTTTTAAGTTCAGGGGTATCCACGTAGGTTGTGCAGTTTTGCTATATAAGTAAACATGTGCCATGGTGGTTTGCTGCACAGATCAAAATAGCTGGAGCAGGAAATTTGAAACGCTCCCAACAGAAAGAAAAGATAAACGCTTGCGGTGATGAATTTGCTAAATACCCTGAATTGATCATTATACATCGTATACATATATTAGATTATCACATGTACCACATAAATATGTATAACTATTATGTATCATCCAACATGAAAAAAAGAAGATACGATGTCACAAAACATATTATGAATGCGCCTTATTTACCCAAATATAACTATATTATTTTAAATGTGAATAACAGAAAAAAAAAAGCAAACTTGCAACCCAAATCTACTTTTGTTATCTTTCACAGTAAGCTCTAACAGAATTTTAATACCTTCATATGAATAAGGAAAAAGAAATATAGACTTGGGAAATTGATAAATGGATTATTAATTTAGAATGAAAACAACAAATCTGCTTGGATGATGAAGCAAAAGATGCTTATGAAGTATTGGGATAATGTGTAATATTCTCATTTTAGTTAGACTGTTCCTGATACCAGTTCAATTGAACTTAAAATCCAGTTCACATCTCTTTATCCTTCCTATCAGTACACTACAGGTAGCTTAGCTCAGAAATACTAGACATTTTAACAAATACCAGACAGTTAATTTTAGTTGCTGATTACTGAAAACTGTTCTAGAAAACTGCATATCATTCAACCTTTTGAACTAGGTTACTACAGCACAGGAATTAACCACAAAATATTGTTGAAGTTTTACAAAAATAAACTGCAAAGTCTAGTACTATATACACCGACTATTTTAAGTTTTCATGCTATTTAAAGGCCAAGAAGGAGCTAAAAGTCACTTTTTGTTACTGATGTTCCACAATGTGGCAAAAGCCATGAATCAGAACAGGGAGCAAAAATTCAGCTAAATATTAGGAAGAAGAGTTTCTCCTACCTCTTTTTTGGGTCATTATCCTTTCTTTACTTTCATGATATAATGCATTCTTGATTTTCCTCTGAATTCTCTGGCGGATAATTCTTTCATGTCGACACTTTCTTCTATATGTCACATCTGAATATTGGAATTCCTTCTGAGCTTCTTTTCTCTTTCCCTTTAGTAATTAATACATTTCCATGCCTTTAAATTATATGTAAATACTGGATATTTACATATTGACATTTGGACATCTTACAGCTATCTTAAATTTAGCACTCTCAAATCAAACTCTCAAACCAGTTCCAAAACTGGTCCTGTCTAAGCCTCCAAAAATGAAACCACATTCCCCCTGTTAGAGATCAAACAGCATCTTTACATATCTTCTTAATTTTATTCCTGGTCCTTCATATCTGTTGTATATGTCATGTATAGATATCCTTAAAACATTAACTGGGCCATGCCACTATGGTAAAGAAAAATCTTTAAACTTTCCATTGATTTCAAATAAACTCCAACCTCCTCACTATGATCTAGAAGCTATGTTTGATCTGAGCCCTTTGTACCTTTTCAAACATGCATTGCTCCACTGTCTCTTGGTCTCATGACATTTTAAGCCCAGCAGCCTTCTTTGACTTTCTAAAACACTGACAGCTATCCTGGTCAGAGTTGTTACCTATGCCTTTTCTTCTGCCTGGAAAATTTCCACAGGTCTTGGCAATGCTGATTTGTTTACCCTTTGGGTTCACAGTTAAATGTTACCATGTCAGAGAAATTTCCTTTTAAATTGCACCAATTCAAAAGCCACCATTATACTTTACCTTTGTAATCTACTTGTATTCTATTAAGGAACTTATTACATTTTATTGTCTGCCTTCCTAATTCTAAGCTCCATGAGGATTAGCAGAACTGCTGACTCCCTAGTAAAATTCCAGTACTTAGAACAGTTTCTCATGCACTGTTATGGACATAACAAATGTCTGTAAAATTCTCACAATTATTGTGGACATTTGTTAATTTTTAACTTTTGTTATTGTGGACATTTGTTAATTTTTAACTTTTGTTCAACATTATCCAACCCCAAATCTTTAACAATATATTCATTTCTTATTTGTATTTTCTTTTCTTTCCTTTCTTTTCTTTTTTTTCTTTCTTTCCTTTTTTTTTTAGAAACTACCTCTGTTCTATTAGATAGTGTCTCAAGGGACTGTAAATCAGAAGATCTTTACTCCTTGTAGCCAAGGGGTAGACACATAATAGAAGTTAGGGCAATCAAATGCTCCCTTTCTGGCGTTTATATCTTCAGCAAAATCACAAACAGAAAATAATATATTCACTTTCCTTGGTAACATTCTTATGAAATTGCTTAGTACTTCCTCCTTCACAGGTTACTGTAATTACCCTGGTTTCTCTTCACATCCTGGTGGTTTTATCCTTTGAATTTTTTTGATCGTTGCAATGTCCTGCACTTACCTTCCTTTGTGGATTTTATTAATCTGATCAGTTGATATTTTTTTACTTATAACAGAAAACCCAATGAAAGTGGCTTTACCAGAAAGAAACATTTATTCTCTCACTTTAAATATGGTTCTAAGATAATGAAGCTCCAGATTTAATTTAGTGGCTCAGTGCTACCATCAAAGACCAAAGTAATTTCTGTTTCTCTTCTGCCGTCATCATGTTATTTAGCTCTCCTTGAGGTTACAAGATATATGCAGCAACAACAGATATTATATCTTCATGCACAAAATTACAAAAATATATGAAATTTATATTTTATATTTCAAGAGCAAGGAAACCTTTCTCCAAATTCCCATGACTACAGTAATTGAATTTCTCTCACATTTTATCAGCCAATATTGGGTCACCCATTCTTTTCTTAGTCTGTTTTCTCACTAAGAACCCACTCTAACAATAACAGCATTAACCCATTTACAAGGATGGAGTCCTCATGACCTAATTACTGGTTAAAGGTTCTGCTTTTTAATATTGTTACAATGGCAATTCAATTTCAATATGAATATTGGAACAGACATTCAAACCATAGCAGTTTCTAAGTCTGTCAATTCACGAGAAAATAACTAATTTGATTTACTTAAAATAACCCAACTGTAGTTCAACAAAATTGTTCATTAGGGTTCAGGAAGAATGTGAAGAGATTAAAAATAAACTTTTTGGAAAAAAAAAATCTCCCCATAGATTTTAAAACACAGCTCCTTTCCAAGGTTTTGTAACTCAGTCAACATAAATGGAACTTCTCAGTTTACCGGGGTTGACAGCATTGAATCGTGGTACATAATACTGAAATACCATGGATAAATCAGGTGATATAATTACTAGTTCCAATTTTTTAAATCAAATGCATGACATTTGATGAGTTATTTAATCCTTTGGTTGTTTCAGTGTTCTGATTTGGAAAATAAGATGGCACTAGAAATTTTGTCAGTATCCGTTCACTTACAAAATTATCTAAATATAGAGCTCAATCCTGTACTAAACTATGTACTGGTCCTTGTACTGGTCCATTTGTAATTTTTAATTGATTTTCTCATTTATTCTGTCTTGGCTCTCAACATTAAATTCAATTAAAATCTAAAATCCTTGTGTCCATTCATAGCCATGGATTACATGGTGACTTATTCCAGCTCATTCTTTTTGTAATTGAAAAAAACTGTATATAGGAAAAAGAGCCAAATAGATAAAAGGGCTTTATCAACACACGGCTACTGCAAAATTAGTGTTTAGAAAACAGAAAATCTAAAAACCACTGACATGCTAAACCTAGAGAAGATTTCTTTATTCTGAAAGGCAACATATATTGCTCTTATTTATTCCCTACTAAAAAAAAATAAGGTGTTTTTTACAACTTTGGAAGATGAATTGATAGAAAAAAAAAGCATGTTACTTATTTACAAGGATATTTCTCCATGAACTGCCTTTCAGGAAGCTTTCTCTAATCATTCAAATAGACTTTATTCTCTGACTATGTCTCATGCCTGATTTGAAGTCTTGTTACAGATCTTTGAAATTAAAGATTGAGGTTTATCCCTATTTTGATTAATACAATCATGTTAAATAATTTGGACTATGTTGCACAATTTTTTGAGTTAGGACATGAATAAATACTAAATAAGGTAATTAAGATGATTTGGTACTTTCCAGAATTAATGATTCTTGCTTTGCTTTGTCTCAATGTGAAAGCTCTTTGAAGCTGTGTTCACATTTGTTGTAAGGTTCAATTTTTAATCCACATAATCACCCTCAAGGTTTTGATTAATAAAGTTAAAAATGTATCAAAACAACGTAACTAACTGTACTTTCACAGGTTTACAATTAAGTAAGAAAGAAAATTGAAATAGGATTTTAAAAAGTATCTGCTGGTTGAACAATCATCTTGAACAGAGAAGAAGATAAAGAAAATGCACCAGGGAAAGTTTTGGGGATGCTTGTCATTATTAGATGTAGGGAGTTATGCAAATGGATTATATGAATGCAAATGGGGTTTCAATGAAAAGCAGAAGATTTGACAGATTAATTTATAAAAATCACTAATACTTTTAACTTCATAAGCATTTATGGCTGAAACATCACAACAGCCTTATGAGTTCATGTTGCTCTAAAGGACAAGGTTGCCCATCCAGTGAATAAATGATGAAACAGAAATTTGCACCATTTTTGCCTGAATTTCATGCCTACTCAACCTTTAATTGGTGCACTAAACTGTTTCATGAGAACATTAAGAAGGCAAAACAGGAGACTTCCTGAAAGAGGAAGGCATTTGTAAAATATTTGTATAGTACTGAATAGTCTACTCTCTTGGGCTTCCATGTCACCCCTTGACTTTAACTTGTCACAGTTATCAAGAAAGACTCATGTTGTCAAAATTATGTTGTAGAAATAAAGAATCCTGTTGGAGAACAGGTGAAATGTGATGTCCTAAAAGTCAACCAAAGAGTGCATTTATTTAAAAAGTCATTGACAATAGACATAGACAAAAATTAGACTGGATGATCACTGCAAAAGACTATTGGATGAGTAATTAGAAGATCATTGGTTACTTTCAGCACAGCGTTTTGAGATAGTATTAGTGGAGACATAAACAAGTTTTATGAAATAATTAAAGAGAAAATCTAGAAAGAGAATAAAACCTAGTTTAAATGAAAGTATTTATGCCAGTTAAGTTTTTGAATTAATAATATTATTCCAAGAAAGAATAATTGCAAATTGAATAACACGAGATGCACAAAACATGAAATTGGGTTAAGAAGGACATAGGAACAGTATGTAGATAACATGCGATTCTTGAGGAGTATGGATGAAACAATTCCACTATACATGTAGAAGAGAATATAACTGGTGGGAATTCAAAAAAATTAAATGAGAAGAAAGAAAAATTGAAAAAAAAACTTCTATAAGATGAAATCAGACTTCACAGTAAAGTGGTTGTATAGTCATTAGCCACTTGAAGGAGAAGGGAGTGTGAGTGTATTTTGAACAGTATAGAGGTCTGAAATAGTTATGTGGAGCAGTCAAGAACCAACCAAAGAAAAGCATTTTTAAGCAGTTTTAACAATCAGCTTGATATAGGGACTTACCAGGTTCTCGAAAAATAATGCTAGATTTCTCTTAATTTCAATGTAAATCGTGGAAATTTAACTCTATAAAATTGTAGAGAAAAAAAGGAATATACAATGTGATTAGGACTCATCTGGGCAGCCCCCTCTAGAGAGCTTAATACAAAAATATTTCCAGATGACAAAGAAAGCTTTTATTCCATTTATCCTGCTGATTGAAAAATGAATACATTAATGCTGGCTTTAAAGGCAGTCATGGTCTACCCCAAAATATTTCACTTGCCTTGGTTCACAGTGGACCCTTCTAGGTGACCCAAAAGCTAGAGTCAACATGAACTACTTGAGATGGCCTAAAATGCTCCAAATTAGCAAACACTTATTCCTGCCATTCACATCATCGAAAATCCTCTTCCTACACAATACACCCATGAAACAGCAATTAATCTTTCAAGAACTACCTTAGACAAGCCTCTTTTTTTGAAGCTTTGTTGATTTACTAAACAGATATAATTTCTCTTTTGTATATTCACTTCACTTTTTTCTTCATTTATGGTAATTGTCATTCTAAACCCTGGGGTTTAGTGATCTATGGCTCTGTTTCTCTCCACCTCCTAACCTATTCCATGTTGCTAAACAATGAGCAATGAAGTATCTTGATTACCTCTGAATACTAAATAAATACTTTCTGAATTATTTTCTCTACATAACTCAACATTCTTCTAATTTGTTGAAAAATTAGAACTAACACTAATTTGTTTCTCATTTATTTTCTATCTCCGTGAACTTTTTATTCTGTTTACTCATTTGATTTCTTAATGAATATATTAAACATGAAGAAAAAAATGCATGTTCTATGGTGGTAATGTCTTTTTCCAAATGCTAATAAAATTTGTTTAAATGCTCTTATCAACTTTTTAATGGTTTTCCCAAAAGTTTTTAATTTAGGTAACCAAGCTTTAATTGGAATTAGAAGTATTTTACATATATTTTCTGAATTACCTTGTATTTAACAAATATTAAAGTAAAACTATTGAAAATAGTTTATGGATAGAAATCTTAGAAGGTTGGCACCTTTTTATTAACTTCCCAGATATTTTTTAAAGTAGATTAAAAAGGTTGCTATGTAACATGAAAAAAAAAACTACCGTCTAAAATCTAATGATGATGCAGCAAGATTCTAAATCAACAATCTGCAGTCTCACATTATACCAATGCCATATTGTAAATTACCTCTTAAGGCCAGAGAAAAAGTATTTCACAACTTCTCAAAATCAAATACGTTAACTGTATTCAGATGTTAGTTTTTCAAAGAATCAAGAGGTAAGCATCAGAATGTGATTTTTAAACATTTCCAATACTTCTTAACAAAAATTTTCTCTAACTTTTTTAAAGTCATGCACACCTAAGAAATTTTTTTTTCTGGTTTGGAACATCATATTATAAAGGTGTTCATATATTCAAAGCTAGATTGTGTTATCATGTTATACTTTTTCACTATTTTAAATAAGAAATATTATCAATTACATGTGCCTATCACAGTATTTTATTCTGTTTTCTGATGGTCTTTTTTTCCTTAACTCTCACTTGGCTTGTTTGTATAGGAAGCAGAAGAAAATATCAGAGGGCCGGGCATGGTGGATCACGCCTGTAATCCCAGCACTTTGGGAGGCCAAGGTGAGTGGATCACGAGGTCAGGAGATCAAGACCATCCTGGCTAACATGGTGAAACCCCATCTCTACTAAAAATACAAAAAATTAGCCAGACATGGTGGCACGTGCTTGTAGTCCCTGCTACTTGGGAGGCTGAGGCAGGAGAATCACTTGAACCCAGGAGGCGGAGGTTGCAGTGAGCTGAGATGGTGCCACTGCACTCCAGTCTGGCAACAGAGTGAGACCCTGTCTCAAAAAAAAGAAAAAAGAAAAAAAGGAAAATATTAGAACGTCTTTGAGACAAATTATGTTTCATAATAATTTTAGTCCTTGCTTCTAAAGAGCCTAAAATATTTGGAAGAGTGTGTCATGTTTTGTAAGAAAGCTTGATTGTGATTACTGAAACTCCCTTTATTTTATTTTTAGGGGTCTGCAAAACTTTAATTCACACTTTATTATTAGGTTATCTTATCAGCAATGCTCAGATCTTAATGTTGGCAGCATCTTTCTTTAGTATTGACACTAAGACATGAAGAATTGCTAGACCAATCTGTACAGCAAGCATGCTTTTCACATGTTCCACTTGGTCTTTCTGGTCAAAGATGAGACAACAGACAACTTGTAAATCAAGAATAGGAATTAAATGCATACTTCATTATGTAGTGAGGCTCCACTGGAAAGTAAAAGAGAACTCACTAGTTTCATATAAATGTGGCATGGGTAGAAAATAATCGGTTGAAACAAAAGACTTACATTTATGTTTCATTTGTCTATTTTTTGTTCCTTAAAGCTTACTTTCATTTATTTATTTATTTATTATACTTTAAGTTCTGGGATACACATGCAGAACATGCAGGCTTGTTACACAGGTATACACGTGACATGGTGGTTTGCTGCACCTATCAACCTGTCATCTATATTTGGTATTTCTCCTAACGCTATCCCTCCACTTGCCCCCCACCCCCCGACAGGCCCCAGTGTGTGATGTTCCCCTCCCCTTGTCCATGTGTTCTCATTTTTCAGATAGACTTAACAACAGACACAGAGGGATTTTAGTGAGGATAAAAAATAAAACAAAACAGTGCTCTGTAAATATCAGAATGAAATAAAATGGTATCTTCTTATAACACACAAAGTATCAGTAGAGAATATACTTTCCATTATTGAATTAAATAGTTAAATGTTTAACAGGATCTGTAAGTTTTATATTTTCAAAAAGGTCTAGGAAAGTTGGTAATCAAGGATCCACTAAATGGATCCTGGTTTTTTGTAACCTGTTCCATTTTCGGGATTTCTTTTCCCACACATACCTATTGTACAATCTTAGACGCTAATAGACTTATGCTCAGATATTTTTGATTATTTCCTTGTAATAATGAAAGAGCAATACTTTCTCATATCAGTATTCATGGAATCATCGATTCATTTATTTAGTCATTAATTTTTTTGTTTGATAAATGTTTACTCTAGACCAGAAACTGGGATGAGCCTTAGGAAATGTGCAGAGATGAACAAAGCCTGTGAAGTAATCAGGGTTCTTTTTACTGTATCAATATTTACTCCATTAGAAATAAGGGGGTTTGAGAAAGGAGTGAGAACAGGGTTCAAGTCGAGTATTTTTCACTGAGTGACTCTGAGGAACCCTCCTGCGATCTTTACTATTTGATTTGTAACCTGTTTAAATTCTACTGAAAACTTAAAATTCAGTAAATGCAGTTCCTGAAGTATATAGCAATCATTTTGAAATGTGTAGTCTCTTCCTACCATAAACAGTTATTAGAAGACAGTGTTTTATACTAGCATTCCATGACAAGTGTCTTTATCAGTCATAATGATTGTGATTACCAATCCTAAAGTTAGATGGACAATGATTGTATATTGGATTATCTATTTTACTAAAATAGAATTTAACCTCCTCTCCATTGGGCCTACGAAAAAGTAAATGTTAACCATTTGGGGTTTCTCACCACAACACAGCTTTGTGAAACAAGTTCCTATCAATTGTCAAAGCTTCAAAGTACTTCAAAATATCGATTACATCTGCAGGTAAATTCAGGCATGGGCTGAGAGGATTTGAGGTAAATTAGCAATAGTATTGGTTGCATGAAAGTGTGGCTTGAATAAAAAAATTCTATATTAGCTGTGTGGATGATATAAGTATATTCACTATTAATATTTTTATATATGGTAAAATGACCACAACTAAGGTTAATATTTGTTCACTTTTTAATGAAAATATATCTATATGTTTCTATTAAAATCAATAATTATTTTTTAAAAAATAGTTTATCCCTTTATATAAAATGATTAGGAAGACCTAACCACCCTTAACATCAAAGTGAGTAATATCTGAACAACCTTATAATGCTATACTTGCTAAAATATCCTCGGCATTTGATTGAATGCAGAGTCTTTCACACTGATTTTTTTATTATAAGGTTAATACATCAATTATTAACTGATATTTAACATTGCTAAGAGAATAGTATACAAAAGCAAAAATAAAAGGGTAAATTGGCTTAAACATATTTCTTAAATTTAATGAAGCATATTCAATATTTTAAAAATAATTATAATCATATAGCAAGAAGCTATAAGCCATTTTTCATGATTGACATTTTACTGAGTTTCTTATTAATTTGAAAACTATTTTGATAATGTCATGAATTTATTCTCCATGTTTTAACATTCATATGTTAATACTGTACACATTTATAGTTGCAGAAGTGTTTATTTATAGGTATTGAAAATTAGAAAATTAATTTTCTGTATTTTTTTATATTCCAGGTCAGTTATTATGCAAAATGAAAAGGTAATAGTGTTGCTCTCCTCAGGTTGAAAGCACACAATATGCATTCTTTTTTGTAAGATATATTGATTAATGAAACAAAGATAAATTTGTCACCCATGTAAAAACAATTGATTTCACCGAACTAGAAATCTGAAATCGCACATGGATACACTAAATAATTCTAATGTAATTATTCCTAGTATACTTAAACAGCTAAAAAACAAACAAAGATTTCAACTTTTTGCTGGAAAAAAACGTTTTTTAAGTCTAGGGTTTATTTATAATGCAGTTATAGGTAATGCAAAATGGATGACATTCACCTCCCAGCCAAGGCTAAACATGCAGTAGTAAAAGACTGATTTTATCTTAAAACTAATTAGAAATGATCTCATCAAAATCATTCTTGCCTTTTTATTTTTAATCTCCGAGCTGGTATTACCCTTTAATCAAATTGACAATACTAGAGGCTATAATGAAGATGAAAGTGACACATTTTTAAATTTTTAATGTTACTTTTTTCTTTTAATTTTATAATTAGGTCTTATCTTTGAAAGTGATAAATTTGCTTTATATTTAAGAAGCTAATAAAGACTGTAGGGAAAAATGTTATCATGATTTATATAGATTTTCTAGTAGTTTACATGAGAGAATAATATTCATGTTTAATGTAAAAATGAAATTTAATATCAAAGTGATCTATAGGTACATTTCAAATAACAAAAGTAAAAATTAAATAAAGGTTAATTGAGTATGAAGTACGTTTATAACTTCTTTTAATTATTCTCTCTTTCATTGAAAAAATGCTAAGCACCTATCAGATTTTATGTATCTTTTTTTGAAATTATACCTATAATAGGAATGAGACAAAGTCACAGCTCTTTTACAAGTTGTCCATTCTGGTGAACTGAGACAATACTAAACAAACAAATCTTAAGACTGACAGAAAATTAAAATAGAGAGAGGTGATAGAGTCATAGTGGATACTTTTAATTAGCAGTTGAACAAGCTGTCATGAACATCTTCAGGGTAAAAAGAAAAGACGCAATGAAAAGCTATGCATTCTGCAGATTTATATTTACAACTAAAACACTAAAGCAGAAACTAGATTGCCACTTTCCATGGTGCTCTTATACTGGTAGATAGGGCAGAGCATGCAGTGTTTAATCCAAATTTGCATTTTATGCCAGGTATAAAGAAATGCCATCAACACGTTTTAGACAACAGAGTAACACAATCAGAACCAGCTCATGCTGGTCGCTGTATAAAGAGGGGACTTTAGAGCAATAAAATTTAAAAAGGGATAAATATTAAGAGATTATTACAACAGTTTTCCTGACACACGCTTAATTTCAGATTAAAGCAGGAGAAATGAAAAGTAGTGGATAGATTTACCATGTATTTTTTTGCTGACATTATTAAGGTATTGGTAAATTAGCTTTAGGAGTAAAAGAAAAACGGCTTGTAGGTTTTTGTTTTTAGGGAGAATTTAAAATTTTTTTGCTTTGCCTTATTTTGTTTTCAGTGCAAGTTGGAGATGCACCTTAGATTGCCAAAAGGAGATAACAATCATGAATATAATAGGAATAAGTTATGATAGAAAGAGCAATTGGTGGACGGATGGTAAAGAGAAAGCAACATTTTTACATCCTAAAAAGGCGTCTCAGTATTTCGATTAAGAATGTTTTAAACTTTACTGATGTGTAATATATATTTGGAAAAGTTTGCATGTTATCAGGAATATGTTTTCATAAATTAAGCTCTCTTTTCCAGCATACAAATCAAGAGACGGAACATTACAAGGGCCCCCAAAGTTCCTTTGCTGTTCCTTTCCAGTACTTACCTCTCCTAGCTCTAGGGTTAGAAATTATCTTAACTTCTCACAGCATAAGATAGTTTTGCCTGTGTTTAAACTTTATACGGCAGGAATCACACTCTATCCTTTTTTTGCGTCTTATTTTACTCAACATTATGTTAAAAAATTTATCTGCATTGTGTTGTAACTTGTCTACCCAGAGTTTAAAGTAAAATGCATAATTGTTTACAAGAGCAGAATTTTCTTTTTATAAAGACATGGATTTGAATGTAAGTCAATAATAGAAAATATGAATATTGAGTTAAAATTAAGTAATTTTTTAAAAGTTTCTGAAAGCTGCTTACATTTCCTACTTTTCTTTCATGTATATTTTACCACATGTCCACTTATACTCCCCAAATTTTCAACTGTAACAACCAAAATGTGTATTATTCAGTAGATATACCTATTACAAAAAAATCAAAGAAATAAATTTATGAAGATGAAACAGATAATTACATACATATATTTTACAGTTAATTTAATTATATTAAATGTGTAAAAGAATATAATTCTAAGACTTATTAAACCCATCTTTGAAGGTTTTTGTGAAGGTTTGGTCACTTTCTGCATCAGTTATCACATGTGGCAACTCCATGTCTATCTTCATATTTTAGCCTGTGAGGAACCATTTGAAATTACATTTCTTTTTTTCTGTTCATTCTTACAGAAACATTTTGATGGAATTAACACATCATTTTCACACTGAAACATCCAATGAGTTCACTTCGCCCACTGCCCAGATAAAGCTAATTTATCAAGCCAGGGGAATTGGAATAGAGAAAGAGTTTTACACACCTAGAGCTGGCTAAATTGGAGAACAGAGCTTTATTGTTACTCAAATCTGCCTCTCCCAAAATTTGGAGGCTAGGGTTTTTCATGAAAAGTTTTGTGGCAGGAGGCTAGGGAATTGGCGCTGCTTATTGGTGGGAAAATGCAACCATAGGGGAGTGGAAAAGGGTCCTTGTGTGCTGATTCTACTTCTGGGTAGGGGCCACAGGGCTGGTTGAGTCAAAAGTTGTGGGTTTTAGATAGGGTTATCAGTCTTCAGAAATGCGAAAGCCTGAGAAGACATCTCAAAAGGCTAATCTTAGGTTCTACAATAGTGATGTTATCTGCAGGAGAAATTGAGAAAGTTGCCTAATCTTGTGACCTCCAGGAATAAGGTCTGGTAATTGTTTACATCTACTCCTTAGCAGAATTCAGGCTCTTCTCTAGACCTGGTGGACTTCCTTTCATTTTACAAAGATGGTTTAGTTTGGGGGAAAGGCTGTTATCATTTAAACTATAAACTAGACTTCTCCTAAAGTTAGCTTGGCCCAAGGTCAGGAATGACAAAGGGCTGTTTGGAGGTTAAAGGAAAGATGGGATTTGGTCTGATCAGATCAATTTCACTGTCATAATTTTCTCATTGTTATAATTTTTGCAAAGGCAATTTCAATGTTCATAAATATAAAGATTGGTTTATTAATATGTACATGATGTTAATTATTATGTCTATAATTATTTCTTTAGCATATATGTGTCTGGTTCTTCACATAGTTTATTTTTTAAAATTAATTCAAAGATCTTAAGTGATGTGTTCTATGCTGATTATACAGAAGAGACTAGCCCTGCTACAGCTAAAGCAATAAATTTAGTCATAACCTGTTTCTGTTACCTGCCTACTTGGCTGCCTATGGGACATCCTGAACTAAGTATGGAAAAAAACAAAATTTTTACCCATAAAAATATGGATATATTCTAAAAATGTAGAACCCTGAAAATGGTAACCACATGGATATATATGTTTATATAACCATATACATGTTATTTTCTTATTCATCAAATCTCTTTAAAATATAATTAGTTGTTTTAATTAGCTGTTTTAAAAGCAATAATAGTAAGAATATAATGTGGAGTAAATAACATACATTGATACATAAGTAAAATGTAAGATAATGAAGGCATAAAAAGGCCAGAAGAGAAGAAATTAAAGGACTTATTTTCTATGTGAAATGGTTTAGTGTCAATTAAAGGCAGACCATGACAAGTTATAAGCATGTCATAAACCCTAAAACAAGCACTGAAATAACAAAATAAAGAGTTATAGCTAATAAAGCAAGAGAGAAACATATATTTAAATTTGTTCCTTTCTACTTATCCTAGTTTGTCTATCTCTGTCTTATCCACTCCTTTGTCTATCTCTGTCTAACAACCTCTAACCCAAAACTCTCCAAAGCTTTTGTCAGAGGCGGTCAAACCAGAGTGACTCCGTCTTGAATAGGGGCTGGGTAAAATAAGGCTGAGACCTATTAGGCTTCATTTCCAGGAGGTTAGCCATTCTAAATCACAGGATGAAATAGAAGGTTGGCACAAGGTACAGATTACAAAGGCCTTGCTGATAAAAGGATGTGTTAAAAGAACTGGCAGAAACCCACCAAAACCAAGATGGCAACAATAGTGACCTCTGGTCATCCTCACTGCTCTTTATATGTCAATTATAATGCATTAACATGCTAAAGGACACTCCCACCAGTGCCATTACAGTTTACAATGCCATGGCAACATCAAGAAGTTACCCTATATGTTCTAGAAAGGGGAGGATCCATCAATTCCAGGAATATTCCATCCTTTTCCCAGAAAACTCATGAATAATCCACCCTTTGTTTAGCATGTAATCAAGAAGTAATTATAAGTACAATCAGTGGAGCAGCCCATGTCACTGTTCTGCCTATGGAGTAGCCATTCTTTTGTTTCTTTACTTTCTTAATGAACTTGCTTTCACATTAGTCTATGGACTTGCCCTGAATTCTTTCTTTCTTGCACGAGGTTCAAGAAACCTCTCCTGGGGTCTAGATAGGGACCCCTTTCCAGTAACACTCAATGAGCAGTGGCTCATTATATGCTAATTATAATACATTAACAGACATTCCCACCAGCACCATGACAGTTTACAAATGCCATGGCAATGTTTGGAAGTCACCCTATGTAGTCTGAAGAGGAGAGGAGCCCTCAGTTCCAGGAAATCTCTGCCCCTTCCCCAGAAGACTCTTGTTTAACATATAATCAAGAAATAACTCTGCCTATGTAGTAGCCATTTTTTTGTTTCTTTACTTCTCTAATAAATTTGCTTTCACTTTACTCTATGGACTTGCCCTGATTTCTTTCCTGAGTGAGGTCCAAGAACCGTCTCTTGGGGTCTGGATCAGTGAGACAGCCAATTATAAAGGGTTCCCAGAGAACCTCTGACTGCTCTGCAAGCTAGTTGCAATGAACACTGGGGTGGAAGCTGGCCCCTCATCTTCCTGGGTGGAACCTGAGATTCAATTTGTGTGGTGGGAAACCTATATTAGCAGAACTCTCGCTCTGCTTGAGAGTCCCTGTTTCCTTTTTATTTTTCCTTTTTGCCCAAGAAATTCATTTTTCTCACCCTTCAAATTGCCTGCAAGCCTAATTTTTCATGGTCCTATGACAAGGATTCTGTCTTTAGCTAAACTAAGAAAAAGTCCTACAACATCTTGACCCCTTTCTGCTAGCACTGTCAGCTAGGTTTTTAATATGTGAAACTTATTTTAAGTTTCAAAGTCGGGGCTGAAGGAAATTAAAATATTTTACCTCAAAATATATTTCTTTGACATATTTAAAAACGGTTTACATTTGGCTACCAGACAGAAGTAGCCTTATCTTAAGTGGGGAACATTTGCATCTGTAGAGAATCTCTGTTAAGACAGCCATGCCACCTCCACTTTCTATACCTTTCTCCAATCCAAGAGCAATTGAGAGTCTGCCAGTTTTAAAAGGCTGAAAAGAAACACTGACCATCTATTCTTTCTAAGCAAGTCTTTATTCACATAACAAAGCTGCCTACAAAGGCCGTAACAAAGTTGCTAGCTAAGCTTCTTCTCCCCTTTCCAAAACATGTTTTATCAGAGCCTAAACCCTCATTCTTTCTGTAATCTCAATATGATTATAAATTTCTGTAACAGTAGGAAGTTGAGTGTTCATTCTGAAGGCTCCCGTGTATGCACGTTAAATACATTTGTATGCTTTTTCTCCTACTAAAAATAAATAAACAAATAAATGAATAAAATAGAAATAATTGATTCAAGTAAGATTTTTTTAATGAGGAAAACTGGAAGAAATGCCAGATAGTACCAATTTTTAAAATAGAAAGATGACAGAATTAAACTAACCATATCATAAAGAGTATAAATATCTCACTTAAAAGGCAGATTGTCAGATAGAATAAAAAAGACAAGACCAAATCACATGTTGCTAAAAGAAAAGGGCTTGAAATATAAATAAATAAATGTTTTATAATGAAGAAAGAAAAACTACACCTTAGGAAGTATACACTAATTAAACATGAAATAACTATATAAAATTATAAATTATCTCAAATTCAAATTTATCTAGATGTTCCTTTTTCGTTTTTATTATTTTTATAATCTAGGATCACAAATTTTAAGAATCTAAAATTTTCTACAATGATAAAGAGGAAAACAATTGGAATTCCACATGTACAATTTGATAACACTCACCAAGTATTTATTGAACTGTCACATCATTGGTTAATATAAGGCTTTTAGGAAAAAAGCAAGGCAGTAAGGTATTTTTGTAACTTAACTTTCAGGCTGTTTACAATTAAAGTTAGTGTACAAATAAAGACACCAATACATATCAATTTCTTCTTAATTTTCAATGACTTTGTCATTCTGAATAAGCTGTGGGCTAGGTACTATGTGTTAAGTAAAACTAGGAAATTCATAAACAAATGCTTTTCTAAAGACAGACAGTGCTGTCAAATTGCTAGCAGATTAGTGAAGAGCCCCAGCAAGTTAGCGAGATTTCCAGTAGTGTGACTTTGGCTTGGCAGTAAAATAAAGATATGCTCAAATTGCTATAAAAACCCATGATCCCAAATTCAGAAAAGTGATAATGGGTTTCCAGATTGAGTGACATGTACAGTGAGTTCTAAAGAGTAAACGCCATGTAGAAAATCTTAACAGAGGAAAAGTGCACATTAGAGAGCGGGAAAGATTTGTGCCAAAAACTAGATGTAAAATAAAGCAGACTTTGTGGGTCTAAGGAATGGGACATTGTTCAGTGTAAGCGGAACACAATCTGATAAATGAGGTGGCAGCATTCGCTGACCTGATCATGAAGTTTTTTGTGTGCCATAGTACTTTTTATGTCTTATCTTTATTTGCATTTTTTCTATTTTGAACTTCATTTAATCATCTCAGTTTTTTGTTGTTGCTGTTTTTGTTGTTGTTGTTTTTGAGACAGAGTTTTGCTCTTGTTGCCCAGGCTGGAGTGTGCAATGGCGTGATCTTAGCTCACTGCAACAACCATCTCCCGGGTTCAAGTTAATCTTCTCAGATTTTAAAGGTGCCAGTGGAGAAAAGTATGGGTATATCATTCCAAATACGTTCTTCTTTCTTTTCCACTACTCACTGGGCAATCCTGACAGTCACTTAACCTATCTAAGGTTCTGATACTTTATCTGTTAAATGAACACATTAATATATATACATATATATATATATATATATATATACATCTGCCAACAACACAGAAAAATCATTAATTGAAGCATGAGAAAGCACTCTAGAGAAAGCAAAATGATGCATAGGCTTAAATGAGTATTAATATTACTGCTAAATGTTTTTATTAAATAATTATATATTTTTTGACAAACCAGAAATGTCAATTGGAATACATGAGACAAAAAGCAAGGAGCAAATTTTCAAATCTTTTAAAATGGTATGTCATATAGTATTTGTGTTTCCTAAATAGCTATCACAAACTTTTTATAAACGCTAAAGGGCATTTTAGGGTGGCTTATGTTATTTTAAATTGCCTGTTGTTAAGGTAACCGGTTCCTTGGGATTTCCAGTAGAAAGGATCTTTCCATATCACAGTCAGACTCTCCATTGGTGTAAGTCATATAACCACCTGCTACATTATAGGTCTGTTTATTGATTCTTTTCAAAAGAATTCCAAAGGGACAGTTATTGTTTAATGTTTAAATAGTTATTGTTTAATGTTAAATTGTGTGACTTTTGCTTGGCAGTAAAATATGCTTAGATTGCTGTAAAAACCCAGAATAAAGGCAATAATCCCAAATTGGGAAAGGCAATAATGGATTTCCAGATTGAGTGACATATAAGGCGAGTTCTAAAGAATAAGAGTCATGTAGAAAATCTCAACAGAGGAAAAGTTATGAGATGATTTTTAAATGGTTTTATTTTGTGTATAGGAAAATGAAGACATGACTATGATCACATAATAAATATCTTTTAAAACAAAGTTATTTTTGATGCAAATAGAAATAATACAAAAGAGAACCTGGAAAAAGTAATGCTGTGATAGATGATAGTCACAAACTGTGCATAACTAGATTCATTTTAAAGTCAGGTAACCCAGTAGTAAATTACCAAGAAAGATAATTCCTGGCAATTATTTGGCAGGAATATTTGGAATCATAGACATATACTTTTCTCCACTGACACCTTTAAAATTTGAGGAAATTGGCGGGGTGTGGTGGCACATGCTTGTAATCCCAGCACTTTGGGAGGCCGAGGCGGGCAGATCACGAGGTCAAGAGATGGATACCATCCTGGCAAACATGGTGAAAACCTATCTCTATTAAAAATACAAAAATTAGCTGGGAGTGGTGGGAGTGCCTATAGGCCCAGCTACTTGGGAGGCTGAAGCAGGAGAATCGCTTGACCTGGAAGGCGGAGGTTGCAGCAAGTGGATATTGTGCCACTGCACTCCAGCCTGGCAACAGAGCAAGACTCTGTCTCAAAAAAAAAAAATAAATAAATAAATAAATAAATTGAAGAAATTATATGACATCCAAAATAAGAAAAATACAAGTAAAGAGAAGCCATAAAAAGTACTATGGCACACAAAAAGCTTCATGATCTTGTCACTGAATGATACAACTTCATTTGTCAGAATCGGTTCCACTTTTACATTGAACTATTCCCTACTCCTTAGGCCCACAAAATCTGCTTGATTTTACCTCCAGTTTTTGACACAATTCCTTCCTGCTCTCTGATATGCACTTGTTTTTTGTTAAGCAATAGACTCGGAAATTTGAGCTTTCAATAACCGGATGTATTTTTGAAGTTTTAGAAGAAATTAGTTTTTGGGTGGAAATTTGTAGGTAAATAACCACCTTCTCAGGGCAGTTTTAAAACAGTTTTTAAATTACTTGCAAGCAATTAAAAGGTGGGTTCTTGTTAAAAGGTGGGGTCTGTTTCCTGACCACTTGAATCTGGGAGGGCTTACACATGCCCTGATCAACAGAGTATAACAGAATTGGTATTTTGTGATTTCTGCGGTTAAAACATTCCACTTCCATCTGCTTTTCTTTGGTCACTGAACTTCAGAGTCCTGACCTGTTATATAATTAGTGTGACCACCATGAGGTCACCATGGTGTGATGAAGCACAGCCCCATTGGACTTTTTAAATTCACCATTTGTGTAATGATGTGGAAAACATATTAATGTGTAAATATTTGTAAATTATCAGTAAACATATTTCCCACAAGAGTAATTAACCGTCATGAACATTAACAATGTTTTTACTGCAAGAAAAGTATATTTAAAAATCATAGGTGGTCCCTTCATCCTTATACAGAAGCCTACAGAGAGGCAGAAAAGAAAACATGAGGTTGGCTTTATGTGTAAATTTCAGATAGCTTTAACAGCTTATTCTCTGCCAATTTATACTTCTTTTGTAAAAATGGATACAGCTCATTATGGATATTTTGAACAGAGTCCATGGCTTTGAGATCAAACTAAAGTCACACTGACAAAATAAAATAAGCATGAATAGTCATAAGGCTAAAAAGGTGACTTCCTATCAATTAATTGAAGAAGAAATTCCATTTTGGTCTAATTTATATTTTGGCCACTTTTATTGGCTACTTAAGTAAAATAAAAGACTTGTTTTAATAATTGTAATGTGGAGGATGTTTTACAAACTTAATTTTTCCTTGTTCAAATAATATAAGTGAATATACAGTTTAACTCCAGTTCTAATAAATTCTCTTTGGCATGATTTTAAGTAAGTTCATCATCAATGAACTTATCATTAGGGTCTCATTGATGTCTTAGGGAAAGCACATGCCATGGAAAATCCCCTGAGATTTTACAGTGATCATCTTTGCCTTTTAATCCTAAGCATCTATTGCTTTATCTGAGCCTGAGTTCTACATCAGTGTTGATGAAATGATTGGGTTAGAGCAAATTATCTTGAAAAGTCTTTTCCAGATCAGTAAAGTTATTCCAAGAATGGCTTCGCCTTTGATCTCTTTTGATCAGAACCATTTTTTGGAGAATATCTGATTCAAATGATTGATCCGATGATCACTACACTAAAAGTACACATTTTCTCTTTGATATTGTGCCTTTCAATATTACTAATCATATCATTTAATTTTGGTCTTTTATATTCAGAACAATATCTAAAAAATATTTATGAATGAGCCATCACTAACAATTAAACCACCCAAAGGGTTCATCTTGCCCACTGTTCAGATACAGCCAATTTATAAAGACAGGGGAATTGCAATAGAGAAAGAGTTTAATACAGGTAGAGCCAGCTAAATGGGAGACCAGAGTTTTGTTTTTACACAATTAAGCCTCCCTCAAAATTTGGAGGCTACAATTTTTCAAGGGTACTTTGGTGGACACGGGGCTAGGGAATGGGAGCTGCTGATTGGTTGGGGATACAATCACAGGTCTGTGCAACATGGTCCTGATTCGCTGAGTTGGCCTGTGTGTGCAGGCCACAGAGGAGTCACTGGTCCAGGTGGAGCAATTTGGTCATCAGAAATGCAAAAGCCTGAAAAGGCATCTCAAAAGGGCAATCTTAGATTGTATAATAGTGATGTTATTTGCAGGAACAATTGGAGGAGTTACAAATTTTGTGACCTCCAGAATAATGGCTGCTAATCATTCAACTATACTCTTAGCGGATTTCAGGACCCTCTCATCTTCCTAACCTGGTGGTCTTTCATAATTAGTTTTACAAAAATGATTTAGTTTTGGAAAGGGTTATTATCATCTAAACTGTAAACTAAATATCTCCCAAAGTTAGTTTGACCTACACACAGGAATGACCAAGGGCAGTTTGGAGGTTAAGGCAAGTTGGAGTTGGTTAGAACAGATCTGTTTCACTGTTATAATTTTCTCACTGTTATAATTTTTGCAAAGGTGGTTTCAGTAAGTCTGTGCAAATCAATGTTTTATGGTCAAAATGTCCAGCCACTTTAAGCACATTGACATACATCAGTGGCTTTCAGCTTTTTCCCCATTTTAACTGAGCCAAACCAATTTTCTTATCAGCGTAGCAAAATGACCAGAGCATTTGTTATGCTATGTGGTTTAAAAAATGGTATGTTGGTTTCTTACTTAGCACAAGATATTATAAATAAGAATATTTTGTCTTGTTTTCCAAAAAAATAAATAAATCTCATTTGAGATTACAAAAATCAACGTATTTTTTAAAGCACTTAATAGATATAGTTATTATTAATGGGAATAAGGTTCACAACACCCTATGGAAAACTGATTTACTCATATTCATGTGCTTACTCAAGAGGAAAAATAAATATATAAGCATTCAGTATGTGGCATTAATCCAAGAGAAGTAAAAAAATGCAGGCAAAAATAATTTAAGAAAATGAATTAAGATTTGTAATGACCTACATATTTTCTCTAGCTATCATTTCTGAATTTAGGTTTTCAATGAATAAAATAAATTTAAATGAAAATGGGATCCATGCCTCAATGTAGCTACTACATGATTCTTTAGGTGTAAATCCTATCTCCACAATCATCTTTGAATATTTGCCTTCACCATGCTTCACATTAATTAAAGGACTCACAAGCATTTAAAAGGTTGCTATTTTAATTCCTTCAACATGACCATTTGTCAAGGCTGGATTTTTTTTATTCAAAGATTCTCAATTTTCATTAATAGGAGTGGGGGTAGTAGATTACACTTAATAATACAGGGCAGCTGCTTAGAGTTTTCTTTACGTAGAGCAGCATAAGAAGATCACCAGTAATAACATGTATATTGCAGTGGGCTGCCACTAGCCCATTCCTAAGCTGTTTGATTACAAATCAGAAAGGTCACCTATATGAGCAGAAGTAACCTGCTGGGAGCCATAGCACATAGATATGCAGCGTGTGGGCTGAATCTCAGTCCCAAATTACCCCCTTATTTGGGTCTTTTCTCTATAAATAATTTTTGTAACCTTTATCTATAAATAACTTTATAAATAAATTTTGTAAATAACTATAAATAAATTTTGTAACAAAATATTCCTTAGAATAACAATAGCTCAGCAATTTTCACAGAATAAGTTCAGAGGCTAGCTCTGCTATTTACTTACTTGGTAACTTAGCCTCCACACCTCTGAAATTCTGTAAAATATTACAAAGTTTCAGAATTGCAATAAAACTCAATGGTAACTTATAAGACAGATTCTAACTGGATATAAAGTTGTGCACATATATTAGGAGTCATTAAATGGTATAGATTATTATTGTAACAGTTGTACAACTGTAATATAAAATTGAGAAAAATTACAACTTATTCAGTAAACTAAATAAAATTAAAATGAATTAGATACATAAGACTTTCCATCTTAAAGATATTAGAAGTTAGAATACTCTAATAACAATTAGAAAGAACTAGGAATTGAGAGCTGAGGTACATGTGATATTGTTTTTCTTCATTAACAAAAAACTGTTCATTACCAATCAACTACATGTATAATTATGTTTACTTATATTTAGGAAAACAAAAGCCAAAATGTACCTAAAAACTTGTAAGGACAAACTTTTTAAAAACAATATTTTTAAAAGAGTACTGAAATCAGTTTGATTTATTTTTATGTTTCTCCTTCATATCACTAAAATAGTAGAACTGCTAACCTATTCTTACCACTTTACTCATACTCCACGCTGAAGTAAGTTTCGGTTTTTAATAATTCAGTAATTAAGACATGGAAACTTACATTTAAAATGCCAAAAAGCCAAGGAGGCTATATTCCTTATATGTGATTGCATATCATCAAAGATGACTAAGAATGCCTTCAAAATATTTTACTCATGGCAAAGAGATGAAGATGTTGGGCTGAAATCTCCAAGCACTGGTTTCCTTGGTTATCATATGAGTGTTATACCTGAAAATGCAGTTCTTCATTCATGCAAGATGCATCGTTTTACCAGGACGTCACCAGTCAAATAGAGTATATCTTACTTCCTCTTTTCTAAGATGTATATTTTTTCTCAATTTCACATTTCTGATATGGTGGTTTACTGTATAATCACTGCCTACATTTTGCTGAGGTTTTCCCCAAAAGCCATTATAAACCTACTGGTACAGTTTACATTCCAGGAAGTAACGTGCTCTTTGTCTCCTCCTCCTCCCGGAACTCTACTTTCAGTGTGAATCCTCGTGCAAAGGGGCCAGCATGGATGCATTACTCAGTGTACTCGTGTAACAAACCTGTACATGTACCCCCTGTATATAAAATAAAAGTTGAAATTATTTTTAAAAAATTAGTCAAGGGTGTTCTGGAAAACTGAGAGTAAAGGATATATAAGTAGTGATTGAAGGAAGTTGGGCTGCAAAGTTATGCTTGGACTAAAATGTGAGCCACCTTGGATATTGTAGATTTTTAAATTGATTTGGAGGATGATAGGAGGGATGTACAAATGAGATTTCACAGGCTGAGAGATCTATAGACTATTAAACAGCAAACAGATGCAAGGCATGGGAAGAGGGATGGTCAGCAGCCCACAGGATTGTGGAGTGACTGTTAACAAGTGCCTGAAAAGAGACCAGACCCACTGTGAATCTCGACTCCTCCCCTATTGGTTCTGCCGTTATGAGCAAATTTACTTCCTTTCTCTGAGCCTCAGTTAATCATCTGTAAAATGGGAAAAAATAACATCTACTTTGTAATTTTGTTAGAAAGACTTGGGTATCAAGCTCTTAGCAGATAATAAGCATGTGATGCATGGTAGCAAAACCAAAATTAAGAACAGCTCACGGAATAATTGGGTCTCACCTGCTCACCAGCTTCTCTGGAAAACCTGTTACCTACTTTGTGCTTGAGTGTATACTTTCCCCCATGTTTGGTATACTCTAAAAAAAAATAATTAAATTAGAAGATTTTGTTTCCTTTTTGCTGTGGTGAGCTCTAGGATATTGGTAAATTCCCCCTTGAAAGGCTTTCACTGTGGGCTGTCTTTGAACATCTACCCATGCAACCATGCCATGTGGCAAGGATGACTACACAGCACTTACTTCAAGGCCTTGCCTGGGGATTGAAACAAACTGTAGGGAAGGGGGAAAAAGCAATTAACTGTCCTGTTTAAGGTAAAAATAATGGAAAGAAAGCCACCTCAAGTAACTGTACGTGAGTTGACCTTTGACACACTGACCAAGGTGTCATGTCTTCAAGAGACATTGACATCTCTGTAGCTTCATGCCTTTTCCAGATTTGATGTGGCAGATACATGCATAGCAGAGTTTATCATGTGTGGTTTCCTTTAGACGCTGTGATTATGTGTTCAATAAATTGCATCAAGACTACAAATGCTTTGTTGTGAAGTCCAGCAACATTAACACATTAAGTTTCATAATGTGATTCCTAGAACAACCTCTAAAAACTCTCCAAAGAGGTACATTCAAAATCTCCATAGATGAATCAAAATAGATTCATCTCAACAGAATTATGCTAAGTAAAATCTCAATATCAGAAACAAATTATATATGATTCTATTTATATAACATTGTCAAAATGATAAAATTGTGTGGAGATAGAGAATAGAATAGTGGTTGATATGGCTTAGGGGAGAGTGCACAAGGGCATGGGTTTGGTTATAAAGAGATAGCACAAAGAAGTTTTGTGGTGATGAAACAGTTTTTTTTTTTATCTTGATTGAGTGGTCATTACAGTAATCTACACATATGAGAAAACCACAAATACATATAAACTACACAAATGAGTGTATGTTAACCTTAAAATATCAGAGTAAATTCTCTGGATTGTACAAAGACTAATTTTATAAATTTCATATGGTACTATAATTACATGTTACCATAAGAGGACATGAAGTTAAGGCTGCACCAGATCTCACTACCTTATTTGTGCATCTGCCTATGAACATACACATATTTCACAATAAAAACTGAAAAAAGCAGTGACATAGCTATAGATTCTGCTTATTTATAAGTTTAGATAGAAAGATAGACATAGATATACAAATTTAACTTAGTGACAAATTAAAATTTAAAAAGATGTTCAGTACTACCTGAAGAAAATTCTAAGAGAAATAATTAAATTACATTATATGTACAGAGGAAAAAATACAAAAAGGCCATCTAATTTCAGAAAATTGTTGTATTATTCAGTGCAATTTCAACAAAAAACCCATAGGATTTCTTGTGACATGTTCATATTGATTATGAAATGTATACAAGAATTAAGTGCCAAGAATACCCCAAATCTTACTAAGTAAGAATACATTGGTTAACTTGCTATTCTATAAAGCCATACAAATAAGTTAATGTGCTATTAAACAGAAATAAACAAATTGATCAATGGAATAAAAGAGCTATAAAACCACAAAGAAATAAAAATTATGTATGACATTTGGCATTTTAGGTCACTGGGGAAATTATAAACTTTATAGACTTACTTTAGTAGACATTCTAAAACAATTATAGAAAATAAATTATCCTTACAGAAAATAAATTACATTGACTATCCTTAGAGAATATAAGTTAAATTGGTTTTCCAGCCTCAGAGTGTGCACAATTGATTTTCAAAGCATGGCGCCTAGTCCAGAGCATCAATATAAACTGAGAACATGTTTGAATCTATAATCTTGGGCCCAACCACAGAATGGCTGAATCACAAACTCTGTTAGGTGGGACAACAATTCATGTTATAATGAACCATCTAAGTGATACAGATGCACAATGGGATGTAAGAACAACCTTAGTAACCACAAATCCATCACTTGAGAATCAAACAATTAGAAGTAAAAAACAGATCTCTAAATATTTTCAAAGAGTGTATTAGGTATTTTTCTGATGTTGGGATCTGAGTAAATTTATTAAACAAGAATTTCTTAAATAAACACAAATTCTGTTAACCATAAAATAAAAGAATAACAAAGTTTACCACATGGAAACTAAGAATTCATTTTATGAAAAGAAAGTAAAACAAGACTAAACTTTAAAAAGATTTTCCATAATTGCCAAAAAGTTAATGTTTACAGTATATAAGGAACTTCTATAAACCAATATGAAAAACACAAGCAAGGCAAGAGAAAAATGGGGAAAAGATATAGCAGCAAAAAAAAGAAAACGCATGTTGAGTAAACATATGAACAGATGCTCAACCTCATTAGTAATCAGGAAAATGTAAATTAAGCCACAATGTGATACTATTTCACACTTACTTGATTGGAAACATCTAGGAAATATAATAATACCAATTTATTACTTTGAATTTAAACAGACTCATATATACTCTTTGTAGAAGTGCTAAGTAAAATCTCTTTTGAAAACAATTTTAACATTGGTATCCCCTTGTTCTATCAACAAGCAATTAATTCCATATGAAATTTAAAGTAGTTTTTTCTAATTCTGTGAAGAATGTCAGTGGTAGTTTGAAGGGAATAGCATTGAATCTATAAATGACTTTGGGCAGTATGGCCATTTTCACGATATTGATTATTACTATCCATAAGGACAGAAAGTTTTTCCATTTGTTTGTGTCCTCTCTTATTTCGTTGAGCAGTGGTTTGTAGTTCTCCTTGAAGAGGTCCTTCACATCCCTTGTAAGCTGTACTCCTAGGTATTTTATTCTGTTCATAGCGATTGTGAATGAAAGTTCATTCATGATTTGGCTCTCTGCTTGTCTGTTGTTGGTGTAAAAGAATGCTTGTGATTTTTGCACATTGATTTTGTATCCTGAGACTTTCTGAAGTTGCTTATCAGTTTAAGGAGGTTTTAGGCTGAGATGATAGGGTATTCTAAAGATAAAATCACGTTGTCTGCAAACAGAGACGATTTGACTTACTCTCTTCCCATCTGAATACACTTTCTTTCTTTCTCTTGCCTTATTGCCCTGGCCAGAACTTATAACACTATGTTGAATAGGAGTAGTGAGAGAGGGCATCCTTGTCTTGTACTGGTTTTCAAAGGGAATGCTACCAGCTTTTTCCCATTCAATATGAAATTGCCTGTGGGTTTGTCATAAATGTCTCTTATTATTTTGAGATATGCTTCATCAATACCTAGTTTATTGAGAGTTTTTAACATGAAGCGATGTTGAATTTTATCAAAGGCCTTTTCTGCATTTATTGAGATAATCATATGGTTTTTGTCTTTGGTTCTGTTTATGTGATAGATTGTGTTTATTGATTTGTGTATGTTGAACCAGCCTTGCATCCCAGGGATGAAGCTTACTTGATTGTCATGGGTGAGTTTTTTGATGTGCTGCTGGGTTCGGTTTGTCAGCATTTTATTGAAAATGTTTGCATCGATGTTAATCAGGAATATTGGCCTGAAGTTTTATTTTTGTGTGTGTGTTATCTGCCAGGTTTTGGTAACAGGATGATGCTGGCTTCATAAAATGAGTTAGGGAGGAGTCTGTCCTTTTCAATTGTTTGGAATAGTTTCAGAAGGAATGGTACCAGCTCTTCTTTGTACCTCTGGTAGAATTTGGTTGTGAATTTGTCTGGCCCGGGCTTTTTTTGGTTGGTAGGCTATTAATTACTGCCTCAATTTCAGATCTTGTTATTGGTCTATTCAGGGATTCGACTTCTTCCTGGTTTAGTCTGGGAAGGGTGTAGGTGTCCAGGAATTTTTCCACTTCTTTCAGATTTTCTAGTTTACTTGCATAGAGGTGTTTATAATATTATCTATATAGTAGTAGTTTGTATTTCTATGGGGTCAGTGGTGATATCCCCTTTATCATTTTTTATTGTGTCTACTTGAATCTTCTCTCTTTTCTTCTTTATTAGTCTAGCTAGTGGTCTATCTACTTTGTTAATTTTTTCAAAAAAACAAATCCTGGATTCATTGAATTTTTGGAGGGTTTTTCATGTCTCTATCTCCTTCAACTTTGCTCTGATCTTAGTTATTTCTTGCCTTCTGCTAGCTTTTGGATTAGTTTTCTCTTGCTTCTCTACCTCTTTTAATTGTGATGTTAGGGTGTCGATCTGAGATCTTTCTGGCTTTCTGATGTGGACATGTAGTGCTACAAATTTTCAACTAATATGGTTTTAACTGTGTCCCGGGAGATTCTGGCATGTTGTCTCTTTGTTCTCATTAGTTTCAAATAACTTTTTGATATCTGCCTTAATTTCATTATTTACGCAGTAGTCATTCAGGAGCAGGTTGTTCAATTTCCATCTAATTGTGTGGTTTTGAGTGAGCATCTTAATCCTGAGTTCTAATTAGATTGCATTGTGGTCTGAGAGACTGTTATGATTTCCGTTCTTTTGCATTTCCTAAGGAGTGTTTTATTTCCAATTATGTGGCTGATTTTAAATTAATTGCCATGTGGCACAGAGAAGAACGTATATTCTGTTGATTTGGGGTGGAGAGTTCTGTAGATTTTGGGGTGGAGTGTTCTGTAGATGTCTATATAGCTGAGTTCAAGTCCTGAATATCCTTGTTAATTTTCTGACTCGTTGATCTGTCTAACATTGACAGTGGGGTGTTAAAGTCTCCCACTATTATTGTGGGAGTTTAAGTCTCTTTGTATGTCCCTAAGAACTTGTTTCATGAATCTGGGTGCTCCTGTATTGGGTGCATATATATTTAAAATAGTTAGCTCTTCTTGTTGAATTGTTCCCTTTACCATAATGCCCTTCTTTGTCTTTTTTGATCTTTGTTGGTTTAAAGTCTGTTTTGACAGCAACTAGAATTGCAACCCCCGCTGTTTTTGTTTGTTTGTTTGTTTGTGTTGCTTGGTAAATTTTCCTCTATCCCTTTATTCTGAGCCTATGTGTGTCTTTGCACATGAAATGGGTCTCCTGAATACAACACACCAATGGCCTTGACTCTATCCAATTTGACAGTCTGTGTGTTTTAATAGGGGCATTTAGCCCATTTGAATTTAAGGTTAGTATTGTTATGTGTGAATTTGATCCTGTCATCATTATGCTATCTAGTTATTTTGCACACTAGTTGATGCAGTTTCTTCATAATGTCATTGGTCTTTATATTTTGGTGTGTTTTTGCAGTGGCTGGTACTGGTTTTTCCTTTCCATATTTAGGACTTCTTTCAGGAGCTCTTCCAAGGCAGGCCTTGTGGTAATGAAATCCCTCAGCTTTTTCTTGTCTGAAAAGGATTTTCTTTCTCCCTTGCTTATGAAGCTTAGTTTGGCTGGATATGCAATTATGGGTTGAAAATTCTTTTCTTTAAGAATGTTCAATATTGGCCCCCAATCTCTTCTGGCTTGTAGAGTTCCTGCTGAGAGGTCCAATGTTAGTCTGATGGGCTTTTCTTTGTAGATGACCTGGCTTTTCTCTCTGGCTGCCCTTAACATTTTTTCCTTCATTTCAACCTTGGAGAATCTGGTGATAACGTGTCTTGGGGTTGATCTTCTCATGGAGTATCTTAGCGGTGTTCTCTGTATTTCCTGAATTTGCATGTTGGCCTGCCTTGCTAGGTTGGGGAAGTTTTCCTGGATAATATCCTGAAGTGTGTTTTCCAGCTTGTTTCAATTCTCCCCGTCTCCTTCAGGTACTCCAATCAATCGTAGGTTCAGTCTTTTTATGAAGTCCCATATTTCTTGGAGGCTTTGTTAATTCATTTTTATTCTTTTTCTCTAATCTTGTCTGCATGTCTTATATCAGCAAAGTGTTCTTCAAACTCTTACATCCTTTCTTCCGCTTGGTCAATTTGGCTATTGATATTTGTATATGCTTCATGAAGTTCTCATGCTGTGTGTTTCATCACCATCAGGTCATTTATGTTCCTCTCTAAACTAGTTATTCTAGTTAGCAGCTCCTCTAACCTTTTGTCAAAGTTCTTAGCTTCCTTGCATTGGGTTAGCACATGCTCCTTTAGCTCAGGGTAGTTTTTTATTACCCATCTTGTGAAACCTACTTCTGTCCATTCGTCTATCTCATCCTCCATCCAATTCTGTGACCTTGCTGGAGAGACACTGTGATCATTTGGAGGAGAAGAGGCACTCTTGCCTTTTGGGTTTTCAGCTGTTTTTTGTTGATTCTTTCTCATCTTCGTGAGTTTGTCTAGTTTTGATCTTTGTGGCTGCCAACCCTTTGATGGGGTTTTTTGGGGGGGGGCTTTTATCTTGTTGTCAATGCTGTTATTGTTGCTTTCTGTTTGTTGTTTTTCTTTCAATGGTCATGTCTCTCTTCTGCAGGGCCGCTGGGGTTTGCTGGGGGTTCACTTCAGGTTCTATTCACTTGGTTCACTCCCACTCCTGGAGATGTCACTCAAGGAGGCTGGAGAACAGCAAAGATGAATGCCTGCTCCTTCTTCTGGGATCTCTGACCTTGAGGGGCAGGCACCAACCTGATGCCAGTAGGATCGCTCCTGTATAGGATGTCTGACAACCCCTGTCAGAGGGTCTTACCCAGTTGGGTGAAACGGGAAACAGGACATGTTTAACAAAGTACCTTGACTGTCCCTTGGTGGAGGGGGTGTGCTTTGCTGGGGGGAAACCCACTCAACTAGGCTGCCCATATTCCTCAGAACTACCAGGAGGAAAGGATAAGTCTCCTGGTCCACAGAGTCTGTGGCCACCCATCCCCCTAGGGGATCAGGCCCAGAGAGATTCAGGTTCTGTCCCTGAGCCTCTGGCTGGAGTTACGGGAGTTCTTGCATGGAAGCCCCGCCCAGTGAGGAATAATGAGTCGGGGTCAGGCCTGAAGAGGCACTCTGGCTGCAGTCTTCCACAGCTGGTGTGTTGGGCTGTGGGGGACACATCTTGGGACCAAGCCGTCCAGCCTCCCTGGCTCCAGCAGGGGAAAAGCACAGCCTGGAGCTATAGAGATGAATGCCACCCTTCTCCTGCCCAGGGACCTTAGTGTGTTAGGAAGTTGTGAGTCCCAGTGCTGAATGCTGCCCCTTCCCCAAGAAGCTCAGATGGCTGAGACAGCAGGCAGCTGCAGCTGTGGTGCTGGTCGCCCCTCCCCCTGGGAGATTGGTAGGCTTAAGCCTATTCCAGCTGAGAGGCTGTTGATAATCTGCATGGCTCCGTGGCATGGGTTTGTGAGTGGGATCTTCCACTTCATGTGTTGCACATTTCTGTGGTAAAAGCACGGTTTCCCAGCCTGGGTAGCATGCTCACTCACCACCTCCCTTGGCTGGGTGGTGGAGGCTCCCCTGCTCGTGTGGCTCTCAGGTGGGCTGCTACACCACACTGCACCTCCTTTCTCTCTGTGGAGCATGCCAGCTTCCTAGTCAGTTCTGATGAGAGAAGCTGGATACCTTGGTTGCTGGTGAAAGATTCACATACTTGTTTTGGCTCTTTTCGATGGGAGCCTCTGATTGCCGCTATTTCTAGTTGGCCATCTTGGTCCCCTGCCCCTGCCATATGACACACTTAACTGTAATGCCGTTAGCACACGGAGCCTTAGATAAGCTTGGTTATCAAGAACCCAGACATTTCATGGATAAGGTTCAGTTTTAATCTACTAGGGAAGCCACTATTTAGTTGCTCAGAAGTGAGCTCAGCAGAAGTGTTTGGTGCATGAAATTGGAATCTAGAATCAAAGAGAATAAGAGGGATGATAGATATTTGTTATAGCCTTGGTAGCAACTAAAGCAGCAGAGACTCCAGATCCTCACATTAATGTTCCTTTTACTACATTTCACAGAAATTGTGAACAGTAATGTTATTAATAAACAAGTTAAACTAAGCATTGTAGGGGAGGAAATGTAAGGATGTCTTGGACCCCAGTCAGAGCCGCTTCACTGAGCTGTCGTGCCCATTCTCTGCTTGCTTTGATTGCTGGCTGCTAGTGGCACACAGTTGTCTCTATTAGGTTATTGCCCTCACTTAAATAAGAGGTGTTTCATCTGGGAAGTTTTGGCTCCCAGGGCAGCCAGTCATCCAGTGTCCCTCTGACTGGCACAGAGGTACAAAGGCTGGTGGTGTGCCCTCAAAGAAGCTCCAACATTATGGTGCCACTCATGCTCCAATTGCCCTATGAAACTGGGCCACTTCTTGTCTCTAATTAAGATCTCATTCTTTCTTCATTGTCTAGCCAGTCAATTTCTCTATTCCGCTTCTAAGAATGCTACCTTAAGAATTGCCTTTACAAGAATTCCTCTCTTAGGCTTTCCTTGCAAGGTACCTAACCTGAGTCAATATTCCTATTCCTAAATCATCTCAGATCCCCTGAGATGCTGGATATCCGAAATTGTCCAAGATCATATAAAGATATGAAAGAAAACTTATCTCAATATTCCAGTATTGGGGCAAAACATTTTGCCCTCAAAGTTTAGAAATGTTGCCCAACTGTTTTTTGAAATTTATTTCTATAACAAAGACGTCTTACATTAATCTGACTTTTATTTCTCTATGCTTTTCTTTGATTCAAATTTGCCAGTGTCATCAAGGTATAGAAATTGCTGTTGTTTTTGTTTTGCACTGCTTTGCTTTTATTTTTCTTTGAATATGCATCTACCTTTCTACGTGCATTCATGAGAGTTTTTGCCTTTTTCCTAGTTCATAAGTATTTTTATTTTAGTTAGTGGAGAATTGGTGTTTATTTTCTAAAATCAACCAAGATTATCTATTAATCCTATAATAAGTTATCATTAACTTTCCATTATATCATTACTTATTTCATTTGTGTTTATATGTTCCCTATCTTCTATAGCAAAAATAGTTCAAAGATTTTTAAGTTATTACTCCTTCAATTTTATATAGCCTCTATCTTAATCTAAAATAATGTTTAATACATTTTAATTTTCATGACAGTAATTCTGTGTTCTACCTATCTTACATAATTCATAGGTATTATATTTTTTAAAATGTAATTATGACTGGGTGTGGTGGCTTACGCCTGTAATCCCAGCACTTTGGGAGGCCGAGGCAGGTGGATCACGAGGTCAGGAGATGGAGACCATTCTGGCTAACACGGTGAAACCCCGCCTCTACTAAAAATACAAAAATTAGACATGCATGGTGGTGCACGCCTGTAATCCCAGCCACTTGGGAGTCTGAGGCAGGAGAATTGCTTGAACCAGGGAGGCAGAGGTTGCAGTTGCAGTGAGTCGAGATTGTGCCACTGAACTCCAGCCTGGGCAACAGAGAAAGACTTCATCTCAAAAAAAAAAAAAAAAGTAGTGATTATAATTTTCTGATGTTATTTTATAAGGAGAGGTAAAAATAGTGTGTTTTTCTTTACATCCTGGGTCTGTGCCAATCTAAGAAAAAAGTAGATACGTTCAGATGGAACTACAATATAAGCATTGACACTGAAAGTGGATTTGGTAAAGAACATTTAAAATCTGTGGCCAAAGTCCTTGCAAACTCTCCATCTCCAGCAATGCTTACAATACCAGTCTCAATACCAGGATATCACACCTAGGAAAGTGCACATTTTCAAGCTTCATGTATTTAGCTAGACTTGTTGTTAAACAGGGTAGAACAATAAAACAAGAACATGAATGATTCAGTTAACGCTTGCAACTTATAGTAAATTACTTCTACCTAATCGAGAAGAGTTAAGAAATGGATGCCATTCACCAACATGATGAACAGGCACAGCAAAAAGGTGGCAATGTTCCTCAAGATGTAATCCCTCCACAGGGAAAGTGGAGTTTATGTAAATGAAAATCTCTTGCAGCAATCTTCCTTTATTCATTAATATTGACAAGAAATTTCTAAAACTGTCTCTGAAATATTGTGTATATCATGTCTAGACATAATAATTTTAACTTTTCCTTTTTTATAGTTTTTTTCCACTGAGAAGGCCCATGTTTGAAAATTTTCATATATTTATCTCTGAAAGAAGTTAATTTTACAAGATTCATCATCTAGAAATATATATTCTCTTGTTACAATTTCTGCTTACTTCTCTGGTTTATTATGAAACTTGAAAACATAAGTGCATAAACAATCTCCAATGTGCACCACCTGTGGAATTATTCCCTTCCCTAAAATACTTCTTTTTCCCCAAAGTCAGTTTCACTGGTCAAGACTATGCATTTCTACTCTCATTCTTCACAATATACCTCTTTGCACTGTATTTTCAGGAAATTGTGCTCTTTGGATTAATGTAGAAAGAAAACATGCTAATAACATTAGGAATGCCTCAAAAAGTATAACTATACTCTCCCCATTTTTCTGAAAACATTTGTTTCTTACTCTTTGTAGTGGGTGTTATTTTAAGTTGTAAAACATATGGAAATTAGCCAGGCATGGCGATGTGCACCTGTAGTCCCAGTCACTTGGGAGGCTGAGGCAGGAGAATCGCTTGAACCCAGGAGGTGGAGGTTGCAGTGAGCCAAGTTTGTGCCACTGCACTCCAGCCTTAGAGATTGAGTGAAATCTTGTCTCAAAAAAGAAAAAAATAAAAGAAATAAAAGAAAAAAGATATTGAAGTAATTGCAAGAATTTCACTTAAAAGTAAGCCCTTTTTATAAGAACTTTTTAAAGGCATTTATACACATTTTAGGTTTGTATTTGTTTGTTTGTTTGTTTGGACAGAGTCTTGCTCTGTCACCACAGCTGGAGTGCAATGGCGTGATGTTGGCTCACTGCAATCTCCACCTCCCGGGTTCAAGCAATTCTCCTGCCTCAGCCTCCCGACTAGCTGAGATTACAGGTGCCCGCCACCATGCCCGGCTAATTTTTTGTATTTTTAGTAGAGACGGGGTTTCACCATTTTGGCCAGGCTGGTCTTGAACTACTGACCTCAGGTGATCCACCTGCCTCGGCCTCTCAAAGTGCTGGGATTACAGGCGTGAGCCACTGTGCCTGGCCATTTTAGGTTGATTTTTATATTTCTGTTTAAATTATTATGTTTTTTAAATTGGAAAAAAAATGAATCTTAAATACATACATACATATATATATATATATATTTTTTTTTTTTAAAGACTCTTCTATGACCACAGAGTCAAGTATAAATCCAGGACTCTGATTGAGGCAATCAAATCCACAGATCTGATTTTAGAAAGCTATGTTTTAAAATGCCATGTTGTCATCTCTCTTTTCTCTTGTGCTCTCTCATTCTGTCTCTCTCTTTCTCCCATCCACAATTCTATCTTTTGCCTTCCCACTTACCAACCTATCTATATATTTCGTATCTATCCTTCTATCCATCCAATCAACTGATATATCTATCTTTTATATATGTGTACTTTTTTTCTTGTTTCATACTCAACTGATGAAATTGATGGAATAGTTGAGCAATGTAAGTGAAATAATATATTGTCACACACATTTATTGAATGGATATTGTGTTGTGAGAATTATAAGGGTATCAAAAAAGCCATACACAAAATCTAGAACAGTTGCCTGTGTTTAGAAAAAAAATACATTTCCTAGTAAGTGATCATTTTAAAGAAACGTTTCACACACACCCAAGAGCAAACTTTCACCCATGCAATGTTTGCTGTATAAGCATATAAAAGTTACCTGTATAACAAATGTTTCCATCAAAGGAGAAGCTCTACCAGCACACTTGAAATATGATCTATAAAAGTGAAATATACAATACATAGTTATTATATTAGCACTCATAGGAATTAGCACTTATAGGAAGCAAATATACTACAAATTAGAGTAAATGAAATAAATGTCATCCAGCAAGTAACATCATAAACACTGGTCTGAATGATTTCATATGTCTGGTTAAAGTTTGTTTTCTTTGTGTTGGTTTTAACTATAAATCCCAAAATAAATTTGCCTATTACTCACTGATTTTATGGAAATTGTAAGTTGCTTATTTAAGGACATTAAAAATACTCTTTAGCAGTACCCCCCTTTATTTTTTACTGTGAAGCTGTGTTAATTTCAGAGAAGTTAACATTACCAAAAAAACAACTATTTTAATTAATATAAACATTATTATAGATATGCTATATATCTATATATGTGGTTGCATAATGTGTGTTTTATGTACATACAGATGTGTATATATTTATATACTATATATATATATATATAAAATGCTAACTCTAGCCTTATAAACCCTTTTAAATTTCAAATAAAAATCATAAGGTATGCCTGATGTCACTTTACATTTTAATTCAGAAAAAAATTATAAAATGAAAAGAAATCCCTAAAAGAGAAGGAATATCAAGAAGGACTCAATTGCTAAAGTAGGTCAAGGACAATTAAATTGCTTTCTTAATATGTCTGCTTATAATTTGATTATTTCTGTAAATTATATTTTTACAAAGTTCCTTTGAAAATATTGTTCTTTTGTTTTGATAAGCTTTTAAGACACATTCACACATTTTATTTCCTGTCAGCCATTTTCTTTCATCATAAAAGTCATTTTGTTAGGGTCTTGATTTAATTATAGACTCTATTCATTAGGGCAACTGACCAACTCAAGAATCCCTACTGCTTTATTCAATAGAAGTAGTTCCTGGAGTTTTGTGTTTAATGCACTCCATTTTCCCTAGTTCATAAAGTGTGAAAACTTATATTTTATTCAGTATTTTTCTTGGCTCTCTGATTGAATCAGTTTCCAAGGAATGAGACATATGTGTGAGTTATATCTCCTTTACAAATATTCTTTCTTGCAAGGAATTACTTTTTCATTGCCAATATGGGGATTGGCTAGGCTAAGTACTCATATATGCCTATTGTGAAAACATGTTTTATTGAATGGCCTTAAATCTTTATGTTTCTTGTTATAAAAATCCGTAAGAAAAGAATATTGCAAAAGATTTAAAAATTTTTTTAAATGTGTATATTTGTAAGGTTAATTTACATATTAATTGTTGTCAGTAAAATTAATTGTTGTCAGTAAAATAATCTTGACACCTAAAGGACTTTTTAATAAACACATTGACAGAGTTGTTTCTTCTGCTATGCAGCCTGTCTTCTGCACCATATTGATTTTAAGGTCCTTACGTGTGGAATTTGTTTTGGACAATATTGGATAGAAGGCCCTCGAAGAGTATAATAGGGGTATGTGGTGGGGGAAAATTAGTATTTCACTTTTCTTAATAGCCATTGTTGAACCATGCACCCAAGCACTACAACAATGGTTCTGTATCCACAGCCCACAATGGGATTCAACCTATGAACTTTGTAGGGGAACAAAAAAGTTAAATCTTTATGTTCACTAATATATCTAACTGAAATTTAGTACATCTTAGATATATGCAAACAATACAAAGTAGTATTAGAGTGCCTGGCCTATCTTGTTGCCAATTAAAATTTTGTATATTTTCATATCACATTACCTTGCTGCAGATATACTGAAATATGTTGACTGGAGAATAATTCTCTGGGTGACCTTAGACCAACCCGTTTCTCCCCATTTTCTCACTTAGAGTTCTCAAGAATGATTGCAGAATGTGTTGTGAATGCAATGTCCTGAGATAAGAAAGAACTATCTGGAACAGCCTGGTCTCTTTCCCAGTCCTTCCCTAGAAACAGAATGTCCTTCAATGCTTTAACCCAGTGATCCATGGAACTCTGTGGTTATAAAACCCATTATGTGCTGGTTTCCAGGGCCTCTTAGCCATGGTGCAATTAAGGTATGCACAGATAAGACTCTGTCTACCCTGGGCAGCTTTCCTGATCCATGGCAGTCTGGCTTACAAGCAATACTAGGCTTCTATTGTCTCTTTCTGTATATTTGTAAGTAATAAATCTACTTCATATAACTCATTATGTATAGGTGTTCTATCTCATCAAACAAAAGCAAGTTGGGAACCAGTGCAGAGTGAACCTGCTTCACATTTAAAATCAAAGCTACCACAATATTTTGCTACTTATTAGTCCAGCCTTAAGACTTCATCATTTGATGTGTCAGTATGATCACATACATAACTGAATTTTATAATCTCTATAGTTTGACTAATATGTTTCAAAATAATTAAATTTATTTGTAATCCTAAGTATTTTATTTTATAAATGTATAAAAATTACAGTGAGCACACAGGAAACAAAGGCAAAAATAGGCCAATGAGGCCTCATCAAACTTAAAAGTTTTCATTTGTCAAAGGATATCACGAACAGAGTAAAAAGAGAGCCCATGAAATGGGAGAAAATATTTGTAAATCACATAGCTGATAAGAGGTTAATATCTAGCATATATAAAGAACTCCTACAATTCAAGAACAAAAGTTCAAGTAACCCAATTAAAAGTAGGTTAAAAACTTGAATAAACATTTCTCCAAAGATGATATGCAAAGTCCAGCAAACATGAAAAGATGCTCAGTATCACTAATCATCAGAGAAATTCATTTTTCTGTGAGATATCACCACACATCCATTGGGATAGAAACCATAAAAAACAAACAAAACCAGAAAGTAACAAATGTGTTAGCAGGGATATGGACAAGTTGAAACCCTTGTGCATTGTTGGTTGGATTGTAAAATGGTGCAACCTTTATGGAGAACAATACTGACTTCCTTCAAAAAATTACAAATACCAATATCATACGATAATCAGCGATCACACTTCTGGGTATTTACCCCCCAAAAAGTGAGGTTCTCAAAGAGATCTTTGCATATGCATGTTCATAGCAACACTATTTACAGTGTAGATATAGAAAGCATAATAGTTGTTACCAGGGGCTGGGAACAGGGGGAAAGGAACTTTGTTGTTTAATCCATACAGAGTTTCAATTCTGCATGATAAAAACATTTTGGAGATCTTAACACTGCTAAACTATACCCTTAAAAGTGGAAAATTGTATGATATGTATGTTTTACTTCAGTAAAAATCATATACTGAGAACAAGCCTGTAAGCTTCACTGGATTTTCCCAGTCTTTGGTGTGAAAAGGGTTACAAATCCCTACACTAGAGGAATATTGGACAAGCCTGATTTGCCCCTTCATACTGATTCTTTCAGAACAAGTTTATTAATTTTTAATCTTCTGAGATGAATCATCATACAATTCCTCAGTTTATGAAAGTATCTCTGCACAGCCTAGCATTTTGAAAGGAAAATAAAATAATAAATAATGTTCCTACCCAACACTTACCTGAATTTAGTTGAGACTGCCATGTGTACATGTTTGAAAAAGATTTGGGAATAATCAGCAAGAAAACCCTCTCTCTCCTTCCTCAAAAATTATCTACAACTCCTAGTATTTTCTTCATAATTTCCAGATTTACATAAAAATTATGAAAATCTAGTTAACTAACATTTAAAGGAGAATAAGATTTTATCTTATAGACAGTAAGTGCCAGATATGGAGATAAATGATCTGATTATCTTACTAGAATTGAATTTTTGCGGCTGAGTTTTTGAATAAACCAAGACTTATAATATTCCTGTACCCTATAAAGCACATTGACTACTGATTCTTTCCTGCTTCTGAAAAAGGCACAAATTGAGAGGGAAGTTTATATGTTCCATCTCAGATACAAGCAATAACTTTCCATATAAGGGAGACTGATGGTAATTATCTCCACATCCCTATAGTACTATTATTAATGATAATGGTGACTCAAATTGGAAGCCCTTTGAATATAAGTAAGTGGTTGTAAAAACTGAAATTTCAACCTGATGAATTCACATGTAATCACTTAAACTTACAGAACTTTCCAAAAGGATGGAACTGGCAATTGCAGTGAATTTATTCAATTGGATTTGGCCTTTTGATTTTATGTTTGAGAGCTAAGTTTGTATAGAAGTGTTCATTAAAAGAAAAAGTTACAGAATCATATACTTGAGACATTTTTGGAAAAATAATATATAAGCATAAGTTGTCTTTTGCCTATTTATTAAAGCCATTCTAGTGTTTGAGAAGTGGTGTTTCTTGTTTTCATGTGCATTTTCATAGTGGATAGTGATGTTGGGCATTTTTTATATGATTATTAGCCATATATAATTCTTCTTTGAAGAAAGAGCTATTCAAATCCACTATACTTTTTGATTTATTTTCTTTTACTTTTTTTTAATTGGGGATTTTCTATTCATGTTATGATTTGAAATCATTCAGGACTTTGTTTCTTTTGATGCTTATAATTCTTTAACCATTTCAGAACTGACTGATGCATTTATAATGCTACAACAGAATCTTATTAGGTGACTGTATTGTGTATAGGGTGGTCATAACAAAGTACCACAGACTGAGTAGTTTAAACAGCGGGAATTTATTGTCACAGTTCCAGAGGCTGCAAGTCTGAGATGAAGGTGTAGGGAGGGTTGGTTTCTTCTGAGGCCTCCCTTCTTGGCTTATAGGTGGCCATCTTGTCCCTGTGATTTATTTTGTTAGTGATTGCTCTAGGAACAACAATATGAACTTCAAATTATAGCATTCAATTTAAGAATAATAGTAGCTTTAATTCCTTAAACTATGGAGAATTTGCTTCAATATAGCTCCATTTCATCTTCCTCAACTTTCGGCTATGATTGTCACACACAGGTATATCTCTGAGATATTGAGGCTTTGGTTGGACACCACTGCAATAAAGCTCTTATCACAATAAAGCATGTCACACCAAGTTTTTTGTTTCTTAGTGCATATCAAAGTTATTTTTACATTATAATGTATTCTATTAACTATGCAAGCATTATGTCTGAAACAATCAATGTACATATCATAATTGAAAAATATTTTATTGCTAAAAAATCTCTTTGTGCAGACACACAAAGTAAGCACATGCTGTTGGAAAATGGTGTTGATAGACTTGTTCTACACAAGTTTGCCATAAACTTTCAACTTGTGAAAAAAACAAAACACAATATCTTTAAAACACAACAAAACAAAGCACAATATGAGTTATGCCTGTGCATTACATCTATATATGTTATAAACTTATTTTTAAAATAATTATTGTATACAATTTTATTATTTATAAAGAACTTAAAAGAAGTATATGGACTTTTATATTTACCTAAATATTTGCATTTTTGGTGCTTTCTCTGTATTTGCATATACTTGTATTATTACCTGGTGATATTTCCTTTCAGCCTAAAGTTCCCACTTTAATATTTCTGGTAAACAGCTCTGCCAGTGATAAATTATTTCTTTTTTCCTTATCTGAAAATGTCTTTATTCAATGTCTCTGGACTCAATTATATGATTTTTCTCCCCTCAGCTTTATTAATAAATAAAAATTGTATATATTTACCATACAAGTATTCTAAATCCATTGTGGTCAGTTCAACAATGTTCACAGTATCTTCCCCAAGAGCAGATTTCACCTTAAGAAACCACTTTCTTTGCTTATCCATAAGAAACAACTCTTCATTCGTTCAACTTTTATCATGAAATTGCAGCAATTCAGTCACATCTAGTTCTCTTGCTTTTTCTCCTACATTTAGTACCCTTTAAGCCAGTTCTCTTCATCATCCCAGCTCTCACTCATCCTTTCCAATCTCTGTTAAGTATTTCTCCACTCTTAACCTCCATGTGATCAACTAGATTTTAGTTCCCACATACTAGTGAGTACTTGCCATATTTGTATTTTTGTGCCTTGTTTATTTTACTAACGATAATGATCTCCAGATCCATCCGTGTTGCTGCAAATGACGATTTCATTTTTTTATGGCTGAAAAGTATTCCACTGTATATATACACCACATTTTATTCATCCATCCATTGACAAACATATAGGTTGATGCTATATCTTTGCTGTTGTGAATAGTGCAGCAATAAACATGTGAGTGCTGGTGTCCTTTGATATATTGCTTTATTTTCCTTTGGGTAGATATCCAATAGTGGGATTACTGGATTGAACAATAATTTTATCTTTAGGTTTTTTGATAAATCTCCATGCTGTGTTCCACAGTGGCTGTACAAGTTTATATTTATGTGAACAGTGTATAAGCGTTTCTCTTTTTCCACATCCACACCAACATCTGTTATTGTTTTGCCTTTTTACAATAGTTATTCTGACTGGATTAATAACACATCTCATTATAATTTTGATTTGTGTTTCTTCATTGATGTTGAAAATTTTCTCATATACCTGCTGTCCATTTGTATGTATTCTTTTGAGAAATACCATTTCATGTCTTGTCTCCAATTTTTAATGAGATTATTTATATTTTCCTGTTGAGTTGTTTGAATTCCTCATACATTCTGGATATTAGTCTCCCATTGGATGAATAGTTTGCAAATATTTCTTCCATTCAATAGGCTGTCACTTTACTCTGTTGATTGTTTCCTTTGCTGTGCAGAAGGTTTTTGGCTTAAAATAGTTCCATTTGTCTATTTTGTTTTTGTTGCCTATGATTTTGGGGTCTGGGTCATAAATTCTTTCCTAGACCAAGGTCCATGATAGTTTGCACTAGGTTTTTTCTTCTAGTAGTTTTATAGTTTTTGGTCTTAAATGTAAGTTGTTTATCAATTTTGAATTGATTTTTGTGTACGGTAAGAGATAGGGGTCCAGTTTCATTCTTCTCCATGTGACTATCTAATTTTCTCATCACTGTTTATTAAAGAAGGGTTTATTTCTCCAATGTAAGTTTTTGTCAGCTTTGTCAAGATCAGTTGAGTGTAAATATATGACTTTATTTCTGGGTTCTTTATTCTTTTTAATTGGTCTGTGCATCTTTTTACCAATACCATACTATGTTGATTACTATAGCTTTGTAATATATTATGAAGTCAGATAACGTGATGCCAGTTTTGATCTTTTTCTTAATATTGTTTTGGTTATTGGGGTCTTTTTGCTTCCATATAAATTTTAGAATTTTTTGTAATTCTGTGAAAAATTATGGTATTTTGATGGGGATTTTATTGAATCTGTAGATTGCTTTGGGCAGTATGGTCATCTTAATTATATTGATACTTCTTATCTATGAGCATGGGATATTTTTCTATTTGTGTCATCTTCAATTTCATTCATCCGTTTTTGCAGTTTTCTTTGTGGAGATCTTTCACTTTCTTGGTTAAATTTATTTCTGGGTATTTTACTTTAGTGTAGTTGTTGTAAATGGTACTGTCATCTTGATTTCTTTCTTAGCTATATTATTTATGTACAGAAATGCTACTGATTTTTGTAACTAGATTTTGAATCCTGAAACTTTACTGAAGTCGTTGATTAGGTTCAGGAGTCTTTTGGCAGAAACTTCAGGATTTTCTAGGTACAAAATTATATCATCAGTGAATAAAGATAATTGAACTTCCTTTCCTATTTTTCCAATTTGTATGCATTTTATTTATTGCTCTTGCCAATTGTTTTGGCTAGGACTTAGTACTATGATGAATGGGAAAGGTGAAAGTTTGCATCTTTGTCTTGTTCCAGTTTTTAGCTGGAATGTTTTCATCTTTTTCTGTTCAGTATAATGTTGGTTGTGGGTTTGTTGTATATGACCTTTACTATTTTGAGGCATATCCCTTCTGTGTCAAGTTTGTTGAGAGTTTTTGTTTTGAAAGGATGTCAAATTTTATTACATTATTTCTTTGTGTTTATTGAGATAATTATGTGGCTTTTGGCCTTCATTCTGTTGATGAGATATATCATATTTGTTGATTTGCATATATTGCACCATTCTTGCATCCTTGGTATAAATTCCACTTGATCATGGTGTATTATCTTTTTGATGTGTTGTTGGACTCCATTTGATAGTATTTTGTTGATTTTTGTGTTAATGTTCATCAGGGATATTGGCCTATATTTTTCTTTTGTGTGTGTCCTTGTCTAGTTTTGGTATCAGGATGATACTGGCCTCAAAAACCATGACAGGAAGAAATACTTTTTATTCAGTTTTTGGAACAGTTTCAGGAGGATTGGTATACCAGTTCTTTGTACATTTGGGTAGAATTCAGCTGTGAATCCACTTGCTCATGGGTCGTTTTTGTTGCAAGACTTTCTATTACTGATTCAACCTTGCTACTTATTTTTGGCTTCTTCAGGTTTTCTATTTCTTTCTGATTCAATCTTGGTAGGTTGTATGTTTCCAGAAATTTACCCATTTCCTCTAGGTTTTTCAGTTTGTCAGCATATAGTTGTTCACAAAAGTCTCTGATGATCCTTTGTATGTCTGTGGCATCATTTGTAATATCTTCTTTTCATTTCTGATTTTGTTTATTTGGGTCTTCTGTCTTCATTTCTTGGTAGTCTAGCTATTGGTTCATCTCCCATCAGTTATCTTAACTAATTCATCAGATAATTTGCTGTAGCTTCTACATCAGCACTTGCTGTTTCATCTTGGGATTTTATGCTGTAGATACAACTGCTTTCCATGAACCTCACTGATCCACCTTTGCCAGCTTCACATTTTTCTTCCACATCTTCCTAACTTCTCTGAGCCTTCATAGAATTGAAGCAACTTAGTGCCTTGCTCTGGATTAGGCTTGGCTGAATGGAATGTTCTGGATGGTTTCCAGAATCATTTATCCAGACCACTAAAGCATTTTTTACTATCAGTAATAAGACTATTTTATTTCCTTATTATTAGTGTGTTCACCGATAGAGCCCTTTTAATTTACTTCAAAAAATTTTCTTTCTATTCACAATTTGGCTAACTCTTTGGTATGTGATGCCTAAATGTTGTCCTTCCCAGCCTTCCTCGCCAAGCTTAATCATGTTTTCTTCACATGCTTTCTTCACTCAGTGTAATCATTTTTAGCTTTTAATTTAAAGTGAGAGACATGTGACTCTTGTTTTCACTTGAACACTTAGGAGCCATTGTAGGATTATTAATTGGCTTAAATTTAATATTGTATTTTTCTCAGGAAATAGGGAGAATTGAAGAGAGAAAGACAGATAAAGACACAACCAGGTGATGGAGCAGTCAGAACACATATAACATTTATTAATTAATTCACTACCTTACATGGCATGGTTTGTGGTGCCTTAAAACAATTAAATAGTAACATCAAAGATCACTGCTCACAGATTACTGTAACAGATATGATAATAACAAAAATGTTTGAAATATGGTGAGAATTACTAAAATGTGACAGAGACATGAAGTGAGCACATGCTGTTGGAACAATGGAGCTGATGGTCTTGTTATACACAGAATTGTCACAAACCTTCAATATGTAAAACACACAATATCTGAGAAGTGCAATAAAGCAAAGCACAATAAAATGGGGAATACCTGTACAATGCTATGTTTTGATCTATGTATACACTGTAAAATGGTTAACACAATCAAGTGAATGGATGTATCTATCACTCTACATGTATCTTTGTGTGTGTGTATTGTGGGAACATTTAAGATCTAATTTGTTAGCAAATTTCAAATATACAATTCAGTGTTATTAACTATGGTCACCATTGCTATACATTAGATCTCCAGAACTTATTCATCCTGCCTAACTGAAACTTTGTGCTCTTTGACTCACATCTCAGCAATACTCCCACTCCCAGCCCCTGGCAACCACCACTCTATTCTCTGCTTTTGTAAATTCAACTTTTTTAGATTCCACATATAAGTGAGATCATAACATATTTGTCTTTCTGTGACTGTCTTATTTCACTTAGCCTAATGTTCTTCAAGTTCATCCACCTTGTGACAAATAGTAGTATTTATTTCTTTTTAACACTAATAATATTCCAGTGTGTGTGTGTATGTGTATGTGTCTCACATTTTCTTTATCCATTTATTCCTTGATGGGCACTTAGATTGATTTCATACCTTGGCTATTATGAATAACGCTACAATAAACATGTGAGTGCAGGTAACTCTTTGAGGTCCTGACTTCAGTTCTTTTAATATATATCCACAAGTGGTATTGCTGGAATTTACATTCATCCTATTCTTATTATATGAAGGACCTCCATATTGTTTTCCATAATGACTATACTAATTTACATCCTCACCAACAGTATGCAAAGATTCCCTTTAGTCCATATTCTTTCCAATACTTGTTACCTTTTGTCTTTTTGAGAGTAGCCGTTTTAACAGGTGTGAGATTATATCTCGTTGTGGTTTTGATTTGCATTCCTTTGATGCTTAGTGATAGTGAACATTCTTTAGTATTCCTGTTGTCCATTTGTATGTTTTCTTTTGAGAAATGTCTATGTACACCTTTTTCTAATTTTTAATCAGGGTATTTTTTTTTTTGCTATTGAGTTTCTTATATATTTTGGAAACTAAACTATCAGATGTTCAAATCAAGTTACATTCCTCTGTTTATGAAGCTATTGATTTTTACAGACAGCCTGTTCTAGTTAAAGTACCATGCCATAGATCTGGGTAGAAAATAGCAGTTCACCCAGGTAATAACATGTCAGACTGCTCCTGCTCTTACTCAATGTTGAGTCATTTTAAATAAGTAATACTTCCCAATTTGTTGAATACCTTTGGTTGATTTTAATAGCCCTGAAAAGATTCCTAAAATGATAACATTTTACAATAAGTTTTTATTGGACCTAGATTATAAATAGTGATGAATATTTATCTTGGAATTTTTAAGGAATATGTGCAATATTCCCTAATAAATAAATGAAATTTATTACCCATGTAAAACAAAGTATGTTAATACCATAACCACAAAAGTTATACATGGATAGTTCTATTGTCAATAGTGCCAACATTTACAATGCAGTCTTAACGTAGTAAGATTTGCTGTTTATTCTAGCAATGGTGATTGTATTCTCTCACTAAAGTATTTAAGCAAAGGGGGCATTAATCCCTGGTGTCTACCCTTGATGTGTCACTTCTCAGAGGAAAAACGTTTTACCTGTAGTACAGAGATATGGATGGCTAACTTGAAGAGTTAAGAAACAAAAGTGGAAATCTTTCCTCTAACCAAGCCCAAGGTTATTTGACAGTGGCACATGTTAGAGAAAGAAAGGAACTCACTAAAAAAATGCCAATCTATTTTCAAAAACATAAAGTGTGAGTTATTTTGGTGAAGCTTATTGTGCAAAAATGCTTAGTAACATGAATACTTAGTAGTACATTCTTTCAAATGTATTGTGCTATTAAATGTAACAGATTAGAATCATAATTTCTACATAACATTAAAAAGCAGCTGTTGTATTTATTTTCCGACACCAAATTCTTCTCATAAATATACAACATTTATTTAAAATCTGGTATACTTACTCAGAAACTGTTCATTGCACCATTAATTTTCAAACTATAACCTGAAGGTTATCAGATTTTTCATCATTACTATTGTGAATGTTATGTTTAGAAAAGTCGCATGTCAAAAATATTTTATAAATGTAGATGGTGCCCAAAGATTTTAAGAAATATATTGTGACCAAAATTTTAGCATCTCTGTCATTACCTACCATCAATTTCAAGTAACAATTGAACTAATATATAAAATTAAAAGAAACATGTTACTGAGATATGACTACAACAAAAGATTTCATTTTAGAAGGGAAGACAAGTGTAAGTAACTGCTGGACAGCAGACTGTGTTCTCTCCTACAGAAATTATCTTTAACAGGTGGGAATTGCTCAGTGATCAAGCACAGCTCATCAAAATGTTAATAACATGACAAGAGGTAAATGTATTCATGAGAATATTAAAAATGTGAAACAATAGCATTTTTACATGCAGCTCAATGTTTACATCCAAATAAGCCTAATCATATGTTAAATATTGTAAAATATATTTAAGTAATAGATATATGAACATTAAAAAGTGAGATAATGTCAGAAATTGGCAAATAACCTGATCATATAGAGATAATAAACCAGGGTAAGTCTGAGAGATATTTAGAAAGCAGTCCATAGTCCAATCTGATTTCTACTTTTTGGAGGCTCAGTTTGTCAACTTTCTGGGTATTGACAGAAAAGGGGGAGAGTAGAATTCAGGAGGGCAGACAGAAGACCACTGGACTAGACAACAGGCAATCTTGCTTAAATTTAGGATTGCAGGTGGAGAAAAATGGTTGGATTGAAAATATGACTTTGAATATAGAACTTTCTGATAGGTTAAATACTGGGATTTATACCACAGTATTAGAAAAAGAAAGGTGTCATGATAGAATCATAGGTTTTTGGTTTTAGCCACAGGGTCAACTGATGGTATCAGTTGCTGAAACAGAAAATACCAAAGAACAAGACAGATTGGGGAGAAAAGATTCTAAGCCAACTGTTAGTGGCATGTTAACTTTGAGATGCTTCTTGACATCTAAACTGAAATTTTGAAGGTTTTTAAAGATAGTTAGGCTGAATTTACAGAAGAGGTATGTGCACCATCAGCTTTATATTTAAAGACATGGAGATATGGGGTCATATTGAGAGTGAATGTGTTTAGAGAAAAGCAAAGGACTGAGTCTTCTGTCACATATTTAACCACTCACCAATTGGTTAAAAAATGAGAAGTCACCAAAGGAGAGTGGGGAAGACATTAAAAGGATACATCATTGACCTTACCTCAAGGAACGTACATTTATAAAGACAGATATGTGCTTTCATTACTATAATGGGGGAAGCTTTGATAAGTGTATCAGTTGCTGTATGTATAAATAAAGTCCTACTACATTTCAGATAAGAAACATGGCCAGGCAAGATGGCTTATGTCTTTAATCTCAGCTGTTTGGGAAGCCAAGTGGAAAGATTGCTTGAGGCCAGGAGTTCAAGACCAACCTGGATAATGTAAGAAGACCTCGTCTCTATAAAAAATTAAAAATTGGCTGAGCATGGTGGCACATGCCTGTAGTTCTAACCACTCTTGAGGCTGATGTGAGAGGATTATTGGAGCCCAGGAGTTTGAGACTGCAGTGAGCTAGGATTACACTATTACACTCCAGCCTGGTCAACAAAGGAAGACCTTGTCTTTGAAACAACAACCAAAAGAAAACAAAAAGAAAAAAGAAAAGAAAGATAACTTTTAGGCAGGGATAATTTAGAGTTTTCTTGAAATTTCTGCTCTGCTTCTTCTCTTCTTTCAAATAATCTGTTCTTTCAAGAGTTTCAAATGAATGAACAATGTGTCAATGAATGCACCACTGTCCCTCATAATCTCCTTTCTCCATTCAATGCTGGATGGTGCAGTGTAGTTACTTCTTACACATGGTCAAATCAGTCATTGACTAGACAGTGTCCTGTGGTTTTGCATGGAAATAAATTGAGATTTATCCCAGTTAACTGAATCAATAAGTAAAACAGAATGATGAAGAAAAGTAGAGTACAGTCGATTTATGTTAATTTCAGATGCTGGTGTTATATTGTATGGTCTCTTCCTGTTGTTTTCAGTAATACCCTGATTCCTACCCTTTCTCTGTCTGGCTTTTCATTTATTTCTGTAATTCTGTGACATCTGTCTGCCTCTCTATGTCTTCTTTTTTTCTTTGGAGAATTTGATGTTCTATGCCCCTTATATCAAAATGAATCCAGTCATGAACAGGGATCAAAGCAAGTCTTATTAAAGAGAAAACAATTGAGCTGGGACACAAAGATTGAATAAAATTTTAGCTTGCAAATATCATGCTGTGTAAATGAGTTCATCCTATCTCATGATGACAATTTGAATTTACACAGTTTTTTAAACTCTGGCAGAAGATTAGATAATCATTTAAGTCAGATGGTCATATTCTAGTTTAGAATAAACCCTCTCTTTTCAGTCGGGTAAGTTAGACTTAAAATGTCAGAATGTATTTTGTTCCTAATCAAGTGTTTCAATCATTACCCCTCATCACGTCTACCACTATGTAAATCAACTCATCTCTTTACTTGCATAAGTTCTTTATATGCAAATTATTATTTCATTCATTAAAAAGTTACTTTCACTTATTCTCTGTGTACAATAGTTTGCACTGTAACCCATGTTGATCTACCCTTATTTCTGCAAATACTATATGCATGTATTTCTCTTTCAGACACTCGGCCCTGATGCTTTTTTTGTGAGGGCTTTTCCTTTTTCCTCTTGGATTTCCACTAAAAGTAGTTGTAACATTGACTGTGTTCTTATTCCTCTGTGCCATTCCACATCATCAATCCGTGTTTCTCTTTCCTTATTAATATTTAAACTTCATATCCTGTGTCTCTCACCCTTTTTTTTTTTTTTTTTTTTTGAGACAGAGTTTCGCTCTGTCACCCAGGCTGGAGTGCAGTGGCGTGATCTCGGCTCACTGCAAGCTCCGCCTCCCGGGTTCATGCCATTCTCCTGCCTCAGCCTCCCGAGTAGCTGGGACTACAGGTGCCCGCCACCACGCCAAGCTAATTTTTTGTATATTTAGTAGAGATGGGTTTCACCATGTTGGCCAGGATGGTCTCGATCTCTTTACCTCGTGATTCACCCGCCTCGGCCTCCCAAAGTGCTGGGATTACAGGCGTGAGCCACCACGCCCCGCCATCTCTCACCCTTTTTAATTATCGTAGCCATCTACTATTGTCTTGTATGACCCTGTCAAGATGTATACATAGAGATGTATAAGCTTTTTCTTTACATGATCCTGGAAATCATCTTCGGTGATGTTAACATCTATATCAAGGATTCTTCTGAGTCTTTGATTATAAGATTCTTCAAACTTTTTAAGAGGACAGAATTTTATCTCCCTTCTAGATCATCATTATCTTAACTATTACATGGCAAATTGTGTCTCTTTCCTCTTTTTTCTACAATATTAATGCTATCTGTCATCTCCCTTATTCCAACTCCCTCCTATACACTAAACTTGCTTTTGTTTCAAAATGATTCACTAATCAATCATATTCTCTGACTTTGCCAGTTATTTTAGGCAACTTATTCATTGTGTTTTTTCCTAAGTTGCATAGACATTAAAATATAAATGCTAAGTAAAAGAGTATGAAAAAAAACTCTATGGAGAAAAATTGTCCTAATACAACCAAACCTATGCTTTTTCAATGCAGACAGCCCAGTCCCAAAAAAGCACCTGAAGCTTGTTTTAGTTTTCATTCTTCTTATGGTAAGAATACCTCAAAGACAATGAAAAAGATCCTCAAAGCAATGAATCCAAGGAAAGAATTTCATAAAGTTGCAAGATATTGTATCCTCTGTATGTAACACATCAAAAGTACAAGGTTTTTCTAGGGATAAACTGGAGCTGTCTTCAGAGGCCTCTTTATCAGGGATGCCTGAATATCTCACATGTACAAAGTAGAATACCAAAGGGACACTTGGTTTTGTGCCTGTAGCAGGTATTTTTTATCTAGCTATACTTTATTCCAAACTCCATATATTCACTCATCTCTCTATCTAGACTTCTGTTGACCAATGGAACTTCTTGTGAGGAAAGATACATTTTACATCTTCGTTGTGCTATGTTATCCACCAGGCCAATATGGCTATTAAAAGAGGCTAGTGGACTGAACAATTGGATTTTTAGATTCATTTAATTTAAACTCAAATAGCCACATGTAGCTAGCAGTTGCAGTACACAGAAAAGCTCTAGAGGTATTCACTTGAAATTTTTTGACATAAACTGAGAACTTTAAAAACACGGTCAGTGCTACCAAATGTTATTTTCTCTGCCAAGCATCTTACAACTTCACCTATATATGTGGCCTTTTGTATTTTCTAACAAGTTCAGAACTTGTCTATCAGAAATAAGCCAAAATAATCGACAATAAAAAAAATCAACTTTACCTTGACTCAGCTTTTAGTAGTAATCTTTCTTTTTTTTAACTTTTAAGTTCCAGTGTACAAGTGCAGGTTTGTTACACAGGTAAACTTGAGTCATGGGGATTTGTTGCACAGATTACTTCATCACTCGTGTAATAATCCTAGTATTCATTAGTTATTTTTCCTAATCCTCTCCCTCTTCCCACCCTTCACCTTCTTAAAGTCTACAGCACATGTTGCTCTCCTTTGTGTGTTCATGTGTTCTCATCATTTAGCCCCGACTTATAAGCAGGAAAATGTGGTATTTGGTTTTCTGTTCCTGTGTTAGTTTGCTAAGGGTAATGACTTCCAGCTCCATCTATGTCTCTGCAAAAGACATAATATTGGCCGGGCATGGTGGCTCACGCCTGTAATCCCAGCACTTTGGGAGGCCGAGGTGGGCAGATCACCTGAGGTCGGGAATTAGACACCAGCCTGGCCAATGTGGAGAAACCCCATCTCTACTGAAAATACAAAAATTAGCCGGGTGTGGTAGCACATGCCTGTGGTCCCAGCTGCTCAGGAGGCTTGAGGCAGGAGACTCACTTGAACCCGGGAGGCAGAGGTTGCAGTGAGCCAATATCACGCTGCTGTACTCCAGCCTGGGCGACACAGCGAGACTCCATATCAAAAAAAAAAAAAAAACAAAGACATAATATCATTCTTTTTATGGCTGCATAGTATTGCATGGTGTATATATTCTTATTTTCTGGTGCAACCTTTAAAAAAATTGACTTCTGACCAAATCTTTATCACACTGCAATATGGATTTTACACTAGTGTATTTCTTATGTCTAAAATATCTTAGAATGTATTTGTATAATATATTGGCAATCTAGATGAATGAGATATTGTTTATGCCTCTGAAAAGGAAAGTGGTGATCTAAAGAGACAAGACAAATTTCCTTGGGACTCCATATGTTTGATTTTGAGTACCTGATATTATTACTACTCTGTGAAATCTAAGTCTGTCTTAAATTCTGTGTCAGCTTCTGAGCATTGAACTTTTATTCTTTTTTTTACATATCTTAAAGTTACTTTGAAAGATGTTAGATATAAAATACTTACAGTTATGACTTCATTTTGTATTATTAATACTGATTATACATAATAAAAAGGGTGGTATAGAACTTAATATTTTACTTCAAATTCATAATATCATGAAATCTTGAATACATGTGAGATAAATGATTTGTTATTTAGTTCTTAATGTATGTTTATGTGATTACAATAGGCATCCCAACCCATCAATGATAGGCTTAGTAAAGAAAATGTGATATATATACACCATGGAATACTATGCAGCCATAAAAAGGAATGAGATCATGTTCTTTGCAGGGATATGGATGAAGCTGGAAGACATCATCCTCAGCAAGCTAACACAGAAACAGAAAACCAAACACCACGTGTTCTCACTCATAAGTGGGAGTTGAACATTGAGAACACATGGACATAGAGGGGAACAACACACCAGGGCCTGTGGGGGTTGGGTGGTGAGGGGAGGGGAACTTATGGGATGGGTCAATAGATGCAGCAAACCACCATGGCGTGCATATACCTGTGTAACAAACCTGCACGTTCTGCGCATGTATCCTGGTTTTTAATTTTAGAAGAAATCAAGAAAAAAAATAAAAACTAAAATTAAAAAAAGAAAAATCCCAAAATTTAAAATGAACCTTGAATAGATAAAGCAAAGCATTCCAAGCCAAGAAAACTGCATAAGGACATGAGGATAGGAGAAGTGTGTATACATATATATATACACTCACACACACACAAACACACACATATATAGTGGAAGTTTATGCATATGAGCAGAATGAAAATTTAGACTTGAAAGATACCTTTGCAAATTTAAGACCCAATTAGTACTTTTTAAATTTCCTAAGCTTAATATGAAAATTAATAATTATGTTTTTCTATATGGGATAAGAGGCAGATTTTAAATGAGAAGGACTGGGTCTGAGTCTTGGGTATGTTTTGATTAGTTGTATCATTTCCATTTCCTCATTAGCAAAATATAAACTATAATAATGTCTGGCAAACCCATGTTGCATTATTGCTGCCAGGATCATATTGCTGTGGGGTTGAGGTACAACGTACATCTCCTCCTCTTTGGTGATTTCACTGATAATGTGGATTTAAACATCTTTAACAAACTGGGAAAGGTAGTAAAGCTTTATATAGATGGTACTTCTCCCCGTACCTCCTAAAATGTTTTCTTGATACTTTTTGGAGAGAGAAATTGGGCCTGATGCTGAAGGAGAACTCTTCTGTCCACTGCAAGTCCACTTACATGAGCAGCTAAATAAATGAATGGGATTCTGAAGGACTGTATGTGGAGAGCAAGGTTAACCATTTGTGCTTGCTGCATGAGGTGAGAAAATGCGAAAAGAGAATGAGGAAATTTCAGCTGGGTCCCTCCCTTTAATTTAGGGTTTCTTCCCACTCTCCAGTGAATAAGCAACGATGAGTGTTAGGCTGTTTATTCAGATACCCTCACGCCACTGCAGAAGCGAGTAGAGGAAGAATACAAGGAAAAAAGTGTCTCCCAGCCTGTGGAAAGAGGATGGCTATTTCATCCACTAAAGGTATTAAGCAGAAATGTGAGTGAAAGATTCTGTCATTCCCAAAAATGACTAAAATAATATAAAATTCTAGAAATTTAAAATTACTGAGATCTTAATTTATTATCTCATAATACATAAGCAAAAATAATATAATCATAGAACTTATAGCAAGAAGAAATATATATCATATCATAGAAAGAAGAAATTGGTCCTACCTCTTTTTTTTTTTTTTTTTTTTGAGAAGGAGTTTCACTCTTGTTGCTCAGGCTGGAGTGCAATGGCGCAATCTCGGCTCACTGTAACCTCCACCTCATGGGTTCAAGCAATTCTCCTGTCTCAGCGTCCCGAGTAACTGGGATTACAGACATGCACCACCACACCCGGCTAATTTTTGTATTTTTAGTAGAGATGGGGTTTCTCCATGTTGGACAGGCTGGTCTCAAACTCCTGACCTCAGGTGATCCACCTGCCTCGGCCTCCCAAAGTGCTGGGATTGCAGGCATGAGCCACCGAGCCCAGCTTGTACTTACCTCTTAAAAGAAGGGCTAGAAAATATCTTGAAAAATAGGCAAAGTTATATTGCAGGGACATACATGTGAAAATCCGAATGGAAAGCACTGTCTTGTCAGCATACCAGTTCAAGTATTCACTTTTCCCCAACATATATGGATGACATTTGCTAAGTCAACCAGTGCTCTGAGTTTTAATTTTTTGTTAGTAAAATGAGAGTATTTTACATTACTATATCTGAGTATCAATCTCTCTCTCTTTGCTTCCATTGGAAATCCCTAAGTTTGCAGCTGTTTCAACAGCTGAAAATGTCTCCAAGTACCCTGAATAATGACAAATATTTGATTAAGCGGTAGAGATCACACTGCATATTTATCTTTCTTCTATTTCCGCAATAAGAACATGTTTGTTAATGACTATGGGCAGTCTTGAAGAGAAAAGAAGTTAATAGAAGGAAAACTGCAGAAACATGCCAGAGAGAAAAAATGTAGACAAAATTGATACCACTGGTGACAGTGGGAAAGGGAGTATGGCCTAAAACTTTCTTTATATCACCAGTTGACAGCACTGCTTTATGCAACCCACTAAGACTTTAGAAATGACTAAATTAATATCTAGTTAGAGTTAATTTTGATAAATTCTAGGTATTACCTATTTTATGTAGCATAAGAAGAGTTTATATAGCAGGTTCTCAAATATCTCCAAGTAATTGGGTTTTCTCCCACATCCCAAAGGTGTACACTTTAAGTGAATTGGTATGTCTACATCATCCCAGGAGGAGTGAATGTCTGTGTGTGTGTACCTGAGATAAGATGATGTCTTGTCCAATGCTGGTTTCCACCTTGTGCCCTGAGCTGTTGGGAGAGGCTCCTGCGACCTGTGACCCTGAAGCAGAATAAGTGGACTGAATAAAGGAATGATGCGTATAAATGATTGTAAAATAAAAATTTGTAAAGTAGATTATAATTACACAAGTGCACTTTAATAAACAAGGTGGAATCAAAGCACACAGTGAACGCACCATGTTTGTGATTATTTTTGAATTGAGTGCTGGATGGAGATGCTCCTGATAATTTTCATTTTCCAAACATTTATTCTTGGTTTTAACCCACCACCACTAAAACCACAGTCACTGACTGATTCACTGAACACTGGGTAAATAATTATCATACTTGTTTGTATTAATCTTTCTTATATATATATATAGCTCACATTTATTTTACACTTTATATTAGGAGGGCTGGAGGTATTTATTTAGAAGTTTGGAGATGTTTTTGTGACAACAAACATGCTGTAGGATCTTAACTCTTGTTTATATCTATTAACCTATGGTACAATTGGTTTTCTTACACATCGTTTTGCTTAAATTTGTGGTTTCCAAAAACTATGGACGATGTTATGCGAGGACTTAATGCATTTCAACACTGCCTGGGTATAGATGTTGAAGTTGAGTGAGTGGGGATTATAGAAAACTAATACAAAAACTATAAATTCAGTGTTCAACATAAATTTGGCTGGGTGAGGTGGCTCATGCCTGTAATCCCAGTACGTGGGAGGCCGAGGCAAGAGAATCGCTTTGAGCTCAGGAGTTCAAAAACAGCCTGGCCAAAGTGCCAAAACTCTGTTTATTAATTCATTTTCCCACTGCTATAAAGCACTGCCTGAGACTGGGTTATTTATAAAGGAAAGAGGTTTAATTGACTCACAGTTCAGCATGGGTCAGGAGGCTCAGGAAACTTACAATCATGGCAGAAGGCTAAGGGGAAACAAGGCACCTTCTTTATAAGGCAGCAGGAAGGAGACTAGCCGAGCAAAGGGAGAAGAGCCCCTTATAAAACCATCAGAGTTCATGAGAACTCACTTATTATCACAAGGCCAGCATAAGGACAGCATACAGGAAACTGTCCCCATGATTCAGTTACCTTCACCTGGTCTCTCCCTTGACATGTGGGGATTATGGGGATTACAATTCAAGATGAGATTTGCGTGGGGACGTAAAGTCTTATCATATCACCCTGTCTCTACAAAAATTCAAAAAGTAGCCAGATGTGGTGACAAGAGCCTGTGGTCCCAACTACTAGAGAGGCTGAGGCTAGAGAATCACTTGAGCCCAGGAAGTGGAGGTTACAGTAACCTTAGGTCACACCACTGCACTCCAGCCTTGGTGACAGAGTGAGACCCTGTCTCAAAACAAACAAACAAAACCCACACACACATGAAATCACCAGAAAAATTGGATGTTATGTAACTTTTAATTCACTTGCTAATTTTTTCTATAATGTATTTGTTATAAGTGATACAAAATCATCAAAAACATGTTTGCCAGATTTGACTTCCTGGTCATTTTATTGTAAATATTCAGAAACGATTTCCCTGTTTACTAAATCTCATGCAATCATTCAACTTCTTAAAATAACAAATCTTGAACACATGCAATATTGTAAACATTTGGTATGTTACTAAGGACTTATCAAATCTTAAGGCATACAGAGAACAGATTTCATTAGTGGCAGAGAAAGAAATACAAAAAAATTAAGCAAAACTTGACAATGTAGGAAACCCAGATAATATCCTTTATCATCACTAGTCCAAAAACATCTGAATCTGAAGATTCCATTGAAAATCTTTTATTAATTAGATGTGGAAAATCAGTTAAATGTGTAAAAAATAAAGAATTTTCAATAAGACCAGTTTATGTTGCTAAACCTATTCTTGTAGGTGAGTTTAGTTCTCCTCGGAGAAATGAGCTGAGGGCCCAAAATTGTAACTCAGTGAATTACAAAATTGTTATTGTTTCCCAAAGTATTATAGTTTCACATTTTCACGTTAAAATTTCTTCTTTTTGAAGATATTTGTTCCCTGTTACCTCTTAAATGTTCTATTTATATCACTCTCTTTTTAAAATTAATCACAGTTCAAAATCCTGCACCTGGTTAGATTTATTCAATTAACAAAATACCTTATTTTAAAGTGAGCAAATTAGCTCAGAGTCTCTTTTCCAATCTTTTCACTGATTGATTTGTTAAATCTAATTACAGAGTTGTGCCTTTATTTGGCATGACCATATAAAAGCTTATCCTGGACCCCTTAACAAACATATTCAATATATAATGACCATAAAATATCACCCATTTCCTGTGACCTTACCTTTTGCATGGCAGATCAGGAGGCAGACATAAATAATATGAGACTAGAGTCCTCATTAAGTAAAGGTACAGTTCTGTTTATTCAGTTTTCATATGGGTTTATACAAAGTCATGTGAAAATGAGAACCGCCAAATCTTACTTTCATTGGTTTTGCATACAGCATTTCTGTTCATAAATAGAAGGAGCTCCTGATTTTAAAAATACTCCATGTAATTAGCAGGCATTTAATCACACTCATACATAAAGTATGAGTAAGGAATTGAATAAACACCAAAGTTAGGTGTAGTGGGTTGAGATCCCACTTGTCAGCTATAACAGAGAAAGCCTATGATATTTCATAAGTTTGCATGTACTGTCTGGTGTTTTTGGGGCCAGGAATCCTTGGTCATTACAGGGGTCTGCTGCTTGAAGAATTACCTGATAGACTGGTGAGCAAAACAGACATATAATATTATAAACCATAGCTACATTAGCAGCTTCTAAGATTTCCTTTAAAGGTAAATGGGTTTTGCATCTCCGATATAAACTCCCTAGAGAACTACCATATTTAAATTTTTATATTTTATAAAATGCTATGTCAAATTTCAATTTAACAAGATTTTTAATACACCTCACGGAATATTTTACTCTAGTGACGCCAATAAATAGCAATACGACCCTTTGAATGAAGAAGACTGTTTTTCCACTTAAGCTTTCTACTTGTATCTACTTTTTTCATTTTATATTATTTGATCATAAAATTATTTAATAACCCTCAATAGCCTTCAAGGGAAAGTGGAAACTTCTAAATTAGTGCTTATGGTGAATAGTGATGTGACATTTCCCCAATTCTAGTTTAAATTCTACTATTCACTCTCTTTCTTTGGAATAAGTGTACCACTTACTCCAAATAAATCAATCAAGTTATGCTTACTTGAATGTAAATGGTCATTTACATTTACCCGTAGCTTAACTTCTATCATAAGTAGCTACTCAGGACATGCCTGGCATATAAAATGTACCAAATTAAAATCAGTTTTTGGGGTGCCGTGGCCCATGCCTGAAATCCTAGCATTTTGGAAGGCCAAGGCAGGAGAATCACTTGAGCCCAGGGGTTAGAGACCAGCCTGGGCAACATAATGAGATCTCACCTCTATGAAAAAATTTCCAAAAACTTCACCTGGTGTGCTGATGAACTTCCATAGTCCCAGCTACTGAAGAGGCTGAGGTAGGAGAATTGCTTGAGGCGTGGAGGTCCAGGCTGCAGTGAGGTGTGATCACGCCACCGCACTTAAGCCTGGGTGACATAGTGAGACTTTGTCTCAAAAAATAAAATAGTTTTTGATTCAAGACACTTTTAAATCATTTTGGAAGATGCATAGATATATGTATTATAATTATACATATATAGAAAGAGATTGATACACCTACAGAGATATGCAGATTAAATAATGTTAATGTATTATTTCCCTATTGCTTTTCTGTTGTCTGTAACAAATTACTGTGAGAGCCGTGGTTTTTCTCCCGCCCCTCGTGACCAGTGAACATGGCTTTTGCATGCAGTGAACATGACCAGGTTCCCAAGCTGGGAGGGGACAGGGCATGAATTTGTCAAGTTCCCTGAGTGCCTGTGGATGTGGGGGTGGAAACAGAACCATGTTGTTCTGATTTGCACCTTTGATGGCTGAGCCAAATGCTCATTCTATTTAGTATTACAGCCGTAATCTGTAGCAAAACGCTTAGCATTATAAAGGAAAGATCAGAACCATTTCAAACCATGAGAGAAGACAAGACACCAAAGGAAGTCTGGGGTTCTTGACCAATGGAGCTCACCCTTGGGGCCTTCCAGCAAAAGATGCCTTCAGTTGCCCCGGGGCTTTACTCCCGACCCATGTGGTAGTTAGACCTCCCCGAAAGGAAACAGAGCATGAAAGAGAGAGGTGGCAGGGTCTTGGAAAAGAGACAGATCCGACAGTTTTCCATTTCAACTCACCCTTCTGATGAATATCCCAGATGGAGCCCCCAGATGAAATGGCCACGGCAACGGCCACGACGGGCGGGGGAAAAACCACAGCTGCCACTGGGAGCCTGCACGGTTGGCTGGCTGGCGCTTGCTGCCCGGTGTGCCAGTGGAACTCTACTCTGGCCAAGGAATTCAGCTCTGTCTGAACAGAGGGGAAGCATACAATGATTAAGGAGACACATTTGCGCTGAGCAAGGGGTTCTTCCCCCAGGACCTTCCCCTTTTGTTCCTTAAACTGTTTTCTCTTGTTTTCCTTTTCCAAGAGGTTTTCTTCCCCAGCACGCTGCTTCTGTTAGGGAAGTTAATGGAGAAGCGACCCCTACTGGCTGATAACTGCAAATTTAGCGGGGCTCATTTGAGATAGTTGATTCATGCAGCCACTTGAAATACTTTTGAGTCCCAAACTTGATTACAAGCTTCAGGCTGAGGCCCTAGAAAGGAAAACCAGATCTGAGGGATCCAAAGCCAGGCAATAGGCACAATGTAAATGGACAGGACCAATTCCTGCTGACCAAAGCCCCCACCCCACGGAAACAGGCCATGCTCTGTGGCGTAAATGAGACCTAGGAAACTCAAAGGTTGTCAACAGCAGGGAAAGATGGAGGCGAAGGTAAGGTCAGAAAATTCCTGTTCTCTACGCTTTCCCTGTTTTATGGGTGCATGCTGCATTGGCACCCATGAGCAGTACCTGCCAAGGTCACCTGGACACAGGGATAAAAAGATGGAAGAGAAAGGGAGGGCACTTGTTTTCTCTCTCCACACCCCGAGGTTCGCTGAAAGAAGGAAGGGAAGTGAGGGACGGCTCTATAGCCTATCTTTCGGAATGAGTAACCAGCTCTCTTCACCACCCCCAGCTTGTACTCTTCTGGAATGTATTCTAAACCATTGGAACTGCTTTGACCCTCAGAATCTGGAGGAAAAAAAATGTCTCATAGTCCTCTGTACAAAGATTTGGCCAAATTATGATTTATAGCAAGGACTGGCTTGGCCTCAGGAAGGAACCATTTATTTCAATACCATCCTGCAATTGGACCTTTTCTGTAAACATGAGGACTAGTGGTCTGAGGACCCATATGTGCAGGCTTTCTATATCTTGCAGGGCAATCCTGATCTTTGCCAACAGTGTAGGATTGATCCAGCCCTCCTGTTTGCCACTTCGGGAGAGGCTACCAGGGGCAATCTCAAGCAACTAAAGAAAGAAACCCCAGAGGTTCCCCCAGAAGAGGAGCCAGCTCCCTCCAACCCTGCTCCTTCAGGTCCTCCCCAACTTCCCTATCCAGCTTCAGCCTCTCACATTTCCCCTCCAAGAAATTCTCACCCTAGACAAGCCCCAGTCTTACTCTTGCCTCTGCAACAAGTGCCTGGTGAATTTGGCCCCAGTAAGGTCCAGACCCCTTCTCTTTATAGGACTTAAAGCAAATTAAGGGGGCTATTGACAAGTTTGTAGAGGACCCTCACAGATATATAGAGGCTTTCCAGAATTTCACCCAAAGATCTGAACTCTCCTGGAGAGATATTATGTTACTTGTGAATCAGACTCTGATGCATACTGAGAAGCAAGCCACTTTGCAAGTGACAGGGAGATTTGGGGAGGAGCTTTGTATAACATATAGCATCAGGGAAGACGGTGAACATTATCTAACTGGTAGAGAAGCAGTACCAGTGAATGACCCTGGATGGGATCCCAATGATGAGATGAGAGACTGGAATAGGAGACACTTCTAGGTATGCATAATCGGGGTCTTAAGACCAGGATCAAGCCTCCCAATTATGCTAAATTGTCCATGATCGATCAGGGATTTGATGAAAATCCCACTGCCTTCTTGGAATGGCTAAGAGAAGGCTTGGTAATGCACACCTCTCTGTCTCCTGATTCCATCGAGGGACAACTAATCTTAAAGAATAAGTTTATTATTCAGGCAGCCCCTGATATCAGGAGGAAGTTGAGGGAACAGGCCCTGGGACCAGATAGTACTTTAGAGAACCTTCTGAAAGTGGTCACCTCGGTCTTTTATAGTAGGTCACTGGAATGGATTCTTGAATTTATTATACCCAAGTAAAGGCCTGGGAAATGGATGGAGCCACTTCTGTCAACCCAGAAGAGTACCCAAAGTACCAACGTGAAGAGATCAGGGACCTCGAGCTAAAAATCACAAAAGATAAGTGTTAATAATTAACCTTCCATGGACATCCTCTATATAGTCTTGGCTATGCTTGCTGTTCTTACCTTTGTTCTGTTCTGTATCACGGGGCACGACAGTGTTTTCAGAATAATTAATATATTTCACTTCTTATTTCTGTAATTGTTGGCACTAAATTCTTTCCTTGTCCAAGACGCATGTTTAACCTATGCATACGTAACTTTATAAAAATTTGTTTTGTTTCTTCTCTCACACCGAGAGGCTATCGAACTCCAAACGGTCAGGTAACCGGAGCCTCGGACAATGGCTCCCCTTTGCCAAGAACCCTTAGGTAGAACTCTGGAAGGAATCTGACTTCCCTTTTCCCCAAAACAACGTTCCCTGTCAACATGAAGTAGCTAAGACCGGTCGTTGTCTATATTCTAACAGCAGTTAGGTGTGCCTCTTCAGAGGGAGGAAATGATACGGGAGGAGGGCAGGGAAGTGCTGGGTAGAGAAGGTAAGAGTCTCTGGTGAGAGCGCCACCCTCGGGCCTGTGCCTGCGGACCTAAGTGAAGACAGGCACTCCTGTTTTCACGTCTGAATGTTGCATTTTCCAAGACCACTCTGGCCTGCCAAGCGCCCCATACTGTGCCGGTATAAACCCGAGACCTTAGCAGGCATACACACAAGTGACTGAACACCAAGAGGAGCAGAGGAACAGAGCATCAGGGAATGGCAAACAGTGGCAGAGGAAGGAGAGAAGAAGTGTTTGAAGGTCGAGGGAAGTTCAGCCATTCTTGAGGAAGATTATCTCCCCGCAACTCCACCTTCCCACTCCAGATCCCTAAAGCCACCTCCACTACTTAATAAAGTCTCCACATTCATCACCTTTCAAACAGTTCATGTGAGCTGAGTCGTCCAGGATGCTGGACAAAAATCTGGGCGGGAGGTGGTTAATACTTACCCACCCGCGGGCAGCAAGGCTTGAAACACACACCTACTTGGGCTTTGGCATCTATCCATCTGCATACTCCCCCTTCCCTCAGGGTTTGAGATTCAGGGCAACCCAACAGGTGAGCCACACCCCTGTTGCACGTCCTGTGAGGGGAATCTGGGAACTCTACCAGTTCATTATGCATATTTTAAATCAAATAGCTCAGCTATTGAATTAAATTAAATGACACATGTTTTGGGTTGTATTTATTAGTGTTAAATTTTAATTTTTTGATCTCAAGGACAATTTGTTATATATTTTTTAATATATTGATTATGGAAATGCTGAATTAGCTGATTTATTTTCAATGTTAATTAATATGATCGATGTCAAACTATCTACTGATGGTCTCCGCCATTTTTGGAAGACAAATCTAACCCTCTAAAACTTAATAGGTAGATATTTTAATTACAAAAAAATCCATATTACTGTCTAAACAATAGATAGACCACAACTGGAGTATTTTGCTGTATTAGAAGCAATTTCAGTTTATGATCTTACTAAAGAAAAATAACCTATTGCTAGGATTTAAGCTGTAAAAGTGCAACATATACTTATCTCTATTTAATGATCATTAATTTTATAAATAATATTTATATTAAAATGTAAGCCATGATGTTTAAATTTAAATAAAGAAAGAAACTATATTACTGGTATACTAGTTAGGGTTCTCTAGAGGAACAGAACTAATAGGATATATGTATATGTGAAAGGGAGTTTATTAAGGAGAATTGACTCACATGATCACAAAGTACAGTCCCATGATATGTCATCTGAAAGTTGAAGAGCAAAAAAGCCAGTGATGGATCAGTACAAGTCCCAAAACCTTAAAAGTAGGGAAGCCAACAGTGCAGCCTTCAGTCTGTGGCCAAAGGTCCAAGAGTTTCTGGCAAACCACTAGTGTAAGGCAAAGAGTCCTAAAGCTGAAGAACTTGGAGTCTGATGTTCAAAGGCAAGAAACATCCAGCATGAGAGAAAGATGAAGGCCAGAAGATTCAATAAGCCTGTTCTTTCATCTTCTCCTGCCTGCTTTTTTCTAGCGATGCTGGCAGCTGATTAGATGACGCCCACCCAGATTGAGGGTGGGTCTGCCTCTTCCAGTCCATTGACTTAAATGTTAATCTCCTTTGGCAACACCCTCACAGACCCAGGAACAATACTTTGCATCTCTCAATCCAATCAAGTTGATGCTCAATATTAACCATCACAACTGGGGTTTATGTAATACGTAGAATATTTGATCGTTTAGGCTGCTGACAGAATTTGTGCTGTGTCAGAATCCGATCAATCAATTAACTGGGAAAAGAAATAACAAATTTTGCAAAAATTTTAAAAATAATAATTCATAATCAAATAAATCATATCCCAATCTTGTTTTCCTTAGAATAATAAAATATATGGCATTCTTGGTATCAGTTTCCTATTTGTGAAATATGGAGGTAGGTTAATTTAGTACTTCAATTTCTTTTATTTTCAATATCCTTATTCCAAAGTGTATGAAGTTATATTTATAATCATTAAAAATGAAAACAGTTTGAAATTGTTATATATAAATATGTAATATATAATATATGACATCACACATTAAATGTAAAATTTAAAATGTATCAATCATTTTATAAATAAAATTATATGTTTCACTATGACAGAGTACAGGAAGCCTTAGAAGATTTTTCACTAAATTAAAAATACTGGTTTTTTAGATATTTTATTATTCAACACTAAATTCATATTTCATGGGTTGCCTTATAGTGAGCAATTATTGTCTAAGTGCATAGCCAATCAGGTTTCCGCCAGCATGAACATCATGAGTGAATGTATGCAAGTTAACACTGATTGATGGTTCCCTAAAGCAAGGATTGACTAACTATGGCTAGTATAAGCCAGATCATGTCTGATCCCTGGTTTTGTAAATCAAGTTTTATTGAAACTTGATTCAACACGCCCAGTTACATGCCTATTATCTCAGATGCCTTTCACACTACAATGGCAAAATTGTAGTAGTTGCAACAGACCATATTGCCTGCAAAGCCCATTATATAAAATAGTTGTCAACTCCTTTGAGAGTAATGAAGAACTAAACAAACACAGAAAACAGTAACATTGAACAACAATAAGTAAAATGCCAGAGTGAGTATGAGTAACAAACAGAAATTGAGAAATGAATAAGAATGTGCATTTTGTACAAAGCGTTTTTCTGAATTGAGTAAATTAAGTAGATTTCACCTGTAGAGTTACATAAATAAAAATTAAATATAAATATGTGTGTAATATCAATTTAATAAACAGTCTGGGTCTATGAGCTTTTTCCCATTGTCCATGAGCTGGAACAAGCTTAGAGTGAAATAGTTGCAGAACTATCCATGAGGCTTGATGGTTAAACACTATGGCCAACACACAAGTGGTTGTCTACATCAAATGTACACAAATGAGTTCTAAACCTAAATGACTGACATGGTATCTCTGAAATCATTAAATTATTTAAAACCGTGTAAGCCCCAAGAACTTTATAACTGTAAATGTCAAGAAAGGTCCCTGGCAATAGTTGTGGGTTCTTTAGGGCTTTTAATGACTTTTCATCAAGGGCAGCTCAACCTCAACAAGTAAGGTCTTCCGTTGCTGAACAGAAGCAACAGTTTCTGTTGTTTTAATTAACCCCATTGGTTTTTATTATAGATCCCTTGACAACAGTTTGATTTAGGAGTTGCACAGGGCCTAGCCTTGAGGATCCAGTGTCCACACTATTGGCATCCTTTCTTAAGTAAGAGGAAGAAATTTGAAGCTAATAGACTCCAATGAGACCTACTGTGAGTTCATTCTGTAATCTATTTACATTATTTTGTTTATATTTATATTATACTATTTATTATTTTTATTATATCTGCATAAATTATATATTATATATAAATTATATATATAATTTATTATTACATTTTAATTATATTATTTCCTTTCTTCTATATTGGGAATCTAATAACGAATGATATCCTGTAAAGTTACTCTTATTGAAAGGCCACATTAGTTTGCGTTTCTACATTTTTTATTAACTGTCAATTCTATTTGTGAAGTCCAAACTATGAATAACAAAGCATAAATCAGTAGAGAAAAGCGAAAAGGGTTCATCCCCTTCCACAATCTAGTACATACTGTGACCCAGGGAAAGGCAGTGATTATTCTTTAAAAATTTAGTGGTCCTATCAGATGAGACGATAATACTTATTTCATGATTTCTGAATAGTCTTTTGCCTTGACCACCTATAATATATGAGAAAAAAGAAAATAATAAGGAAAAGAATAGGTTAAAACATGGAAAATGATTTGCTTTTTAGTGGAATTGACATATCATTTTTATGCAAATGTGTCTTCCCTCTTTCTATTCTGTGAGCTATTTCTCTCACAAAAAGATTTTTAGACTAATTGTTGTATCTGCCACTTGCTAAATCTGTTTTCTAAATTACAAATTCAGCCTTCGCTGCGGGTGTACTGCCAGCCCCTTCTTTCACAAAAGATCTTTGTACTAATTGTTTTATCTGCTGCTGGCTAAATCTGTTTGCTAAATATACCTTTCATTGAAATAACAACAAAACCTACTCAGGAAGCAATTAGCAGGTATGGACATTTTTTTGAAAAAAAGCGGAGCTTATATACTTTAGATTGTGTAGGAGGGCCTGAAAGATAGATGTACAAATCATGTATCAGTCAAGGGATTACAGGACTTTAAGAAGGACATAATGTTACTTCACAAATGTGTTTTCCAAGAGTTTACAAAAGTAGGTCTTGATACTCATGTGCCTAAAACCATGTAAGTATGATATGAGACTTTTTATGTGCTATTATCAAAAATAAAATTTTAAAATATGTGTTCTGAATCTTAAATAATGTTTTGCCAAGGTTTTAAGTTTTCATGGATTTTCTTCTCTAAATCTTAATTAAAATTTGCTGAATATACTATAGTTTTGCCTCAGAAACAGACATATAAAGCACTATGCTTCTAATGGTTAAAAAAGACATAAAATAAACCAAAGGAAAAATGAGCTTTTATTATCATTATGGTATATTACCATGTTGAATTTTAAATTTATGAACTAATATCAATTTTCTCTCTTTAAAAATAATATGCATAAAATTTTTCCTTCTTAATTGGTTTAAAATCTCAGGAAAACAATCAATACCAACATACTGAAAAAAATTTAGGGGATTGCTGAATATATGTGAAGCAAATTTTATATAGTTTGAAAATGAGTCTCTCATTTCTGCCACAGGCACAGTTGAGGTTGTGAGTTAACCATGTGATTTACTCGATTATGTTGATACTTCTGTAGTGTTTCGTGTAATGAAATTTGCAAATAATGTGAATTTTCTCATTCCAACTGCATTTTACTAATAGCAGAAAATTTTCTAAATTTCAAGATAAAAACAGACTTCTAATGTGCTAGATTCTCTTTCCCAGTGGAAATTTGTTCAAAATGTTGTTTTAGATTTGCTTACAATGTTGTTTTAAACCTGTTTAAAATTTTAAAACCATATGGACAATGGTTTTACTCTTAGACTTTTAAACAATACGGTTTTATCATGGATTCCCAAAGTATGGTGACAACTTCTATCACAAAATAGTCTATATCTAAATAGAAACTGATAAAAATGGAATAAAACTTTCTCTATTAGAGTGTATTTGCTTGTAGCATGTTTGGCAACATAAATGGTAGAAATATAAGTTAATCAGTGAATATTAATTTTAAACTACTTATTATATATCCGTGTTTTGGGTTATATAAAGAAGAAATATGTCTATTATTTCGGAAACAATATCAATAAATAGTTATGGTGGACAGATTAACAATAAATCTGGCCCTGAATGGTACTAGAAACGTGAATATTTTATTGATGCTCAGGAAAAGAAAGGCAGTATAAATAACAATGTTTTAATTTTACTTCTGATGAAATATCTGAAAATGGTAATTATTTAACTTAGAGCAATCAAAATAAGAATATTGCTTACTCCGCAATATTCTCCATTGCAATTTTAGAAGAAAGATCAAATAAACACAAACACACTTACATGTGTATGAGTATATACATACATATAATTTTCCACCTAATTTGCATTTTACTAAAATATAAATAAATATTTTTAAACATGATATTCTATACACAAATGCTAATTTAAAAATAAATGACAGAATTGAAATGTAGTTTTTACTTGTGAATTAAAATATAAACTGTTTAATATTATTAGTAAAATATTATTGTTCCTGTTTTTTATTGAGCATACAATGATGCAGCTTTGATTTATTTAATATTCTTTTGTTTTGCTGATTTTTATCTGTATATATTATTGAATTTTTTTTTTTTGAAACAGAGTCTTACTCTGTTACCCACGCTGGATTACAGTGGCTCCATCTCAGCTCACTGCAACCTACACCTCCTGGGTTCAAGGGATTCTCTTGCCTCTGCCTCCTGAGTAGGTAGGATTACAGGCGTGCATCACCACACCTGGCTAATTTTTGTATTTTTAGTAGAGACAGGTTTTACCATATTGTCCAGGCTGATCTCAATCTCCTGACCACAGGTGATCTGCCTACTTCGGCCTCCCAAAGTACTGGGATTGCAGGCATGAGCCACCATGCCCGACCAAGACATTGATTTTTTTATTAAATTACCCTTACCAGGACTTAAGGATGCCATTTTGTCATTTATTCTAAATAACAAGAATAATTGTATGCACAATTTGTTGCTCCTCAGTATTTATTTTTATTGATATAAAATTTTTACTTTTCTCATTAAACTAAAGTGAATTCAATAATTAGAGTATATAGTTATGAACATATTATCAATATTGCTTTTATGTGTATTTATAATGTATTAAATATTAAGTCATAAAATAAGTCCCTAAAAATCTTTTTATTCCAAATGTTTAGTGTAAAATATATTTTAATTTTCACCTGCTCTACCATCAGTTTAGTAAAACCACTACCTAGAAAAACACAGGGACTCAATGTTTGGCACATCTCATTGCCTTGTATTTTTTTTTCTTTTTTTGGTTTGGTTTTGTGTCGTCTTCCATTCACGTGCTCTGTTTGAAATTCTTTCCTCCTTTGTAATCTGTAATAGAATCTTTCAGTTGATTTTTATTCTAAACTGATAACAAACTGGATTTCAGTTTCATTTGTGAAGTATTCACATCCTAAATATAAATGTTTTTTAAGTTGTCTCATTAAAAAAATCATTTTAAAGCTATCCCCTAGAAATCACATACTCTAAGATTTTTCTGTACAGATGCTTATATAGTCTAAGTCTTCTGTATTTTTGCTCATGTCTCTGTAATCAAGTCCCATATTAGCAATAGCCTGTAGGAATATTCACATGCTTACTTTAAACTTAACATGCTCAAAATAGAAACTACAGTCATTTCTTCAACAACAGCTCCTATAGACGTACTTATTGAAGTCATCACTAGCATTAACATATAAATCCATCTTTCTGTCTGATGGTTGCAGCATTTAGATAATTTCAAGGTCTGGATGTGCTGACTACTTTATCTTTTAACAATGGCTATTTTTTCTAACTTTTTTATGTAACACATCTTAGATTTTAGAATGAAAATTATGTGCAAATGAACAGTGGAGAATGAGGTAAACATTTATGTTTTGAAATGGGTCTGTCCTTTCTTTTGTCAAGTCGTAATTGTAAAGTATTTAGTCACTGTTGTCAGGAGTTGAGTTGGGTTTGGGTTTTGTTGTGGCTACATTTATTACCTTTATACTGAGATGTCAATTTCCTTTCATCTTGGTCAGCTGGTACCATATACTGGATGTGGGGTCTGGGGTGCTGAAGAGATTTTTGTGTTCCTAATCTACTTTCCGCTTTCCGTAATTTCTGAACAAGCCTGTGCCACAGAGAGTGTTTATATATCATTTTGTCCCTTCCACAATAAACAGTAGACTGTCATTTCTGTTAATGGGTGCAGGTGTCAAAGTGGAGGTAGGGTTGGTTCTGTCTTCCACTTCGTCAGCCTCATTGACTTGGCCTTTACAAATGGAGCTTTTTCAGTGTGACTTATGACAGCCATTATCTGCCTTGTGTCTGAGAGAGCCTTGGGCAGGAACAGTTTTCACAACTTACCATGACAATACTGATCTCGCTTTGAATCAGTGCTTTGAATCAATCAACCCCAGTAGGCTTCTTGCTCTCCACCAGAGACTGCCAGGTTTTGGGTCTATTCCTCCCTCAGAGGCAGTGCACCATTGCCTGAGACTAGGTCCAAGATGGTAGTATCCTGCTTCTTTCCCAGTGATATTGCTTATTTGTTTGTGCAAAGCTTGTTGTGACAGCAGAGGTAGTTTGTTATCTCTTCCCCCAGAGGTAGATTGCTTCTACTTCTACCTAGAGGCAGTGGACTTATTCTACAACGCTGGGAGCAGAACTGTTTCCTGCCCATAATGGAGCTGTTTATGGCGTTTACTTTTCTGAGAGAAAAGTTCCAGAACATGGTCAGGGCTTCATGTCACTGTCCACGTTTGTCAGTTTTGTGCCTTTGTCCAACCAAAGGTTCCTCTCTCAGCTCTTTGCCCTGCATGTAGTTTATCTCATGAGTATCTAGAGGTGAAAAAGACCTCACAAGTTAGTGTAAACTCCATTATGTCTGAGGCTCCCACTACGCTCTCTTACTTGACAACATTTGACCCTGAAGAATTTGTAAAGTTTTCATTGTTTTCTTCTTTCACATTTCTAGAGCATGAAACTCTAAAGAAAGAAACACAAAGTCCTTGGTACCATGCTCCACCTTGTGTTTCTTGGAGAGGCTTGGCACCTTGGTTCACCTGGTAACCTTGGAACCACAGCTTCCTGACTGATGCACTTGAGAAATGTTAGGATTCTGTTGACTACCCTGTTGCCTTTTGTTTGTTTGTTTGCTTTAGGGTGGAAGCAATGTCTACTTGCGGCTTTCCACCTTCTAAGTGGAAGCAGAACTTGGTTGCAAGTAATTCATTTAGGAGGTAATTCCTGCAAACAATGTTGAGTGAATGGGAAAGTGAGCAGCCGGTGGAAGGCAATGCAAATTGCATCAGAGAATAGGTTGTAACTGTATAACTAGAAACCTCTGGGAGACTGTGTAGTGCTTGTCTCAGAGCTTTCTTACCTGAAAATAAAAAAGCTGGGGTACTCATCCACTTAGTATTTTCTCCATCACTTCCATCTTCATCAACTTATTTCTAAGGTTATTCTGATAGGCAAGTTATTTATTGGAAATTATGAATTTACCTTCCTACCATTTATCTGGCTGAGTCTGATTACTTTGTCCTTTTGCTTTTCTTCGAAACTGTTATAATTTTCATAATTCTAACCAATTTATGTATTTTAACATATTTTAGCGTGATAGGAATTTTTGAGAAATTAATTTTAATAAGCATATATCAAATTTACTTTGCATTTATATATCATATAATATGAAGTTAATGTTTATTTTGTCTTATAATGAATGATTTATAGAATTCTGGGAGTATGGATGGATTCTCGTGGTAATTTACATATCTCTCTTAATACATCACCTGTGCATATCAGCCCTAAGAATATAAGTAAACCTCTCTGAGCCCAGTAGAGTTTATAGTTTCAATTTAATCTAGTCTCCACCTACTGTAATTAAAGGCCGTAACTGGAAATATAGTCATTGATAAATGTGTGCTAGGAAAAGAGGGCTGTGTCTGCTGATTGTTTTGTAATTAATCACCGTGGTGAGAAGCTACAATATTGTTATACTCAAATCTTCAGGTATGATCTTCAGCTAAATAATATATGACTCCAAGGATGTTAAATAATTTAATGTTCAAATGATCTATTTCAATCAAGAGTTATCACAAAAGCCAATAATGGAGAGTGCTTTCAAATCAAGAGCTCAAATGCTAATTAGAAGATATGCAATAAGAGCCCAGAAAAAAGACGATTGCATTTGGTATAGAAATCATGCAAAAGCAGTTTTCATACAGTTACGAGGGGTGAAAGGGCTTCCAGAGAGAATCTGAGACAAGTGATTAAGTAGAAGTGCTATTTCCCCTGCCATGAATGGAAAGACAGAAATGGAATGGCAGCCAGAGTAGGGTGTATTTGAGTCTTTGCTTGCTATTTCCTCTGAGAACAGCTAGAGCATATTTATATGTTGCTGATGGGAATTTTCCAGTGAAAATGGCCATTGGGAATTAATGACAGTGGGGGGGGGGGTCGAAATGCTGAAGTCAAGTTTTTGCAAAAGGTATAGAGTGTGGAAAACAAAAAATAATTTAATGAATGTGTTGTCCTTACATAAGAACAATAAGACCATAGTAAACACATCACTTTGTAAAAATATAAACATACATATTATCACTACAAAAGCCTAGGTTGATGATTTGAAGTGTGATAATGAACAAGATTCGTTTGACAGCTCCTATTTTCTCATTAAGGTAAGAGGCCTTCGGAAAAATGTATGCGTAGGATTACTGGCATATTTAAAGCACATTTTAAATAAAAATTATATATTTTACACTAGTTCTTCATATGATGAGAGCTTTAAAAATAGGAAAATATTTAACAAGATAATACTTATTTTTAGTCTGTGAAATCATTTCCTGTAAGCTCTGAAGCAGAGATAATTATGTTCCACTACAAAAGGAGTTATTTGCTCTCCTGTTAATGTGGGTAAGAGATTTCCAGGGTTTTTGTAGGTTTCTTATTTTCCTTTAAAAGTGAAAACAAATATATAGCATTTTTTTCTTAGTCCTCTTACTGAGGACTTCTAGCATGCCCTTGGTTATACAAATACATAATTGAGACGTATAGCAGACACTTCACTTAAACACAGATTGGTTGTAGGCATAAGTAATCTGCAATATTTTTATAAATCCTAAACCAGCAAGCATAGTCATATATTCATAAAAAGTGAAGCAGCTAAGAAAACATGGGCAACAATATTTTCAACTAAAATATCATGCAACACGATGGTTTTTGAGTAATTATCAGAGACTGATACAAGGGAAGTATTCTCTTAATCAGAGAGTTTTGATTAATTTAATCACACTTTCACTGTGCCTATGAAAATAATGTCTCCACTGGTGTTCTAATTTGAAACAACAGACTCTTTTTATTATTGAATGAAAGGTACCAGTCATAATGATAGTATTATGGCTGAATATTCAGTCCTGAAAAGTAATATGACAGAAATAATAAAGTTGATTACCAAAAAAGGAAAGTGAACATTCACTGACATATATTCACCTGGCAAAATAATAGTCATCACTAGCCAGTGATGGAGAAAGACATTGTCCAATTAAATATACTGTTTTTGGTTCTGAGTCTGTTGAATGCCAATTATTTTTGTCCCGTTTGTAGATATATCACACATTCGGAGCATAAATACATTTCTTTAAAATAATTTTATATGTCAATATTTATACATTGTTACTATTTACTAGATTATCAACTTTATTTCCCTCCCTATTCTCGACTATGTTTATGTTGTTTTCATGTTATGTCATTAACTATTCACAAAGCTGATTAAAATAAACTGATTCTAAAACAGATTTACAGCTATATGAGTCACTTATTTTTAATCTAGAAAACATAAATACATGCCCTCCAGAAGACACGGTAGTTTATTGACACAAGGAAATGCCGGTGGGATCTTTAAAGTGTATGCAGATCTAAATCCAGGCACATCAAAACCCAGGTGTTGAAATGCTATGATTCCTGGTGCCCCACCTCAAGGCCAGTGGCTGAATTTTGATGTGGAGAAGGTATTAACTAAAATCGAGTGGACATGTAGAAAGCATTAATTTGAATTTGGGATGATGCATGGAGCCAGGAGGCAAACAAAAGGAAGAATTTACCTTCCAGAATCTCTAGACTGGCACAACACTTACCAAGAAATCACATGATTGATTTTGTCCTGTTCTTTTAGCACAGTGAAGGGTAGGGTCCCCAGCACCCAGAAGTAGCTTCCCACTCCTTATCCACGAATACTCTGGTTCCCTGTCAATGGCTTCTAATTCAAACATCCCTAAAGGTCTATTCTAAACAGTATGTTTTTTTTCCAAGTCAAATGATCAGAATATTTCTTCATGCATTCTAAGCACATCTAGCCAGCAATTATGCCAGACACCATGGGAATTTTGTAGTTTGGGCATTCTCATCAAACTTGTAAGCAGTGACACAGCCAACAGACTTCTCATCACTGTGATGGTTAATACTGAGTGTCAACTTGATTGCATTGAAGGATGCAAAGTATTGTTCCTGGGTATAATTGTGAGGGTGTTGCCAAAGGAGATTAAATTTGAGTCAGCAGACTGGGAAAGGAAACCCACCCTCAATCTGGGTGGCCACAATCTAATTAGCTGCCAGCGCAGCCAGAATAAAAGCAGGCAGAAGAACCTGAAAAGACTAGACTGGCTTAGCCTCCCAGGCTACATCTTTCTCCCGTGTTGGATGTTTCCTGCTCTCGAACATCACACTCCAAGTTCTTCAGCTTTGGGACTCAGAATGGCTTCCTTGATTCTCAGCTTGCAGACAGCCTATTGTGGGACCTCACCTTGTGATTGTGTTGAGTTAATACTCCTTAATAAATTCCCCTTTATACATATACATTTATCCTATTAATTCTGCCCTCTAGAGAATCCTGACTAATACAATCACCTTCATCATTGTCTCATTTCTGGACTTCAGCTTCTTTTTTTTATCAAAACATGGGAGTTCAAATCTCTATGTCATTGAAGATATTAAGGAAGGTAAAACTATTCTGCCCCAATAGTTAGGCCATTGCCTTCACCAACAGATTGACAATCAGCTGGCTCTTGTCAGCTTTAGCTACACTTATTAGGGCTGCGAAGAATTGCTCTGGGCTCTTGGAAGACTTAACAAATTCACCTTCTCCTTTATCAAGAAACAACTTGCTTTCTATAGCATGTTTATTCCTACTATGAAACCGTGACTAGGAGAGAAAGTCCATAAACATTTTTTTTTCCGAAAAATCTCTCGCTTGGAAAGTGGGACTAGGTATGCTTCCTTTTGGGCAGTTTCAAATTTATTTTTATTTCTGGAAGCATTTTTGACCTGGAAGCATCCTCTGCATGAAAACAGAAGTTCTCAGACAGGATGAAAAGAAAGCAGATAAGTCAGCACTGGGTTTCTCCACTTATGGGCCCAACAAATCTTTCAGGAACATAAAATGCCTGCTTAGCAGGTATTTGAGAGAGAGAGTAATGCTTCCTTCAGGCATAGAAATACCATCAACCTGATCCAGTAGGTTCACAGGGACGATTAACTTGCCTTTATTAACTAAATGAAAACATTTATCTACTAGTTGTTATCACAGTACATTAGAGGAAAGTTGAATTTTGCTTTTATGTTGTCCATTCTAAACTTGTTAGAAAATGACAACTAGGCATTGGAGGAAGCTCCATTATTCACCCAAGAAGACAATATGAATTTGCAGGTTCACAAAAGGGCATTTACCCTGAGTTGATTATTCTACATTGTATACATGTATGAAAATATCACAGGTACTGCAATGTAACCTAAAATTATGTGCAACTGTGATATTTTAATAAAAATCTAAAAATGTCAAAATATCCATAAATATATGCAAGTCTATTATCTACATTATTATTGCTTAAACTATTGGTGATAAAACATTATGTTTGTGTTTGTAATTTTGTCTTTTATTTGCATTCTGTTATGGCCAAATACTTTTGTAAAATATTAGAAATAATGAATTACTAAAATTAAAACACAAATTCATATAAAAAGGCATTTATGCTGAGAATGTCCAATCATTATTACTGTGCACACATATACAGACACACACGCATATGTATTTCAAGTAAGCCTTTAATATGCCCATATAATTCTATTATTTTCTTTTTTTAACTCAAATGGCATATTCATTTGAAATTGTATTTCAATGATATACGATTAATGAAGAGAAGAGATTGTGGATTGCCATATATCCTATCATGTCCCAGAAGGTAGTCATTTGTGACTATTTTCCTGGCATATTTATTATAATGCCAATTTTTACTCTCAGGAGAGTCACAGTTTAGATGATAAATAGATACGGTTCGTTGAAGTTAAGGTGATGCAACTTTCTGAAATGTAACATGGGAGAGGTGGGTGAGTTGGAATTGACCAGATTCTAGGATTTTCTTTTTAAGAGTGTTACATTGGCCACATTCATAGAGAAGTGGGATTTAATAAAACTAAAAAACTTCTGCACAGGAAAAAAAATAGAGTAAAAATGCAGTGCATGAAATGGGAGAAAATATTTGCAAACCATATTATCAAAACCATGTATCATGTCAGGAGTTACTCTCCAAAATATAATATATATAAATATAAATTGCTACATCACAATAGCAAAACAAAAACAAACAATAAATAACCCAATTAGAAAATGGGCAAGGAATTTGAACAGACAATTCTCCAAAGAAGAAATACAAATGGGCAACAAGTAAAAAAAAGGTGCTTAACATCACTAATCATCAGGAAAATGCAAATCAAAACCACAAGAACATATCACCTCACAGCTATCAGGATGATTGTTATTACAAAGAAGGGAAAAAAAAAGTGTTGGTAAGGATGTGGAGAAATTGGAACCCTTTTACACTGTTGGTGGGAATGTAAAATGATGCAGCCACTATGAAAAACCCTGTAAGTTTCTTCAAAAAACTAAAAACAGAACAACCATATAATCCAGCTGTCCCACTTCTGGATATATAGCCAAAGTAATTGAAACCAGGATTTCATAGAGTTAACCCACATTCTCATATTCCTTGCACATTATTCACAATAGTCAAGATACAGAAAAATACCCTGAATATCCGTAAGTGGATGAATATAAATAAGATGTGGTAGACATGATATGGAATATCATTCAGCTTTAACGAAGAAGGAAATTCTGCCCTACATGACAGCATGGGTGAACCTGGAGGACACTGTGCTAAGTGAAATAAGCCAGTTACAGAAAGACGAATACTGCCTAACTCCAGTTATATGAGGAATCTGAAATAAACTGATAAACACAGAATAAGACTATGGTTGTCAAGGGTTTGTGGGAGGAAAAAATGAGAAGTTGCTGTTCAACAGGTATAAAGATTCAGTTATAGAAGATGTGTAAGTTTAAAAGATCTACTGTACAATATTGTGCCTGTTAACAATACTGTTAAACCTAAAAAAAATTGTTGAGGGTACATCTCATGTTAAGTGTTCTTACCACAATAAAAAAAAATTATCTATAAAGACGGTTGAGCCTGGAGCGAAGAAATACATAACAAATCATGTCTGGAAGCATTTAATAAATTAGGGAGTGTCAGAGAGGTATGTGGAGGTAGAGAAGATGATATAGATTTTTTTTTTCTTAATTTGATAATGGAATAATGGTCATGAAATAAGACTAGTGAGAAAGTAAGACAACAAATCTACCTTGCAGTCCTCAGGTGTAAGAGAGAGGGAATAAGGAATACCATTTAGGAGGACTTCAAAAAAAAAAGATTTCCTTGGAGAAGAGCTAAGCTTCAGTTAAGGTAAACTGGCAGAACATAGCAGTTTAAAATAACAGCTTAAGGCCAGGCGCAGTGGCTCACGCCTGTAATCCCAGGCCGCCGTGGCGCGGGGGCTTGTGGGGGGGGTGGTGTCACCTGAGTTCAGGAGTTTGAGACCAGCCTGGTCAACATGTTGAAACCCTCTCTACTAAAAAAATACAAAAATTAGCCGGGCGTGGTGGCGGGCGCCTATAATCCCAGCCACTCAGGAGGATGAGGCAGAAGAATCACTTGAACTCGGGAGGCAGAGGTTGCAGCGAGCGGAGATCGTGCCACTGCACTCCAGCCTGGGAGACAGAGCGAGATTATGTCTCAAAAATACATAAATAAATAAATAAAATGACAATTTAAGATATTACCGTAATTCCTGGATAAGAAGCACCAGTTACAAAGGACAGTAAAAGAATTCTCGCTGTAGGAAGATGGAGATAAAATGAAGGAACAACTAGAAATGGGAGAAGATAGTAAGTGGAAATGCTAATGCAGTGGATCATAGATCTGTATCTCTGCATGTGTGCTTCGTTCTTTGTATTGTACTTTAAGAAGTCACAAATAGTACTCAAGTTGTAAGAATATTAATCATCTTAGCAAAAGAGTCTTGCAGTACTGGGATTTATACACAACAAAGAAACACATGGGGGGGGTTAATCCAGCTGGTATGTATAAGAAGTTTATAAAAATTGAATTAATAATTGTGTAGTTTTGAACACTGTGATAATATAATTTGTACATATATAAGAGAAAATCCGATGAGAATAGAGCCATGACAAGGCTGAATATGTAGCAAACAAGGTGTCTATGATAACAAACTCTACATGTATTAAAATAAAATGATTTCAAACAAAATGAACAGATACAGCCCTGGAAACTTCCCTGAGGGGAGTACTGGCGGGAATCTAGAGGAATCTGAATGAGAACAAAACAGAGAATGATTTATTATTATTATTTTATCTATTTGAATGACTTTGTAGAACCACATATTTGTGTCTGATAACACCAGAGAAACTGAAAAGTTTCTTCCAAGTTTTCCAGTAATGACCATGAACTTAATAAACTATGTAGTGACATACATTTGTATTTTGAACGATTTCTTACTAGTTAATACCATTTCTTGCAGAATGTTGTGTAATGGTTTAGAGAGAAACAGCCTTTTTGTGGCTTCTGCTCGTTGAGCTGGGATTCAAGTGTTCAAGTCATCCAACCTCATTTTCTCTTTCCATGTTATTGCCTATGAAAGATATGTTATTGTTTCTTCTGATGCCCAAATAGCAGATCTATGCATACAGTGCAGTGTTAACTGATTTAGGTAGCTTTCCATCTCAGCATATAAGTATCACTTCAGGGAGTAGGAGAATATGGAGTTCTTTTTGATGGTACATGTGTGTTAAATTGATATTGTTCTGGTAATGGCACACTATAGCCATGAACTCTGTCCATATTACCCTCTTCCATCAAGAATGGATGACACTATTCACAGATAAAAGGGAAAGGATCAAAATCATGATATATTTGGACCCAGTAGTCTCTTGAAAAAGGCAGGGTAGAGGTCAGAACACTTATTTCAATTGAACAAAGTCTACATTTTCGGAATGCTGCTATAAACCAGATGTCATATCAGTAACTGTCTTGAAAGAAGTGTGGAAATGTATAACAGCTATGAAAAGAGATATTCGTATTAAAGGAAATATTTAGAAACATACGCCTGAGATACTATTGTCTTTAGTCTTAAAAAATTGCTTAAGTAAAATTAAAGTAACTAACTACCTAAGTGAGCACAATTTTGAAAGAGAGGGATCTCTATTGTTATGTAATAAATTAAGGGAAAGCACCAAATGGGAACTAGAAGGTAGAAAATGTTATCAATATATTTGAATATTGTAAGTAGAAATAAAAATCAATTAGTCATATTTTAACAAACCAATTAAAGTAAGCCTTAAAGAAAAAAAAGCATGTGTTTAAATTTTTAAAGGCAAGTTTCTGACAAAACTCCCTATATAGAAGGTTATAACTTTTTTTTTAAAAGTCACAATGTAAAACTACATTGACAGCCAAAACACATATATTTTAACATGTAAATAAATCTATTACCCATTTCAACAGTGATATACCAAAGAAAGAACTCATTAGCCATTTTTCATAGACTAGTCAAACATGTTAAAATGCTATCATTCCGTATTTGCAAGTTGGCCTGTAGAAATATACTGAAGATTTTTTTAAAAGAAGATTGAATTTAATTCAAATAACTCATTTTAATTTAAATGAAACTAATATAAATCAATCATCATAAAACAGATTGAAATTTCACTGTTAACCATGCTCATAATTCAACTTACATTTAATTTAGAAGAAATAATAGTCAAATTTGTGGTTATTTAAAACAATCTAGAGTTTAATATAGCGTAGAATGCATAAAAATTTTTTTCTTTCACGCTCATTATATGACTAAACAAAATTTATACAGAACATTTCTTTAGTTCTTTATTTTCTTTTCGTGCAATTTTCATATTTGTTTCATTGATTTGTACTGCATTTACCAAAGGATAAGTTTTTTTAGAAGTGCAAACCATTTACCATTAGTTTTGGTATCAAGAAAATTAAATCTCACCCCCTTCACTGTACTTGTATTCATTTACCCACAGTTGAAATTGAAGTAAAAAATTACAATGTTGCAAGCCAGGCATGGCGGTGCATGCCTGTAGATCCAGCTACTCTGGAGTCTGAGGCAGGAGACTTAAGTTGAGGAGTTTGGAGCTGTAGCTCCTATGATTGTGCCTGTAAAAAGCCACTCCACTCCAACCTGGACAATATCGCAAGAATCTGTGTCAAAATATCACAGATACAATTCCTTAAAAATAATTTACTATGTCATGATTTCTCCACATTTTACATAAGACTTAGAGCTACCTTAAGTTAAAGGTAGCAAACAGTTATATCATAACTCATTTTCATGAAGCTTTAGGACTTCATCCTTTTATCACTGCAATAATTTTAAGTTATAAGTCATTTTTTGAATAATATAGTATATTTGCTTATTGATTTTTAAAATGCACGCTACTTGTAGATTTCTTCTTGCATTAGAAATGAACGATCTGGTGACCACTGGATGTGGTAAATGAGGAAAACTTCAAAAGTAACTAATAAGTAATAGATTAACATAATAATAATAAAACCTTCCCCATTTCCAAATTCCAGTGGAAATACTTACAAACACAGACCAAACATAAATGTTTAACTATGTCTATGCATGTGTAAATTTGGATAAACACTAGTAAAAATATTGATAAAAGATCATATATTCAGAAATTGGAGTTGTTTCTACATCTTGATTAAACTAACAGGGGATACTGTTGACTCTTTCAAAAATAACAGTTTTAAAATAAGGAGCCTACATTTCCAGTTTAAGACAATGAACTGATCAAATGGTTCAAAACATCAGTAACAATTATTGCATACAAAAAGGAATATTTTGAAAACGTATGGAATAGAGGTGACAGCAATTGTCCGGAGTTCCATAAATTTCTGGAAAACAGGAGAAATTTGGCGTCCCATGATCAATAAACTCATGCTGAGTGGGCCCCATTTTAGAACATGTAAAGGAGAAGAATCTGTGTTGGAACTGGATAATAAGGGTTGTAGAAATCAAGATAATTGACTTATGGACTGTTACAAAATTTGAGGTACCCTAGGTTTAGATTGGAAAATTATTTTATAAGAACTATTAAGATATCTAACTTGGATTGGTATATTTCTGCTGGAAAGTCAATACCCATGCTGTATTCTCCTTATTATGACACGTGTTTGTTTGTGACCCAATTTACATCTTTAAAATAATCATTATAACATGTTTAGGCACATGTACCTGCTGAAAATGAACCATATGAAGGAGGAAGAATTAGCAGAGGAATGGAGTGATAGCCAGTACTGTCAGCCTTCAGTATCCATGGGGGATTGGTTCCAGGAACCTACAGATACCAAAATCCATGGATGCTCAAATCTCTTATATAAAATATTGTAGTAGTTACATTTAACCTATGCACATCATCCTGTATACTTTAAATCATCTCTAGATTACTCATAACCAATACAATATAAGTGCCATGTAAACACTTATTATACTGTATTTTGTATTTTTTATTGTTATATTTTTATTTTTTTTCAAATATGATCTCTCCAGTGTTGGTGGAATCTGCAAATTCAGATGCCGTGAGTACAGAGAGTTGATTTTACTTCCATGAATCAATAGATTAATATTCATGTTCAAAACAAGTAGTCTTATAGATTTGAAGAGAATGCAAAGCAGAGCTGGAAAGTGAATGCCTCTTTGTTGTGAGTCATCATTATTTGTCCAATATAGGTTAGTAATTTGAGTTTATTTTATAGTTTTTCTCTGCTATCCTCAGACATCAGACTCTTAATTCTTATCTCCTTTTAATTATTACAGGAGAAATATTTACAGCTTTGCTAAAGAGCTTGTGAATCATAGTGTTTGCTGAAAGCTCTAATTCAGGTTGACTACAGCGTTGACATTTTGCAAGTTAGAAATTTTCTAACTTACTTTAATTATTATAATTATTATTGTATCTTTCAAAATCAATAGATCATGCATAACTTAAAGTTACAAAAATATTAATGTAAAACAATGTATAATTAATTTATCTATGAGATAATTTGGTGGGACTGATAAGATGTGAAAAAAACGGTGTGGGACACATTTCCTCAGTGTGTATGATGGGGTGCCAACATAAAAGACCTATTATTATTGAACTAAGATATAGATATTAAATATATTATTTGCAAGCACTAAAATTACCGCTAGAAGGTACAAACACCTTTGACATCAGGGCTAAAATAGCTGAAGCTTACCTTTGAAAAATCAATAAATGCAATAAAAAGATATTTATCATTGTGATACTTAGAAGTATTCATCCAATGTGCTAAACATATAAAAAGTCAAAAGTGTTCCTCCGTGTAAGGAAAAGGGTAAAGAATTAAACATTGAAAACAGGTTTTTTGGCCCTTGTTTAAAATAGTTTTTATATTTTACTTTTATTATTTATAAAAATATAGGAAAAATCCAGATATTAAAAGGTACATAAAAGTCTGTCCAGGTCACTGTGTAGATAAAAGAAATGAGAAATGTAAAGTTGATACTACTGAGAATGAGATAGAAATAGGAGAATTTTTAAAAACCCATACATACTGATTGTACATTTTGCTGAAGTATACGTGATATTTTGATACATGTATACAATGGGTAATGATCAAATCAGAGTAATTGGGATATTCATTAACTCAAACATTTATCTTTTTATTCTATTAGGAATATTCCAAATCTCCTCTGGCAAAAAGAGTAGAAATATTAATTTTTGTTTATTACATATATTTTTTATACCTTCAAAAATATTTATTAAATAAAATTCCAAATATGGTATTAAATTAGATTTAAACATTCAAAATCACCAAAAAAATTTACAATTGTATAACTAAAGGTACAAATTAGTTCTATAAATACAAAAAGTATGGCAAACAATTTTGTAATATTTCCACCCTGATCTAGAATTCCATACCTCCCACATCTCTCATTATCTTTTTTCTTAAGGTTGTTTTGGTTTTTCAAACAGCCCACATAACTTTTTCAGGATTATTTTTTTAATTGAATAAACATCTAAAGTGACAGGAACTTCCAAAAGTATAATGCTTTATCTAGAAAGGTAATTTCCATCTCTTTGAAAAATGTTCATGTGTTTAATTATGAAACTTGTAAAACATTCAGAAATATACTAAAAATAATGCAGCATCCAATCATGTAACAATTATGCGGATTTCAGGAAATGTTAATATTAGATTATATTTTCTCTTTCCTATTAAGGTATATCTACTATCTTGTATTTCTTGAGTACTTATCCATATATAATTTTAAACTTTTATACAAATGTTTTCTCATATATAACATATAATACTATAATTTATAAAATCTATTTTGCTGTACATATCATTTTGAAACTTACTTTTTTTGTTGTTCATCATGGTTTTCAAACATTTACCTATTTTTACTTACTAAGAGCTAGCTCTCTCCTCTTGGTTAATTCTGTGTAACACATCATTCTATGAATATATCACAAGTTGTTTATCAATTATTTTCCCAAAATAGCTTTAGATTGCTTCTCGTGTTTTGCTGTTTTCAAGCTTACATACTACTCTTACTCTATGCATCTCTTTGGGCCTGTAGTAGAAAATGAGAATTAAAATATTGTAACAAATACCAAGTTTCTTTTCTAAGTTGCTGCAATAATTTACACTTCCAGCATCCACAAGACTGCACACTTCCAACATGTATGCTACACGAAGGTAATATCAAATCAGTATGAAATGGAATTCCTTTGTTGTATTTTGCATTTTTCTAATTTGCAGTGATGTACAAATTTTTATATGTTATTAGCAACTTGGGTTTTGTCTTAGGAATTTCTAGTCCAAAATGTACTTGTTCAACTATGTTTTTTTTACTGAGTTCTTTGAATGTATATTTATAGGATACTTAATATATTGATGACATCAATAGCTATTGAAATGTTTATGTTGAAAACATTGCCATTTCCAGTTTATCCTTTAATTAGTTCATAACTTCATTATAATATTCTTTTAATATTTTTATATAGCAAGGATTTTTCTTATATGATCACACTGCATTAGAAATACATCAATATCCTGGTATTAAAATACATTTCATCTCAAAATTTTTGCTTTTCATATTTAAGTCTTTAAACTATGTGGAATTGATGTCCAGTGTGAATTTTCACTACAATTTTATCATACATATTTGGTAGCTATCCTAGCATTATCCTTTCTACCTTTGTTTTCCTAGCTGTTGTGTAGTGCAAAGTGTATTATCTAAAAATTATGCACATGTGTGCTCATATGTCTAGGTTTTTTATTCTGACTGACCTTTTTGTCTATCAAAAAAATTTTCATCAATTATAATTATATGGGTGTTGTGAGATTAGTGCACAGTACCTATAAACTTGTTTAACACTGGAGTTTTTTGTGGGTATGTGCATGTATGTGTGTGTGTATACATGTGTATGTAATGTTTATCTATGTGTGTGTATATACATATACATACTATATGTGTATATGTATATACTATATGTATATATAGTCTTTGTCCATTTTGTGCTGCTGTAATAGAATAACCTAAGACTGGGTTATTTATAAGGAAAGAAATTTATTTGGCCCACTATTTTGGTGGCTGAAAAGTTTAAGATTGGGCAGCAGCATCTGGTGAGGGCCTCATGCTGCCTCCACACACGGAGGGAACCCGAAAGGAAGTGGGTTTGTGCAAAGAGGTCGCATAGTAATGGAGGAAGCAAGAGAGAGAAACCAAGAAAGACAGACTTTTGTTTTTTGAACAACCAGCTCTCTCAAAAGCTAATCCACTCCCATGTAAGTGAGAAATCAATCCTCTTAAAGTGTTTCTCTAGTAATTCTGTTATCATGTATTATCATTTTATGATAGTTTTGAGATTCTTACCATTAGTATTTATTAATAATAACTGATATTTTTTACATTCATGTTCAAAATTTGTCTTGAATACCTTGTGTCATTGTGTGCTTTGTCTACGTTTTAAAATTTAAATATTGAGTTACTTTATGTTGAGTTACATTATGACTCAACTCAGAGAACTAGCATTTAGTGTTGTAGATCTTTTCTTGATTTTTATTTTATTAATTTTTCATTACATTCTTTGTTTTCATACTTTTGTATTTTTGATTTGGCTAAAACATTTTTTCCTGCTTTCTGAAATAGTTACTTAACTTATTGATACTAAGTTGTTTAAAACATTTGCATTTACAGAAAAAATACTTACTTATTGCTACAGATTTATCCCTTAAGAATAGTATATTTTTTAATTTTTAAAATTTTCATGGCTGTGCATGGTGACTCACACCTATAATCTTAGCACTTTGGGAGGCTGAGGAGGGCAGATCCAGATCACTTGAGGTCAGGAGTTTGAGACCAGCCTGGCCAATATGTTGAAACCCCGTCTCTAAAAATACAAAAATTCGCCAGGTTTGTTGGTATGTGCTGGTAATCCCAGCTACTCTGGAGGCTGAGGCAGGAGACTCACTTGAATCCTGGAGGCAGAGTTTGCAGTGAATTGAGACTGTGCCACTGCACTCCAGCCTGGGCAACAGAGTGAGACTCTGTCTCAAAATAAATTTAAAAAAAAGCTTAAACTTTTAATGATTTTAATTTTAAATAAAACAATTTAAATAAAACATTAAACTTTTGAATTTTAGAATTTGAAATCATAAGTTTTTATTGACAACAAAGTATGCAGATAATTATACAGCTTATTTTGTTACTTTGAGCCTTCTTTTGAGACTTTGTATGTGAGCAAATTGAAGCAGACTCTGTATGCTTATAGAAAATTGATATACTTCCATTAGTGAATGATTTGATTTATATTTATAATTTGTTAATATTTTACAAATTGTCTATATCCTTATTGCTTTGTGCTTTGATGTGGTTTGGATATGTGTCCCTAACCAAATCTCATGTTGAATTTTAATCTCTAAAGTTGGAGGTGGGGGCCTGGTGAAAGCTGATTGGATCATGGGGATGGATTTCCCCTTTTGGTGCTTTTCTGGAGACAGATTTCTCACAAGATCTGGTTGTTTAAAAGTATGTGGCACCTCCACCTTCTCTCTCTTTCTCCTGCCCCCAGGCATGTGAAGTGCCAGCTCCCCACTTCACCCTCCACCACGATTGTAAATATTCTGAGACCTCCCCAGAAGCTGAGCAGATGCCAGCATCATGCTTCCTGTGCATTCTGTGGAATCATGAGCCAATTAAACCCTGTTTCTTTATAAATGGCCCAGTCTAAGGTATTTCTTTTTAGCAATGCAAAATTGAACTAATAGAGAAAATTGGTACCGAGCAGTGGGGCATTGCTATAAAGATGCGTGAAAATGTGGAAGTAGCTTTGGAACTGGGTAACAGGAGGAGGTTGGAACAATGTGGAGCGCTCAGAAAAAAGACAAGAAGATGAGGGAAAGTATGGAACTTCCTAAAGACTTGTTAATTGCTGTGACTGAAATGCTAATAGTGATATGGACAGTGAAAGCCAGGCTGAGGAGGTCTCAGGTGAAAATGTGAAACTTATTGGGAACTGGAGTAAAGGTCACTTTTGCTATGCATTAGCAAAGAGGTTGGAGGCATTTTACCCCTGCCCTTGGAATTTGTGGAAGTTTGAACTTAAGAGTGATGATTTAAGGTCTCTGACAGAATAAATTTCTAAGCAGCAAGGAGTTCAAGATGTGTCCTGGCTGCTTCTAACTGACTATGTTCCTATGAGTGAGCAAAGAAATGAATTGAAACTAGTACGTATTTTTAAAAGTGAAGCAGAGCCTAAAAGTTTGGAACATTTGCAACCGGGCCATATGTTAGAAAAGGAAACTCCACTTTCTGGGGAATAATTCAAACAGGCTTCAGAAATTTGCATAGCTAAAAAGAAGGCAAGTGCTGATAGCCAAGACAACGGGGAAAAATCCTCAAAGGCATCTCAGAGACCTTTGTCGCAGATCTTCCCATCACAGGCCTAGAGGACTATGAAGGAAAAATGGTTTCCTGTGCCAGAGCCAGGCCCAGGGCTCTGCTGCCCTGTACAGCACTAGGACACCTTTCCCTGCATCCTAGCCACTCCAACTCGAAGACACCAACTGTCTCTAAAAGGAACCCAGATACAGCTTGGGCTGCTGCTTCAAAGGATGAAAGCTGTAAGCCTTGGTGGCTTTGACATAATTTTAAGCCTGTGTGGTGCATGCAGTGCAAGAGTTGAGGTTTGGAAACCTCTTGCTAGATTTCAAAGGATGTATGGAAAGCCTGAATGTCCAGGCAGAAGCCTGCTGCATGGGTGGAGTCCTCATGGAAAACTTTTATTAGGGCAGCACAGAGAAGGAATGTGAGGTTGAAGCCCCCCCACACACAGTATACCCATTGGAACACTGCCTACTGGAGCTGCAAGAAGAGGGTCACCATTGTCAAGACCCTCTGAATAGGAGATCCACCAATAGCTTGTACCATGTGCCTAGAAAAGCCACAGACACTCAATGCTAGCCCATGAGAGCAACCATGGGACCTGAACCCTGCAAAGCCACAGGACAGAGCTGTCCAAGGCCTTGGGAACCCACCCCTTGCACCAATATATCCCGCATGTGAGACATGGAGTCAAAGAAGATTATTTCGGAGCTTGAAGATTTAATGACTACCTGCAGTCAGTTTCACACTTGCACAGGCCCTGTAGCCCCTTTATTTGGCTGATTTCTCCCTTTTGGAAAGAGAGTATTTACCTAATTCCTAAACCTGCATTGTATCGTGGGAGTAACTAACTTTTTTTTTTATTTTACAGGCTCATAGGTGGAAGGACCTTGCTTTGTCTCAGATGAGACTTGGGACTCTGGACATCTGAGTTAATGCTGGATTAAGACTTTGGGGAACTGGTGGGAAGGCAAGGTTGTATTTTGAAATATGAGAAGGGCATGAGATTCAGGAGGGACCAGGGGAAGAATAATATGGTTTGGATTTGTGTCCCCACCCAAATCTCATGTTGAATTGTAATCTCTAATGTTGGAGGTGGGGCCTGGTAGGAGGGCACTGGATCATGGGGGTGAATTTCCCCCTTTGGTGCTATTATTATGATAAAGTTCTAACAAGATTTGGCTGTTTGAAAAAGTGTATGGTACCTCCCTGGAACCATAAGCCAATTAAACTTCTTTTCTTTATAAATTACCCAGTCTCTGGTAGTTCTTCATAGCAATGCAAGAATGGACAAATACATGCTTACTTAGTCTATCACTTTTAGTGAGAATTAGGCTAACCTATCTCACCACAATTTAGGATATATCAGTATGCCTTTAAATAGTTGTCCATTTATTTTCTTTATATATTTTGGGGCAATATTGTTTAATGAATAATGTACCAAGAGTCCAACCCTGTCCTTGCATAGTTCTCATTTTTTCTTTAATTGATGATCTACTAGCAGTTATAATGTTTTCATTTTTGGTAATGTTGGGAGGAATATTGACTTAAAAAATACAATCTATTGTATATCTGTTATAAATGAAAATACAGCCTATCAATATTTCTGGGATGCAGCTAAAGCTGTGCTTAAAGAAAAATCTATAGTCCTATAGGTTTCTGTTACACAAAATTAAAATCTAAAAACAGTAACCTCAGTACCTAAGAATTAGAAAAAAGAAGAGTGAATTAAATACAAAATAAGCAGAGGAAGAATAGAAAAGAGTAGAAACCAATAAAATAGAGATAGGGTGGACAATTTAGAAAGTCAATGAAATTAATCTATGCCTATTTTAATACAGGAATAAAAGATTAATTAACTGATCAATACAAAAAGAGAAACTATGAATTACAGAATCAATAATAAGAGAGAACCCATGGTTGTATGCTAAGTGTAATGATGTTAAAATGTTAATAAATACTTTAAAACTTTCTTGATACTTTTATGAATGTTTAAGAGCTTTATACTTCATACTTTAAATAATTAAAAATATGTATAAAATGGACAAGTTACTGGTACTTAAAAATTTGAAAATGTCTGTTGGTGGGTGTGGGGCTAGGGGAGGGAGAGCATTAGGAGAAATATCTAATTCTGCACATGTACCCCAGAACTTAAAGTATAATTTAAAGAAATTAGAAAATGTATAGGATCCTATATATAATATACAGATTGAATAAAAAAATACACATTGTTTTCACAAACTACTCAAAATTCAAATGACTTCATTGGTAAACTTTACTAAATATTTAGGAAAAATAATACCAATGGCAGAAAAGATTTATCTATCAGAAAATAAGAGAAGGAAATACATCCTGATTTGTTGTTTAATGTTTTTACTTTGCAATAGTTTTTCTCATAAAAACTTGCAACAATAGTACAAAGATTTTTCATGTATTCTTCATCTAGCTCCTCCAATGATCATGTCTTACAGGACAACAGTACATTGTCAAAAACAAAAAATTGACATTGACATGTAATTAAACTCAGATAAACATGGTTGGATATTTGGATTTCACCAATTTTTACATGCATTCCTTTTTAAAAATTATTATTGTTGTTGTTATCATTATTATTTTAAATTGAGACAAAGTCTTGTTCTGTTTTCCAGGCTGCAGTGCAGTGGTGCAATCATGGCTCACTGCAGCCTCCAACTCCTGGGCTCAAGTGGTCCTCTACCTCAGCTTTCTGAGTAGCTGGGACTACAGGTATGCACCACCAAGGCCAGCTAATTTTTTTAAAAAATTTATTTTATAGAGATGTGGTCTCCCTATGTTGACTAGGCTGGTTATAAACTCCTGCCTCAAGCAATCCTCCCACCTCTGTCTCCGAAAGTGTTAGGATTACAGGCATGAGTTTCCATGCCTGACTAAAAACTATGTTTGAGTAGTATTTTATAAATTTTTTACATGTAGAATTTCATCAGCACATTCATGATACAAAGTTGTTCCATAACTACAGAGAAATTTCCTCATGTTGCACCTTAATAGTCATATGCTTACCTCAAACCTAACCTTTGACAACTACTGAACTGTTCATGACTATCATTTTGTTAGAGAAAATTAATAAATAGTATCACATATAATCTAGCCTTTGGCAATGGGCTTTTTTCTCAGCATAATGTCCGTAAGCTATTCGTGTTATTTACATTAATGTTGGTTTTAACAGTAAGTTATAATTCAAAAATTTAAGACAAGCATATCTTTATCCACATATTTATCTATTCCTTACTCTTTTATCTTTTCTGCTATTTCAGACTCATTTTGTTATCATTTTCTTTTAGTTTGTCAAATGTTTTTTGAGGCAGACAATGCTGTCAAAGTATTGTAGTTTTCTCTTTTTTCTAAGAATGTCTTTGTTTCACCTCCATTACTCAAGAATACTTTTACTCGGTATAGAAATATAGTTTATTGGTAATTTTCTTTCAGCACTTGAAAGCAATTGTGCTGCTTCCTTCTGACATCCATATCAAAATTCAATACCATTTGAATTGTTCTCCTATAGATAATGCATTGTGTCTCTCCAAATGCTTTCACCATTTTTTTCTGTCTTTAGTTTCCACAGTTTTGACTATGATATCCTTGGGCATAGATTTATTTGTCTTTACACAAATAAAACTATTGTCAGTAACCTTCCTGGATCTGTAAGCTTATGTTTTTCCCAAAGTTTGAGAGGTGTTCAACCATTATTTCTTTAAACAGTTTTCCAGGCCACATTTCCTTCTTTTCTTTTGCAGTTTCTGATGTTTTGTTACTATCTCAGATGTCCTGTTGTTCTGTTCATCCTTTTCTTACTTTTTTATTTTTCTCTCTTGTTCATCCTGAATGATTTCTATTAATATAAATTCAAATTCACTCTTTTTTTCTCCTATTAATTTTATCCTGCTATTGAGCCACTTAGTAAGATTTATATTTTGGTTATTATATTTTTCAGTTCTAAAATTTGTATGATTTTGTCTTACATCTTATATCACTTTGCTGAGACATTCTATTTTTCCATTTATTCAAGAATGTTTTACAATATTTGTCCAACAATTCCAATATTTGTGACTTCTTCACATTGATATTTGTTGATTATCTTTTGTCATTTAAGCTGAGATTTCCACGGTGTTTGATATGGTGAGTAATTTTGACGCTATCCTAGACATTTTATATATTATAAGAATCTATTTATATCTTCTAATTTAGAAAATAGTCATTATACTTAGGATGAATGCATATCCTGGCCTACTTTTTTTGGTGATGGTTTAAGTAAGATTTTAATTTGAACAGCCTTTGGAATGATACTCTGTTCTGCCACAATTGTACATTAAGCACTTGACAAACTCCAGCTCAGTCTCTATAGAGCCTGCTGAGGAGGGAGTGGGACACAGCCTTGTTACTAAAGGATTCTGAAGGGAGTGTTTTACCTATAGACCCTGTTTGAAAGAGTTGCCTTCTCATTACTATAGTGTAGAATAGAACACCGGGCTTTGTGCATAGACTTGGCATCACTGGTTCACCATCTCATTACTGCAGTGTGTGGGGAGCAGTCAAGTTTCAGCCCATAGACTTGTCTGGGAAGCAGCACAGCCTCATCGTTGTAGTCCATTTGTTTTGCTACAAAATACCCCTGGAATGCAGAGAGCAGAGGATTGAAGCATAGCTGAGCCGCAAGCCCCAAAATCCTATGGTTACTTGGACTTCTCTTTTGAAACCATTCTGCCTTTGAAACTCTGGCACTCTGGGGCTGCAATGGGCATAGCAGCCTCAATGGTCTCAGAAATGCCGTCAGGGCCATTCTCTCATTATCTTGATGAGTAGCATCTGGCTTCCTTCTAATAAGACTAGTCTCCTTATGAAATGGTCACTTGGCTAAGCTCTGAATTTTCTTTCCTAAACATGCTTTTTTATTCTTTGTATGACTAGGCTGAGAATATTTACATTATGCTTCCCTTTTAATTATGAGTTCTATCTTTATATAGTTTCTCTCATCTAACATTCTACTATTGGTCAAGTTTAATCAATGGAAGTCACTCAGCACCATGAGCACTCTGCTTAGATATTTCTTTTGCCAGATATCCTAGTTCATTAACAGCAAGTTCTCCCTCAAAAAAGCATTAGAACATGAACACAATTCGACCAAGTTTATTGACATTGAACAAGGTTTAACTTTCCTTCAGTTTCTTATACCTTGTTCCTCACTTCCATCTAAGACTTAATCAGAATGGCCTTTAGTTTTCAAATTTCTACCAACATTGTGTTCATGATCACTTATTTCATTTTATTTTTTGAGACAGAGTCTTACTCTGTTGCCCAGGCTGGAGTGCCGTGGCGCAATCTTGGCTCACTGCAAACTCCACCTCCTAGGTTCACGTCATTCTCTTGCCTCAGCCTCCTGAGTAGCTGGGACTGCAGGCGCCCACCATCTTGCCCGGCTAATTTTTTGTATTTTTAGTAGAGACGGGGTTTCACCGTGTTAGCCAGGATGGTCTGGATCTCCTGACCTCGTGATCTGCCCGCCTCGGCCTCCCAAAGTGCTGGGATTACAGATGTGAGCCACCGCGGCTGGCCCCATGATCACTTAGATATCACTAAGACTAAGCCACTTTTAAAAAATTAGGACAGACATCTTTATTGAAATGTGTCTTTCGGTATATGTTAGCATACTATATATACACATACATATATACTCTTTAACACAACTCATGTATTGCCACCATTCATTTAACCAATAAATTAAAACTAAAATGATGGGAGGGAAGGGAAGGGGAACTAATGACAAACTTTTCATCTTATATCTGGTAAGAAATTGTGAATTTCTCAGAATTTCCCTGGAGAAAACCTGTGACCAGAGAATCTTTGAAATAAAATATATAAATCCCTGCCCCCTACCAAAAATATTTCCAAAAGATGGAGTTATTACAATAAGTGTGCTTCTCAGAACAGGAGCATTCATTCCACTCCCTACTCTTGCTTCTGCACCTCTGGCTTCAAGACAGTCTGTCCCTCAGTAGGGCAGTGAGGTTTATATGGGCACGTAGGCTCAGTGCACCTTGGGCTCTGGGGGTTAAGGAGCAGGCTACAGTATGGGAGCCGAGTGAGCAACACTCCTCTGAGGTTATGTCTGGTACATCATCTGACTAAGTATGAGAGTTTTCCAGGTCCCTGTGGATGCTCTCAGGCTGGGCCAGACTGATGTCCCAGAGTCTGCTGGCCAGGCAGTCTTTCTGTTCACATCTTTGGTGTCTGTTGAGGGATCCTCTTCACCACCTCCATCACCACTACCTTCTTCTTTGTCCAGTTTCTTCTGAGTCTTCACCAAAATCACTCTTAGATGTTCCATTCACAGCAATACATTACAGGCCAAACTCATATCAGGTCAGCATTCACATCAAAATACACCTTATTTCTTGATACCAGTTTCTATCTTAATTGATTTGTGCTGCTCTACCAAAATATAACAGACTGGGTAAGTTATCAATAATAGAAATTATTTCTCCCATTTCTGGAAAGTTCAAGATCAATACCAGGCATCTGGTGTCTGATGAGGGCCTTCTTGATGCATCCTTACATGTCAGAAGGCAGAAGGGCTACAAGAAGGCCAAACTCTTCCTCAAGCCTTTTTGAGAATACTAAATCTCATTCATGAAGGGAGAGCCTTCATGACTTAACCTTATCTCCCAAAAGGCCCCAGGGCTCAATATTGCCACCAGGAGAATTAAGTTCAATATTAACTTCAGAAGGGATGACATCATTCACACCATAGCTCTCATTATTGTAGGGCAGAGTTGGAAGATAGGGCTATGACCACAGGCTCTGCCAGAGCAGGGGTATGGGGTAAAAACACCAAACCCAGAAACAACTTTCTCTGACAGGAAAAAAAAAATAGCAAAGCAATACTTACTGCTACATTTTTCAAGCATGCAAAAATAAAACATCTAGGGACAACTTACAAGTTTGCAGGAAATTATCATTTTTAAGAAAAGTTTCATTTTGTCTTCTTAAAAAGAGAAAATTAAAGCTCCTATGTCAATTCAAACAATACAAACTAACAGGCAGAAAAAGAACCCAGATGTGAGAAGGAATGCAAATCACCACACTAAGAAGCTGAGAAATTACTCAGCAGGATCCAAAAATAATTAGGATCTGAGTGAACATATTGGTAAAATATTAAAAGTACTTTGAAAACTTTTAAGTGACATTGAGTTTAGAAGGAAATTTCTTCTTGGATAGTATGATGAGACTTTTTTGAAAATAGATCACCAGTAGGGGCTGACAGCTGTTGCAACATTTATTTTTCTTTTCTTTTTTTAAAAAAATTAAACAGAGGTAAAAAGTGAGGTTTCTGTAAAGATGCGTCCTAATAATAGAAGTATTTCATTGTTTTGGGGTACTGTCTACACTGGAATTCAAGGACAGAAAAACCAGAAATATATGACACAAACATGCTTCTTTATTCAAATTCTAGACTTATAAAAACCAAATAAACAAAAACAAAGTAAAGCAAACCAACAAACAAACAAAAAAACTTCAAAGTATGGGTTCTTCTGGGCAGAGTTCAAGAAATTTGCTGCTGCTTCCAATTTAACAGAAAGCTTTTTTTAAAAAAGGACTCTTTTACTTGGTGGAGCATTAAAATGAACAATAATTCCTATCTAGGTATATGAACAACTACAAAGATTTCAGCTATACTAAAATCTTCCAATTTTAGTGGAAGAATGATCTTTCAATTTTGTTAGTGGATTAAAAATCATAGTGATATTATAACTTGAACTAATATTTTTAAAACATGTGTTAACATGTATTTCCTTATTAATGAAGATTTAAAACTATAAGTTTTTTTTTTCCAATTTTTAGGAGAGGCAAAAATTCAAAAAAATATCCAGTAAGAAACCAGAGGAAAAAAATCAACTGGATAGAGCAGAACTATGTGTCCTAAGCTGGGGGAAATAAAAATAACGTGAAGTATTGGCTGGTAAAAATAGTCTACAGATAGTTATTGAAGAACCTAAGAAAACCCATTATTGACCCCAACAGACAAAAGACAATGAAACTGCAATGGCGTTAATTGGTACTTAAAAGCTTTGGTGCTCTTCTGAACATTGAAGTTAAAAAATTTAAATACACTATAACCCCTGCATGCTTAACTTTCCTTCCTCCCAATTCCACTCTGCTTCCTCCACACTTCCAAATCTCCAAATTGTGCAGTCACCTAAAATATTTACCAGGTCAATTTTTCTTTATCTCTTCTCAGGATACCTTTGCTGATATTGCCAGGAAAGCTAGATAGAGTGACCTCAACACTGCCTTTCTAAATAATGTTGCTTCTTTTGTCCTCCTGAAGCCTCTACAAACATGTTGCCAGAGGTACTTCACGCTAAGACTTCACTGCTAAGGTAGGGAGAATCTGGTGTCAACTTGTCTAGTTAAGTGAAAGGAGAGGTGGCCCTAAATTTCAAATATATCTGTGTGAACACTGTTTATATTTCTGTTTGTAAAAGATTGCAATCGGAGACATAGAATGGGATTCATCTTGGGTAGCTGGTGGATCATTCCACAAACTGTCATAACCCCAAATTCATCGCATATGATATGTCAACATTTTGGCAGGTGCTTAGGCTTCTTCTTGACAAGGAACCCTTTCTCATTTCCCATGCATCCATATATTCCTGTGTTCTGTAATCAGCTTGTTGACACAAGACTAGTGCTTCATTTCAAACTTTCATTACCTTAGCTTTATTGTCTTTGAAGCTGCCTAATAGCCATTTGTTTTTAAAACCTACGCTAACTAACACAGAATAAAAATATCTCATTCTTTTAGGTTACTGCACCCAAAAACTTTGATTATAATTTCTGGGTTATGATTAATAGTCAGTATAATTCAACTGGATTTAATAACCAGAAATATCTAAGAAGCAAATACCTTTTTTTTTTTTTTGCTTGCTGTAAGGCCTGATAAGATAGCATTGCAGCACAAATCAGTATGAATATTCTGAAGCTGTTTATATATACAAAACTTAATCAACTGTTTATTGTGTGTGAGAAGTTTATAACATTTTGTCTGCAAGATTCTTCGGGGCAGGCATAATATCAATTTTTATAATTGTGAAATGTACAAAGCCTGCCACAAGGTAGTACAAATAAAGTTTTCAAAACCTAAGTTGCTACCAGTATTAGTTTTAATAAGTTCATACCAATGAATTGACGTTCGCTTTGAGCTGAGTTCAGATAATTATCAATGATGAGCCAAATACAGTGCATTATAGGCTATGGATTTATTTTTTCAACATAACAAGACAATTGGGGGTAGAATAATGGATCCCAGTTAGTCATCATTGGCTTCAGTGCTTGTTGACATATTACCAATCTGATTTTATCTATCCATCCTCATTTTGAAGCAGATTCTCTATTATTACTTTATATGATTTTTCTCCATGTCCAAAATTTTCTAATTACCTCATAAACATATTTTTACACTCATTTTTTTCCAGGTTACAAACTGATGCACACATTGCATGTGGTTGCTATGTCTTTTAATTTTCTTCTAATTAATACGATTTCCCACTTTATAATCTTCATGTCACTTTTTGTGCAAGAAACTTATCTTAGATTCCTAATTTGGTAATTTGGGTCATTGTGGTGCCCCACATATTTTCATCCTCATGATTCTGCGAAATAACATTTGGACATAAAGGCTATGTTATAGTCAGGCCCAATTCATTGAGAAAAATAAATGTGTAGACCATCTTGTAACCTTTCTGTTGTAGCATCCAGTAGCCATATACTGTCTTATCATCTTGATTTCAGTGCTGCTAATATGAACCAGTAAGTTTAGATTTGGTCAGCTTCATTTGCTGAAAATTTATCCATTAATATTTCACCCACAAGTTTAACAATGACTGACAATAGTTGCCTAGATATGTTATTTAATTAACATTTGCAAAGCATAACTAATGTTATCATTTTTAAAAAATTTAATACTTAGAAGTCTTCAGTAAAGAAATTTCTTTCCTCTATTTAATTATTTTGATAAGGAAGGTAGAATAAATTATTGTTTCTTTCTCTGTATGAATAGCCAGAATAATTTACTGGACTCCTAAGAATCCCCGAAAGTGACAAATTAGTTTTTATAAGTATAATTAAAATATCTTAGGTTTTTTACATGTATATTTGATGCCTCTCAATCCATTATAGGCATTAATATTTGCCGTTCAAATTCTGTGAGGCAGATTTTTTTAGATGGCTCGCTCTGAGATTCCTACATCCTGATATACATGTACCATATGATCGCCTCCCCTTGGGTGTGGCTGAGACCTGTAAACACATGGAATAGCAAACACAATGTGACAAATGGAATTTTGCAGATGTAATTAAGTTCCATAACTAGTTGACTGAGTTCAATCCTAAACAAGTTTAGCAAGTTAGCAAACAATCCTAGCAACTTTCTGCCTAGGCATCTAGGTGGTCTTCAGCATCCTTTAAAATGCAGGGTGAAGGAAGACATGCCTATACAGCACACCTGCAGAATAAGCACATTGTGGATGCTGCTAAGACTTACCACATACACCCGCTGGAGTGGCAGCTGAACCACTCCTGAGCCTGCTTGAGCCACAGCTGGGGTGGCCAAGGCACTCTGCACTGGAATATGGGGAGAAAAGCTCCAAGGCAGCCCTGGGCAACAAAACTTGTGGAGGGCATCCAAGGCCTCTCTCTGGAAACCAGTTCACCTTTCTAGAGCTCTGGGCCAGTGGTGGGAGGGGCAACCCCAAAATCTCTGAAATTGCCTTTGGATCCTTTCTGTCATCATCTTGATGAATATTGGGGAGCTCACAAATCCTAAAAACACTGAAAATTTTCCACCTACCTAGAAACACTTGAAGAATTCTCAGCATAAAAACTGGCATTGATCACCAAATAAACAACTGTATAATTATGACAAAATGATGTGGATAATGATGGTGGAATATTGCATATGATGCTCTGACAATTTACGTAAAATATAACCATCAATATATAAAGAAGAATAGAGGAGGACTATGGAAAGTAGAATAAGCTGTTGATTTTCTGACATAGACTTAGTATAAAAGATGTTTTAAATTTGATGTTAAATGAGGAAAAGCAGGAACAAAAGAAACTAGATAATTCAATCTTACTCAAAGTAGGAAAACAACAGACTGTGTTAAAAGCAAGAATGATATGGATATTATATTAAGGTATTAGGATATATGCAACAATCAAAACAAATGTAGAACATCTCTAAATTCCAAACAAAATATAAAAAATGAAAATATGAAAATCCCAAAAATTAAAGCAATAAAAAGAGAGCACACAGTGACAAAGAGTTATATAAATGCATTAAGGAAAACAAAACAAAGATCAAACACCTTTTTTGTCCTATTAATCAAGTATGTGAGTTTTTTACTCATGTACTTTTAAAAAGTTCAGACTGGTTAGCCAAGTAAATTCAAAGTCTGTGATAAAGTCTGGAAAATTACAGCCAGGTGTGGTGGCTCACAGCTACAATTCTAGCATTTTGGGAGGCTGAGGTGGGTGGATCGCTTAAGCCCAGGAGTTAGAGACCAGCCCATGCAACATGGTGAAACCCCGTCTCTACAAAAAATACAAAAATTAGCTGAGCGTGGTGGTGCATGCCGGTGGTCCCAACTACTCAGGAGGCTGAGGCAGGTGGATCATGGCTGCAGTGAGCCATGATGGTGTCACTGTACTCCAGCCTGGGCAACAGAGCAAGACCCTGTCTCAAAGAAAATAATTTTCGAAATGTTTTCTAGTTCTGTGAAGAGTGATGGTGGTATTTTGATGGGAATTGCGTTGAATTTATGGATTGCTTTTGGCAGTATGGTCATTTTCACAATGTTGATCCTTCCCATCCATGAGCATGGGATGTGCTTCCATTTGTTTGTGTCATCTATGATTTTCTTCATCAGTGTTTTCTGGTTTTCCTTGTAGAGGACTTTCACCTCCTTGGTTAGGTATATTTATAAGTATTTTATTTTATTTTATTGCAGCTATTGTGAAAGGAGTTGAGTTCTTGATTTAGTTCTCAACTTGACCACTGTTGGGGTATAGGGGAGCTATTGATTTGTGTACATTGATTTGTATCTTAAAACTTTGCTGAATTCTTTATCAGTTACAGGAGCTTTTTGGAGGATTCTTTATGGTTTTCTGGGTATGCAGTCATGTCATCAGCAGACAGCGACAATTTGACTTCCTCTTTACCAATTTGGATGCCTTTTGTCTCTTTCTCTTGTCTGATTGCTTTGGCTAGGACTTCTGGTAATATGTTGAATGGAGGTGGTGAAAATGACATCCTTGTCTTGTTCTGGTTCTCATGTGGAATGCTTTCAAACTTTTCCCCATTTAGTATTATGTTGGCTGTCGGTTAGATGGTTTTTATTACATTGAGGTATGTCCCTTGTATGCAGATTTTGCTGAGAGTTTTAATCATAAAGGATGATGGATTTATATGGAATCTACAATGAACTTAAACAAATTAGCAAAAAAATACAAAACAAACAAAACAATCATGTCAAAAAGTGGGCTAAGGACATGAATACACAATTCTTGAAAGAAGATATACAGATGCCCAACAAAAATGGAACATCACTAAGGATCAGGAAAATGCAAATCAAAACCACAATGCAATGCCACTTTACTCCTGCAAGAATGGCCATAATAAAAAAAATAAAAAAATAATAATACATGTTGGTGTGGATGTGGTGAAAAGGGAACACTGCTGCTGGGAATGTAAACCAGTACAACCACTATGGAAAACTGTGTGGAGTTTCCTTAAAGAACTAAAAGTAGAAGTATCATTTGATTTAGCAATCCCACTGCTGGGTATCTACCTGGAGGAAGAGAAGTCATTATATGAAAAGATACTTGCACACGTATGTTTATAGCAGCACAATTCACAATTGTAAAAATGTGGAACCAACCCAAATGCCCATCAATCCATGAGTGGATAAAGAAACTGTGGTATATATACATTATGGAATACGACTCAGCCAATTAGCTATCATAATATAAAAAATTGTATAAGAATATTATTAAAAAGATATAAAAACATAAACACCACTGTAAAAAGAGTATGTCTTTTTGAGATCTGTGAGTTGTATCTTACTTGCAAGCAAGCAAGTTTGTTTCATAGACATTTGCAGGAGACAGAGAGTTGAAGGTCAGAATGAAAAATCTATTCATTATGTACAGCAAGCAGCAGCAAGACTGTCACTGTGTTCTCATGCTGGACCTCAAAACCACAATTTTCACAAGGTAAAATGATACATACAAACATTGTTAAAGGGTCAGCTGTATATCAAACTCTGAACCCCAAAACAGACAATACATCTTTTAATATGTTATATTATTAAAACTGATTGCATATTAGGTGACAAAAAAACAGAATGAGATCTTGTAAAATATATAAAGAGCAATTCAAACTGTTATGTAATAAAACTAAAAATTAACCAAATTTGAAAACAAACAGCGATTTCATTTGGAAAGTAAAACTTATAAAAAGCCATTAAATAGCCCTTGGGCCAAAAAAAGGCATTTCAAAATTTGTTAATGTTATGAAGGTAAAAGTAAAAATGTCACGTTAGAACCAATTGGAATATAGCTGAAACAATTTTCAGGGAAATATTAATAACCTATATAATGCTTACCTAAATTCAAATTTTATAATGAAAATGTAATTCAACCTAATCATTAAAAAAGAGAACAAAGTAAATCAAACCAAAAGTTAATTATGTTAAAAATTAATCAAATATGATGGCCAAAATTAATGAAACAGAAAATACTAAAATACTTAGGCATGAAGCAAACAAAAAAGTTGCAAAATCTTTCTCACTTGTTTTTAAATATTATTTGTTTATTTAGTTTGAGATGTGTTCTTGCTCGGTTTCCCAGGCTGGTCTTGAAATCCTTGGCTCAAGAGATTCTCAGCCTCTCATGTAACAGGAATTACAGACATGAGCCACAATGCCTGACTCTAAAATTACAAAATTTTAATAAATAAATACACAATACACTCCTAAAAAGAATAAATGTAGAATTTTAAAAATAAAATAAAACACATCTAGAGAACATTAACAATGTAAAGAAAAATCAGTTCTCACTCCTAATAATAAATAACACCACTTTTTCTACTGTGTGCACACTCTTCTTACTGAACCAACACACACACACTTACATATATATATGAAAAGGAAATGGAAAAACAGGGTATTGGAAACAGGAGTGAAAACTTTCCTTGTTGTAAAGTACCAAAGACCTTGTCTGAATTTTTTTGTTCTAGGGCTTTGTGGAATGATGAAATTAAGGATGTTGAACTAGAATATCTGTAGAAAAAAATTTAAGTAGCAAAGCATTAAGGCTTCTCTGTGGTTACTTTTGACCTCATAGAATGAAATGTTTGAGCAAATAAATGACTTAAAGATGGAATTTATAATTAAAAGGGATGCAGAGTAGAAAGATTGGAAAATTTGCAGTAGCCCCCCAGTATTTAGTTAGAAGCATAAGAAGAAATCTATTTCATGGTTGTGATGGTTCCTCACACATCTGTCAACTTGTGCAGGTTTTATATGCACAGTTCAGTTCATCCACTGCAGTTCATGGAAACTCATTTTCACTTAGTTTGCAAAATACGTGTCTCTTTTTTTTAAATCAAAGTTGCTCTTTTACTGTAAGGAAAGTCAAGAAAGTTAAAAACACCACAGAAGCACCTCTGTCTTTCACATTAATCATTACTATTTAATTCACTAAGCTTTTGAATAATTCTAACCCCAAATTTACTATTATTTTGGCTAAACATCCCTTCTTAAAGCTCAGCTATTTCATTGGATATTATTTTTATCTATCTCAAATATATGCATCCTGCAGAACATTTTTAATTGTCTATGCATGCAGGTTAGTGTGTATAGTTTTATGTGTGCATGTATATATTTATCAATGTTTAATCCTTTTTTTAAACACTGTCATTGAGTAGGTTTCAAAGTTGATTATTTTCACTCAATATATTCAAAGTATTAGCTCCCTAACATTTAGCTTAATGAATCTGTACTTAGTCTAACTAGTTTTTCTTTCTGATTTATCCATATATTCTCTTTAACTGTATTTCAAACTTTCTCTTGTGTTTTTTGGCGTTTTGTAGAATTACTGTAAGCATCTGGGGTTTTTTTTCTTAATCCTACTTAGTTTTTACTTAATTTGTATTTTTAAACCTTCTAGATTTCAAGATTTGTTCCTTTCAATAATTAAATAAAATGCAAAACCATTTTTCCTGATATTTTCTTTCTCTTTTTTTCTATTATCTGCTTTTAATTCATTTTATAATTCTGTTATATTTTTATTGAATGAACATTAAACATATTTTAGATTATCTCACTCTATTATAAATTTTATGGGAGTTTAGCTCCCATTTATAAATGAGAAAATGTGATACTTGGTGTTCTGTTTCTGCATTAATGTGCTTAAGATAATGGCCTCCAGCTGCATCAGTGTTGTAGCAAAGGACATGATTTTGTTATTTTGTTATGGCTGCATAATATTCTGTGGTGTATATATACCACATTCTCTTCATCCAGTCCATTGTTGATGCAAACTAGGCTATTTCTATGTCTTTGCAATTGTGGATAATGCTGCAATAAACAAATGAATGCAGGTGTCTTTTTTGGTAGAGTTATTTATTTTCCTCTGGGTATATACCCATTGATGGGATTCCTGTCAATTGGTGCTTTTATTTTCTACTCTTTCAGAAATCTCCATAACTGCTTTTCACAGGGGCTGAACTAATTTATCACATTTCCACCAAAAGCGTATAAGCATTCCCTTTACTCTGCAGCCTCATCAACATCTGTTATTTTTTGACTTTTTGGTAATAGCCATTCTGACTCATGTGAGACGATATCTCATTTTGGTTCTGATTTGCATTTCTCTGATGACTAGCATTGTGGAGCATTTTTTCCTGTATTTCTTGACCACTTGTATGTCTTCTTTTAAGCAGTGTCATTCATATCCCTTGCACATTTTTAATAGGGTTTTTTTTTCTTCTTGATTTATTTAAGTTTCTTATAGATTCTGGATATTAGTCCTTGGTAAAGTGCATAGTTTGCAAATATTTTCTTCAATTTCACAAATTGTCTGTTACTCTATTGACAGCTTATTTTGCTATGCAGAGGCTCTTTAATCAGATTCAACTTGTCAATTTTTGTTCTTATTGCCATTGCTTTTGAGGATTTAGTTATAAATTATTTGTCTAGGCTCATGTCCAGAATATTTTCTACATTTTGTTTTCACATTTTAATGTTTGAAGTCTTACATTTAAGTCTTTAATCCATATTAATTTAAGTATATGGTGAGAGGTAGCTGCATATTGTTAGCTAGTATGCTAGCACAGTTTTTTACCAGACAGTACTTTTCCCCTTCCTTATTTTGCTTGCTTTGTAAAAGATCAGTTGGTTGTAGGTGTGTGACTTTATTTCTGAGTTCTCTATTCTGTTTCATTGGTCTCTGTATCTATTTTTGTACAGTACCATGCTATTATGATTAGTGTAGCCTTATAGTATAGATTGAAGTCAAGTAATGTGATGACTCAGGCTTTGTTCTTTTTAGTTAGAATTGCTTTGGATATTCAGGCTCATTTTTTGTTTGTTCCATATGGATTTTAAAATAGTTTTGTTCTAATTCTGTGAAAAATAACATTGACAATTTGCTAGGAATAGCATTGAATCTGTAGATTGCTTTGGGCAGTATGAAAAATTTAATGACATTCATTCTTCCAATCCATGAACATGGAATGTTTTTCCATTTCTTTGTGTCATTTATGATTTCTTTGAGCAATGTTTTATAGTTCTTTTTGTACAGATCTTTCACCTCCTTGATTAGATGCATACTTAAACATTTTACATTTTTGTGGCTATTGTAAATGGGACTGTGCTCTTGATTTGGCACAAAGCTTGAACAATATTGGTAGAGAAAAATACTACTGTTTTTTGCATGCAAATTCTGTGTCCTGAAAGTTTACTAAAGTCATTTATCAGGTCTTGGAGGCTTTTGGTGGTGTCTTTAGGGTTTTCTGCATAAAGAATCATATGATTAATGAAGAGAGATAATTTGACTTCCTCTTTTCCTATCTGGATTCCTTTTGTTTCTTTCTCTTGCCCAGTTGCTCTGGTGAGGCTTCCAGTACTGTGATGAATAAGAGTGGTGAGAGTAAATATCCTTGTCTTTTTCCAGTTCTTAGGGGAAATGATTCCAGCTTTTCCCCATTCAGTATGATATTGGCTGTGGGTTTGTTACAGATGGTTGTTATTATTTTGAAGTATGTTCTTTGAGGCCTAATTTTTTGAGGGTCTTTATTATGAATGGATTTTGAATTTTATAGAATGTTTCTTCTGTGTGTACTGAGATGATCATGTGGTTTTTGTTTTCAATATTATTTATTTGGTGAATCACATTTATCGACTTGTATATGTTGAACCAACCTTCTATCCCAGGAATGAAGCTTACTTTATCTAGATAAATTAATTATTTGGATTGCTGGTGGATTCTGTTTCCTAGTATTCTGTTAGGGATTTTTGCAACTATGTTTATGATAAATATTGGCATGTAATTTTCATATTTTGTTGTGTCTTTGCTAGATTTTGGTATCAGGATGATACTGGTTTCGTAAAATGAGTTAAGGAGAAATCCCTCCTCTTTGGTTTTTTTTTTTTTTTTTGGAGTAGCTTCTGTGGGTTTGGTACAAATTTTTTGTACATCGGGTAGAATTCAGCCATGAATTTGTCTTTTCCAGAACTTTTAATGGTTGGTAGTTTTTTAAATTACTGACTCAATTTCAGGACTTGCTATTGATTGGTTCAGGTTGCTTTAAACTCACAACAGTAGAAAAAGAAGAAACAAGGGCATTACATATTCAATAAGAAGAATGAACTATTCTAACTATATATGCAGCCAACATAGGAACACCCAGATTCATAAAATAATTACTCTAAATCTAGGAAAAGCCTTAGAAAGCCAAACAATAATAGTGGAGGACTTCAACACCACATCTACAGCATTAGACAGATCAGCAAGGCAGAATACTAACAGAGAAATTCTGGACTTAAATTTGACGCTGGAACAATTAGACCTAATAGACCTCTATAGAATACTCTACCCAACAACCAAAGAATGTACATTTTTGTCATCTGCACATGGAATATACTCTATGATCAACTACATGCTTGGCCATAAAGCAAGTCTCAATAAATTCAAGAAAATATAAACCATATTATTAAGCATATTCTCAAACCACAGTGAAATACAAATAGAAACCAATACCAAGAAAAACTCTCAAAACTACACAATTATGTAGAAACTAAGTAACTTTTGGTTAAACAAAGAATTAACACAGAAATAAAAAATTCTTTGAAACAAATGAAAATAGAGACAGAACATACCAAAATCTCTGGGATACAGCTAAAGCAGTCTTAAGAGGAGAGTTTGTAGCACTAAATACCTACATCAAGAAGATAAAAGACCTCAGACTAACAATCTAACATCACACCTAAAGGAACTAGAAAAACAAGATCAAACTAATCCTAAAGCTAGCAGAAGAAAAGTAATACCTGAATCAGAGCAGAACTAAATGAAATTGTACCCTAAACACCATATAAAGTTCAATAAAATTAAAAGTAGGTTCTTTGAAAGGATAAACATGGTAGATGGACTGCGAGCTAGATTAACATAGAAAAAAGAGATGATCCAAATAAGCACAATCAGAAATCACAAAGGAGACATTACAACTGACCCCACAGAAATACAAAAGATCCTCAGAGACTATTATGAATGCCTCTGTGCACACAAATCTGTAGAAAATGGAGAAATTCTTGAAAGCATACAATCACCCAAGATTGAGTCAGAAAGAAAATGCACAAATCTCAATTGTCCAGCTTTACTAATTTTTTAGACTCATATACCCAATTTCTTACACCCAGATCAAAACATGAAAGCTTTTCAGCCCCCAGAATGTTACCTTGTGTTCTTTCTCTGTCAATATCTGAACAAAGAAAACCATTTTTCTGAATTCTATTGTTATAGATTAGTTTTTTCAGGTCTTGACCTTTATATAACTAGATCAAACAATATGATTATCATTAATTTTACTAAAAATGTGTCATAAATATTAATTTTTTATCTTTTTGTCTGAATTTTTTTTGCTTATTATTATGCCTGAGATAATCTATTTTGTTGTATTTAGCAGTGTTTCATTATTTTGGATTGTTCTTTAGTATCTATTGTACAATTTAACAAAATTTATTTAATGTAATGTACATATATAAATGTACATATATATGTATCAGAGTAATAAATGCATACACAAACACACACACACATCACTCAGAGCATTATGACTACAGGTCATTATGAGAACTACTACTAATTCAAGATCATAAATTCCTCATGAGATTCTTTTCTGCAAATAACATCTGGTTTGGAACAACAACAAAATTACTGTCCCCTTCTATGTGAAGTTTATTGTTAATTATAAGTTTATCTCTTTGGGTTTCAAGCTACATATGGACATAGGCAATTGGAGTGCACATCCTAGTTTTTCCCCTTTGTCTCAGACCACTTCTAGCTACCCACATGGAAGCTAATATTCTTGGTCATTCAGCAGATATATTCAGACCAAATTTCAGCTTTGGCACTCCACTATCTCACAAGGTTCTGATTTTTACTTAATCTATGACTTTTATAATTTAATTTTAAGGAAAATCAGTGTTTAAGTTGTAAATACAATTGTATTTTATTTCAGTTGGGAGTGTTTACCTCGGAAGTATATCTAAAATATTGCTGATATTAGAATCTTTAATGACTATTTACAGAAAACTTTCAATGTATTGAGAAATAAAAAGTAAAGGATTAAAAATTACTTTTGGTAGATATAGAAGGGAAATAAACATGAAACCCAAAATATAATTTAATATTGTCATATTTGTTATATTTGATCTATCAATGACTTCGCAGAAGAACACCCATACATAGTATTAAGAGAGAATATATGGTGAATGGATAAGATTATGGCTATTTTATGAAATAAAATATTTACCAAAACATGTTATAGTCATATATAGTAAAGGAGAGATCTCAAAATAACACTTTCTTTTTCTTATGTTTTGTATAGAATGTGCTTATGTATAAAACATGCATATACATTTGCATGTACTTTAAGAAGTCATGTTTTTATGCATTCTTTTTCATTTAGTTACATGAGTGGAATAAAAAATATTTAATTATATATTATTAATTATGGTAAAGATTCATTTTTCTTTTCATCAAATATGCTCTAAAACTAAATTTGTAATGGTATCAAAATAAAAGTAGAAAAAAGTGTTTCTTCTCCCTTCTTCATTGTTCTTTGATTTTAAATGTTTTTCTTTAAGATTGAGTTTATATTTCCCTATAAGCATACTGCAACAAGAGATGAAGCAGCAATATGATCATACTATTGATCAAATCTTTTGATCAAATCTATTGTGTTTCTGTTTTTCCTTTTTTGCAAAGTTCTTACTCTCCCATGACTTCATGTAAATTGATTTAAGTATATTGCCATACAAGATAGTTCAAATGGAGATAAATATTGCAGTGTTTCTCTTGACATACCTAATGCCTTTTTTTAAGGACTGCTTCAAGGTGTACAAATAATGCTATCTATATAAATGTTAAACTATACCTAATTCTACTTTTAAATATAGTGTAATGATTTTGCAATAAGATATCAAGTAGACAGTTTTAAAAATGTTAACTGCACATAATTTCTAAAATAATTGTAACACGTAGAGTTAACCATCACTGAAATAACTGTTGGATCTAAGCCTACTTGTTTTATATTAGTACCAAACAATAAAGAAATGCCAAGATTATTATTGGTTTTAATATAAAAATGTGTAGCAAGTATTAATTTTTCATTATTTTAGTGGTGCTTTCTTAGAAATGCTTGCTCCCATTGTATACGAGGACCATATCTTGGTGGAGCGCAGCGGCTTTTGCCTGTAATCCCAACACTTTCTCTGAAGATGAGAGCAGAGGATTGCTTGAGCCCAGAAGTTCAAGACCAGCCTGGGCAAGAGAGGAAAACCCCCATCTCAAAAAAAAAAAAAAAAAAAAAAATTAAAACATTGGCTGGCCACAAAGGTATGTGGCTGTAGTCCCACCTACTCAGGAGGCTGAGGTGGGAGAATCCCTTGAGCTCAGGAGTTTCAGAATGCAGTACACTGTGATTACATCACTGCACTTAAACCTGGATAGGAGAGGAAGACCCTGTCTTTCTCTCAAAAAAATTATATTTTGGTATAAAGACAGATTATTTTAGATCAAAATCTATTGAAAAATTGATTTTGCATAATTTTATTGTTTGCTGGATGTACTGTTGTTTTCCCACAAATCATTAATGTGGAAAAAAATAAATATGCATTTTTTTTCTAACTGAACCTAATGTATATAGTAAGCAGCTCTCTCTCCTTGTAGAAGTCTGAATGTTATTTAGTACATGTTTCTCAATCTACTCAATAATTTGTATTACTCTCACCCTGCTCTCTCTGGATTTGCATTTAAAATCTAGTTTATGTGATTGGTTACATGGCATCAATGCATGCAATTAATTTTAGTCTTATTCTTGATGTGGCTCAATTTATGTTTGCCATTTTAATATTTTTTCATTATATTTAATGTCTTTTTATGCCTTTGTTTTCCTTTACTATCTTCTTTTTCATTAAATATTTTATATAGTAACATTTAGTATCATTTCTAGAATAACATTTGAGTATCATTTACATTTTTAATTTTTTAATTTTAAATTATCATAGAAACATAATAGTTGTATTTATTCATAGGGTACATGTGATGTTTTGATACAAGCATTCAATGTGTAATGATCAAATTAGAGTAATGAGGATTTCCATCACCTCATTAGACATTAAGGTTGATTCCATACCTTGGCTATTGTGTATAGTGCTACAATAAACATGGGAGTGCAGATATCTCTTCGAGGTTCTGCTTTTCTTCATTTTGGATATACGCAGAGGAGTGAGGTTGTTATTGTCAGTGTCTGTTTCCCTGCATTATGCAGCCACTAAGGTCTCTGGTCAGGTTTTTTAAAGATTATTTTCACTTTTATTATAAATTGCCAGGTGTTGCCACTTATTTAGTAAAGCTTAGGGTTCAGCCAGTGATCAGATGTTGTGATTGAATCCTGTGAGCCAAAAAGGCACCAACCCTTTGCCAATACAAGTGTATTGGATGATAAGTTCTTTCAAGACTTAGACAATTTACAAGATTGTGTCATCATTTTTTCCATCTTTTACATTTACTAGATCTTGTGTTCAGTAAAGGATGAACTACTCACTAAGTTTCTTTGTTATGTATCCTGAGCTTGTGTGAAGCCTTTTACATACACACAGGTGTCCAACAAAGGATAGAACTATATCATGGCTCTCTTGTCTTCTTAGTTGCCTAACATCTCCCTGTTAAATTTTTGGCAGGTCTGCTAAACTTTTGCTTTTCTCAACCAGTATTGAGATCTTAACTTACCTGCAAAGTTAGCCTTCCATGATTATTTCCACGGGTATCACTAGTTTTGTTTACAGTATTTCTGAGCATGGGATTTTTCCATCCTCCGCCTTCCACTTAGACTACCCTACATGCAAGGCTGCCATCCCTATTTTCCTGCTCTACTTAAATATAAACCATGGATCAGAGAGTGGGTGGACATATAAGCAGCAAAAGGTGAAAATACCTCAGACTCCCAATGGTTTTACAGATGTTCAAGAGATAATCATAAGCAAATGCATTTTAATGTTGGGTATGCCTTAGGTCTTTTTCAGAAACATCAAATGATAGTTTTTGAGAATCTTATTTAGTTTAATTATAATTTTTTGGAAAAAAGATGCACATTGACCTCAATTTTGCCATACTATAATTTTGTTGTATACATTTTTATTATCCTGTATTTTTTCCTTTACATTCTCTAGAAATATCAAATGTACCTTCATCATCAATAGTACCTATATTTCCATCATCTTCACAGCTCTTGGTGTCTAATATATCTAATATTTATTGATGTATTCTGAGAGTATAGAAAATAAATTACAATTTAGCTATGCAAATTAACCAGCTATTTCTGGCAAAATATTAAAAATAGTGTCTGAAATAAATCATCTTAGGCAACTCATATTTGTATCTAGAAAATTTATATCTAAATAACTTCAGGAAACAGGAGACAGTTTGAAAATGAGAAGCACTGACCCAAAGCAATACATGTTGGTCATAAAATACCAGTGAGTGATTTTGTTAACAATTCTAGTAGCATAATTTTAAAATGTACTTGAAAGATGATAATATACCTTTGTGCCATTATTCTTATACAATAAATGATGTAATGAACAACACCAACTACTATCATTGTAAGAGAAAATTCAGTTAAACAAATGCTTTCCAAAATGGCTTTTTGACTCAACTTAACCGTGATAAATTTGGGTTCTCTTAATGTTGTAAGAGTTTTGACACAAATCAGCATACTCAAACTGAGTAACCTGAGAATCATTAATAAAAGGGGATTAAGATAATAGCAGAGTACAGGGAAACTGCAAGGACAGTTTAGTAACTCAGTAGTAGGCCTAAAGGTTAAGACAGGGGTAAGTTACCTAAACTACATAAAGATATCTGCATGGTGAAAGCCTTCTGTCTGGAATTCTGAATTTTCATGGAGAGAGCCAGGAACACGAATACAGAAAAAAAGAAGAGAACTTATATAAAAATTCCAATTTTCTACTAAATAATGGTACATATTATGTATATATATATTTTGAGTAAAACATGTTAATACATGTAAACATATATCATTCAGGGGGAAAAGTGAAATGAATTTTAATTAATAAATTTTATTTTCTTGAAGCGCTTTCAGGTTCACAGCAAAATTGAGTACAGAGGGTTCCCATATGCACCTTGTCCCCACAGATACACAACCTACATGACTATCAACATGCTATACCACCATAGTAAATTTATCACAATCAAGAAATCAATGTTGGCACATTATTTTTACATACAGTTTATAGTTTGTATTAGGAGTCACTCTTAGTTTTGTACATTCTATTCATTTTGACAAATGTATATTAACATGTTTCCATCATTGTTTCATCACACAGAACAGTTTCTCTTCCCTAAAAATCCTGTTCTCTGCCTATTTATCCCTCCCTTTACCCTAACCCATGGTAGTTTTTTAATGTCTTCATAGTTTCACCTTTTCTCGAATGCCTTATAGTTGGAGTCATATAGTATGTAGCCTTTTTAGATTGATTCCATTCACTTAATTAAATGCATTAAAATTTTCTCCATGCCATTTGATATTTTGACAGCTCATTTCTTTTGGCACTGAATAATACTCCATTGCCTGGAGGTACCAGGATTTCTTTATCTATTCACCTGCTGAAGGACATCCTGATTGCTTCCAAGTTTTGGCAATTGTGAATAAAGCTGCTATAAACATTTATATGCAGATTTTGTGTAGAGATAAGTTTTCAATTCATTTTTGTAAATACCAAGGAGCATGATTGGTGGATCATATGGTTAGAACACGTTTAGTTTTACAAGACACTTTCAAAATGTCTTCAAAGGTAGCCGTATCATTTTGTATACCCACCATCAATAATTGAGAGTTCTTGTTGCTTCACATCCCGATCAGCAATTAGTGTTTTCAGTGTTTTGGATTTTAGTCATTCTAATAGATGTGTAGTGGTATCTTGTTTGTTTGTTTTTCTTTAATTTGAAATTCCCTAATGCCATATTATGTTAAGCATAGTTTCATATGTTTACTTGTGATCTGTATGTCTTGTTTGGTGAGGTGACTGTTCAGAGTGTTTGCTCATTTATTAATTAGTCTCGTCTTTTTTTATTGTTAAGAGGGTTTTTCTTTTGTATATTTTGAATAGCAGTCCTTTAACAGATGTGTCTTTTTCAAATATTTTTTTTTCCCAGATTGTGGCTTGTCTTACTCTCTTGAGAAATGTTGTTTCTAAAATTTCAAACATCTGCAGCTCTATTTTCTCAAAATAATAATCTATTCTAGTTATGAACATTATTTTTCATTCTATTCTCCAATAGCCAATGTCCAACTCATTATTATTTTTACCTAGGACTAGTTCTTTAAATCAAGATCTGTAGAGAAAAGTATTTTGAAGTCAAAGAGAGCTCCTTTTTTTCTGTTTATTATGCTTGGGTTCTTAACAGAAATAAAAGAACAATATTCAACACAAATGCTCCCTGGTGATCTTTTGAAATAATTTTAGAAATTCCTTTAAAATAACACGTTAAAGAAAAAAAATCACATTTTAATACTCACTGAAGACTCTAAAATTCCTTTTTTGGCTTCAAAATTATATGTGTAAATGGCAAGAATAGTTTCTGAAAATGACAAATGGATATGTTTTAGGGGTCATATATATATATATATATATACACACTATGTTTGGAGGCATGAAAACATTTATTTGTAAGCAAATATATGCAAGAATAATTTTGTGACGTTTAACTACCTTCGTGTTCAATAAACCACAGCAATTACTCCATCACAAGATTTAATAATTATAGTACAAGTTAAAGGTTCTGTATGGTTAATTAACCACTAAATGAATAATAGCATTTTTTAAAAATTTCAAACCTTTCTGAGGTAACAGAATATAAACAGTAACCCGCACCCCCCGCAATTTTCCTAAAAATATTTTGTCTGAATTTGTACAAATAAACATAAAATGTAAACCTAGGTGAAGTTTTTCATTGTGAGCTATCTATTATATATTCTTGCCATTCTGCAGTCATCATAGTGTTAAATTCTAGGAAATATGAGTTGTTATTTATTTTCTAAAAATGCTTATTTATGATTCTTAATTACTTTTGTGTTTTATTATATAATAGCTTCCCATGGTTATGTTATCTGTACGTAGTGAAATGTGATCAAAAAAGTTTGATTACAATACAAATGTAAAATGTGATATAGATCTTGTTTAACTGAACATTTTAATGTGTTATTTGTTATAGAAATAAAAGTCAAAGCTAATGGGGATAGCATTATATAGACTTAGTAGGATGAGATAAACCAAATGGACTACTTAAGCTGTAGCCTATATCAATGTTGTACATTAAATAGTATATAACTTTTATGTGACTGATATAGTTTGTATGTTCTTACCCTCCAAATGTTGAAATGGGTTCACCAATGTTGGACGTGGGCCTAGTGGGTGGTTTTTGTGTCATGAGAGCAGATCCCTCATGAGTGGCTTGGTCTTACCATTGTAATTGGTCCCACCATTGTAATGAGTTCCCATGAGATCTGGTTGTTAAAAAGTCTGGAGACCTCCCTCTTCTCTCTCTTGCTTCCTCTCCCACCATGTATCATGCCTGCTCCCCTTCATATTGTGTCATGAGTAAAAGCTTCCTGAGGCCTCACCTGAAGCTGAAGACATGCTTGTGCCATGGTTATACAGCCTGCAGAATCATGAGCCAAATAAACCCGTTTGGCTATGAATTTCCCAGCTTCATGTATTCCTTTATAGCAACACAAAATGGACTAATACAGCTACTACATGTGATGGTTGTTTATCAGTCTAAAATTCACTGACCTATTGACAGCATCTGCAAACCTTGAGGTTTTTCTTCTCTCTCCCTTTCACCATTTTGTTTCCAAGAGACAACATTCTCTTGCTTAACCTTAATATTTACAGCCCATACTCTTCCCTCACACTAGTCTCTTTACTCTTTATCTCTGTGAATCCTAATAGTCAAGTGTCTCATCAGTAATTCCATATACGATGACTCCCTAATTGATCTCATTTTCTCTTGTTGCTTTATAAAGCATCTGTATGCTGATTTCATTGAAAGGTAATTCTCCATGAATATTTTCACCTTTAGTCATAGTCTGGGCTTTCTGAGAAAACAGCATTGACAAATGTGGCTTAAAGATGATTCAGTAGTAAACATGTTATGTGTGGTAGGTGGAATAATACCAAAAATGTCAGTTTGCTATTCTTGGTAATTTGTAAATTTTTTGTATTACATAACAAAAGGAAAATTAAAATGAGATTGACATTACTAATCAGATGATCTCAAAATATAGAGATTATCCTGTACTATTTGGGTGGGCTCAGTATAATCTTGAGGGTCTGTAAATGTTGAAATGGTTTGAATTTATGTCCCCACCCAAATCTCATGTTGAATTGTAATCCCCAGTGTTGAAGGAGGGGCCTGGTCTTAGGAAAATGGATCTTGGGGGAGAATTTCCCCTTTGCTATTCTCATGATAGTGAGTGAGTTCTCACAAGATCTCTTTCTTTAAAGTATGTAGCTACACCTCCTCCCACAACCTTCACTCTCTTCCTCCTACTTCAGCCATGTAGGATGTGCCTGCTTCCCCTTCACCTTTTACCATGACTAAATCTTCTGAGGTCTCCTTAGCCATGCTTCCTGTACGGTCTGTGGAATTGTCACCCAATTGAACTTCTTTTTCTAAATATATACATGACCAAGCCTCAGGTAGTCCTTTATAGCAATGCAAGAATAAACTAATATAGAAAATTTGTACTGGGAAGTGAGGCATTGCTATAGCGATACCAGAAAATGTGGTAGTAGCTTTGGAACTAGGTAACAAGCAGTAGTTGGAACAGTTTGGAGGGCTCAGAAGAAGACAGGAGGATGAGCGAAAGTCTGGAACTTCCTAGAGACTTCTTAAATTGTTGTGACCAAAATGTTGATAGTGCTATGGATGATGAATTCCAAGCTAACTTGGTCTCAGATGGAGATGAAGAACTTACTGGGAATTAGAGTAAAGATCACTTTTGTTATATATTAGCAAAGAGACTGGTGACATAGTGCCCTGCTCTAGGGATCTGTGAACTTGAGAGAGATGGTTTAGGGTATCTGGCAGAATAAATTTTTAAGCAGCAAAGCATTCAAAAAGTGTCTTGGCTTCTTCTAACAGCATATGCTCATATCCATGAGCAAAGAGATGATCTGAAACTGGAACTTATATTTAATAAATAAGCAGAGTCTAAAAGTTTGGCAAATTAACAGCATGACCATTTGCTAGAAAATAAAAACCTATATTCTGGGGAGGAATTCAAGCTTGCCTGAGAAATTTGCATAAGTAAAGAGGAGCCAAATGTTAATTACCAAGAAAATGGGGAAAATGCCTCAAAGGCATTTCAGAGACCTTCAGGGAAGCCTCTACTATCACAGACCTGGAGGCCTAAGTGGGAAGAATCATTTTGTGGGCTGGGCCCAGAGACACACTGCCCTGTGCAACCTTAGGAAACTGCTCCTTATGTCCCAACCACTCTAGCTACAGCCATGGATAAAAGTACCCCAGATAAATGTCAGGCTGCTGCTCCATTTGTTGCCAAACATAAACCTTGGTAGACTTTTACGTGGTGTTAAGCTTGAGGATACACAGAGGGCGAGAGTTGAGGCTTGGGAGACTCTGCCTAGATTTCAGAGGATGTGTGAATATGCCTAGACGTCCAGGCAGAAGTCTGGTACAGAGCCAGAGCTCTCACAGAAAACCCCTGCAAGGGCAGTGCAGAAAGAAAATGTGGGCTTGGAGCCCCTACACAGAGTCCCCACTGGGACACTGTGTGGAGTTGTGAAAAGAGAGCCACTGTCCTTCAGACCCTGGAATTATAGATGCACTGGCAGCTTGCACTATGTGCTTGGAAAAGCTACAGACACTCAACATCAGCCCTTGAAAGCCACCATGGGATCTGAGTCCCACAGAGCCACAGGGGTACAGCTACCCAAGGCTTTGGGAGCCCACCCCTTGCATTAGTGTGGCCTGGATGTGATGACACATGGGGTCAAAGATTATTTTGGAGCTTTAGGATTTAATGACTGCCTTGCTGGGGGTTGGACTTTCGTGGGGCCTGTAGCCCCTTTGTTTTGGCTGATTTCTCCCTTTTGAAATGGGTGTATTTACCCAATGCTTTTACCCCCATTGTATCTTTGAAGTAACTAACTTGCTTTTTATTTTAGAGGCTCATGGGTGGAAGGAACTTGCCTTGTCTTGGATGAGACTTTGGACTGTGAACTTTTAAATTAATGCTGAAATGAGTTAAGATGTGCGGGACTGTTGAGAAGGGATGATTACATTTTGTAACGTGAGAAGGACATGAGATTTGGGAGGGGTCAGTGGTGGAATGATATGATTTGGATTTGTGTCACCTCCCAAATTACACATTACATCGTAAGCCCCAATGTTAGAGTTGGGGCCTGGTGGGAGGCAATTGGATCATGAAGGTGGATTTCCCCTTTGATGCTGTTCTTGTGATAGTAAGTAAGTTATCATGAGATCAGGTTGTTTAAAAGTGTGTAGGACCTCCTGCCCCTTTCTCTTCCTCCCGTAAGATGTACCTCCTTCCCCTTCACCTTCTGCCATGATTGTAAATAAGTTTCCTGAGGTCTCCCCAGCCATGTTTCCTGTACAACTTGCAAAACTGTGTCAATTAAACTTCTTTTTTTAAAAAAATAAATTATCCAGCCTTGGGTAGTTATTTATAGCAATGTGTGAACAGACTAATATAACTGTGCAAAAGAAAGACATAGAAGTCAGTGTTAGGCAAGATGGCCAAATAGGAACAGCTCTTGTCTGCAGTTGCCAGTGAGACCAACACAAAAGGCTGGTGATTTCTGCATTTCCAACTGAGGTACCCAGTTCATCTCATTGGGACTCGTTACGTAGCGGGTGCAGTCTACGGTGGGCAAGCAGAAACAGGGTGGGGCTCTGCCTCACCCAAACGTGCAAGGAGCCGGGGACCTCCCTCCCCCAGCCAAGGGAAGCTGTGAGGGACCGTGCTATCCAGCGGAGATACTATATTTTTCCCATGGTTTTTGCAATCTGCAGACCAGGAGATTCCCTTGTGTTCCTACACCACCAGGGCCCTGGATTTCAAGCACAAAACTGGGCAGTTGTTTGGGCAGACACCAAGCTAGCTGCATGAGGTTTTCCCTTTTCATACTTCAGTGGTGCCTGGAACTCCAGCAAGAGAGAACCATTTACTCCTGTGGAAAGGGGGATGAAGCCAGGGAGCCAAGTGGTCTCACTCAGTGGGTCCCACTCCCACAGAGCCCAGCAAGCTAAGAACCACTGGCTGGACATTCTCGTTGCCAGCACAGCCGTCTGAAGTTGACCTGGGACGATCAAGCTTGGTGGGGGAAGGGGTGTCTGCCATTACTGAGGCTTGAGTAGGCAGTTTTCCCATACCATTTCTGCAAAAATTTGTGGGTTAAGAAGAATGTTGGGTAGAAACAGCCAAGGTCATGTGTGTGACTTCAACCTTTTATTTTACTTTACTTTTCTCTGTCATGGTGGTTAATAGGTATAAAAATGAATAGTATTATTACTCTTAAGAATGAAATCAAGGCAATTTGATAAGAATATGGAAATGCATGACATTTTGTGACAGACATTTTGTCTATTAGCCTTTATTCTTTTTTTTAGTGAGTGTATTACATTATTTGCATATTTAGTGTAAAGATAATAGGTTTTATCTACGGTGAAACTCTTTTTGATAATTTATCCATAATTGAATTCGGCTCTTAGTTGGTATCTTGTGTGTATGTAAGTTTGTGTAGTTTAGCATCCTTGTATTATATTGCATGGGTTACTGCTTCAAAAAATTATGCGCCAAGGAGATAAATGTCAAGCTCAAAAAGTTCAAATTCTTAATTAAATCACCTGCCTTTTTTTCTCAGACACAGTGCATAGCAAATGGTCCAAATTTTAAGCAACACTGAGTTACTCTCTTCAATTTGACTAGCTTTGTTTTTTAGCTGCAAAATCTTCTTAGACTTAACAATATTTAACAAAAATGTATTGTGTGATACATTTACTTTTGGAGTGTGTGATCACTGTCAGTTGTATGATATTTTGCAGTATTTTCAGAGAAGTGTTGTATATTAACAATGATTGTATCCTTAAGTTGAATGATTGAATAATTGTCTTTTAGAAGTGATTTGGAAATAGTAAAATGAATGTGAGTTGACAGATACCAGTGATTTTAACAAGCCATTCAGAAACTACTCCATGTGATTTACGTGAGCTTTAACCCCTCAGTTTTAATGTGAGCTCAACTGAATGGCCAAATATATTGCAATCATTTATATATTGCAATCCCCTGGGATTCTAGAGTTTAAAAAATATAGGATTGTTCTCTTAGTGCTAGACGGTTAAATCCTTTAGAGAATGTACAATAACTTTTTTAATAAGAGCAGTGGTGACTACATCAAACCTACTGTGGAGTAAGCTGTTCCTATAATCATTGAGTAAATTAAAATTTATGAATTTATGAGTTTTATCTAATACACGAAACAGATAATGAATACATTAAGTACATATTGTCTCTATACAGTTGTCCCTTGATATCCATGGAAGATTGTTTCCAGGATTCCCCATGGATACCAAAATTCACAGATGCTCAAGTCCTTTATATAAAATGATATCATATTTGCATATAACCTATGCAGATCCTCTCATACACTTTAAATAATCTCTGGGCCACTTATAATACTTAATGAGATATAAATTCGATGTAAATAGTTGATAAATGGTATTATTTAGGGATTAAGGACAAGAACAAAATGTCTATACATGTTCAGTACAGACGCAACCACCTATCTCTTTTTTTTCCCTGAACATTTTCTATCCCTGTGGGTTTTGTGGTTGAATCCATGGATTCATGGAACCTATGGAGGGCTAACTGCATTGGCTTCCCTGTATCCTTTGAGAAACTGCTTCTCCTTTGCTCCATATAATTAGGGTGAAGCCGCAAGTCCTATGATCCTGCCTTTCATGTCGTAAAGATGCATATAAGACCCACGTTGGCCTATCTGTGTCAATTCCATCTCCTTGGATACGTGATTGTGTGGCGATGGGGATTAGTAAGTGACTAAGCAAAGCCAGAAAGCTTTCACTGATTAAGAATGCTAAAGACGTTGTCTGAATGAAGCGACAAATATCAGTTTTAAAATTTAGAACAAACTGCCTAACAGGTTAGTATAGAACAAATCAGACCTTATGAAGAGAGAAGTGTAAGGGTATGAGAATATGTGTGCAGTTATGTGCGTGCATGTGCATATAGACTTGTGTGAGTTTGGCTGAAGGGTAAATATTTGATGATACTTTCTTTGTTCACACTGCTTGAACGAACTACCACAAGTTGGTAGCTTATAAATGACAGCAACTTATTTCTCAAAGTTCTGAAATCTGGGAAGTTCAAGGTCAAGGTGCTGGTGAGTATTAATTCTTCAATGACCGAGATTTTGTTGTGTTTTTACATAATGAAAAGGGCACACAAGCTTGCTTGGGCCTCTTTTATTAGATCACTGATATCATCCATAAGGGATTCACCCTCATGATATAATCAACTCCCAAAGCTCCCACCTTTTAATACTATCACACTGGGAATTAGGTTTCAAGGTAGGAATTTTGGGGTGATGCAAACATTCAGACCATAGTAAGACTATTTGATTTTAATTCTGTTTTGGATTAATCCATTTCTTTTATTTTATTGTAGATTACTACAAGCTTAAGATGAGCACTGTCCTCCTAATTACTTACAAGTGTACAGAATAATATTGCTGAGTGTAGGTATGATGTTTTTCAGCAGATCTCTAGAGCTTGTTCATCTTGCTTGACTAAAACTTCACAACTGTCGATTGGTACTCCCCATGTTTTTTCCCCCAGCCCCTAGTAAACACCAATCTACTCTCAATTTGATTAATTTAGATAACACATATAAGTGAAATCACAATATATTTGTCTTTTTGTAGTGAACTTATTTCACTTATAGGTTTTCAGGTTCATCCATTTGTTGTCTATGCAGAATATTTTCTTTCTTTGACTGAATAATATTCTTTTGCATACATATGCTGCATTTTCTTTATCTACTCATCTGTCAATGGACATTTGGGGTGTTTCTATATCTTGGCTATGGTGAATAATACTGCAATAAATATAGAAGTACACATATCTCTCTGAGATCTTGATTTTAATTCTTTTAGATAAATATTCAGTATATACCCAAAGGACTATAAATCATACTGCTATAAAGACACATGCACACGTATGTTTATTGCGGCATTATTCACAATAGCAAAGACTTGGAACCAACCCAAATGTCCAACAATGATAGACTAGATTAAGAAAATGTGGCACATATACACCATGGCATACTATGCAGCCATAAAAAATGATGAGTTCATGTCCTTTGTAGGGACATGGATGAAATTGGAAATCATCATTCTCGGTAAACTATCGCAAGAACAAAAAACCAAACACCGCATATTCTCACTCATAGGTGGGAATTGAACAATGAGATCACATGGACACAAGAAGGGGAACATCACACTCTGGTGACTGTTGTGGGGTGGGGGGACGGGGGAGGGATAGCATCGGGAGATATACCTAATGCTAGATGAGGAGTTAGTGGGTGCAGCGCACCAGCATGGCACATGTATACATATGTAACTAACCTGCACAATGTGCACATGTACCCTAAAACTTAAAGTATAATAATAAAAAAAATAAAAATAAAATTCAAAAGTGGGATTGCTGGATTATATAATAGTTCTATTTTACAGTTATGTGGAATATCCATATTGTTTTATATAGCTTCTGTACCATGTTGCCTTCTCACCAACAGTGTGCATGGGTTCTAGTTTCTCTATATCCTTAAAAATATTTGCTGTGCTTTTTTTTTTTTTTTTACATAATAGCCTTCCTGACATGTCTAAGATGCTATGTCATTGTGCTTTTTATTTGCATTTCCCTGATGAATAGTGAGGTTGAACATTTTTAAATATACTTATTGGTCATTTGTATGTCTTCTCTGGAGACATGTCTGTTCAAACTTTTCCGTATTTTTAAAACAGATTACTGACTTATTTACCATTGCATTGTAGGAGTTCCTTATATACTTTGGAAATTAATTCCTTATTAGAAATATGGTTGGCAAATATTTTACGCTATTTCGTAGGTTGTCTTTTCACTCCATTGATTGCTTCCTTTCCTGTGCAGTGAATAAAGCCACTTTGATTTAAATTTATGAGTTAAGTTTTTGTTTTGTGTTTTACTTCATGTTTTTTAAAAGTTGATTTAAGTTTAATATCTATTACTAGGAAGCTTTATTAATTCGAAATTATACTCCCAACTCAATAAAATATTTTAAAGATTATCTGACAATTAAAATGCTGTAACAATAGTATTATTTTTTATGAACTACAACTACAATATGTGAATGCCATTTTTGTTTTTCTCCTAAATGTCACTGAAAAAAAGGAGAACATTTTTGCCTCAAAATGTATATTTATGTGTTCCTTCCCATAATAAAATAACACTTCAGAATAGCCAACTTTACCTTAAAGGTTTTGTTCTAACTCTGTATGTGTGCAGTAAATACATTATTAAGAATTTATTATATACTAGATAGAGAAAGAAACTGAAAGCCAGACAGACAGACAGAGGTTACAACCTTCCTTTGTACTTGTGGAGCAGTCGGGGAAATGGTACAAAGAAAGTAAGAAGGAATTCAATAAAAAGAAGTCAATAGACTAAATTTTTCGACAGGAGTGAAGACATAATTTGTGTTTAAAGGTATTCCAAAAATACTGTGATGAACAACCATTGACCACTTTAAGGGAGAAGCATTTTCTAACACAGTGGTGACAGCCTCTAACAGTGCTTACATAAATAGCATATGATAGACGGTAATTAAATGTAGAAAAGCTTACACAAAACCCAGCTTCACTCAATGATTTACTGGATAAAGAAAACGTGGCACATATACACCATGGAATATTATGTAGCCATTAAAAGGATGAGTTCATGTCCTTTGCAGGGACGTGGATGAAGCTGGAAGCCATCATTCTCAGCAAACTCAGCAAACATCATTCTCAGCAAACACAGGCACAGAAAACCAAAAACTTCATGTTCTCACTCATAAGTGGGAGTTGAACGATGAGAACACATGGACACAGGGAGGGGAACATCACACACTGGGGCCTGTCCGGGGGGTGGGGGCAAGGAGAGGGAGAGCATTAGGACAAATACCTAATGCATGTGGGGCTTAAAACCTAGATGAGGGGTTGATGGGTGCAGCAAACCACCATGGCACATGTATACCTATGTAACAAATCTGCATGTTCTGCACATGTATCCCAGAGCTTAAAGTAAAATTTAAAAAAAAAAGAAAGAAAAATCTTCTTTGTCGGGGATTATCACTACATTTTTCACTGATTTGAGAGAAACATGCAGCTTTCTGTCTTTGAATGACTACAACTGTGGGAAATCATATTTATTTCCATCTTAAAAGTACATTCCTCGTGAACAGAGATATACCAAAGTCCTAAGAAGGCCTCAGTGACTAGTAGGTGTCATTTAAGTTTGCAGTAGGTGCACATGGAAGGCAAATCAATGATTTTTTTTTTCTGTAAGGTTTAAGCAGATAAAGAAGAACTTTTGCAAAATGTCACTTGAAACTCAAAATAAAATAGAAACTTATAGACGGTTCTCAAGACAGTGAGAGCAATGAAATAGTTTCTCTTTAAATCTCAAACAGTGTTTATTAACTATAAAAATAGAACAGTCAAAAGTCAGAACATTGTAAGATCTTTTCACAAACTTGTTTTTTCTCTCTACGTACACAAGCTTTACTTGCTAAGCAGGAAACTATGGAATTGTTTTTCCTTGTAAGTAAAAAAGTTAAATAGTTTTTTACCTCAGAAATAACTTGTGGCCGGGCGCGGTGGCTCACGCCTGTAATCCCAGCACTTTGGGAGGCCGAGACGGGCGGATCACGAGGTCAGGAGATCGAGACCATCCTGGCTAACACGGTGAAACCCCGTCTCTACTAAAAATACAAAAATTAGCCGGGCATGGTGGCGCGTGCCTGTAGTCCCAGCTACACAGGAGGCTGAGGCAGGAGAATGGCGTGAACCCGGGAGGCGGAGCTTGCAGTGAGTCGAGATCAAGCCACTGCACTCCAGCCTGGGCGACAGAGCGAAACTCCGTCTCAAAAAAAAAAAAAAAAAAAGAAATAACTTGTATTACTAGTGGCCTTCTACCATGTATTACATCATACACTCATTTATTTCTTTATATGGAATTTAGGATTTTAGCATCTAATATATACAATGTTCTTTTCAAGGCACCACAAGGCTATAGTTTTTGATACGTTTGACAAATCTTATGCCCTCATTGAAGATATACTCTAGTAATAATATAATAATAGATATAATAAGCAGTGATATGATATATACATAATAAAAGTAACTAAGATTATATTCGTATTCATCTTTATTTTCATTTTAGTAACTACTTTGTATAGGTTGTATAAACATACATTATGTATTGTTATGAATGAGTAACTTTGTAGCCTTGGTTAATGTTGAGTGATTTTAATATGGTAAGTATGGGAGTATTTTGAAAAAAAGTAGTAATTGCTAGACAAATATTTTAACTGCTATTATATTTTAAAAACACAGTTGCACTGAAATATACTGTCATTATTCAATTTAATTGAGTGCATTTTAGGACCAGGTGCTTGCTTACCCTCCCATTTAATTGGGTACTTGTTTTTTCCACCTTAAAGATTTTTCTTCAAGTGCGTTGCCACGTAACCAATGTATTTTCAACTTATAGTCAGTTCTTGATTACCTCCTGGGATTACTCCATTATGGATTACCTGTAACAAACTTTGCTTTTCAGAACTTATTGACATCGCTATCTTCTACACTTCTAATTAAGTCATTTCCTGACATTCAGGCTGTTTCCCCAACTAGTAAAGTCTGTTTTAAAAGTCAAACTAGTTTCTGACTGCATTTATACATTGTAAATTTCAGGCAACCATCATAGTTGAATAAGTTTTTCAATTTAAGTATTCAAAATTTTCAAGGTATTAGGGAATATTTTCTTCTATCCAGGAAAGTAAATCCAATAAATCAAAATGTTTAATGGCCATATTCAAATCTAAGTCATTACAAACCAGAAATATGACAATTACTGAGAGACATAAGGTCATAAAAGATGTATAGTTTTTCCTCATATTGTTATGCTTGAAGAATGTGAGTGGGTTGCAAGGGTACAGGGATCCATTCTTTGATCCTTCTCTCAAAGCATCTTTTCCACCGATTAGCTGATTTTTAAAATTAAATTTTAAAGAAACGTTTCCTAATTATGCATAGCATTTTAATGCAAATTACTAATATCAGAAATGAGTATTTCTGAGATCAGTAAATATTTAGGCAAAATTCTAAGCCTTTGTATGTGGCACTCTTGAGAGGGAAGTAAGACACACATTCTCTCTCTCTGTTTTCATTAACTCATCTTCGAGGGTCAAGTCCTGTGGGGACAAATGAGTCCGTGACATTTTTCATAGTCACTTGCTCACCTGATGCTAACCTCACCCTCTTCACTGCTGAAATGCTATTTTTGTAATCCTACTCACAGCTCCGTGCCTTATTTCTTAGCATCTCTGGAATTGCCTATATTTGCTCATGTACAAATCCTACAACATTGTTTCACACAGACCTTACAATTGCATATTGATTATGCCTTTTCATGTTGTTTCTACATGTGCTGCCTTTTGTTAGAGGAATCTTTCTCTTCCTAAAGTGTTCTACACCCAATACTCTCAAAGTAGTAAGACCCAAAAACTAAACAGTGCTGTATTCCTATGAGTATTCACTGAACTGGGGCTGCGTGGAAATACATCCACATATAAGTCAAGTGGCCCTCTCCTATAGATTCAATTAGACTCTTAAAGTCCATAAGAACAACATCTATAGTTTAAATTTAGGTAAGTAGATGCCCTGCCAAAAATACTTAGGTAATTATATATTATATAAGTCACATAAATGTAACATAATATAAAATATGTATTTTATTATTCTATATATGCATAACTACAGAGACACAAGCATTCATACACATACACATGTATACACATAAATACATGAGTATAATTACATATACATGTGTATGTAATTATGTATGTATAATCACATATACATGTGTATGTAATTATGTATGTATAATCACATAAACACAAGTATGCATATGTAACTATGTATATTATATGCATAATTACATATGCCCATGTATGTGTATGCAATTATGTATATTATGTATGTATAATTACATATACACATATGTGTAATTATACACATATATGTATTTATGTGTATACATGTGTATGTGTATGAATGCTTGTGTCTCTATGTAGTTATGCACATATAGCATAATGTAATAAATACATATTTATATATATGCACTTCCAGTTCTAGCTGTCTTGCTTAAAATTTCTTCCTCCATTTACCTCTTTCCTCTGTCCCTTTACTGTAAGTACCAAGAAAAAAATGAGCTGCATCTTCAACACTTGCTTGAAAATTTCCTCCAGTAAATATCCAAATTTATTGCTTACAAATTCTGCTTTCTATATATCTGTAGGTTGCACATTTGATTCTATCACAAGCAGGATATCAAGAGTTATAAATAGTAGGCATTTGACTTAAGAGCTAGAAAGAAAGCTAGGAAAAGTTCAAGTTTCTAAGTCATCACTTATGGATAAAGTACATAAAGCAATTCCATTGAAATGAATTCCCTCAACACTAAAATAAATGTTGCAAAAAATTATCCTCACAAAATATATTTTTTGTAACACTCTCCATTCTTCTAAATAATTATCTAAACTTTTCTTGTCTTTGCTTATTATTGACATTTTCAACTCTTTGTTAGACTGTAAATATTTAAATATTTATTTACACTTTTTCTAGGAATGCTGTAAATATGCATCATGTCAATCAGTAGATAAACAAAATAGAAGAAAAGAATGTGATCTGTCTATATCACTTAAATATGAGATACTTCACATCATTATCTTAGGTTTTCACATATGTGTACCTTTTAAGGAGAATTAAATAATTTTGGCATGAATAAAATATGAGTAGTGAACTGTATACCCAGTCTAAATAGTTGAAAATTCAACACAAACTATGTTGAGTAATATTGAAAATTGCATAAAAATGTCTTTGGTAGACTTTTAGTTTATCTATTAGTATCTATCCACGTATCATTTATCTGCCTATCTTTCTATGATGTATCTATCTATGTATTTTTGTATCCCTGTATTATAAGTACATATAAGCTTACTAAAAGGATCTGAGCAACACAACTGGGGATATTTCTAGCCAAATAGAAATAAAAAAATCACAGAAACTGGTTTTGTATTTCGTGTTTTTTTGAGATGGAGTTTCACTCTGTCGCCCCAGCTGGAGTTCAGTGGCAGGATCTCAGCTCACTACCACCTCCATCTCCCAGGTTCCAGCGATTCTCCTACCTCAGCCTCCTCAGTAGCTGGGATTACAGGTGCCAGCTACCACACCCAGCTAAATTTTTTGTGTTTTTAGTAGAGACAGGGTTTCACCATATTGGCCAGGCTGGTCTCGAACTCCTGACCTCAAGTGATCCACCCACCTCAGCCTCCCGAAGTGCTGGGATTACAGGCCTGAGCCACCACTGGTTTTGTATATCATCAAAAAAATTACATTTCGATAAGTTAGTCATGTCATTCATTCAACCTTCTTTTTTGGGGCGGGGGGGCGGTGGGGGATGGAGTCTTACTCTGTCGCCCAGGCTGGAGTGCAGTGGCGCTATCTCGGCTCACTGCAAGCTCTGCCTCCCGGGTTCATGCCATTCTCCTGCCTCAGCCTCCTGAGTAGCTGGGACTACAGGCGCCCGCCACCACGCCCGGCTAATTTTTTTTTTTGTATTTTTAGTAGAGACGGGGTTTCACCATGTTAGCCAAGATGGTCTCAATCTCCTGACCTTGTGATCCGCCCGCCTTGGCCTCCCAAAGTGCTGGGATTACAGGCATGAGCCACCGTGTCTGGCCTGTCATTCAATCTTCTTATACTACAGTTTCCTCTTCCAAAAGCAGGGCAAATACCTACCTAATAGAATTATTTCAAATGTCATGTATTAAATACACAATGGTGTTCTTTTTTTTTCCTTGCTCTCTGCATATACCTCCTGATTAGTTCTGTTTCCCTAATCCTTCAAACTTACCATCAAAGCATAAAAAAAATTGTAGCAAGGTATTTTTAACTATAAAACAAAAGGTTCATTGCCCTTTGTGTTCGATTAATTTATTTATTCATCGAAGACATACTTTAGTAAACATATGTATATGCCACCGTTATAGGTACTAGAAAAAAATAGTTTTAAACAAGAAAGACAAGCTATTTTTTTCTAACAGAGTTTACTGACTAGAGGAGAATATGGATAATAAATAGACTATGAAATGAATTTAATTACAGCGGTAAGTACTCTAAATAAATCAAAGCATGGTAATGAGATAGAGAATCATTGAAGTCTATTTATATGGTACTTAGGAGGGGTATTTTCAATTAATTCCTATTAAGACAGAGACCTGAATAAGTGGAGAGACAATTATGTGAATATTTGGGGAATAATTACCTAGGAAGAAAAAAAGTTGAGAAAGCCAAAATAGCATTGATATAGTTGTATTACATCAGATCGGTATGATTATAGAAATAAAAGTTTAATAACAGAGGAACTTGATAGAAAACGAAGCTGAGGAAACACATACAGATGGAATCCCGGAAGGCCTCATGTGAATTATGGTAAGAATTTTAAATTGTATTTAATATTTAAGGTGCTAGAGTATTGAGACCAAATGACAAAAAAAAAATGAATTGTGTTTTTAAAAGAATTTTCACTGCTATGTGGAGAATGTAGAGAAAGAAGAGTAGAATCATGAAGACCACTTTGAATCTTTTGCCATGGAATGCATTACATTTGTTTACGGGTGGATGAGAAAATAGACACATTTTCCCCCAAAATAAGTCACTTCACTATCATCAAGCTGATAAGAACATTTTCATTAAAAATAGAAAGAAAAATATGGTCTCTCTCCACACTTAATGACTTCCCTTTATTTGAAAAAATACAGCATAAAAGTCTTTGGGCATAGTGCTATAAAATGAATAATTATGGATAAAAGATTCAAGAATTATGGACATATTTCTATCCCAAAAGATAAAGGTTTTGCTAAGTTGATGGCACTACCGGCTATTACCCTTTGCTCTTTCCTTATCTATACACTTTCAAGTGTACCCTTACAGTGCGGTCTATAACGGGCAAGGCTTTCTGCACTGCCCCTTGATTCTGAGCTCAGTCACTTGATTAACTTTTTTTTCTTATAAATGTAAGGGTATAAGTGCAGTTCAATTACATGGATATATTGCATAGTGGTGAAGTCTGGGCTTTTAGTGTAACCATCACCCAAATAATGTGCATAGTACCCATTAAGTAATTTTTTCTCCCTCACACCCCTCCAACGCTGTCAACATTCTGAATCTCCGGTGTCTATTATTCCACATGCTATGACCATGCGTACATATTACTTAACTCCCGCTTATAAATGAGAACATACAGTATTTGGCTTTGTGTTTCTGAGTTGTTTCTCTAAGACAGTGGTCATCAATTCCATCCACGTTACTACAAAAGACATAATTTTATAATTTTTATGGGTAAATCGTACTCCATCTATGTTGCTGCAAAAGACATTATTTTATGGGTAAAGAGTATTTCATTGTTATATCACATTCACCTTGAAATGTTAGCAAGCATGACAAAGAGACAAAGAAGAATACTTTAGTATTTCAGGTACTGCACTTTTCCTCTGCTATCAACATGAGGAGGACATGCCTAGGCTAGTCCAGGGTAAAAGTATTAGAAATATATGGGCCAGAGTAATGAGGCATTAGATTTCTTCACCAAAACTATCATAGATCAACACAAATCTAACCAACACCCAACAAGCAGATACTCATAGCCAACCTAGCTTATATCAGGTAAAGCACTCAAATTCCTGAGCTAATACTAATGTCAATCAGGTTGTGCGATTGTAATGCAACATAATGGTCACAATATGTAACTGATACAATAGCGCAGAGAAGTGAATAAAATAACTATATAAGAAACTTTTCTGAAAGGACATTAATCCATTTTGAGGCTTGAGTCTCAGCATTTGGAAGTCTTCGGTATTAAAAATATCTTAATCATCATAGGCTTATGGATTAAAATAGCAAAGAGGATTACTTTCCTATTTCCCATTTGGAACCCTAGAGAAAGTTTCACAAAATGTGAGAGGTCTAAGTGATGCAAAGGGGTTGGAAATTGCAGGACAGAAAATCCTCCAAGTTTGTTAACATTTCTCATTCTATACACACCCTACTCTTCCCCCTCCATGACTGTCACTACCCTTCTGTTTTGTTTTTACAGGACCTGGGATGGAATTCTGAAATTATTGTGAGCCCCACTTCAAATCCACACCCCCTCCAAAACAATACATGAGAGATACCTTGTAGTATTGATACAGTGAGTTACCTGAAGGTCTGTAGAAGTTTGCGTGGGGCTGAGAACAGAATGTAATCTTAAAAGGAGATTCTTTGGGAGGCCGAGGCGGGCGGATCACGAGGTCAGGAGATTGAGACCATCCTGGCTAACACGGTGAAACCCCGTCTCTACTAAAAATACAAAAAAATTAGCCGGGCGTGGTGGCGGGCGCCTGTGGTCTCAGCTACTCCGGAGGCTGAGGCAGGAAAATGGCGTGAACCCGGGAGGCGGAGCTTGCAGTGAGCGGAAATTGCGCCACTGCACTCCAGCCTGGGAGACAGAGCGAGACTCCATCTCAAAAAAAAAAAAAAAAACAAAGGAGATTCTGTGCCCGCAGGGGAAGATACTTTGGGTACTCCAGCAGTAGATGCAGTAAGGATAGAGACAAAGCACAGAGAAAAATGTTAATGAACTAGAGTGTACCTTTGGATAAAGGGAGCATTCAAAAATTCTGGAAGACTAAGTATTTACCACTTAATAGACAAAATCTAGTTCTTGTTTATTCGACATGTATTTACTGATCAGCTGGTATGTGCCAAATATTGGTCTAGACTCTGGGGATGCAGCAAATAATTTTAAAAAGAGACAAAAGGTGAGACTGAGTAAATCTGAGTTACTGAAATAAATCAGAAGTGATTGTTAATTTACATGAATTTCATTAGGTATGATGCTTGTTTTCTGGATACTGAGTGTGAATGGTAAATTATGAGAAAGTTAAACAGTTATGGAGAAAAATAGTTAATTTCTACATATTTGAGTTAACGCTCCAGAACTGAAACCAATGTCAAGAATAAATGGTATATTTGATCTCTGATGAATATTTTTATATTAGCATGTTTATGAAGATATTTGGATTGGAAAGTAACTCAAGAAAAACAGCATGAATTTTCAGAATAAGTGAACATTGCCTAATAACAGAACATATCATTTGATATAACTATCCTTATTTATTTATGTATTTATTTTCTTTGCTGTAATGGAAAAACAAAAATTAGCAACTTAATTCAGGAAAGTACTGAGTATTTGTTTCTTTCTTATTATCTGTGAATGATAGTCTGAAATGTCAAAAGTGGTAATTATATGCAAAATAATATGACATAACTTTATAAACATTTAAAATGCATTAAAGTCCATTAAAATTATGCTTTGGTTTCTGAAAGTACAAAATGTCTTTCCTAGAAATACTTGTATGTTGGACCTGGCAGAACTACAATTCTTTCACATTTTAAATAACAACAATGTAAAACGAGGCTGCAGCTGTCTCAGAGGAACCCTCAATCAATTGTTTTTCTGCTTTTCCAGACTCTCATTTATGTAACTGAAACAGATATTGCCAACAGAGCAACTCCAAGAAAACATTACAAACCATTAAACAATAAGGGTTTCTGACCTGTTATTTTCTTCCACTAAGGGGAATATAAGGATTGAGAATAAACTGAAGAAGTCAAATAGCCAGATTCATTCAAAACAGAGCATGAAAAAAAAAATCAGAGCAAATTGGAACGTAAAGCTGTATCTCTAGCAGCTTCAGATCAACAAATACATAAACTTTTCATACAGTAACCTAAATAGTGGATTGACTAAGGCATAAATAGATAATCTAGGACTTGTTTATTCAATGTGTATTTACTGATCACTTGTATGTGCAAAGTATTGATCTAGATTCTGGGGATGCAGCAAATAATTTTTTAAAAGAGACAAAATTTTACTCTTTTGGATGTGACAAGATAGTATTTTCTTTCTTCATTTTTTCCTTTTATTCATTTATTCAACAAATATGTAATGAAGACCAATGATGAGGTGATAGTATGACGGTTCCTAAATCCACTTTGATGAATAGACAGGTTGATTTTCTGCCCTCATAACGCTGGAAGCATAGTGCATTTGCATGCCTCTAGAGTTGTAAAAAATAAGTGACTTGACTTTCCTTTCTAAAAATATTTATCTAAACTTTGAATTCGGAATGGTAAAATATGGGAAGTAAATTTAATTAATGGATCTAAAGTCTTTAATTGTGTTAAGTACCATGGGTGTTGCGAAGTTGAAATTCTATTAGTCTCCACTCTTTAGCAACCCTTTGATATATCCAACATTTTAACATCTGTTTTAAACTAATGATCTCTATTGAACTGTTACTGACTCTTGGTGCAAAAATGATTGCGGGTTTTGCCATTACTTTTAATGGCAAAGCCAATAAAACAATATTGTTTGTATTTAAATAATAAATTACGATTTTTGTTTTTAAAGTTATAAAAGGCATATTCATAGTCAACATAGTACAAATTCCTGCTTTGTGGACAGTGAAGGTATTTCATTATGATGCAATATGATTTTGTATTTAAAGTTTTAAGGGGCACATTCATAGTTAACATAGTTTAAATCCCTGCTTTGTGGACAGTGAAGGTATTTCTGTTGATGAGATCTCTCTGGCTCAACTATCCACTTAATTATATCCAGCTGGGCAGACTCAACTGCCAAGGCACAAAGAAACTCATTTGGTAAGTGAACCCTGGCCGAGATAGAAAAAAGAACTTCTTGGTTCTCATTTTCCCCACCCTATGCATGAATAGTTGACCAACGTCTATATAGAGTCTTCAAAATTATTGCAGCTATCATTTCACAAATTGCTCTTTTCCTGACAGCAAAGACTCACTCAGTTTTCTGAAATTTTGAAGAGACTCTTTATGGGAATACAAATGGTGGTTGTCAGAGAAAAAAAAAAGCGTGCTTTTTCATCAATCTGACTCAATAGAAAATGAAGTCTACCGTAAAGTTGTGCTTCTGTCATTCAAGGTCAAGAAACAGTTAAGTAACATCACTCAAAGGATTCTGAAGCTAGTCGTCCCTATTCTTGTTCCAGAATCTATGAGATTGCTTCTTCCTTTTTATGCCCTTTACCAAGGGGGAGTAAAGGAATTTTATAAGAGGGAGATTTTATTGCATAATAGAAGAAAATATATTTTTATGCCAGAGTGTTTCTATCCCTAATGTGGTCCCCAGGTTTCATTTACCTTCGACTCCACTTGATTTTACTCTGTACTTTCTTACACTATGCTCTGTGCTCTGGAACCCTGGATTTCATATTCTATATGGGTTATTGTATCCTCTGGCTTCTGGTTAGATACAGCTGTGGGAGTGAAAATTAGGGCATTAGCAGAAGAAGCCATGGAGGGTGGGTATTCGGTGCTGGCTACATTTAAGACAGGCAAGAGGTAGAGTGTCTGGATTTCTCCATGGAAGCCACAGTGCCTTTGGGGAAGTTATCTTTTACTATCATTTTCTCTTCTCAAGTTCAGGCTGAGAAGGACTTTCCCTATATGAGACTGCAGCGCTATCTGAACTGTTAGTATTTCTAGGCTGGAAAGAGCCAAGGAAGCAAAAAAATGCAGAAAGGTATATTAGTCTGTTCTCACACTGCTATAAAGAACTACCTAAGACTGGGTCATTTATAAAGAAAAGAAGTTTAATTGATTCATAGTTCCACAGGCTGTACAGGAGGCATGGCTGGAGAGGCCTCAGGAAACTTACAATCATGGCAGAAGGGTAAAGGAGAAACAAGCATGTCTTCACATGGTGGCAGGAGAGAGAGTGAAGGGCGGAAGTGACATACACTTTTTATGATCAGAATTATAATTCAACATAAGATTTGGGTGGGGACAAAGAGCCAAACAATATCAAAGGGAGATGATTATCTCTCGCCAGTCTCTCTCAGCTCCAGCAAAGAAGCACTTTGACTCCTCAGTTAGAGGGTGCTTTGGAAAAATTATTGAATCTCTTGCACTGTGGGATGCCCTAAAACTCTGGTTCCAGCACCAACGACACACGCAACAGAAAGAGAAAGACCAGAATTTCAATTGCCTTGTAGAGCAAGGTACAATTTTTGAAAAATAAAATAGAAAAAAGTCTGAAAACATTAGTTAAATTATTTTCACTTAACATTTTCACAATATTTATGTTTCTAGAAGATAAGCCTAATGAAAACTTTATTTTGTTTTCATTGTATTTATTAGTTATATTTTATTGTGGTAAGGCCACACATGATATCTATCTTCTTAACAAATTTTGAATTGTACAGTACAGTATGGTTTACTGTAAGCACTATGCTGTAGAGAAGATCTCCAGAATTTTTTCATCTTCCTTAACTGAAACTTTATACCATTTGAAGAGCAACTAGTCATTTCTTTCTCCTCCCATACAGTGTAAATTGCCATTCTATTTTCTGCTTCTATGAATTTGACTATTTACATCATCTCGTAAAAGGTATCATGCATAAAATACATATCTTCATAAAAGGTATCATGCAGTTGCCGAGACCAGCTCGGTTGGGGAGACCCTAACCCAGTGGTGCCAGAGGAATTAAAGACACACACACAGAAATATAGAGGTGTGAAGTGGGAAATCTGGGGTCTCACAGCCTTCAGAGCTGATAGCCCCTAACAGAGATTTACCCACATATTTATTAACAGCAAACCAGTCATTAGCATTGTTTCTATAGATATTAAATTAACTAAAAGTATCCCTTATGGGAAACGAAGGGATGGGCCAAATTAAAGGAATAGGTTGAGCTAGTTAACTGCAGCAGGAGCATGTCCTTAAGGCACAGATTGCTCAACCTATTGTTTGTGGCTTAAGAATGCCTGTAAGTGGTTTTCCACCCTGGGCGGTGCAGGTGTTCTTTGCCCACATTGCGGTAAACCCACAACCTTCCAGCGTGGGCGTTAGGGCCATTATGAACATGCTACAGTGCTGCCGAGATTTTGTTCATGGCCAGTTTTGGGGCCAGTTTATGGCCAGATTTTGGGTGGCTTGCTCCCAACATACATATCTGCATAAAAGATATCATGCAGTATTTGTCCTTCTGTTGCTGGCTTATTTCTCTTACCATAATGTCCCTGATGTACATTCATGTTGTCACAGATCACAGAATTTCTTTCTTTTAAGGCTGAATAGTATTCTATTTGATGTATACACCATAATTTCTTTATGCAATTATCAGTCCATAGGCATTTTAATCTTTTCCACAGCTTGACTATTGTAATTAATGCTGAAATGAATATGGAAATGAAAATATATCTTCAAGATCCTGGTATCAATCTCTTTGAATGTATACCCAGATGTAGGATTGCTGGGTTATAAGGTTATTCTATTATTAATGTTTTAAGAGAATTTCATACTACTTTTTGTAGTATCCATACCGTTTTACATTTCAACGACAAAAAAAAAACATTTAATTGCTCCACAAACCCACCAATATTTATTTATTTAGATAATTATTTTAACAATATGAGATGACGTCTCATTGTGAATTGGATTTTTATTTCCCTAGTTATCAGTGATGTTGATCAATATTCATATAACTGGTGGCCATATGTCTGTCTTATTTGGAGAAATGGTGATTTAAGTCTTTGGCCCATTATTTAATTGGGTTACTTAAGTGGATTTGGTGGTTATTCTTTGCTTTTATTATGTTTTGCTGTTGAATTATAGGGGTCCCTTATATATTTTGGATAATAACCTCTTATCAGATAAATGTTAAGCAATTAGTTTTTCTCATTTTATTGATTGTTTTCTTTGCCATGCAGAAGATTTTTAGTTTGGTGTTATACCACCAGTCTACTTTTACTTTTCTTGCTTATGTTTTTACTCTCATAGCCAGTAAGTCCTTGCTAAGACCAATGCCTGGAAGCTTTTTCCTATGTATTCTTCTAGGAATTTTGCAGTTCAGATCTTAAGTTGACATCTTTAATCCACTTTGACTTGATTTTTAGGTAATATGTAAGATAAATGTCCACTTTCATTTTTTTCCATGTTGATATCTGCTTTTTCATATGTTATATATTGAAAATACTATTATTTTCCTATTGTGCATTTATGGCATCATTTTCAAAAGTCAGTTGACTGTACATGTATGGATTAATTTCTAGCCTCTTCACTCTGTCCCATTGGTCAATATGTTTGTCTGCATGCTAGTATCATACTGTTTTAGTTCCTGCAACTTTGAAGAATGCTTTGAAATAAAAAAAAGTGTTTGCTTTAGTTTTGTTCTTTATCAAGATTGTTTTCTCCACTCAGCATTTTTGTTGTTCCATACTAATTTAAAGTCTCTTTATTCTATTTTTTAAGTAGAGATTTTGAAAGAAACTGCATTAAATCTGTAGGTCACTTTGGGTAGTATGAACATTTTTAAAAATATAATACTTCCAATCTATGAATATGGGATACTTTTTCAATTATTTGTGTATCCTACAATTTCTTTCAGCAGTACATTATAGTTTTCCAATTACACATTTTTTATTCCTTGGTTAAATGTATTTCTAAGTATTTTAATTTTTGATGCTATGGTAAATGGGATTATCTTTTAAAATTTCTTTAAAAACAGTTTGTTGTTAGTGTGTAGAAACAAAATTGATTTTTGTATATTGATTTCTACCCTGTAAATTTACTGAACACATTTATTAAACTGGCAAGTTTTGTTGGTGGAATCTTCAGAATTTTCTACATACAAGATTATGTCATCTGTGAGCAGAGTTAATTTCACTTATTTCTTCTCAAATTGGGATGTGCTTTGTTTCTTTTTCTTGTCTAATAGCACTAGCTTGGACTTTTTGTACTATATTTAATAGAAGTACAAGAGTAGACATTCTTGTTTCTGATTTTAGAGGAAAAGCTTTCAGGGTTTTCATCTTTGAATATAATATTATCCAGAAGCTTTTGAAGGTGGCCTTTATTATTTTGAGGCAATTTCTTTTTATACAACATTTGTTAGAAATTTTTTTTAATCATAAAAGGGCATTAAATTTTGTCATTTTTTTCTTTCTGCATCTTTAAAATGACCATGTGATTTTTAGCATTCATTCTGTTAATGTAATGTATCAAATTAACTAATGTTTATATGTTAACACATATTTGCATCTTGGGGATAAATTCTACTTGGTCATGCTTTATGATTCTTTAAGTGTTCTCTCTCTGGAATTCTGTTGGCTAGTATTTTGACGAATTTTACATCTATACTGATAAGGTTAAGGGAGGAGACCACCCCTCATATTGTCTTATGCTCAATTTCTGCCTCCAAAGAAAAAAGAAGTGAAAACTAAAAGGCAGAAATCAAATCCACAGGCTGTCAGCTCAGTGCCACACCCTGGGCCTGGCAGTTAAAGATCGACCCCTGACATAATCGGTTATGTTATCTATAGATTACAGACGTTGTATGGAAAATCACTGTGAAAATCCCTGTCCTGTTCTGTTCCGTTCTAATTACCAGTGCAGGTGCATGCAGCCCCCAGTCATGTACCCCCTGCTTGCCCAATCGATCACGACCCTCTCACACTGACCCCCTTAGAGTTGTAAGCGCTTAAAAGGGACAGGAATTGCTAATTTGGGGAGCTCGGTTTTTGAAGATGTGAGTCTGCCGATGCTCCCAGCTGAGTAAAGCCCTTTCCTTCTACAATTCGGTGGGTTCTTGTCTGCAGCTCATCCTGCTACGAGGTGTTTTGACCTACGTTTTCTGATAGTGTCTTTTTCTGGCTTTGATATCAGAGTAATATTGGCCTCATAGAATGAGTTTGGAGAAGTTCTTTCCTCTTTAATACTTTGGAAGAGTTTGAGAATGATTGTCATTAATACTTCTCTAAATATTTTATAGAATTCACCATTGAAGTAATCTAGTCCTGAAGTAATTTACCTTTTTTGTTGGGAGGTTTTTGATTAGTAATTCGGTATTCTTAATAGTTAGTATTATCTTCAAATTTTCTATTTCTTCATGATTCATTGTTGGTAGGTTACATCTTTCATGGAATTTATCTATTTCTTCTAGGTTATGCCATTGTTGACATATAATTGTTCTTAGTAGTTTCTTATAATCAGTTTTACATCTGTGGCACTGGTTGCAATGTCTCTTTCATTTACATTTCCATTTACTCAAATCTTCTCTTTTTTTCTTAGTATAGCTAAAGATTTGGCAACTTTGCTTGTCTTTAAAAAGACAACTCAATTTGTTACCTCTTTTTATTGTTTTTCCGTCCTTTTTTTATATTTCTGCTCTAATCTTTGCATTTTTTTTCTTCTACTAATTTGAGCTTAGTTTTCTCTTCCTTTTTTAGTCTCTTGGGATGTAAAGTTAGATAGTTCATTTGAAAACTTGTTTTTTTAAATGTAGGTACTTACCGCTGTAAACTTTTCTCTTAGTGCTGCTTTGATGCATGTTATAAATATTGGTATGTTGTGTTTTCATTATTGTTTCTGCAAGATATTATATTAGATTGTGTTAGATTTTTCTAATGTTGATAAGATATTTTCTAATTTTTAAAAACTTCGTGTTTGAACTATTGGTTACAAGTGTGTTGTATAGTTTTCACAGATTTGTGAATTGTTCAGTTTTCTTCTGCTCTTGATTTCTAATTTTATTCCACTGTGGTCATAAAGACACTTGGCATGATTTCAGTCTTCTCAAATTTGTTAAGGCTTGTTTTGAGACCTAACGTGATCAATACTGGAGAATATTCTGTGTGTGCTTGAAAATAATGTTCATTCTGCTGCTGTTTTGTAAAATGTCTTCATGTTTCTATAAGTTCAATTTTCTATTTAGTATTGTTCAAATACTTGGTTTTCTCATTAACTTTCTATCCAGATATTTTATCCATTTTGAAAACGAAGTAATGAAATCTTTTACTTTTATTGTTTTGCTGTCTACTTCTCACTTCAGTTCTGTCAATGTTTGTAACACATATTTAGGTGTTCTGATATTGGGTAAATATTATTTAAGAATTTTTTATTTTTATGGTGAATTCACTCTTTAATCATTACATAATATTTTTCTTTATTTCTTATGATATTGGTTGACTTAAAGTCTGTTTTGTCTAATATAAATATGGCTGCCTCTGTTCTCTTTAGATTACCATTTGCATGGACTAGTTTTTCCATTCCTTCACTTTTAGCCTATGACTGTCCTTAAATCTAAACTGAGCTCCTTGTACACAGCATATATTTGGTTCTTGTTTTTTGCTTGTTTGTGTGTTTTTAAAATGCATTTAACTATTCTATGCCTTTGAGTTGAGGAGTTTAAAACATTTACATGTGAAGTAAACATTGATAGAAAAGTACTTAATGTTGCTATTAAATTGTTAATTTTTTTCTGTTTGCCTTGTACTTCTGTCCCCTTTCCCTCTCTTGCTATCTTTCTTTGTTTTTAGTTAATTTTCTGCAATAATATAATTTGATTCCTTTCTCGTTTTCTTTTGTGTTTCTTAAGTTTTTTAAATGATTATCATAGGTTTACACAAAATGTTGTATAGTTATAACAGTATATTTAAGCAGATAATAACAACTTTAATGGCATACAAAACCTTTATACTTTTACACTTCCTGCTCTTCATTTTATTGCATTTATGTCACATGTTACATATTCTTATATGTTTTATCCCTTAGCATTTTTTATTTTTATTTTTATACATTAATCATTTAATTTGTATACTAGGATTAAAAGTAATTCACGTACTACCTTTACAGTATAACATTTTGTACTGTCTATATATTTTCCTTTATCAGCTTGTTTATGCTTTCATGTGCTTTTATGTTGATGCTTAGCATCCTTTTGTTTCACCTTGAGTAACTCATTTGTTCCTTTGTGTGGATTATGTTTCCTTATTACTTTATTTTTATTTACTACTTGTTTTGGTATCGACAGATGATAAGAACAACGGCTTCCTCTCCAAGTCCTCCCAGTGTGGCCTCATATGGGAGAAGGCATTCATCATTAGCCTAGCCAGAGATTCATGGGGTCTTTAAGACCTCTCTGTGTATGCATCCTCTCTGGACTTGTGCATGTACATTTCGAACGTGATTTTCTGCTTTCTTTTTTTAGAAATGTATAATTTCTTGCTTCCTCTGTCATCTATCGGCTGTACCATGTGCCTTCTGGAGTAGCAGCATGCACAAACTCATTTTCCTGTTATCAGTACCCCCCAGGCATCTACAGTGTGTCAGAATCCACCTATGCTCTGAGACAGGTGAGACTGAGTTCATTCCCTCAGGCAACCACCTAAAAAGTTTTAAATTTGACAAATGTGTTAGTCATATCTTTCTCTTCCCAGAGATAAGCCAGTCACTGGGAGTCTTCTTGACTGTGTTATGCTGAGCTGGGAGTAGGCCTCTGATGGATGAGTTTGTACTAGCCTAAACTTTTGCCCTGTTCTTAGCGTTCAGGCATCTAGAGTATGCTAGTTCCTACCAGTGTTCCCAGGGAGTTGAGACAGAAGCCAGTCCTTGGTGCGGCCCGCTGAAAAATTGGAATGTTGCATGCCAGGTCCAATGCTTTTCCTCCCCTAGGATAAGCTGTGAAAAGAGGTTTCTTCCCAATCATGTGGCACTGTACTGAGGGACAGGCTGTGAGAGGTAAGTGCACACTTCAAGCTATTGCTGTCTTCAGTGTTCCCCAGTCATGCAGAGTGTACCTGATCTCATCAGCACTCTGAGACTGGAAAAACAGAAGCCAATTCCTGGGTCAACCCCACAAAATTTGGAATGTTGGCTACATCATCCAAACTCTTTCCCTCTCCAGGGAGAAACTGGAATATGGAGGTTTCTGCAAGCTCGATCTGTGCAGAGCGAGAGAAAGGGGCTATGATAAATGAATATATGCTATTAAAAATCACCATCTTTGTTCTCGGCAGCCCCCAACCTGAGATCATCTTCTGTCAGTATCACTTGGTCAGCCTCCAGAAAGTGAGAACGTTGGACATATGCTCCACTCTTTTCCTTTTCTTTTTTTTTTTCTCCAGGGAGAAACTTTGATCTAGGGTTTATCTTCACATGGTGAGGTTGTGCAATGGAGAAACATAACAGTGTGACGGTGCTTCAAATTTTCCTACCAGCTTCTATGCAGCTGGTTTTGTGTGCTAAAGTGCAGGAGCCTCTCAACTGGTTCTTGGATTTCTCATAAGGAATAGTTTTTCCTTATGTTGTGAAATTGATGTGCCGTCTGGGAAAGCATGGCTTTGTATTTTACCTTCTTGCTGACAGCCTTCTGCAAACTTATTTTTAATTCCTGTTTGCTCTTCACAAAAATTTGCTAATTTTTAACATATTTTAATTGACTAAATTTTAATTTAAAAATTTGCTAATTTTTAACATATTTAATTTACTAAAATTTATGTGACTCTTTTATGACTTAATTTATCTTTTTAATAAAAAGGACAAAAGTAAGTAAATAAATAATGATGATAAAATAATTACTCTGTGATTATTATAGTAATGTGTTACCTTACTGAGATTTATCTTCAAATATTAGCTGAAGGGACAAAGAAGTGGATGATTAGTCCAGATGTAGTATAAAGCTGCAGGTTAAAAAGAAAGTGAAAATGGTAGGAAGAGGTAGCAGTGAGGGTAGAACTGAGATGAAGTATCCTGAGTGCAGTGCTTTCGGTAACACATATTTTCTTTGTTTATTTGTTATTATTCCCATACAGTCCAACTAGTTCAGTTGTATTTTTTTTTAAAGATAGATAGCTGTGCTTCAGTATCTGGACCAGATAGAATCTTTAAGTTTCAAATTATTTTAATGGTGATTTATGCATGAAAAGACTAAATGTTCTATACTCCATATATGATAAAATATATACTTAATATAAATACATTTCATAAAAATATGTAACTGAATATCCATGTGACAAAATTTACAAAAGAAAAAACTGTATTCATATTTTAACATGTATTGAAGTGATTATAATTTACTTAGGGGTTTGCGGATTAACAAAGGAGTACACAAGTAAACTTTCTTTACATTACTATATTTTAGTGTAGGTACAAATAAGCACAGTTTATTTTTATTTTTTAGAAAATGCTTATTCTTTTAGAAATGCTCATTATTTATCTGAGAATTTTTAAAAAATGCTCTGGAAGGCGCATAGGTTTCAGAAAGCACTGGCTTCTCATGCTTTAGTTATCCAAGTTTCTAAGGGGAAGTAATTTTTCTGTTGTTAAGTCTTTATACTTATTCATTTTAGTTCACCTTTTGGTTAAAATCTCTTGGATTAAACAAAACAGAAAGAAATGTCTTATCTAATGCCTTTCTCTGAGTTACATTGCAATAATATGCACACAATAAAGTAGTTTACTTACCAAGACATGAAAACTGCTTTTCAGCTAGAAATACAAATGTTCTCCTTGATTGAGTTTTAATGAAGACAGATATATACATCTGCAAATGTATATAGAGAAAGAGAGAACGCAGAGTGCTAGTACATGCATTTATGAGCCAGCAAGATGTGCAGGCTTTCTTTGTCTGATATTATTGTAACCCATGAGTTTGGATGTAAGTGAAGCATTAGTCTTACAGAGCAGCTTTTCCTACCACTCTATTTCTCTTCTTTTCAGCCTAGTGTCAAGCTTTCAAACCAAGCCCTCTTTTTCAGATTATCTGAGCTATCTATATCAGCCTTTTCTCAGCAATGAATATAAATGTTACATTATTTTCTGAAGTGTAATATTTACCACCCATATTCACTTTCTCTTTTTTTTTAGCCAAATATAGCTGTCTTTTGGTCTTTATAGACCTATACATCCATCCCCCTGACCATGAATGAATAGGCTTGGATTCAATTTCTTCAACCTAGCAACTTTGCCTGCTCTTCTGTAAATTTAAATTTGACTCCTGGCTTTGAGATTATTGCACAAGCCTGACAATCAAATAAAACATAGTCCTTCTTCTATAAAGTGCTATTTTCTTACACATGTCCAAACACAAACACCCACAAACCCTTAAACATGCATGTATTCCACCAAATTATATCATATTAGAGTTATCTTTCTTTAGCAAAAAGTCTCTTCCAAAATATGACTACCAAAATTATTAAGTCTTTTATAAGATGAATAAAATCAGACAGTTTAATATTTAGAGCTGATGCCTTTAATCTTTAGCATTTTGTATTTTTTTTCCCTTGACAATCTAATTTCTTCCCCACAGTTCGCCAAGGCTGTAAACTATAAGTGAAGTAGAAAGGTATGACAATCATATTACAAAATATTGAAAAGGTTAAAGTAGTAAAGCACCTTTCCCAGGATATATGAGACATTAAGATTTTGGTATTTTATATTAGTGAAGAGATTACATTGAAAAAGGTAAATGGCACAACAAAAAGTCATTATTTTTAAACAGAAAGTTCATGAGGATTCTATATGATAATCTTTCTTTTGGTCTTGAATCTTAAATAATATTTTTATAGTAATTTTAACTTAATTTAATTTAAGCACAGCTAGAATTTATGTATGCATACATGTTTATAAGTTAAATATATATGTATTTATCTCACACTTTAATGTACTGTCTAGACTCACTGTAATATTGTCAATTGTCAATACAATATTCTTTATATTAAAATAAGATTTTTGATATATTTGGGGGTTACATTCTGTATGATAGAACCCTAACTGGTTTTATTGTTAAGAGTTCAAAGGGCTTTTTAGCTGTGACAGTCCTTCCTGGATATTTGTGTTGAAGTTTGATCTCACTTACATTTCGCCTTAGCCATGTTCTCTTGCCCTAAGATCCAGATTATTACAGCAGAGGTTAGTCAATGCTCTCAAGACTTCCAACCCTGAGGACTTAATGAACGTGGCAATCTAAACACAGGAACTTGTCTAATTGATTATTTCCCAGGATGACAGTGAATGCAATTTAAGAACAAACTTTTATGGCAAGTTGTAACTGAGATTTACATTCATTCACTCAAAAGCATTACTTTAACATCTACTGTCTGCTGGGGCATTGTTCCAGACAAGCAATTCTCAAAGTGTGAACCATGTTACAATACAAGGGTCTTAGAGATTAAAAAAAATCATAATAATATTATGATATCTGCTTTTTTCACTTTCCATATCTCAAGAGAATAAAGTCTTCCAGTGAAGTCTTCCAGGAGCTAAAAGATATATCACAAAAGATTGTATATAAAAACAGTTATGAGAATCTAGCTGCCTTCTAGTAAGTCAGACATTAAAGAGATGCACAAAAATATAATATAAAGCCACTATTTCTCAATAAACATTTTTGTTTGGGAAAGTGTAATCTTTAATCTTTTAAGTGTGATCTTTTAAGTAAGTTAATAAGTGTATAATTTAATTTAAGTAAGTTAATAATCTTTTAAATAAGTAAGTGTAATCTTTTAAGTAAGTTATTTTTGCTATCATGTGTAATTATAGTTAATAACTGGAATAGAATAAGTTTAAATATTGCTAAGTTTGAATTCCTAATACCATAAATTTTGACAGCTATACACAAAAATGACATGTGGATTCATTAATAATATTTAAGGGTATAAAGGGGTCCTGACACCAAAAGATTTGTGAGCTGCTGTTCTAGGTTCTAGAATCTTAATCAGTTTTCTTCTCCTGTTCTCATGAATCCATTATGGAAGTAGTATAGACTATTTTAGAATGATCCTTAGCTATATTACTGTTATTTCCTATTTTAAGCTTTGAGAAAAACTTGTTTTCAACTCTCAAGCAGTTCATGCCAGTTCCTGGAATAAAAAGAACATCTGGGAAAAATCCCAATTAGTGTTGTTTTGTCCTAGTTCTCTTATTTCCAGTTTTTCCTTAGAGATACAAACGAAAGACCCCTAATTATAGATTTTAAAGTTTTCCTTATCCTCTTCCATTTGGCTACTAGGTGATTCTACTGTGTAAAAACTTAGCTCCACCTTTGCACAGTGGAAGTATGCTAGCTGATGAGGTTTATCTGAGGTGCAAGTATTGCTAATTCAAAACTTTTCCCAATACCCGGCCATGATGACTTGAAATATGGTCGACATTGGCAATTTTCGACAGTCTCTGCAGAGAATGAACCATCTTTGTTTAAAAAAACGAAAACAAACAAAAAAACAAAAAAAAACTTAGCTCCATGTAAAGGACTTTACATCTAACTTTGTGTTGAATGTACGGTCACATAATTTTACAAACCTCTTCCGTTTAACTTGCCCAGCTGTGTAATTAACGATGGTACAATATGCAGTTCTAAGACCCTTGCAAGCCAAATTACAAGTCTTCAGACCCTTACAAGTCTAAGACCCTTACACTTCTAAGACCCTTACAAGTCTAATTATTTTGCGTTTTTTGTTTCATATTTACTGCCCCACAAGACAATATATATCCACATTGTAATATACAAATTATATAAATTCCAGGCCGCCCACGGTTTTTTTTTTTTTTTTCTTTTGCCATTGTGTTTTCTGGCTCTACCACTGATTTGTACACATGCCTTTCTCCTCACAAATATTTTCTCATTCGGGCATCAAGAGAAACCATTTTCCACAGGCTTTGGAGAGAGACCTTGGTTGGAAGCCCAGCTCCGCCATGAACTACTTATTTGATCTCTGGCATGTTATCAGCATTTCTAGATCACTAGTTTTTCATCAATGGAATGAAAATAATTACAGTACCTGTCTTATAAATTTGTTATTAGAACAATATGGATTAAAGCATGAAACTATTTTGTAAACATTCTAGCACAATGAAAATTTTCAAGAAATGCTTGTTGTTATGATTTTTTTGTTTATTGTTAAGCCACCAAACCTGATGACTTTCATTTCTGCCCATGAATGTCTCTGTATTCTGAAATCTTTCAGTCTAAAATATGCATTAATATTTTCTTTGCAAACTTGTATGCAAGTTACTTATGAAACAGAGCAGGCTAAGGCCGATTGGTGTTGGAATTTTTTAAATGAATACTATCATTTGTTATATGGATTTTTAAATTTCAGATATTAGTTGTGCTCTTTAAGCTGATAGGAAAATAATATTTTGGTATTTTTTTAAGATGAAAGCTGAAATTTGGAATCAGGATGTTTTTAAGTAAAGATAAAAAGGACATGCAGCCAATCAAATCAAATCAAACTTGAGATTATAATTATGAAATAATTTCATGTGAAAATCCTAATTCCAATTTTGTCATGGACGAAGGTATCTATTGCTAACATGAAATTTGATTAAAATGTAAATTATTGTTTGAGCTAACTAATCCAAACCTAGAAAAAGTACAAAAGCATCAAAATGAAAACAGGTTTGAATGTTTGCTTTATTGATAATTATCCCATTAATCACTACCAAACTTCAATATTTTAAAAATAAAAATCAGCCTCATGTATTTAGTTTTTTGTTTGCTTGTTTGTTTAAAAGTAAGCTCAGCTGGACAAGAAAGTAATTTTAGCAAGAAGAACCTTTGGCTAAGACCTAGTCTACCTGTCCTTGAACTTTAGACATCATATGTTCCAAAGTTATTTCAATCAATTTTAAAATCTATGCAACAGGAAAGTAACAGTATGTTCTATTGTATGGGTTAAGTCTCACAAATAATGCACTTGCATGTATATGAGTTCTTTCACTTATTCAGTTCTTTTCTTAAAATATGATCTCCTCAGAGAAGACTTAATGACCACCTGTCATTAATAGCTGCTTTCACTCTCTTCATCTTACTCTGATTTATTTTTTCCACAACAATTTTAACTCCTGAAAAATTGTATTTCTTAATTTGTTTATTGTTTATTATATATCTCCACTAGATTGTAAGCCAGTGAAAGCAAGGGTTTGTTTCTGTACTCTGCTATACATATTTCCAGCTTCTAAAAGTAGTCCTGGTATATAATAGGTTCCTAATAAATATTTGTCCAATGAATAGATCAATGAGTGTATTTAGAAGTAGAATTTCATTAAACATTTTTAGAAGCATTTAACATGTTTTACATATCTTAAGATATAATTTTATTATTATATTAATTCAACTTTGCAAGAGTGCACAAATAAATGACCGTAATGAATACATGTACATGTTTTTAAAAACTGGGTAGTCTGATTTAATGGATGTGAGCATAAACTTATTTCAGAGTTTATTCATATTTAAGTGTCTTCCTTATAAAATACAATGAAGTTGTGAAAAGTACAGGTCTATCATTTTAAAATATTTAAGAAAAATTTAAAAAGTTGTCTAATTCATCCATTTTTTTGAAATATATGTTTTAAAATCTCAAAATAAGCACCCATTTAACTAAGTAAATATGAGTGCTAGTCATTACTGGTCAGTTACATTTTTTCCACCTTGAAAATTGTACTTGAAGTTTGAAAATAGACTAAATAACTGCAAAACTTTAAGTAAAATATATGCATATTTGCTACAAGTCTACCAAGTGAAATTAACAAATACAACTGCTTTTAAATAATCATCTACCATTTATAATGTCATATTTTCATTTATTTAAATTCTAGGATTTATTTTTCTTGAGTTATAACAACACCCCCATTTATTATTTCACAGTTTCTATCGATCAGAAGACAGGCAGAGTGTAGCTGCTTCTCTGTTCAGGGTATTACAAGGCTAAAACCAAGGATTAAGCCAGATTGCATTCTCATCTGGAGTATAGGAGCCATTTTTAAAGTTGAAAATGTATTGATACCTAAATAATCTTTCTGTACTACTTGTTATTTGATGCTTTTTTAGTACCAAATATTTGATACACCTTACACCTTTAAGGCGTAAGGTGATATTTTAGTGACTTATCTAACCCTCCTGAAATTTATTCAACTTTTTTCTCTATTCTGTGTCCTATAACTTTCCATCACTTGATTTTTCATCCTATTGCCAAATACTACACTCAACTTAAAAAGTCTTGACTGCAAATGTTTCTGTGTTTTTAATTTCTAGAATTATAATAGGTATCTTATTTCTCACAATATATTTAATATTTGAAAAAATGATTTTTGAGTTATAAAGTACTTTTAAAACTTTGAAGTATTTGACATTTTAAAATAGAAAGATGTTTATGATGAGAATCATTAACTTTGGGTTTTAATAATCCTCTAAGCACTATTTACACAAAAAATTCTTTTTTAAAAAAATTCAACAGGATTTTTGGGAAGAGGTGGTGTATGGTTACATAAATAAGTTATCTAGTGGTGATTTCTGAGATTTTGGTGCACCCATCACCCGAGAAATGCACACTGTCTCCAATTAGTAGTCTTTTATCCCTCACCTCCCTCCCACCCTTTCCCCCGAATCCACAAAGTCCAATGTATCATTCTTATGCTTTTGCATCCTCATAGCTCAGCTCCCACTTATGAATGAGAATATACAATCTTTGGTTTTCCATTCCTGAATTACTTCACTTAGAATAATGGTCTCCAATTCCAGCCAGATTGCTGTGAATGCCATTATTTTATTCCTTTTTATAGCTGAGTAGTATTCCGTTATATATAAATATAATTATATATAAATATAATATAAATATATATTATAATATGTAAAATATATATTTACATTATATATATAATTATATATAATATAAAAATAAATTATATACATTTATATATAAATATATACTTATATATACTTATATGTTATATATAATTATATATGTTATATATAAGTGTATATAGTATATACACATATATATTTTTATATATGTATAAGTATATATATACTTACACTATATATACTTATACTATATATAAGTATATACTTATATATATACGTATATATACATAAGTATATATGTATATATATAAGCTTATATATAATTATATATACTTATATATATTTATATTATATATAAATTTTTATAGCTGAGTAGTATTTATATATATAGATATTTATATTTTTATAGCTTAGTAGTATTCCATTATATATATTATATATTATATATATCATTATATATAATATATATGAAATATATATTCCATTATATATAATATATAATATATATTCCATCATATATAATATATATAATATATATTCCATCATATATTATATATAATATATTCCATTGTGTATTATATATAATAGATATACCATTATATAATATATAATATATTTTCCATTATCTATTATATATAATATATATTCCATTATATATATTATATATATAATGGAATACTACTCAGTATAAAAATTTTATTTATATATATAAAATTCCATTTTATATAACACTTGTTGATTGATGGGCATTTGGCTTACTTCCATACTTTTGCAATTATGAATTGTGCTGCTATAAATGTGTGTGCAAGTATCTTTTTTGTATAATGACTTCTTTTCCTGTGGGTAGGTACCCAGGAGGAGGATTGCTGAATCAAATGGTAGTTCTACTTTTAGTTCTTTAAGAAATCTACACAGTTTTTCATAGCGTTTGTACTACTTTACATTCCCACCAGCAGTGTAAAACTGCTCCCTTTTCGCCACATCCCCACCAACATCTATTATTTTTAATTTTTTTTAATTATGGCCATTCTTTCAGGCATAAGGTGATATTGCACTGGTTGGGTTTTTTTCCTTTTTCTTTTTCTTTCTTTTTTTTTTTTTAAGACGGAGTATCGCTCTGTTGCCCGGGCTGGTGTGCAGTGGCGCGATCTCGGCTCACTGCAAGCTCCGCCTCCTGGGTTCCCGCCATTCTTCCGCCTCAGCCTTCCAAGTAGCTGGGACTACCGGCGCCCGCCATCGCGCCCAGCTCATTTTTTTGTATTTTTAGTAGAGAGGGGGTTTCACCGTTTTAGCCAGGATGGTCTCGATATCCTGACCTTGTGATCCGCCCGCCTCGGCCTCTCAAAGTGCTGGGATTACAGGCGTGAGCCACCGCGCCCGACCTATTGGTTTCTTTTTTTGACACGGAGTCTCACTCTGCCACCCAGGGTGGAGTGCAGTGATGCAACGTCTCCCTCTTGGGTTCAAGCAATTCTCCTGCCTCAGGCTCCCAAGTAGCTGGGATTACAGGTATGGGCCGCCACACCCAGACAATTTTTGTATTTTATTAGAGAAGAGGTTTACCATGTTTGCCAGTCTGGTCTCGAACTCCTGACCTCAAAAAATCTACCCGTCTTGGGCTTCCAGAGTGCTGGGGTTACAAGTGTGAGCCACTGCACCCGGCTTGCATTGTGGTTTTGATTTGCATTTCCTTGATCATTAATGATGTTGAGCAGTTTTTCATATGTTTGTTTGCCATTTGTGTATCTTCTTTTGAGAATTGTCTATTCGTGTCCTTTGCCCACTTTATGATGAGATTGTTTTTATCTTGCTGATTCGTTTGAGTGACTTGTACATTCTGGATATTAGTTCTTTATCAGATGTATAGATTGCCAAGATTTTCTCCCAATATGTGGATTGTCTGTTTACTCTGCTGATTGTTTCTTTTGCTGTGCAGAAGCTTTTTATTTTAATGAAGCCTCATCTATTTATTTTTAGTTTTGTTGCATTTGCTTTTGGGTTCTTGGTCATGAGGTCTTTGACTAAGCCAACGTCTAGAAGGATTTTTCCAATGTTATCTTCTAGAATTTTTATGTTTTCAGATCTTAGATTTAAGTCCTTGATCCATCTTGAGTAGATTTTTGCATAAGGTGAGAAATGAGGATCCAGTTTTGTCCTTCTACATGCGGCTTTCCAATTATCCCAGCACCATTTGTTGAATAGGGTGTTGTTTCTCCACTTTATGTCTTTGCCTTGTCGAAGATCAGTTAGCTATAAGTATTTGGGTTTATTTCTGGGTTCTCTATTCTGTTCCGTTGATCTATGTCTATGTGCCTATTTTTATACCAGTACCATGCTGTTTTGGTGACTATGGCCTCCCTGGTGTGAAACCCACTTGATAATGGTGGATTATCTTTTCGATATGCTGTTGGATTCAGTTAGCTAGTATTTTCTTAAAGATTTTTCCATCTGTATTCATCAAGGATATTGGTATTCTTTTTTTTTGTTTTGTCTTTTCCTGGTTTTGGTATTAGGGTAATACCAACTTCATAGAATGATAGCAGAAAGATTTCGTCTTTCTCTGTCTTGTAGAATAGTGTCAACAAGATTAGTACCAATTATTTTTCAAATGTCTAATAGAATTCAGCTGTGAATTCATCTTGTCTGTACTTTTTGTTGGCAATTTTACTGTTTTATATACTTAAGCAGATAGGCCCCATTACGTACATTTTCTCAAGATAAGCAGTAACTAGTTCTCAAGTAAGAGGACTTAATGGCATCTTTTATTACACATCCTAAATTTATATGGAAATTGGGGTAACCATCTATGTTAGCACAATTGAGCAACCAGTTAACAATAATTTATTGTATATTTCATAATATCTAAGAGAGGATTTGAGATGTTTCCCCCCAAAAAGATAAATATTTAAAGTGACAGATATCCCAATTACCCTGATTTGATCATTACACTTTTTATACTTCCACCAAAATATCATATGTATTTTATAAATATATACAACTATTATGTATCCATAAATTAAAAAACAAACTTCTTAATCTCAAATAGAGTAAAATGATAAACTAAGGAACAGAGGCAAAAATAGTATATGTGTCTTCGGGCAAAATATTAGTTTTGAAAATAAACAAATAAAAACACAAATATAGCAGACATTGGATTAGACCTCTAAAGGAGGCAGGATGTTTGAATTGAAGAATTACTCCCTTTACTTTTACTTGTTTCTTTCTCTGCCCTTCTTATTGTGATCTCAGTTGCCACAATTATATCTGCAACCCAGAACTCTGTGAAGGCATATTGGTGAAGGCTCAAAGTCATTAAATTTTGAACAGATGTTTATCATTTGACGCAGCACCAATGTTGACAACACTAGTCACTGTCACAATGACACTGGCTTGTCGAAGGGCACTGGTGGAAATGGAGAAAAATTAATGACATAACATTTGCAGAGAACTTACTATACTTACTGTGTATCTGTCACTGTGTTCAATACTTTGCCAGAATCTCCTAACAACAGCTCTGAGATACAGGTTCTATCAATAATTTATCATCACTGTATAGTTAAAAAAATTTGGGCTTATTCAAGATCATACTGATAATAAGTGGTAGATCCAGGATGTGGGTCCAATTGATATGTGGCCAGAGCCTGTGTACTGTGCAAATTTCTAAGGTGTTATACTTGTCTAGTCTCCCCATCACTGTATGTATGTATGTCTTGAAAATTGATGAAGCCACCATTGCCACTGCTGACACTTCACGTTAGCTGTGCATTCCTCTTAGGAACAGCTCACCTCAATCATGCAAATTTCAATAGATTAAAACCTTAACAACCTCCTAATCTAATAACCTTTGTTATATGTCATTAATAAAACATCTCCTTTGGTTTGACTTTTATTTGCAGTGTTTGTCCTTAAAACTTAGGCATAATGAAAGAATCCAAACTGGCAAGAGGCAGCCATTATGGTCTCTTCAAAATTTCTTCACTCTATTTTCCTTTGTCCTAGAAAACTCTTGAGTTCTCCCTGAAAGGAGACTAAAGAACAATCCTCTGCAGATGTGTCTGAATCCTAAAATGAACTTAAGGTATGTCTAAGAAGGTTCCACAAGAATTCCTAGACTTCTAAGATATTTTTGTATTCCAATATTTAATGTAGTATTTATATTAGATTGTGTATAAGTTGCTACTTGTTGGGAAATTTTGACTTATTGCCTTATTCTCTTCATTTTTAGATTTTTAGTTCATAGAAAAATAAATTGTTTAATTCTCAATGCCAAATATTTGATGAGAATCCAAAGAGGAATTAAAACTATATTTGTTACTGTCATTCTAAAACTTAGCTACATGCTTTAGCTTTTCAGATACAATTGTGACAGATATAGTACACATTGCTCTTTTGAAAAGTTTGAGTAAAATAAAATAATGAAAATGCAAATATTTAAACTTATAAGCTGATTTTTCTGTTTGGTGAACTTGTAGCAGAACTCTGCTTCTGCACATAATATTCTTTTAGAAACCATGTATTATTTCTCAATGTTGATTTATATTATCATATTCTTATAAACTGTACTATGTTTCTGTTGTATGAATGCATTTGTACAACTCTGTGCATATGCCAAGCTTGAATAGGAAGTATTGAAAATAGAGCAAAGAGGATTTTTATTTAATCTGAAGGAAAGATTATATAAAATATATATTTACTTTTGATAAGTAAGATTATATGTTAAATCTCACCTGAGGTATTTTAAATAGCCCAGAGTTTGAGAAATGCCTTACTGATGATTGTCCTTTTTGGGGTCATCAGAATTGACTACATTTCTTTGGGTAAATGTGGGTTGTTTCCCTGAAGGTATGGATTCCCCAGCAGATAGTCTTTTGTGGAATATGAAAATTTATTACCTAAAATCCTGCTGTGGGAAGGAGACCATAGGCTGGAGAGAGGAAAAAAAAAAAAAAGACCTTCTTCCTTCTGCTGGTGTGCAGTTAGTTTGGCCCACATTCTAAGGGATGGACAGAAAGACCTGAGACTCTTAGTGATGGTGGCATGAGGGGTAGGTGAGTTCTCCTTTGCCAAGTGGAGAAATGCTAAAAGCCTGCCAAGAGGTGGCCTGCAAAGGGACTTGTGACGTGTTTCAGACTGTGCAGTACTTGAATATTATTTTTCACGGTAAGTTCTTTCATCTAAGGGAAAGTTTTGAATACCGGCTTATTAAATGAAGTAATTTTAGTATTTGTGAAAGCAATTAGGGATTTTTTTTGTCTATTGTTGGGGTGAAGTATAAATGTATATAAAAGTGCATATTCACTACAGCACTCTTTGGGCATTGCAACCTATCAGTCTCACAAGGGCCAGAGACAGGAAGCAGGGAGAAGAAGAAGAAGGGCTCTGAATTAAAGGATGCCTAAGACTTGTTTTCAGTATGCATAAACTGGAATATTGGTACCTTCCAGAAGTAGTTGGCAGGTAAAACTAAGGGAAACTAATTTCCTTAGGTAAAAATAGGGTGGGTGCAGTAGGACCATGAATACAGAATTTGTAGCATATACATCTAAATTTCAATTTAGCAAAGAATCCCAAGAAGAAAATTACATGCAATCACTTTCTACAGTAATTTTCCTCTAAGTTCCCTGTCCTTAAAAGAAGCTAATATGATGAAGTGGCTGAATAGACCTAGTAGGAAGAGATGCTAAAGAATGGGATTATAGTAATTTATTATTCAATCATCTATAAGATAGTTTTACCTATATGTAACATAAATTAGGTAGCAAAATTACCTGGGGAAAAATAACATCAGTCTAGTGGCCGAGAATGAAGAAATATCTACAGGGAAAACTCATCTCTGGCAAGCAGAAAAGATGAGATTTCATAAAATGAGGTTTAAGGGGAATAGTTCACTTTCATTGGTTTTTTCCATGTAGCAGCTCAAGATATTAGAAAGCAAAAAAACAAGATTACCAAAGGATAAAGAATGGGAAATTAAATAAAAGAACACTATCAAGTTTGAATTAAATTCAACACCTATTTAGGTGAGTTACCAGAGAGCTCAGTTTTAAGAATCAAGCAAATCTTGAATGTATACCTAGTAGATACATCATGATGCGTTTTTTCTTTTAGAACTATTCTTTTATGTTTTTTTCTTTCCATTTCCACGTGATTTGTTTGAGACAGTCAGTGAGGACACCACACCCTTCACCCAACCCCAATACACACATAGTAACAGAAGAGGCGTATTTGCCAGTTTTCCATAATGTCCATGATGGGCCAATGGGAATTTTTTACTTGAGAATGAGAATTTTTAGAAAAGATACATGGAATTTTAGATGGCTATTTTTAAGTGACCTGATCAGTGAATGTGTTTCAAAAAAAGCTTTGATAAGCCCTTATGCTTTATGTTATTAGTTGTATATTTGCAATATATATACAGTCATCTGCCACATAACATTTCAGTCAGCAGTGGACCTTGTATACAATAACGGTTTTATAAGATTATAATACTCTATTTTTACTGTGCATTCTCTATGTTTATATATGTTTAGATACACAAATACTTATCATTGTGTTACAACTGCCTATAGTATTTAGTAGAATCACATGCCATACAAATTTGTAACCTAGGAGAAAAAGAGTATAACACATAGCTTGGATTGTTGTAGACCCTACCATCTAAGTTTGTGTAAGGATACTCTGTGATATTAGCGCAATGATAAAAGTCACCTAATGACGCACTTCTCAGAGTCTATTCTGTTTTTAAGTGACACATCACTGTACATATATTCTTTTTAATGATTATTAATTTCTCAATTTGGACCCATGAAAAACTATTATATTCTTTTAATAACTGCTCACTCTTTCACTAGAGCTTCCTGAAAGCTGGTTCCATTTTCCAAAGTCAGATAACATTATCTAATAGAGGATATGATATAAATGTTGCCAGAAATTTGTCCAGAAGGACAAATTTAAGAATGTTAAATATTTCATGCAGTTCTTGTGAGTAAGTTACTATGGACAATATACTACCATATAGATACTCACAAAAATTATAGGTTAAGATCAAACATGAGATGACAGTCAATTGCATTCAAATGATTACACACACACACAGACACACACACACACACACACATATATATATAATACTGATTCATGAAAATAAATATCTCACTTTATTGTAAGAATGAGAATATAGCCATGTGGCAAAATAGGAATTGAAAAGGAATTTGTCAGTGGAGACCTTTGCTGTAATATGAACATTTAGATAAATTGGCAAAGATTTACAAAATCTTCTACTACTGTCAACTTGCTCATGCTAGATGACTCTTTCCTAGGTAGCATATCTCATCTAAACAAATTCAAACATTTGTAGTTGAGTTAAACAAAATATATTTGAGCACATTTTCTGTTGAAATGTTAATTCATAGAGTAAAACATTAATTTACAATTTGGAAGAATTGCAAGTAGAAAATCATGTTATAAATGTATTGAATCATTATGTTCTCCAATGCCTAGTCCATATGTATTATTTTTCCAAATTTAAAGAGGTCAGATTTTTAAAAAATACAATGTTTTTTGAATCTTCCCATGTTTAGCTCCCCTCTAATTATTTTAAGAGCTAATGTCATTATTAAAGAAGACATTTTGAAGATCCTCTTCCAAGACTCTTCCAGGCATTTACTAATTTTGTGACATATTTTTGTTAGAAAGCATCTGGAAATTGGATCTCAGTGACTTACCAAAAGAAATTAAATATATACATACATATATGTGTGTATATATGTATGCATATATGTATATATACGTATATGTGTATATATATGGTTTTACATTTAAGTACAAGGAATAACATTTAAATACCTTTGCACTGTCTTCTTTAATATAACATTGTATTTCAAAAAAGAAATAAAATATTAGATCCAATTTTTATTATGCTACATAAGAAAACATGGAAAATTAAATAATGGCATCTATATTGTTTTCCTGTTACTGCTGTTAATAAATGATTACAAACTTAATGGCTTAAAACAACAAAAAATTATTATCTTATGGTTCTAGAAGACAGAAATCTGAAATGTATCTTATGGGTTCAAATCAGGGTGTCCTCAGAACTGCATTTTCTCTGGAGACTCTAGAGAAGATTCCATTTTCTTACATTTTTCAGCTTCTAAAAGCTACCTGCATTCTTTGTTCTGTGACTCCTTGTTTTATCTTCAAAGCACATCACTCATAACTCCACTCTTTATCTTTATATCACCTCTCCTCTTTGACACTCTGATAGTTTTGTCTACTTTTGTCAAGAACACTTGTGCCTGTATTGGGCCCATTGGGATAATCCAGGGTAAACTCCCCATTCAAGGTCCTTAATATAATGACAGGCACAGAGTTCCTTTTGCTAAGTAAGATAATGCAGTCTCACGCTGTATGGTTTAAGACCAACCTGGGGGAGGCATTTTTTAGCCTACTATACTGTTTCTAGCCTTAGAAAAAGGCACAATTTTTTAATGGCCAAGAAGTAAAACAGAATTAAAACCATAATCTCAGTGTTAGGATGCTGTCTCTCAATTCCATTTAAATATTCTTGTTCTTAAAGCTATGTAACAGATCAAATTATTTAGAAAATAGTGCTATTAAGTGCAAAGTGAGTTGTTGGAGAGGTCAACAACATGACGGTTGTAGGTACCTTAATAAGAAACAAACAAGACAGAAAAATAGTTTGAACTAATAATCGAACTAATTGCGGAAATTTGAAGAGGGACTTAAAAATAATAAATTAAGCAAGTTTACCAATACTGCTAAAAGAATGAGCTAAAAATACACAAATGATTGGATTGATAACTGGTAGAATAGGGAAAAATAAATTTAAAATGTAAGAAATATTTTAAAATATTGACTCAAAATATCCTTGAAGGATCTCAGGATGGAATATAGACAATTATATAAAAATTTAAAATATTAAAAAGTATTACTAGTAGTGCAGGGAAAGAGGACATGGGAAGATGTTGGTCAAAGGGTACAAAATTACAGTTACACAAGATGAATTTCAAGAAATGTACTTACATACGCCACCCTTAAATATGTGGACCATAATTTTCTACCCCATAATTGTGTCCCAGTCTCTTTCAAGGAGTACTGTAGAAAAGTGGAGCTTCAAGAAAATAACTACACAGTGAAGAAGCCTGACAAACACCATTTCAGCCAGTTGACCAAGGTTAACATCATCAGTGATGTCATCCTGATAGCATGCACCTTATTATGGTGTAATCAGAATGGCATTTTACCTGTGTGGTCTTCCACCCAAGAACTCCTAATCCCAATCTAATATTGAGAAAAATATCAGAGGAACCTTAATTGATGAACAGTCTACAAAATATCTAACCAGTGTTCGTCAAAACTCTCAAGTCACATAAAACAAGGAAAATATGAGAAATTGCCACGGTCTAGAAATGTCTAAGGAAACATGATGACTTAAATGTAATTTGATATCCTTGAAAGAATACTGGGCAGAGAATTACCATTAGGTAAAACTGAGGAAATTTAAGAAAAGCATGTACTTTGGTTCATCACAATGTATCAACAGCATAGTGAATGTATCGTGCTAATATAAAACGTTAATAAGAGGGGAAACCGGAATGGGGTATATGAGACCTCATTGAACTAGCTTTGCAAGAATTTCTACAAATGTGAAACTGTTCTAGAATACAAATTAATTAAGGTAAATCAATTACCCTGGAAAACTCGGTAGTCTTCTCCATCATCACTTTTTCATTGAGAAATATCTTGTCCAGGATATCAGTTATTTAATAATAAATAATTATTTTACTGTGATAAAATGTATGAAACTTAAAATTTGCCGTTTTAATCATGTTTAAGAGTACAGTTTTGTAGCATTACATACACTTACATTGTTGTGCAACTATTATCATTATCCATCTCCAGAACATTTTTATCTTTCCAATTGAAACTCTATTCTCATTAAACAAAAATGTCCCATATCCCCATCTCTGCAAGTTCTTTCTCTACGAATTTGACTACTCTAGGTTGCTTATATAAATGGAATCATAATAATATTTGTCATTTTGTGTCTGACTTATTTTACTAAACACAATTTCTTCAAGATTCATTCATGTTGTGACATAGCAGAATTTTCTTTGTTTTAAAGGCAGAATAATATTTCATTTTATGTGTGTACCAGGTTTTGTTTCCATTTATCTTTCAACTAACATTATGGTTGTTTCTACCTTTTGGCTAGTGTGAATAATGCTGCTATGAATATTTCTGTACAAATATCTCTTTGATTTTCTGCTTTCAATCCTTTTGAGTATATACCCAGAAGAGGAATTGATGGATTATACATAATTCTGTGTTTACATTCTTGAGGAATCATCATAAAATAATAACTTATTATTAACAAGAATTAGACCACCTGAGAAACATACACTATAATATTAAAAGAGGTTAAAAGAAAGATAACATTTTAAAAAACTCTTCACTTAATGTTCTTTTGGCAAAAGAGAATTGTAACTAAATATTATAGAAGAAATTTAAAAGGAAGAATAAAGCACTTTAATAAAGGAAGATTATAAAGTAGACATGCAAGAACACAGAGTAGATAAGGCACAAGAAAGATGAAAATAAAATATGAGTTTATAAATTGAAAGATAGCATCTTATATCAAAAATAATTGATCCATAATTGTAAAAACAGAAACAAATCTTATTACTTTTTATGGAACTTTGAAAATAATGAAAAAATATTTGCACCTCTTCTTAGGTAAAACAAATCTAAGTAATTTATAAGTAGCATGATAACAATATATCAAAATTTCATGGAAAAGTTTTAGTACATAAATGTCTAAAATTAATATAAATTATGTTTTTTAAATTCCGTATGTCCTCATCTTGATAACAAACCCATTGTTCATCCAAGCAATTGAAAAAAAAATCAGATTGGCCTTGGATTTCTCTAGAGTCATTTGCAGTACCAGTAGACTGTAAAGATCTTAGATAGTTTCACGCGAACTTCTGCAAAATATAAAATAAAAAAAAAATTTGCACCTCTGCTACTCTGATGAATACACAGCCAAAATATAGCCTAGGGCACGTGCATTGACCTAATTCCCTCCTGAATAAATATACAGCCAAAAGTCCCTCAAACAAAAAATGAATGCTAAATAATCCTACTTGTATCTCTGTATACTCTTTAAATGGAAATTTAATGGAGACAAAACATCCCCATACAAATTGAAAATTGAGAATACGTGTTTAATTTTTTTCCTGTATGTAATGTATATAATATGTTGCTAAGAAACAGGGAAATGATTTCATTTCTCTTACTACCTATCCGTATTTGGTATAATTTATAAGTAGTTAAAAATAGTTAATGTGAATTAACAGTGGAAATATTATGTCTTGCCAAAATAAGATGAGAGAAAATACAAGGTACCACCTCTATCCACCCATTACACTTAATATTTGACAGTAAGTTTGTTTGCAAGAAGATAGCAAGTCTACTAAATCCTGAAATGTCTTGTGTAGCATGAAAAATGCCATTCACTTTTCTAATATTTTGTCTCAAATTTGAAACAGCAAATATGATAAACATTTTAATCAGAGGTGAGAAATAAACATTTTAATCAGCGGTAAGAAATTTAATAGACTTTGAGCCCAGCCCTATAAATAATAACTGTGAGGTCACTATTAGTACTGACATCACAGGGTTTTGACTCATATGGTATAAGCCTATATATAATATTATTAAATTATACATGGAAAATAATAAACACCATATTAATATTAGCTGTTATTATTATATGAGCCATATTCAATGAATGTTTGTCAGAGTTCTTCAGTGGCAGGCAAAATTCTGAGTACTATATACCAGTGACCAAAGCAAAGAGTCTTCCCGTTGTGAAATTTTTCTCCTAGGGATATGTTGGGGAAAGAGAATACAGGCAATACAATTTTTTATAATCATACTATCGTATTTATTATGTGATAAGTGCTAAGAAAAATAAATTAAAATTGAACAAGATATACCTAGAGCTCAATAAAATACTTTTAATTTCTTCTGATACAATAATTATTAAAATATAGAAAAAGTTATAATAACATAGTACAATAAAATGTAGAGCAAGTTATAAGGGGTTCACAGGACATAGTTGAGAATGGTTCCACTTTTAATTAATCAGAGTAAACCTCACTGAGTAAATAAATACACAAGCTGTGCACAAATAGAGCAATAGAAAGTTGGTGGGTTAATGAACAAGAAAGACCATCTTTATTTTGGAATATTCAATTTTGTAGCGGTATGCAAACCAAACAAAACAACTGCAGGCTGTGTTCTGTTTATCTGCTACTGTGTTTGACCTCTACTTTAAAACAGAAAATAACTCAGAGCGACTGCATTCTAAATTTAGTCTACTAGCTTTCAAAACATTTGTTTTGTCAGTGCTACACACAAGATTTTTCAAGTTAATATAAATGTGGTTGAAATGTATACTAGCTCATCCTTGAGCTATTGCATAGCCTCTTAACTAGTTGCCTCTCGTTGTCTTGTTTCTCTTTCCATCTTTCTTACCCAGATAAACTTTTTTAGATGAAATAAATGAATGCTTTACTCACTTGATCACAAGTAGTCAACTCTGCAGTCTACTAAGTCAAATCTAAACAGGTTAATCTCTACCATCCTGTGTCTTTTTCCCCAACTACACTTTCAAATGGCATATCATTTCTTGCACATCACTTATACTGTTGCATTATTCAGCCTTTCCTCACTTTTGTTACTGTGCCAGGACATTAATCAACTGCATACATTTCCACTGAAATAATATCCCATCTTTCAGTCTTATACAGCCAATTCTTCTGATTTTTACCAACAGAAATAAACTCTTCTGAAGTCCTACGTTTCTTTGTTGGTACTCTTTTTATAATATACTTCGGTTGTAATATAATTCCTCATATTGGTTTACATTCCTTGTGAGTTTGAACATTTTTTTGCAAATGAAACCTACATAGTTTTGTTTTCTACTCAGAACCAATCTCAAATAGATGATACTAAAGAAAAAAAATATGAGAGTATGAGAGTTGCCATTCTTGTATCCATCACCTTGTGCTCCGAATTAAACAGATAAATTAAATAGATGAAATTACTTTTTATGGAGATACTTTATTTTTACATGGACAAATATGCATGAGAAAACTAGCTATGCTTTATGCTGTTAATAAAGGAAAGGGTGAAAATAGAGTAGATATTACTACATAAGTAACTACTGCCTTTTATAGCTGAAAAAATTCATGTAGCCTATTAGAGAGAAAAAAAAGAGAGAGAAAAGAACAAGACAGAGAGAGAGAACAAGCAAAAGGGCAAGCACAAGAACAAGAGCATATCCAATATCAAATTCAACATAAATAAAACTGATAGACTCAATACCAATATAAGAATAATTTACATACTATACATTATATCAAAATATCAGTTATTTAATAGAAATTAACTCGATTGTTCAAGTTTGAATTACCATTTTTACATTTTAATTTTAATAAAGTCCAGTTTATCAAGTTTTTTTTCATGTATTCCATCTTTAGTATTGTTTCTACAAAGTCATCATTATACCCAAGATCATTTAGGTTTTTTCCTGGGTTATCTTCTAGAAGTTTTGTAGTTTTGCATTTTCGTTAGGTCTGTAATCCAGTTTTATGTAACTTTTCTGAGGGGTGTAAGATCTATCTACGTTTATATTTTTGTATGTAGATGTCCAGTTGTTCCAGCACCACTCGTTGAAAAAATTATTGTTGCTTCTTTCTATTGCCTTTGCTCTTTTTTCAAAGACAAGTGGACTATATTTATGTGGACCTATTTCTGAGCTCTCTATTCTGATCTATTGATCTGTTTTTTTTAATTCTTTGCCAATGGCACACTATATTACTGTAGCTTTATAGCAAGACTTGAGATTGAGCAGTGTCAGTCCTCTGACTTTGTTATTCTCCTTCAACATTTTGCTGTTTTGGATCTTTTGCCTCTCCGTATAAACTTTAGAATCTTTAGAAACTTTAATGATATCCATAAAATAACTTGCTAGAATTTTAAATGGGATTTCATTGAGTCCATAGATCAATTGCAAAGAACTGATATGTTGACAATATTATCTTTCTATCCATAAACATGGATAATTTAGTTATTTGATTTTTTTAATCTGAATCTTGTGGTTTTTCTTCATATAGAGTCTGTAAAAATTTTGTTAGATTTATATCTAATATTTCATTTTTGGGGTGCCAATTTTAAATATTATGTTTTTATCTTCTACATGTTTGTTACTGGTAATTATTATATTTTAAAGTTATATTGAGGAGATAATTGATATTAAACCTTTATAAATTAGACATACTCTCAATTTCATATAAATTTTCATGCTTTACATGTTGTTCAGAGTATTTAGCACAAATAATCTACTAAAAATAGAAACAGTAGCAGTAATATTAACAATTAAAGTGAATAAAGTTAAAGTAGAATAAGGAGAAATAAAAAACTTGACCTATAACCAATAACAAGGTTATAGAATTAGTTCTCAAAATTCTTCCCAGAAGGAAAAGCCTAGTTCCAGATGGCTTCATCAAGAAAGGAAAATGTTAAGAACTGAAATGTAATCTCTAATTCTCCCTCAGTGTGGAATACATAAGATTGTACTAGATATAGACTAATGTTCTTGATGAGATTGTTTAGTGAATGCTGTTCAAAGGATGTATCTGTCAAACATCTTGTCTGTGCTGTTGAAATGTTTTTTTACTTATCTATACTTGTTAAAATGCAGCAAAGGAATGAAACTAGTCTGACACTTCAAAGAGTGTTACATGCTTATCGAAGAGTGAAAGTGGAAAGAATGCAGAAATGAAAGTTTCTTTCTGAGTTGAGGTGGTTCCCAGTCAGCACTGATTACTGTAAAAAAGCACATTCCTGTGAAGTGTGATTAAAGATATCACTATTTATGCTTGGGAGTCGCAAAAGCCTCACTATATTCTTTCTTAAAACTAATGTACCGTGCTTCTCAGCATGATTTATAGTTTCTCATGGCTTAGGCTATCAAGCAGAGCTAACTAATTAATTTGTTGATGACACATATGCCAAAGATTTATATTAAACCGAAAAAATTGTTTGAACTAAATTTTTATGGGTAACTTAAATAAAGAAGAAATACCCTACAAATTAAAATGAAGCCAGTATAACTGTTATAATAAAACCTAACAGAGGCACAGTAGTAATTGAAAACTTAAAAACAATTTCCCTGAAGACCATAAATAAAAATATTTTATATAAAACGTTAGCAAATCAAGTAGATATAAGTATGTGTGTGTGTGTGAAAATACAAACAAAAAAGTTAGATTTATTACAGGAATGTGAGGTTGATTTAATATTAGAAATATCGATTAATTTACCACATTATTTCTGCAAAGAGAAACATTTGATCGTCTCAATTGAAATGGAAATAATAATAATATATGAAACTTTTAAGCTACGTTAATAGTAGTTTAATTCATTTGGATTGATTGTTCTGCTGAAGGAAAAACAGAAAGATCAAAACAATATTTTAAAAAATCAAAGTGAGGAATAATCTAGAAAAACTGAGGAAACAACAGAAGGCAGGTGACTCTGAATTGTTTCCACCGTGATGTATTTGGTGATCTGGTGTAGGTATCTGAGAGACTGAACTAAGCTGTAATGGACTAATTTGGAGATGGTAAAACAGGAACTGAAATTCGGTGTCAGCCATACTTGGAAACCCTGGCTAATCATCTCTCTTCTGGGCTAGACCCACATGAGCTAAATCTCTTTAAATAATTTTATTCTTATAAACGTAAATAAAGAGCTCCACATGCAGCGAACTTGAAGAGCTTAATGAATTAAGGTTGAATTCCAGTGATTGCCAGCCATTCAGTCCCTGATGAAACCCACCCAGCTCCAGATGCAGAACACAACAGCACTAGACATAATAGTGTTGACTTTTTCTCAGCACGTCCTCTAGAGCACCTAGAAACAATGGCCCTTGATTCTGGACTGCTAACATCCACAGTGTCTAGTAGGAGAAAAGGAAAATCTGTGGAGTAAGAAAATGACATCTTAGGTATCAAATTACTTACATAAGTAATTATTTTAATACAACATGGTGAGCATAATCTAAGACAAACAGCAAATAAGAAGATAAAACTATGTAAGTCATAATGAGCAGAACAAGTTAAAGACAGAAATATACCCTCAAAATTTTAGTTAAAAAATTATCAGGTGCTGTCTGTATGATACATTATTATAGTTTATCAGCTATTGCTTGGAAAACCTAAACTTTTCTCTTTTTTATCGGTACATTTGTTTTGGAGAGAATTTTATTTTCTCCTACCAAGTCTTGGGATAATCAACCAATTTAAGAAGAGCTCAAATTTTATGAATAAAAGTAAATGATACCCAAATCATTTATAATAACACTGCAGAAAATCAAAGACAGATACATCGTTTTAAAAGTCTGGGTTAGGGTAGGAGGAAAGCTAGATCAGCTCCAATGAGGTAATATTCTGATAACTGAGTTTTCAGTAGAAGCAGAAAAAAAAAGCTCTATGTCAGTTAGTTCCATGTATGGAAAGACAAGACAGTAACTTGTATTCCAAGACAAGTTTAGCCCAAAGCTGCCTCTTTACATATTTAAGTTCAGCCTGAAGGTTTTTCTGTACATTGTGAAATATAACAAGTGGAAGTGTAAACTGACCCTAGCCTGCACCTGTGCCAATCACTGAGTTTTGGCCAGTGAAATGTAGCCAACTGTTTGAACTGTGTTCAAATAAGGCACACACTGAGCTGTAACCAATCCAGTTGTTTCTATATCTCACTTCTGATTTCTGTACTCGCTTCTCTCTCTCTCTTTTTTTTCTTTGTCTAGAAGTCTTCCACCACATGGCTTTGCTGGAGTCTCTCTGAATCTGCTGTGATTCTGGGGGCTGCACAATTCGTAAATCGTTCATTGCTTAATTAAACTTTAAATTTAATTAGGCTGAAGTTTTTCTTTAAACATCTCCATCTAGTAATAAAAAATTTCTTTCAAGAATTAGAACTTATAAAGATTTTTTAGATGAACCACCAAATTATAATCACTACCAAAAGATAAATAATGCAAGAAATGTCAAGCCTGTTACACTAATAAAAGTAAAGTAATTCTAGATAGGACCTTGAATTGCAACAAGTTATGAAGATTGAATAAATACATGAGCAGGTTTGAAAATCAAGTAAATATGTAGGTTAATATAAATGAATATTCATGGTGTCAAACAGAAACGTTTTAGGGGATTTAAAATACAAATATATTGAATTAAAACATCTGACATGACTATAAATTGGAAGGGTAGAAATGGAGTTAAAGTCTTTTAAATTACTTGCTCTTTTGAAAAGGAAGGTCAAGATAAGACAAAAAAACTTTATTAAGTCAGAGGTTCATGTTTTAATTTCTTGAGTGAAGAAGGTTCAAAAAAAATGTAAACATCTTAGTTGATGGAACAAGGAAAGCTTCACTTGAGATTTTTTAAAAAGAAAATGGTGTCTTCCCTCCTTACTTCTATTCAACCTGACACCAGATGACCTAATCAGATCAGGACAGTGAGAATATGAAATACACTACAATAATGAACTGGGAAAACAAAAAAGAAATACACTGCTACTAGTGCTGATACCAAGTTTGCTGCTTAAATTTTCCAATCTTAGTAATCAGACTGTGTTCAATAGTGTACATGTTCTTAGCAGTTTTTTTTTAAATATCTGGATGTTGCAGGCTAGTAGTTATGGGGATAGCTAGGGTGAGGGCTGATGTCTGTGTCCACTGGAGGGTTAAATTTTAGAATTTGGCTTATTTCCATTGGTTTCTGTCTTAAATAGGATGGATATTCTTTTGTGAAGTTTTTTCCTAGGAGATTTTGTTGCTATCTCAGTGTCAAAGATTGTTAAACTATGACCAGCTGCCTGAAATACCCTTACAGGAATTTTACAAGGCTTGAAATAAAGAAAACTGAAGCCAAATTTTCAATAAGTCTTTTACACTTAATTATTGAGACAACTGACATAGTTAAAGAGGACAAAAGAAATATTAAGCACTCAGAAACCTTAATGTTGAAATAATTTATTTTTATAAGACCTACATGTCTGTAGAATAGATAAACTGTGGACAAAACCTTCTCAAGCAAAGTACATTGAAACAGAGAGCATTACTGTTTTGATGAAATATTCCTTATCAGAAAAATGTCACAGTTCCTTGAATAAGGCTGTATTGTTAAAGTGAAAGGAAGTCCTTTCTATTGAAAACACCCACACTCTCTGGTTTAATGGCTACTTGACCACTATACATAATGCAAAAACATCAGTATGGATCTATTAAGAATAGGGCCCTTTATAATTCAGTCATATTAAATAGAGAAATTAGAACTGAAATAATGCTGGAAGGAAGTAAGAAGACATAGGTTGAGTCCTAATTCTCCTGTTTAGGATTTACGTACTTTCAATTCCTTACTCTAAGTTTAGGGATAACAATTCTTCAGTTGCCTTCATGTGTAATAATTATACCAATAAAAACTAATACAGGTCAATTTTTAAAGTTTATTGAATCCCTGCATAAAAAACTCTTGTCACCTGGAATTACAGAACTTTTTTATTTTTTTTTGTTTTTATTCAGTCCAAAGCATATATTAGGGGAACTTAGATAGACAGGGGTCTTTAGCCTCCTTGTGATGAAGAGTGAGAAAAGAGATGTTCCATCCAGGTATGTCCCTAATGGGCTAGCTAGGTTATATGAGGGTTGCAGGAATTTGGCTCAGGGGTCATGGATAATTTCTATGAGCTTCAAGCAACAATCTCAAAAGCTTTATCAGTGCCTGGAAATGTTTAAGACCCCATCTTGGGTTCAAGTCTGCAGGGGGAAATATGCTGCTGTCCAGGTTACAGAGTGGTCAGGGCACTCTGTTTCTTGGTCAGGTTTTACAATAAAACTTAAATGACACAAAATAATATAATTGGTCAAATTGAGAATTTTATTTCAAATTCATTTTCTTTCCTGCAATAACGTAGCAATAGTCTTACCATGGTTGTAACAATAAATTAATATATTTTAATAATGTTAGGCAGCATTATTTTGGCAGCAAAATTGTGATTATCAATGAATAACTCTAATACCTGATGTCATAATATAAATACACATATATGCCATATATAACTACACATATAATATACATTAAACTTATAGTATATATAATTTTATATTTAACATAATGGACATACAGTTAACATTATATACAATTAAATTATTTTATTCAGAGAAAGTTATCTGATGAGCAATATATGATCCATCTATCGATCCATCATCCATCCGTCCATCCATCCATCCATCCATCCATGCATTATTCCAAACTGATGATTAATTTTTAAAAAGTCATTTATTGGGAATTTAGACAGGGGAAAGTAATTAAAGGAAAAAGAAGTTCTGCTTTGGCATTACAGTAATTTATAAATTCTAAAAGAACATTTTTCTTAAAAACATTTAACGTGCTGAACAAAATGCAACACATAATGTATTAAATGTATTGCTAATCTAAGCTTACAAAAATGAATTTTCAAAGACAAAAACAAGGAAAGAACAAAATGAAGGTCATATGCATGAGCTAAAACTGGTCATTACCAGAAGGGGATTGACAATACTAGAGTTTACAGCAGCCTAAAGTATGAGAAACAAGATTGTGTTCCCATAAGTTAGGAGAAACTAAAGACATATTATGAAGGGGCAGTGCAGGGGGCTTAAAGAGATACACTCACAGTAAAATGATAGGAAATATACCTGTCAGAGTCTTAGCTCAAAGTTGAAAACTGTCTTCGGTAAGAATTTGTAATGTTAACTGTACACTTATGGACACTTGGTTTAGATTCACACTGCCTATTGACTGGGGACAATCTCAAACCAATTACTTAAGTTAAATTGATTTCCAGTGGGAAACATCCTGGAAGTACGTGGAAGAAGCAAGTTACAAATTAAGGCCAAACAAATGTAAGTTCAACATTTAAAAATGGTTAAATATAAGAAATAAAGATAAATGAGTAATTTCATAAATTAGGCCTCTCAGAAATTCAGATATGGAATTTATCCAACATAATACAATGTGACTATTATTAAATGACTATTAAAGTTGAAATACAGAATTGAAAATAAGAGCCATAAGCATTATACTGTGAAACATTGTTAGGAAAAAAGAAATGAGCCTGGCTGCCTATTATGATACTTCAAAAAATGTAAGATAGATAGATAATAGTGATAAATAGGTAGAATTATATATATAGAATGATATAGGTATAGAGAGATTACATAGTGATATGAGAAAGAGAGATAAATTAAAATCTCAAATGATAGTTTGAACCACAAAGTAGCCAACAAAGAATTAATACAGAGGGAAAATAAGTAATAACTACAAAAATTAGAATATAATAGTTTATATTAGTAGTAGATTTATATTATATAGCACAAAAAATATAGCACAAAATATAGCACAAAAAAAATGACAGAAAAGAGATTGAAGAAAAATAGGACAAATTAAGAGGCATTGAGGACACAATAAAATTGTCTTCATAACATACACCAAATTGGCAGTCAGAAAATAGAAAACAGGAAAAACAGTGAAGCTTTAATACTGAAAGAAGAAAAGAGACAGGAGAAAAAGGGAAACCTTGTCTTTTCAAAGATTCTGAATGAAGTTTAAAAACAATTAATTAAATGAAATTTGCTCTGAGACACATCGTAATTAAATTTTTGGGGGGAGGGCTTGTGTGAAAAGAGAGAAAAGAAAGATGACTTACCATTTCAAAAATTAAAAAGTATAAAAATGATTCTATATATATTACTTACGGATATCAATAGATAGGTATAGTGCTTTGGCTTCACACTAACCCAGTGAAGGACTAAATGTTATTTTCCCAGTTACCAGTGAGTAAATTTATACCAAAAGAGTTTCTAAAATGTATCCTTAGTTATGTTAATTACTGTCCCAGCTGAGCTTTGAACTCATGCATTGAAATCTGAGAGCAAAAAGCTAGCATTAGAAGGCTTTTCTGTTGGCACTACTCTAGCTCATCCCTCATGAACTTTTCTGTAGGAGGACAGGCAATTTGACAGTCCTAGTGCATTAGGTGGTACAATCTAGTATGATTCTGAATGAAGTAAGCATCACAAGGATGCTAAAGTCCTTCCTCTATGTAACTTCCCCTAATAAATGCTTTGAACTAATACCAACAAACCAACAAAACAAAACACACCTCTGTAATTCCAGATTACAACAGTTCATACTTTTTACATATTTTTATACAGGGATTCAATGAATCCCTTTTAAGGCATGCCAAAGGAAAATGCTTACTAAGATTTACTTATTCTTGTATAAGTAGAGGTTGGGGAAAGGAACATAATAAAATACAGTAAGGTGATAATAGAACATCACAAAGTATTTAATTGCATCACGTACATTAATGATATCACATTATTACTGAATTTATTTTAATTCTAAATGTTTTAAAAATTTGAGACAAAAAATTGCCTCTTGCTCTACAGTAGAGAGATTGTATCTCATTTTTTTTGTACCCCATCTAAAAATTTAAATTGTTATAATCTTTACACTACACATAAAAAATTTTATATCACTGAGTATTACTTAACGTAGCAAGTCTAGTCCTAAATTTTTACACCAAACAAGGCAAAACACCAAATCATTAATGAAAAATAGGAAATATTTAAAGGTTATTTTGTATATTATTTTAAAATAAGTGTATTGTATGCAGTAACCCAACATCAGAAAATTTGAAGAAAATGTGCATAGATTTGGCTAAAATATATGTGAGTAATTTAATAAACCATGCATATTTCAAAAAAGGACATTGATTAAAAGGCAATATAGTGCCAGAAAACAAAAATCTGAAAATTTATATGCCACAGCAGCATTAATAACCATAACATAAATAAGGAAAATATTTAAAAAATTCTAATAAAATTAGACAAAAAATATGATTAAAAATGCCAAATTTTCAATATCTTAAAATGTCTAATAATAGTCGTTATTGTTTATATTTAATAATTCCAAAAATATTATTTTTCAATGATAGTCTTTTACATAGAAAACAGATTACAAAATGGCAACTCTATTATGATACTTAAAAAAAATTATCTTATGTGTGTATTTGTGGCTCTATGTGGCGGCAGAACCAAATATGCATGTACATTACCTGTCTGTCCTTAAGAAAACATTCAGAAGGATAAACCTCAAATACTAGTTATGTCATCTGTGTGTGGTTTCATGTCTATTTACTGCTAGTTAAGAAATGCTTCAGAGAGGGAACAAAAGGCAAACAGATGTATAACTTGCCCAAAGATACAGCATAAGTTATTAGCATGGAGCTGGAATTAAAAGCCAGATTTTCTTGATGTAGTTCCAAAGCCTATTTACCATTATGTTTAGCAATAACAGGAAGTAAAATGACTATAAAACTGGTCTGCAACGTAAGCATATGAAATAATTAATATCACAAAATTCCTAAAATAAGACAGAAACATTTTGCTATTTCAGAATAGTGGCATCAACTTGAAGCATTTTGATACTTCAGAATAGTGGCATCGGCTTACAAAAGATATAGAAAAATAAAATTTACAGAAAGCAAACCAAAAACAAAATTGTCTTGAGATTTATAGTTACCAACTTTTACAATTAGTCTTCATCAGCTATTCACTATATTTGTGATGCAAATTTTCCTATATGCCATATGTGTATTGGCCAGATGAATAGTGATTAAGATTTAGAAAAGAATTTAACAATATTTATGCTAATCTCTCAACAATGTAATTGGAAAAGACTTGTTTAATTATAAAACTTATGGAAGTAAAACATCCATCTGTGCAATCATATTTGTAGTTTTTGAAGTAAATCAGATACTTTTCAACTATAACCACAAAGGGTCAGGTAAGTAAGAAGAAATAATACAAGGCAATTTTTAAAATGAAATGCATAGAAATATTTATATAAAAAATGATCACTTATATCAGGTGCTATATTAACATTTTAAAGATCTAAATTCATATTATACCAATAAAAAAGAAGACATAAAATCAATTTATGTCTCCTATGAAAATACTGTAGTCATTAACATTATAATGGCTTACTTTATCAACACTCTTATTACCAAAATAAGTGCATTGAGTAACCTCTGATTTTTAAAATCAATAAAATAGTTAAATTATTTAGTGGTTATTTATATTTAAAAGTGACTTAGAGAAAAAACAATTATGTCAAGTCCTCACAGGGCAATGTGTAATAGTAGAAATGTGTTTCACTTTATGAAACAGTCATGTTCATAATAGACTATGTGGATATAAACCTCCTGAAAACATTACATCACATTAGGGAATTTACACTATAAATGAGTCTGAATTATTTTCCAAAGTGAAGAATTATTTCATTATGAATATCAAAATATGCACCTCATTGATTAACTCATATTTTATTATTTCAGATTTCTCAATGTCCTGAGACTATTTCTTTGAATGATTGTTGCCTTATTAACATAATTCCCTGATCTTAAACACATAACATAACTTTGTGTGTATTGCCAATTGCACCAGCAGATGTTTATGTTCTAACAATTTATTGTAATGCTATCGTGAAATCTAAAATTTTTTGTGGAATTTTTAAACAATGACAAAATATCATGACCAACTAATTTAAATGGTGATGCTTACTACATAGTTATTATGTCAACACGAACCTGCTGGCATTAGATACTCACTCTCTCCATTGAGGTAAAAATCTCAATAATAGTCCATAATTAAAGAAAAATGTTATTAGTCCTATACAAGTTTGAGCATTTACCATAGGGAGAACTGCAGCAAAGAGGGAAGGAAGGGAGGAAGGAAGGAAGGAAAAGAAGGAAGGAAGAAAGGAAGGAAAAAAGGAAGGAGGGAGGGAGGGAAGGAAAGAAAGAAAAGCTTAAACTCTAATTCTTCAACTTATACTGACTTCAATTAATCCTACTGATATGATCTGAGTTTGTCCCCCTACATTTATGTGTTGGAAACTTAATCCCCAAAGGAACAGTGTTAGAGGATGGGGGCTAATGGGATGAACTTAGGTTATGAGGGTTCTGACCTCCTGCATGGATTCATGCTGCTATGAACAGGGTTGGTGAGAGTGCCTTCTCTCTCTTTTGCTTTTCTGTCATGTGGGGACTCAGTACTTGTCCTCTTTTGTCCTTCGCCTTCTGCCACGTGAGGACACAGTAAGAAGGCCCACAACAGATGCTGGTGTCTTGATCTTGCCAGCCTCCAGAACTGCGAGAGAATAAATCTTAATAAATTACCCAGTATTTAATATTCTGTTATGGCAGCACAAACAGACTAAGGAACCTGGCAAGTGAAGAGAGTTGACAAATTATCTGGTTCAAGCCTCTAATTTTGCAATTGAGGACATTGATATGAAGTATGGAAAGTATCTAAGATCATTCAGCCACCTAGTAGAAAATGTTTTAGAATTGACTTCACTACTGTACTCTCCACTGTAACCTATCAATACAAACTACATTGTCTTCCTCCAAAATGTATACGTTGAAGTCATAACCCCTAATATGACTATATTTGGAGACAGAGTCTTTAAGAAATAAAGTTAAATGAGATTTGAAGCATGGGGCCTAATTAAATGTGACTGATGTCTTTATAAGAAGGGAAAGAGACATCAGGGATTTTGAGCACAGAAAAAAAATGTTATGTGAGGACACAGTGAGAAAACAGCCATCAGCAAGCTAGGGAGAGAAACCTCAGGAGAAACCAAATCTGCTGACATCTGAATCTTGGACTTTGAGTCTCCAAAACTTTGAGAAGTAATTTTTGTTTGTTTGTTTTAAAACACCCAGTCTGTGATATTTTGTTACCATAAACCTAGTGATATATTTGCTCTATTTATTGGATGTAACTTATTTCTTGATTTTGTCTATTTCATCACTCTGGTATTCATCTGACCTGACACCATGCTTCTGTCAGGACACCATCTTTGTGTAAATTCTGTTCTGTGCCTTTCGATACTGAATCTATATTCTGATGCTTTTAGTATATAATTGTAATACAGGTCTTTTGGATTGTGAAACAGGGCTCTACCATCATCCACAGGTAACTACTTTATTTTTGGGAACAGCTCTTGGTTTGTTACTAGGTTTCAGTAGAACCTGAATGCTTCGCAATAGGCCGCCAAGTTACTTTGTGACCTGAACTGTCCATTGTGAACTGGGTGTTATCTCACCCACCAAATGATGAAGTTGGGCATACACAGCAATACTCTACTGGAAAATTGAATGACATATACATGATTAGGCCTATGGAAAATTATCCAGATGGTCTTGGACCAATCTAGTTCTTCCTACATTCTTGCTCTTAGTTCTTAAGAATAAGTATAGAACGTATTGAGAATGCAGTATCCTGAGATAGGAAGGAACTGCCTAAAACATCCTGGGCCTTGTTTTTGTCCCTTCTGGGAGTGAGACATCTTGAGTTATGGAGGAACTGTCCAAGACAGCACAGTCTTTGTTCCTGTCTCACCTGGAAAGAAGGATGTCCTTCTAAGCTTTTCCCAGTGATCCACATGGCCCCTGGAGTTTATAACCTAGGGTGGCTGCCTTTCAGGGCCCTTCAGCTGTGGTACAGGTGGCTCAGTGCAGTAAAGACTCCATCTGTCCCAGGCAGCTTTCTTACTCAAAATGGATCCTAGATTTCTTTCATCCCTTGCTGCCAATCTGTACACAATTAATCTTCCTGTCTCACTGGACTCTAACAGTTTGGTAGCCAGTGCACAGAGAACCTGCTCCACAGGGCCCACACAGACCCTGAAGACACAAGGCAGATGAAAAAGGTGCCCAAATGCCCACAGTCTCCATTCCTGCTAAACTGCCTTTTCTCCCTAGCCTACACCTGTGGCCTCATGGGGAACTCTCTAAAATCAGTTAACAGAGGAAGAGAAGACTCAGGCCTGGTTTATGGATGGTGTTGCATGACATGTGAGCAGTATCTGAAAGTGGACAGCTGCAGCAGCCACAGCCCCTCTCTGGGACATCTTTGCAGAACATTGTTGAAGAGAAATCCTCTCGGTGTAGTAGTACATCAGGTTGTGCAGCTGATTGTGCAGGTTGCTTTAAAGAAGAAATGGCCAGAGATATGACTACATACCAATTCATGGGCTATACAAATTGTTTGCCTGTATAGTCAAGGACTTGGAAGGAAAAGGATCAGAAAACTTGGGACAAAGAAATCTGGGGATGGGGTATATGGACAGATTATTTTTGAATGGGGAAGATATTTGTGTCCCATGTGAATTCTCACCAATTACCTCAAGAGGAAAAATTTAATAATCAAGTGGTAAGAATGATATGTTCTGGAGATCCCACTCAACCTCTTTCCATACCACCCTATTGTCACCCTATGGGCCCATGAACAAAGTAGCCATGATGGCAAGGGTATCAGTTATGCATGGGCTCACTCAGGATCATGCACTTCCCCTCAGGGAAGGCATGGTAATTCTAACAGACACTGTGAGACTTCTACTCACCAATGGCAACCTGTATTGACTCCTCTCCATTCCCAATCTATCAGCAGCCAAAACCAGCACTGAACCCCCAATATGGCATCATTCCCTGGGATTGGCAGCCAGCTGCTTGATGGCAGGTCAAATATACAGAACAGCTTTCAACATGGAAGGGACAGTGTTTTGTTTTTAATGGAGTAGATGCTCTGGATATGGATTTGCCCTCTCTACGTACAACGCTTCTGCCAAAATTACCTTTCATGGACTTACAGAATACCTTATCCACCATCATGGTATTCTGTATCTCATTGCATCCTATCAAGGAACTCACTTCATGGCCAAAGAAGTGTAGAAATGGGCTCATGATCATGAAGTTCACTGGTTTTACCATGCTCCCTACCATCCTTAAGCAGTTGGCTTGATTGGATCGTGATATGGCGTTTTTAAGACTACGTTATTGTGTTCATTAGGTGATAACTGGGGCACTTGCAAGTATGGGATAAAATTCTGCAGAGGATCATATATGCTCTGAATCAGCATCTGATGAAACAGGAAACATGGTGCTGTTTCACTGATAGCCAGGATTCAACAGTCTAGGAATCAAGAGGTGGAAATGAGAGTGGCCCTACTCCCTATTACTCCTGTTAACCCACTAGCAAAATGTTTGCATTCTGTTTCTGTGACTTTATGCTCTGCTAGCCTAGAGGTCTTTATTCCAGAGGAAAAATGCCTCCACCAAGAGACACAACAATGATTCCATTGAAGTGAAGGTTAAATGGCAACAAGGATGCTTTGGGCTCTTCCTGCCTCTGAGTCAACAGAACATGGAGGGTGTTTCGGTGTTGGGTGAAATAATTGATTTAAACTACCAAAGGAAAATTGGACTTCCACTCTACAGTGAAGAAAAGGAAGAGGAAACAGAAGGAAAACACGAGATATCTTAGGATGTCTCTTAGTATTACCATGCTCCGTTTTAAGGTCAGTGAAAAACTGTAACAACCCAATCCATACAGGACTAAAAATGGCCCAGACTCTTCAGGAATTAAGATTTGTGTCATACAGCCAAGTAATGAATCATGACCAGCTGACCTGCTTCCTGAAGAAAAAAGGGAATACAGAAGGAGTAGTAGAAGAAGGTAGTTATAAATAACAGCTATGACACATGACCAGTTATAGAAAAATTGAAATTGTTATATTTCCTCCTTATTTTGTTATGAATATGTTCTCGTGTATATGTATACATATTGAGCAAATATCTTTGTTTTCTTATTATCTTATCATGTAACATAAGATATATTGATTTTATATTAGTATTTAAATATTGTTAATTTTACATCAAAGCATTTAAGCTATGAGATATAAGGAGAAAAATTAATGTTATTCGTGGACCTTAGCTACTCTTCTGTGGAAAGGATTAGTGCATTTTGTGTTATAAACAGGGTGGTTGACTCATGTTAGGTAGAATTCTAACCTTGTTATTGTCTGTATTTGGAGATTAAGTATGGTTTAAGGAAATGTGTGTGGGTGCCAAGTTGATAAGGGGTGAATTTGTGATGGTTAATTTTAAAAAATGTTCAGAAGAGTGGTAAAATTTATTTCTGGTGATGTCTGTTAGGGTGTACCCCAAAGAGAATAACATTTAAATCAGTAGGCTGAGATAAAAATATTTCCCTCCCCAATGTGGGTGAGCATCAACCAATGCTTTGAGGGCCTCACTAGAACAGAAAGAAGGAAGAAGGGCAAATTCAGTCTCTGTTTCAGCTGGGCTGTCCATCTTCTCCTGCCCTCAGATATACGTTCTGCTAATTCTCAGGCCTTTGGACTCGGGCTGAATTTGTCATCAGCTTGCCTGGTTCTCCAGCTTTCAGACAGCAAATCAAGGAACTACTTAGTGTCCATAATCATATAAGCCCTAATTCTCATAGTATATCAATTATTATGATTTGATTTCTCAAATGTCTCTCTCTCTCTCTCTCTATATATATATATATTACATATATATATATATATATACACAGTCAACCTTTCTCTATTATATATATGTATATAAATATCTCTCATATGAGTTGTATATTTAACTTCTCATAATAAATCAATCTCTCTATATAGATGTATATATATACATATTATGTGTTATTAAGAATTATTAGAAAATATATCTATACATATAGATATATAGAGAGAATATCTACATCTATATCATAAACACACACACACACATACATATACACACACACACACACACACACACACACACACACATATCCTGTTGGTTCTGTTTTTCTGGAGAATCCTGTGATATGGTTTGGCTATGTCCTCACCGAAATCTAATCTTGAATGGTAGTTCCCATTATCACCATTTGTCATGGGAGGGCCCAGGTGGACATCATTGAATCATGGGGGTAGTTTCCCCCATCCTGTTCTCATCATAGTGAGTTAGTTCTCCCAAGATCTAATGGTTTTATAACAGACATCCCCCTTCACTGGGTACTCATTCTTCTCCTTCCTGACTCCATGTGAAGAAGGACGTGTTTGCTTCTCCTTCCATCATAATTGTAAGTTTCCTGAGGCCTCCCATATCATGCTGAACTGTGAGTCAATTAAGCCTCTTTCCTTTACAAGTTACCCAGTCTCGGGTGTGTCTTTATTAGCAGCATGAGAATGGACTAATACAGTAAATTGGTATTTGGTAGTGGGGTACTGCTGTAAAGATACCCGAAAATGTGGAAGCAACTTTGGAACTGGGTAAGAGGCAGAGATTGGAACATTTTGGAGGGCTCAGAAGAAGACAGGAAGATGTGGGAAAGTTTGAAACTTCCTAGAGACTTGTTGAATGGCTTTGACCAAAATGCTGAGAGTGATATGACAATGAAGTCTAGGCTGAGGCAGTCTCAGATAGAGATGAGGAGCTTGTTGGGAACTGGAATAAAGGTGACTCTTGCTATGATTTAGCAAAGAGACTGGTGGCATTTTGCCCCTGCCTTAGAGATCTGTGAAATGTTGAACTTGAGGTGATTTAGGGTATCTGGTGGAAGAAATTTCTAAGCAGCAAAGTGTTAAAGATGTGACTTGGGTGCTGTTAAAAGCAGTCAGTTTTTTTTTTTTTTTTTTTTTTTTTTTTGACAGAGTCTCATTCTGTCACCCAGGCTGGAGTGCAGTGGCACGATCTCAGCTTACTGCAAGCTCCGCCTCCCAGGTTCATGCCATTCTCCTGCCTCAGCCTCCCAAGCAGCTGGGACTATAGGTGCCCGCCACCATGCCTGCCTAATTTTTTTTGTATTTTTAGTAGAGACGGGGTTTCACCATGTTAGCCAGATGGTCTCGATCTCCTGACCTCGTGATCTGCCCACCTTAGCCTCCCAAAGTGCTGGGAAAAAGCAGTCAGTTTTATGTGTGCACAAGGATATGGTTTGGAATTGGCACCTATACGTAAAGGAGAAGAAGAGCATAAGAGTTTGGAAAATTTGCAGCCTGACAATGAGATAGAAAAGAAAACCCTATTTCCTGAGGAGAAATTCAAGCCACCTGCAGAAATTTGCATAAGTAACAAGGAGCCAAATGTTAATTGCCAAGACAATGGGGAAAATGTCCCCAGGGTATGTAGGAGGTCTTTAAGGCAGCCCCTCTTATCACAGGCCCTGAGGACTAGGAGTGAAAACTGGTTTCCTTGGCTGGACCCAGGGCCTTGCTGCTTTGTGCAGTCTTGGGACTTGACTCCCTGTGTCCCAGCTGTGGGTAAAAAGGCCACCGTACTGCTCAGGCTGTTGCTTCAGAGGGTGCAAGCCCCAAACCTTAGTGGCTTATACATAGTATTGGGCCTGAAGGTGCATAAAAGTGAAGGATTGAGGTTTGGGACCCTCCACCTAGATTTCAGAAGATGTATGGAAATGTCTGGCTATCTAGGAAGAAGTTTACAGCAGGAGTGGAGCCCTCGTGGATAACGTCTGCTAGGGCAGTGTGGAAGGGAAATGTGGGGTGATAGCCCCCACACAGAGCCCCCACTGGGCCATTGCCTAGTGGAGCTGTGAGAAGAGGGCCACCATCCTGCAGACCCCAAAATGGTAGATCCACTGACAGCTTGTACCATGTGCCAGTAAAAGCTGCAGACACTCAATGCAAGCCTGTGAAAACAGCTGGCAGGGGGTCTATACCCTGCAAAGCCATGAGGCAGAGCTTTCCAAGGCCATGGGAGACAACTCCTGCATCAGCATGACCTGGATGTGAGACATGGAGTCAAAGGAGATCAATTTAGAGCTTTAAGATTTGGCTGCCCCACTGGATTTCAGACTTGCCTGGGGCCTTTAGCCCCTTTGTTTTGGCCATTTTCTCCAATTTGGAATGGGTGTATTTACCAAATACTTGTAACCTCCGTTGTATCTAGGAAGTAACTGACTTGCTTCTGATTTTTACAGGCTCATAGGCAGAAGGCACTTGCCTTGTCTGATGAGACTTTGGACTTGGACTTTTGAGTTAATGCTGCAATGAAGTAAGAGTTTGGGGGACTGTTGGAATGACATGATTCTGTTTTAAAATGTGAGGACATGAGATTTGAGAGAGGCCAGGGGCAGAATGATATGGTTTGGATGTCTCCTCACCCAAATCTCATCTTGAATTATAGTACCCATATTTCCCATGTGTCCTGGGATAGACCAGGTGGAGATAAATGAATCATGAGGGTGGATTCCCCATCTTCTTCTTTTGATAGCGAGCTAGTTGTCGCTAGATCTAATGGTTTTATAAGGGGCTTCCTCCTATGCTGGGCACTCATTTGTCTTCTTCCTGCTGCCATGTGATGTAGGATTTTTTTGCTTTCCCTTTCTCCGTGATTGCAAGTTTCCTGAAGCCTCCCAAGCCAGGCAGAACTGTGAGTCAATGAAACTTCTCTCCTTTACAAATTATCCCATCTTGGGTATGTCTTTATTAGCAGCATAAGAACAAACTTTTACACATTACTAATACATTATCAATTCAAATTCATGACTCTTGCAACATCAACTGTGAAGTTGATTAGAACTTCATAGTTCTAATGAAGGAACTGTGGAAGTCTAAGCAACTCTTTGTTACAGAAAAGTAAAGAAAACATACATGAGACATTAGTTTGTAATTGGGTAAAAATACTAAACACATTAATTTCAAAATTTAATTCTGGATATTTCAATAAGAAAAGTAATTTTATTAAATTTTTTTTGGCATTCCTCTATGTAAATATACAAGAGAAGTCACAATTTCTTCTAGCAAATAAGAGTCATAACCAAAAACTATTGATGTTGCTACATAACTGAGAATCTGAGAATCTTGCCGAAGATAAAGGAACACAAATTAGGTGCATGTTAATAAGCCTTTGATAATAGACAAAGGATTTTGGGGTTTTAGCCTGGATATAGTATGGTGCTAGTTGCAGATGATATAAATGAAGTGAAATAATTAGGCAAGTATTTAGAAATGTTTGGCAGCAATGTGAAGGATTTAATAGATGGCAACAGACTAATGTCCAGAAAAGATAAGTATTTCCTGTAGTTGTCCAGTGTCAAAGTGATTGGGCTAGTACTAATGCGACAGAGGTAGGAATTTTTTTTAAAAAAAAAAAGGCATTGGATTTTTTAGTTACTAAAGAAATGGTATCAAAGAAATTTTGTGACCAATTTGATGCTGGGCATAAGTGAGAAGAAAGAGCAAACAATAATCTTCAGGTTCCTGCCATGAACCACTGGGCAAAGTTACTTACAAAGAAAAGGAGAGCAAGAGAAAAAGTACAAAAATCTTTCATCACAGAAGATAAGAATCTACCTTTTCCAACACGCTTCAAATTTCGTTGTGTGCTGTTGAATTTGTTAGTTGAGGAAAAAAAAATGAAAGGAATGTGTACTAAAATTCAAAACATGGTAAGAGTAAATGACATAAATGTTTATAGAATTAAATTTCAACATATTTTCTGATACAAGCAATATTCTTCATTAGTGAGTTTTATGGTGTTACAGAATAAAAATTATAGAGTATATCTATAATTACCAAGCATGGTATTTAATGCATGCCCAATAAAACAGATTTTACCGTTGTTTCCAAAGTGCCTCGTGAGTTTCATTTAACTGTGAAAATACCTTCCAGTTGTCAATATTCATAAAAATAGTGGCTTATCCAGAGTTGCCCTTTCAATATCAAAATAAAATTAAAACAAATGGTAAAAATGCAGATTATTCGCAAAAAGAGAATGATAATTAAAGCCTCCAGGGGTTTAACCATAATGAATCAGAATGACAAAATGGATTTTGACTTTCTGCTCAGAACTGGCTTAGAAATCTATCTATTAAAATATTGTCAGGAGATTACTCTGTCAGAACTGGATAAGAATAAAAGATGTGAGCACACGAAATTACAGCTTTGCAATTTCAAAGTAATTTAAATCTGATATATTTCTTTTAAATTTTATTCCACAAAGGTTTTTTTCCAAGCTGAAAATTATTCTAAATGATATGGTTTCTTTTAATAGTGACCTTGAAATTATATTACCCGAATCAGTTACATCCATTATTTTTAAAATTTATTGTATGATCGATGTAAATCAGACATTCCCATGCAGATATATCTGGTTTTCTACAGTTAAAAAAATTAGATTACTATTAGTTTAATACGTTATTTCTATCTTCAGCATGCACTTTATCCTTTTCTGCATCTGGTATGCACAATTAGATAATGTATACTGAACAGCATCAACTGTAAAATATTCAAGAAGATGAATTGCTTCATATAAATTAGAGATGGTAAAGCTTGATCAGTTCATTTTAGGTTAATGCATCTTGAGAGTCCCTCTATAATTCTATAAAATATAATACCTGCAATTATACATTAGAAGTAAATCATCCTAAAAAATGAATAGCGTAGAAAGTAGTATGTCACTCCTTCATTACCGTTAAATAATGTGTTTTTATAACTTGCCAATATGGATTTTATAGAGTCATTTCAGCCCAAATGAAGACCTATTCAAACTATATTTAGATTCTTAACTTAGTATTAATTTTTTATGAAAAAACATTTTATTAAATAAAACAATCTCTAAATATTACTTAAAGCTATAAAATGTTTTATACATATGTTGTTATTATTATCAGCTAGTGCTAGGGAAAAACAGAGACCAGATTTTTTTTAAATTATCCATTATTCTTTAGCATTGAAATCAAGATTTTTTTATCTTGTGGTTTATCACAGAATACACTATTCTATTTCGATTAGTGAAAATTTTTATTTTAAATATGTTTATTCATATAGTTTGGTAGCATACCTAAATGACTAAATTTCAAGCAATATTATACCATTAACTGTTAGATTATGTTTTCCTTTTGGAATTTTTCATCTAGTCCCTTAAAATAAGATTTTTATGGGGGAAGGGAGAAACGTTATGTACGTAAAGCTGAAATATTTACAGTACACATTTCAAAAGTCACTTCTGAATTTTGAATGTTTTACTGGTTATAAATACTATCCGTGTTGTCATTTTTGTTGTTATTTATATAAAATTATGAGCAATAATCTAGAATATAATATAATATAGAGTTAGGAAAATATAATCAAACAACTTGATATGCAGACATCTGGAAATCAGTTAGACTCTTCTAAATAAATCTTATGATCTTGTGGTAGAGAAGAAGTAATTTCACCTCCTTAGAATGCTAGTTCTTAGTTTCTGCTCTTCAAATACTGGAGCACAGAATAAAGATGTCTCTGCATGAATCAAGAATTATTTTGTTGTTTTTGTTGCTTGTTGTTTGTCTTTTAATCTAACTTTTTCAAGCAATCATTGTATTTAGCCGACCACTAAATCTAAAGCCTACATTTGTGACTTGTGTTTAGAAAGATGATTTGAATAATGATTTTCTAGAAAATAACAAGGTGAGAAAAATGTTAAGGCTATAGAAACTATTGGAAACATCTTTTCTTTCTTTCTATTCTAAGACTAAATATTTACCATCAAGAAAAAATAAGATGGAAGAAGAAATCTTTGGTATGGTGTAAACCAAAGTATGAATCCATATGAGGAAATCAAGACCAATGTAAATGACTTCCTCTTTCCAGTGTTCATGAATAAAATTTCATCTACCTTCTATACATGATGGTTCTATCTGGCTAGTGTCCAAGGACAAAGACCATCATTTTTACTACTGATGTTTGTATAGTGGCAGGAAGATAAATGAGTAAAGTTATCTGTTTCTTGTGAAATGATGAAGTATTGTGAACAATATGCATGCCCAAATTAACAAAAACATGTTACATAAAAATAAATGAAATGAATGGAAATCCAGACAAGAGCATGGACTCAAGAAAAGGGTAGGGTTATATTTGAAGCAGGAGATTTAAAAATATGGAACTAGACATGATTCTCAAAATTAGTTATAGCGCATTCTTTTGAAATCAAATGTACTGAGGTAAAGGTAATAGAGAATTAAGAGACTTAGATCTAGAAAGAATGTAAATGGGTTTACATAGACTATAAATCAATACATTTTATTTATTTTGTTTAGCCTATGAGTATATGGAGAGTTTTCAAATGTTAACTGGAGTCAATGTCAGTGGTAGTGAAATATAATAAAATAGAGTTAAGTGGTTGCCTGAACCCTCCTGCAGATAATTATTATGAAATATGAATAAAATAATATTTGAAAGTAGTATTGAATGTCTTCAAAACAGACAAAAGAGAGAGGATATTATCTTTTGAAAAACTGCAATCAAATAGTCTGTTTGTGGCTTTCTTACTTCATGGTATTTTCTGACCGTTATGATCAGAGTAGCCAAAAATCAGTCTTACCACTAACAGTTGACAGAGAATATTGTTCATGAATAAAAATACAAAAGAAAATTTAAGGGCAAAGTTCTGAAAATAGGGGATCTTCAGTAGACATGATATATAAAATCTGAATATAAACTGCCGAGATGCGTTACGTACCAGTAAAGTACATACACGGTGGACGTTACAGGGGCCCATAGCAAAAACACATCAGGCAAGGACCAAACACAAAATTGCCACTGACAGTAAGAGGGATGCCAGGTAATGTTTGTAATTCTTTGTTGTTGTTTAAACTAATGCATTCCTCAGTGAGTGCTCAGCTCACGGGATTGAAAGAGGGAGTCTTGCACAATTGATGTGCCAGAGGACAAAACCTGATACAAGAAGAGCAGGTGGAAATTTAAGATGCAGTCTCCAGAAGCAAGAAAATTACAGAGAAAGTGCTCAGTAATAGCTGAGCATGAACTTTATCCAAATCCTTAACAAACACTCAAATTACACATGAAAGAGGGGACAGCCAGGGATTTAGGCTTAAAAAAATTATATTTGCCTCTATAAGCTGTAAGAACCACAACAACAAAAAGTGTTCAGAAGAACAGAATGGAAGACAGACTTGCAGTGAAGTATTATTTATGATGGCTAGTTTTCAGCCAAAAAGTATTAGACAAGCATAGAACAGGAATATATGACCCATATTCAGGAAAACAATGCAGTCAGTGGAAATTACGTCTGAACAGGACCAGATGCTACATTTCACAGAAAAAAAAAAAGACTCCAAAGTAATTATTATAAACATGCTCGAAAAATGAAAGAAAAATATATTCAAGGAAATAAAGACAGTCTTCAGGAGTTACAGATACATTATATGGTTATATGAATAGAGAAAAAGTAAACTATAAAAATTAGAAACACTCTAGTTTAGATGTACACTCTTAAAACTAAAAAAATTATTGAGTCATCTCAGTGGTAATTTAGAGATGGCAGATAAAAGAATCTGTAAACTTTAGGATAGATTAATGAATATTCCTCCATCCAAAAGATAAAGAAAAAAGGACTGATAAAAATGGACACAGTCTTAATAGACCTTTGTGATAATATAGGGAAAGCAAACAAAAAAATTAATTAAGATCTTAAAAGAAAAGGTATGTAAAGTGCAGGTAAAAACCAAACAAATATTTGAAGAAATACTGTCTTAAATTTGTTGAAAAATATTATCTTTTTTTGTAAAACATTATCTTTTAGATTTTAAAAGCTAAACATTTCCAAGTGGGATAAACACAAAAGAGACTAATTCTAGTCCCACATAAAAATGATATTTCTAGTGTATACAGGGGAAAAAGACATATGACCCTTAAGAAGAAAACTAAAAAGCAAATATTATTAGATGACTTTTCAACAGTAACAATAGTGATCAGATGCCATTAGAAGAAAATAGCCAAAATACTGGGAGGAAAAACAAGCTGTAGCCAAGAATTCTGTATCTAATGAAACTGTCCATAAAAAAGGAAATATAGAAATGTTCACATAAGCTAAAATATATTGTATTGGGCTCATTTGGCCTACAAGAAGTGATAGTTCTTCAGGCTGAAGCAAAATGACAGTGACCTCTTGAATCTACAGGAATGAAAAAATGAAGACAAATGAGTAGCAAATATGTGGGTAGATATGAAACTATGCAGACACATAGATTGTCTCTGCTTCTCTTAAATTCTTAAAAGCCATTAACTGTTAAAAGAAAAAATTATAACCATTAGTTGCATGGTTTACAACTTTTATAGAATTAATTTACATGATACAAGAGCATAGAGTATAGGTGGTTTATAAAGGATGATTTATAAATTGCACCCCATTATAAACATGAATTACTAATTTGTTAAATGTAAGACGATTACCTGAAAATAAAGTGAAATCTGTAATTTTAGAGTAATGACTAAACAGTAATGCAAAAAAAGCAAAGAAGAAATCAAAATAGAGTACAAATAAAATATTCAAATAACACAAAATAAGAAAGAGGATAGAAGAAATAAACATAAAAATGAAGAAACAAAAACAGATAAAATAAGTTGAAAGCACTTCACCAAATGACAGACATAAATATTACTATATCACTAACTTTACTGTCAACAGAATATTCTATTAAATATAGAGATTATCAGAAAACCAAAGGAACAAGACTCAATTATATGCTTTCTACAAGATGCACATACACTAAATAATTGTCACAAATGGGATAAAAGTTGAAGAAAGGGAAAATATGTTATTAACAATAAATCATATGAAAGCTGGAATAGTTTTATTAATGTCAGAAAAAATGGACATTAAAGTAAATTAACAGGGAAGAGAACTTAATCACAATAAAAGGGTCAATATATTCGGAATACATAAAAATTATAAATGTGCATATGCCTAATAAGAACATTTTAAAATATGTGAAGAAAATAATGACAAAGGAAGAAATAAACAAATCTGGAAACTTAGATGGAAATTTTAACACCATATCCCAATTGTTGATAAAAGAACTGAACAAAAATCTAGTAAGGTGATCGAACATTTTAATAACCCTGTATGTCTAACAGTGCACTCAATTACAGATTACATTATTTTTTAAATGCACATAAAACGTTCACCACAAAATATTCAACTTCTGAATCATAAGACAGCTCAATAGATTTAACAGTAAAATATTTCAGACTTTATTTCTTTATCATAAATTAAATTACACTAGAAGTTAAAAATATCTAGCAGTCTTGAGTATCTCAAAATTAAACAATTCAATTCGAATCAATCAAAGTGTAAATGAAGGAATTACAAGATGAAGTAGCAAATAGTATACTAAATGATAAGAAAAACTCAATGTATAAACATTTGTAGAAAGGTGCAAAACATTCATAAATGTAAATATATGAATTCAAATGCTTACATTACAGGTTTTATGAAAAGAACAATAAAAAGTTCTAAAACTATCTAAATTGGTCACAAAAAAAGAAAAAATAGGATATTCATTTTTGGTAAAAATCCCAAAATACAAGGTATAAAAGGGAACTCCCTCAAGTACATATAGAATATAAAGTATATTTTTGGAGAGTAAATATTTAGAAAGTGATTTGATTTGGCTGTATCCCCACCCAAATCTCATCTTGAATTGTAGTTCCCATAATCCCCATGTGTCATGGGAGGCATCTGGTAAGAGGTAATTGAATCATGGGGGCAGTTACTCTCATGCTGGCTTCATGATAATGAGTTCTCATGAGATCTTTTTAAGGGGCCTATTCACTCTTTCGCTCAGCACTTCTTGCTGCCCTGTGAACGAGGCCATGTTTGCTTCCCCTTCTGTCATGATTGCAAATTTCCTGAGGCCTCCCCAGGCCTGCGGGATGGAGACAATTAAATTGTTTTCCTTTATAAATTATCTAGTGCCAGGTGTGTCATTATTAGCAGAGTGAAAATGGATTAATACAGAAAGATATCCCATGCTAGAGGACTGGACGACTCAAATTTGTTAAGATGCTCTATTTTCCCAAATACATAAAAAGATTTAATGCAATCTCATTAAAAATTCCAGCAAAAGTTTTGAGACTTGGCAAGATGATTCTGAAATTTTTAGCTAAACTGCACATGACTTAGAATAGTAAGAACGTTTTTAAAATAAAGTCTTATACTATAAACAAGTAGAACTTAATTAGTAATTTCCAAATAGTTAACTTAAAACCTTAAAGTAGTATAATATTGAGTTATCGATAATTTAAATTTTGATAACGACAATAATTTTAATATATTTCTAGTCTCATTTAATACATTTTACTACAGAAAATGGATGTATAAGTAACTTTAGGTTATATTAATATATGTGTTCTTATTTAAAGAAATGCATTAAACATTTTGGTATCAAATAATGAATATTTCTTATTTTTGGTTTGTTTACATGAGTACAATGTACACCATTTGGGCCATCGTTACCCAAAAAGCCCAGAATTCATCACTACACAGTATATCCATGTAACAAACTGCATATATACCTCTTAAATTTATACAAATAAAAGAGAAAAATAATGAAAAAATTATGTTCCTGAAAGTATGAAATGTCTTCATTGTTCAAGAATATGAAAGAAGACATTAAAATATATTTTGCTAGTTAATGGGTACAATAATGGAGTTGGATAGAATAAGTTCTGGTATTCCATGGCACAATAGGAAAGTGTGTTCTAAATCAAACCACAGATTATCTAACAGTACAGCAATTTTCCTAAAGATTGCAACTCCCATCCATCAACAGCACTTAAGGATTGCCTAGCGTTTCTCCATCAGCATTCTCATTTACTGCAGAAAGTTCAGTTATCCAATTGCAAGTAAACCAAATATAATTTAATAGTATAGGAATGTTTCTAGTGGTCTTTGGCTTTTTATGTTAATCAACTAAATTTGAAAGCTTAACTCAGCAATCAACAGGAATAACATTGATATATAAACCAATATTTAACAGTTACATTTTTATTGAAAAGGAAGCCGCGCTGGTTAAATTTGACTTTCACTTTATGCTTAGATTTCACACAATGATGTGCTTTGAGGAAACAAGGGTATATTTGAGATTAGTCCTAAGGCTTTTCAGAAAGATCATCCTTTCTTTGTTCTTTCCCCTAAGGTAAACCATTTCCATTGTCATAGCACTGACAAATAATTATTTTATTGCTGAAAAACTCCGACTCAGAGAAAATGTCACAGGTATTTTTTTTTAAATAGCTGTTGCAGTTTAAGCTTTCAGAAATTGCTATATAAAACCTGTCATTTAGGGGGAAAATAAAATTTTCTGTAAAAACAATTCAAAAAAATGTAATTATTCCTGTGTTCATAAAACTTCATAGTAGTGATGAACAATGAAAAATATTCATTCTTTCTTAAGGTATCAAGTAGTCACAAATTTTATTTTTCATTTAAGAATTGATTAACTTCATTTTTCACTAATGAATTGGGATATATAGTGTGTATGTGTGCCTTGAAGCTGCAAGTTGGCTTTTTTATTCGCTTTTGGCTAAAATTTAAATCTGACCAATTTTGAATTTTAAATTTGACCAATTATCACAAACTGATCAGTTGTCTTGTTTTTGTAAATATCTACATTGGATTATTTCAATATGAAAATATTTAAAGTAGACTGAGGAGTTTCTGTATTATAGATCTTTAGGGTTCTGGAAACCCATCTTGCAATTGAGATTACAGAAACTCTCCATTGTATTAACTTATGTAAATCTGTTATAAACATCTTTTGTTGATGACAATATTATGACTGTCTCTCACATTTACTAAATGGGTGTAATATGAATCTGCACTCATTTGAAGGCATGCATGTGATGCCAAAATCAATGAGAATGTATGTAATTACAACCTTAATTCAATGGAAATTTATCTAATGATCCGTTATGACAAACAGAGCTACATGTAACAAGTTAATAATACCTTGTAATACATAATTTGAAGGAAAATACATTTTTATTATTTAATATTACTTAAATGGACAGAATAGAAATAATAGAAACCACATAGAAAAATAAATGAACTTCTAAAAATTTTATAATACTTTTACATTTTTAAAGTTTTTTATCTAGAAATATTTAACATGAATTCTGATATTTAAAATTGTAAGTCACCTCTCAACTTATTTTATAAAAAACTTTGTGTTTTGTTATACTAAAAATGTGTTTCTTGCAAATTACATTTATAAGTTTAATTTTTGCATGTCAAATAGAACACTATATTTACACACATAGTTGGCTTCTTGTCTAAGACCTTGACTTGATGAAATGATTAAAACAATTGTCTTGCCCAGAACTTGACTATTATTAAAACTGTTTTTATTCAAACAACATACATGAGTTGTTCATTTTTGTAACTTAGGCATTCATTTTGAAATTGATAAACAACCAATTAATATATGCTTTGACAGCTAATTAAAAATTAAAAACTTCACATGTACATAAGTCAGACATTACCTGCACAATTACCGTATATTTTATTTTCCACATGGCAGGAAAGATTCATTTTTAAGTATTTTTTGGAGCATTATAGAGAAGGACTGTATCTTCTTTCAAAAGGATTCTTTGGAGAGATAAATTTGACAAATGTAATAATCTATTGCACATGTGGAAAACATCTTCACCATTGTTTTACTTTTTTAAGTGGACTTAAACCATTAATTAACATTTCTTTGGCTTATTCCTTTTTTAATGTGCATTTTACTGGTAATAAAATATCTAAACCGTGATGTTATTTTGAAGATAAATACGCTGAAGTATGCATAGCTCTATTAAGTAGTTACAAATAACAAGAAGCCCTACAAACATAGGCTTATAAAATTGGGCTCAAATTCTGTTTTGTTCTCTTACTACATTAACTTTCATACTCATGAGAGTTACCTCACAGTTTCAAAATGACTATAGCTCTACATCTTTTGCAAAGGAGGAAAGGAAGAATATAAGAAAAAGAGAGCCTGAATCAGAAAGGGAAATGCTTTCTCCGGAAATCATTTATACTGTTCCTTGACCAGAACCGTGCACATAGCCAGCCCACCATTATCTGTGATGGATTCAACCAGATAAGTAGTTTTAAATTAGTCCATTGTTCTTGCAAAACAAAATTAGAAAAGGGGGGAAAAAGAGAATGAATATATGGCAGGCATTTAGTAAGGTCTTACCACAGTGGTAGTACTTAGTGCTATTAGTGCTTAGGGGACATAGTGAGGCCTAAATGAATACTAGTTGTTACAATCTTGAAAGAGCTCTAGTGCCTGAGTCAGTTTTATAGAGGGGACTTACTTGATATCGAAAATCAGTGCTCCAAGATTTTCACAGAAGACAATGGAAAATTTGCATCTGTTCTCCTTGTGATTGTTTACAAGGATTTTCACTGGGAATGAGTAAAATGTAATCTTCACATACAGGTTGAATAAATAGAACTATGATACAATTTAAAGGGCTTCATAAGGCCCCTGGTTAGAAAAATCTGTCACTTGGCTAACTGTAATTGGGACCCTCAGTTAATCATCCTTTAAGTTGTAAAATTTCCTTTACAACTTAAAATTTCTGCAAATAAAGCGCTTATATTTTAGTGTGAAATAAAAGTGAGTTTCTAGATAAACTCATAAGCAAAGAAAATCAAGAAATACTGCAACTTCACGCACTGTTAGTATGTGCATCTTTCTAGCTTGACAATTCTGCGTGTTTAGTAAGCAAATGCCATACATATTTTTTCTGTTATATGTTTCCTTCAAATAAAATCTGACTGAGAATCTGTGATCACAAAATAAAGCTGCTAATTATGAGCTGGGTCACCTTGGATCTTATCTAGGGAAGGACCACTTTCTGTAGAATCTTATCTATAAAATGTAAATAAATTAAAGGAGAGTATAGATGTATTATATGTGGACATGCATACTAAAAATGTATACTGTTTGAACATATTCAGATACTTTTTAGAACCGAACTATTGTATTTAGAATTTACTTCAATTGAGCCTTCCTCTTTTTAAGTAGACTGGAACATTAAAAAAATGTTTATTCAGGTAAACTAAACACATATACTATAAAAACATATGTGTGTGTGGAGTATGGGGATGTACCTGTTATGCAACCCAATTAATAAGATATAGGGTAGAATGAAAGATCGGTAGAGCTTCATGAGGATGCTAGTTTTGTCCTTCTAAAGAAAACACCAAGTAACAAGTCATACTGTGGATGCATCTATTGATTAACTTGCAGAGGTGGTGCTGAGACACAGGCACATTGATCAAACTTAGCCTAGGACTATGTTAATTATTTTTATTGCTCAATTCAGCATTGTTTGTATGTATCTGTCTCGGCATGTGTGTGAGTGTGTGGGTGGATGGGAACTACAATAAAAAGAATGAATAGCTCTATTATCATTATTTTGGTTAATTAAAAACTGAGACAAGTCAAAATGATTAGCTCTTCCTCCATCCAATTTTTCTGTTAACTTGTTTTACAAAGTTATTTCCCAACCATGAATAAAATACTTGGTGATTGTTTGAATGTTCTTGTCTTCCACAAGCTAATGCTGAATATTGATTTAAACTTTTTTAATGTTCCTATATGCCTGAGATACACATGATTTGAATTTTTATGAATGGAGTAATTATAAAAGAAGCAATCAATTATAACAATAAATCATTCTTTTATATTTGAGGGGAAAAAGCCTAATAAGAATGTTAAAGAATAATTATGTTCTTTTTGTTGATTTTGTTGTGAAACTCCTTATGTCTCCTAGTTTTTGATGGCACATTTTATTGTGTCACTGAAAGCAAGTACCTTAAAAGATATTTAAAATCCTAAAATAATAGATTCTATAATAGACATTGAAAATGTACTTCAACCTTCTCATTTTACATATGAACAAATAAATACAGAGCATTTGGAGACACAGCTGTGAATAAAGTAAATGTCTTCTGTGGTCTTTCTTAATTTATTCTAAGAAAGTTTTTCCAACATAATATATAACCTTCTAAATCTCCTTAAAACATTATGTCATTATTTTAAAGTATATATTGTATAAATAAATGTTTTTAAGAAAATGATATTCTAGAAGAATATACTTATGATATTTTATTGCAGTGTTTATTAACATTTAATATTTAATAATATTCAGAATATATAATGAAGGTAAATTTTTACTTTCCCCAATTTTTTCTCAGATTAAAACTTATTCTCCCATATAGGTTTTTACTTTCCCCAATTAAAAATAATATATTTTATTAAAGTTATTTAATAAAAAGAAGCTTCAAATTATCTGTTGTCTAAACTCCATCACTTCCTCTTTCACATTCATGTTGTACTGCACCAAAATTTAGTGCCTTGAAACAACATTGGTCAAATCCACAATTGTATGGTTTGACAATTTTGGCTGCTGGTCTTAGCTAGACCCATGTATACTAGTGGGAAGCTGCTAGTCAGCCAAAAGACTCACCTTCTGGCTCTTGGATGAAATGACAAGGATTACTGAAACAATGGTCTCTTCTCACCTAGCAAATTATCCTGGATTTCTTCATATGGTGATGGTCAGGCATGTTTTAAGAAGACCAAGAAGTAGAACAGGACTCGATGCAAAAGCATTTCCAAGTATCTGCTTATGCCATGCTTGCTATTGTCTCATTGCTCACATACTATGAGGACAACCCCATATTCAACATGTAAAAGCACAACCCACATAGCAGGGACAGGAGGGCGTGAATAAATGGAAGGTCATTACTGAAACAATCTAGTAAGCATGGCTCTAGCACTAATAATTTACCTGCTTCCCACAAGTAAAGTACATTTACTCTCTCACAAAATACCAAAATTCTCATATAATCTAAGCATCAGGCATAAAGTCCAGATTTTTGTGATTCACTGTGATGCTGGATATCAGTGAGGCACCATATTGAAAAACATGTTATTTTCACTACACAAACACAACTTCTGATGGTGACACAGAATAGAAGAACGACAAAAAATGCTGCCATTTCAAAAGGAGAAAAATGATAACCACATGCATTTCATGATCCATAGCAATTCTGAAACAAAATTGGGCAAATAGGTCATATTTTCCAGTTTCAGGGGAAAGCATGCTCCCTGACGAAGCCATATTCCTTTTCCAGTGAGCGACTTCCCATATTTCCTTCATGTTCCCTGGCTCTACCCTCTGAGATATCCTTTATTTTTTTTCATCCTCCTTAGATATTTCTGGAGAGTTCAAAGGATAATATTTTCTTACAGAAATTTTCTTAACCTATTTTCTTTTCATAAAGATGTGGAATCAGAGAATTTTTGGAGTTTGAACAGTCTCAGTGCCTTTCGATAAAGACTGCCAACTTGTTTCTGGGCATAACTCCATTAAACACTTGGCAAATTATCTGTGAGTCTGATTTCTAAGAGTTGTAACTCGAAAGACACATCAGAAATTCTTTTTGAGTAATTGTCTCTCAATGTATTAACTGATACATTGGGCATTTAGTTTTCAGAGGGGCAAATCTTCAAAATGGTGAATTTTGTCTAATTGAGAGTAACTAAGAAGTACTGATTTTATTCTTTCAGAAGTCTTAACAAAGGATCTCACATTTAAGCCATTGATCTAATATATTCCATTAAGTTGCACTTTGCCTTCAAATCTTTTAAGTACCAGTTGCAGTACTGTACATAAGGGGCTTGAGCAGCTGCAGATTTTGGTATTTGTGGGAGAGTCTTAGAACCAATCCACTACAGGTAACAAGAGAAGATTGTAAGTCATCTAAGGATGTATAATAAATGTAGTGGCTTGAAACAACCACCTTTTGTTTGGATCGTAGTTCTTTCTGTGTGGCAATTTGGGATGGATATGACTGATTTGGTCTTCTCTTGGGTAGGTTCATTTATGTGTCTTCATTCTGTGGCCAGATGCAGTTAGCTAGTTGGGTATGTTTCTGGTGATTGTTAGCAGCCAACTAGGAGCAGGTGCACTACATTTCTGTAACAATTTTACAGGATTCTTCTCATGGAAGCAGTGTCAGGGATCCTAAAAACAGCAAGAGGAAGATAAAACCTTAAAGACCTAGCCCTTTTCTCCAGCCTCAGGTTTTGTTATGACTGCTATCGTACTACTAAACCAAGTCAGTATATTGTCAGCCTCATCAGTGTGGGTATGACCAGCTGAGAATGTGGATCCATGGAGGTATTAACAAACTATGGTACATTACTGCAACCCTATATCAAACTGACTCCCATTTGATAATCCTTTTTATCTCACTGAACAAAATAAAAACTTGTAGTAAAGATGAGAATTTGCATAAATAACCATTATCTTGTCTGTTCAACCTCAGATATTATATCATTTGAAAAATAATTAATGATAGGAAAGTTGAAAACAAAATGGCAGTAGTCAAATTAGTTTCTGTGGCTCCAGCATACAACCCATTCTATTTTCTTCAGTCCACGAATGGCACCACCAACAGTTACTTTGCCTCAAGTATGGGACAATGCAGCTAATACCAAAGTCCTATTCAAAAGCCACACTTACAAAGTTAAAGTAAATTGAGCCTTCTATATTCAGTTCTTGTTTCCTTACGCTCTTGCTCCTGTATCTTAATGAGTGTTCTATTAATTTTGCAGTGACTTTCTTCCTTAATGTTCATAGCTTAATAAACTCTGCCTACTGATTTAAAACCTAATCAATATTCACTAAGTGTTTGCTAATTATTTAAATAAGAGCATGCATAATTTTGGGGAGAACTAAATCTGATGACAATTTGATGGAAATGTAGTTTATTACTGCTTTAGGACTGAGGATTTCATTCTGTGTGTGGCTCATTTGTGGGAAGAATTAATACATGTTTTATTTTAAAATGGCTAGGATTAGTAAAGAAACATCCCTGAAAAGGGGGATAACGACCTAACTTTGTGGATGTGATTTTTTGTTTGCTTATGATTTTTATAGTGAATATAGGCTCTGAAATTAAACAGAGAGATACTACAACTATGGAGTTTTTTTAACTGTTGCAATCTATGAAATGGTATCTCTCTATACTTTCTCAAATAGCCCAATACTTGAGTATTATTCATAGGGATAAGTCTTTCCTAAAATTCTCATAACAATTTAAAGGAAAACTTGAAAATTCTTTAAATATCTGCTTAAAAATCTTCTACTCCATGGATGGGAGCAATAAATCAGAAGACAAAACTCTATAAGGTTAAGTGTTTTACAATAACTCTCTTTTTCAAATTTATTCCAGAAGTATACATTTCTTCACCAGCAAAGCTCTTTTCTAAAGGATTAGATAAAATTATAGTGTTAATTAAAAATAAATTACTTCTACATTAAGAGGGTGATGAATTTAAATGAATAAAATAATAGCCTATCTGGAAAATTGAGATAGTTACATTCCTTTTTTATTCTTTCTCACGACTAGGGCAACTTTCCAAAAGGGGCATGCTTTGGACTTGGGGGCAACTGAGAAGTATACATACAGATAATAAATGAAAAATAAAGCACAAAAGTTAGCTTTTTCATGGAGGATATGCTGTAACTCTGCTGTCAGTCATTTTAAAAATTGTAACAACTGGAAGAGATGTCAACTGATCAAATTTCCAAGAGCTCATACCTTACATAGGGAACATAGTCATATTCACAGTTAATTTTAATAGTTTCAGCATCTTTGACAGCAGTGGAATGCTATCCACTTAGTTCGCAGATATAACACCATAATCCATTAAAATAAATTGCCTGTAAAAGGAGCTAGTGTTCTTAAAGTTATGTAAGTGTTGAGAAGGAAGAAGGAAAAGGAGAAAGAAATTGTTGCAAAAAATGTACCTTATTCATTTCTTTATTGAGATCCTCTTTTGCAAAATATAAATAGATAAAAGAAAAAATAAAAATTTTCCTGTTCACAGAATAAAATAATGCACAGAATTATCTTACATCTGTACTATGAAGTGGGCCATTAGAGACCTTCTAAAGTCTAATACAAGTAATGCAAAAGCACAAAAGGAGATTAACTTTGCAACTTGACAAATAGATGCAAGAATAAGAAAAAAATACTTAGGACAATTAACACAAAATACACATCATTACAGACATTTAGTCAATCATCATCATCATCATGACCTTCCTGCACCTTCCATCTATATTTTTATATCTACTTGGTTCCCTCATTTTGTTTTTGTAACTGATACAGTCATTTTAAAGAAGAAGTTAATTTATTCAATTGAGTCAGTGTTTGACTGAACTCACTGATTGTTTCAGAAAATGTTCTGTAAATACACACTGCCCAAATGCTGCTGCTTTGACTTATTGTCTCAGAGACTCCCATACATATTTAAGTGGTCAAAAGAAGCATGTAGTAAATTTTTTATTTCTGACAGTGGCAGCTGCTGCTGCTGTTGCTGCTTCTTGAGTCTACTTAGTTTGTCAGCCATTTTCTTCTGTTATATTTCTTTTCCAATTCTGTGGTATTCCTTCCTTATGTGTGTTTATCTCATATGTCAGGATTTTGCTTTTATTGTCATTGCTATGTCAATACAGAATTTTGAAAAAATATTTTTATTCAGTATAATTGACATATTTTGACTTTGAAGTTTAGAATAACTAAAATATTAATGAATTTCATTTAATGATTTATTAAATTAATATATTTAATGTGACATGTTTATATAGTTATAGTACATCTTTTTTTTTTTTTTTTTTTTTTTTTTGAGACAGAGTCTCCCTCTGTCCCCCAGGCTGGAGTGCAGTGGCGTGATCTTGGCTCACTGCAACCTCCGCCTCCCAGGTTCAAGTGATTCTCCTGCCTTAGCCTCCCGAGTAGCTGGGACTAAAGGTGCATGCCACCACGCCTGGCTAAGTTTTGTATTTTTAGTAGACACGGGGCTTCACCATGTTGGCCAGGATGGTCTTGATCCTTGATCTCTTGACCTTGTGATCTGCCTGCCTCGGCCTCCCAATGTGCTGGGATTGCAGGCGTGAGCCACCGCATCCAGCCATTATAGTACATCTTATAACAATTTCTGTTCTAGGATAAATTTTATGCATTTAAACTTTATCACAAAAATAATATGGAACTCATCTGACCCTAAAAGGAGTGACATAGGCAACATTACATTACATAGGCAACATAGTCATATTCGCAGTTAATTTTAATAGTTTGAGTATCTTTGAGTGAAGAGATAAGTCATCCTTACTTGTGAGAGCAATGTTGCAAACATCAAACTAGGCTCACACTATTTTTTATGAAAGGAGATTCCATATGGGAATCAATGAAAGAGTTGAAAATAAGATTTAATTTAATTAAAAGAAACAGAAACAATACATTCTCATACAGTCCAAAGAAGGTAAAAATAAGCATTTGTAGTTCATGTTGATAATTGACAAACTTTAAAAGTATATTCTTGACTCTTATTAGTTTTAGGTTCAATCAGGTCCCAGTTAATATTAAAGTTTTACTTAAAGATATATCAACCATATAATGCTGTTATACTTATTGTTGCCATAAATGGCCTCTCTTTTATTCAGAGACCACACTACAATTTTGGAACTGGAGTTCAGACCCAGGGTGCTCCATGTCTCCTCTAATATTCAAAATAATTTTGTAGTGGATTAAATCATTGAATTCACCGCAGATGACAGATAGGTGATAGATAGATGAAAGATAGATAGATAGATAGATGATAGATATTATTTTGTAGTGGATTAAATCTTTGAATTCATGGTAGATGATAGCTAGCTAGCTAGCTAGATAGATAGATAGATAGATATTATTTTGTAGTGGATAAAATCATTGAATTCACAGTAGACGATAGATGATTGATAGGTAGAGAGATAGATAGATAGATGATAGATATTTAAAGCATAATTATATATGCTTTAAAAACTCTAACAAGAATTATATACAAAAAGATAAAACGCAAAGGGCATATAGATATTTAAAGCATAAATATGAAGTGAAAAAAGATTCAAAGCACAAAAGTTAGCTATTTCATGGAAGAAATATCTCTCCTGTCAGTCATTTTAAAAATTGTATATGCTTTAAATATCCATATGCCCTTTGCATTTTATCTTTTTGTATATAATTCTTGTTAGAGTTTTCAGCAAATAAAAATTGCCCAATAAATACTGTTGAACATTTGTTCTTCATTACCTCATACCACCTGCAATGATAGGATTATTCTCATGAATATAATTAAATTATTATTGGCACATTATAAGTAGGCTTTCTTTAATGTAATTTAATTAGTGCAATCCAAATGCAGAGGAAAATTGACAAGCTAGTACAGAATTTAAAATAACAGACTATACAAAAGTATAGAGGTGTATCTGAAGCTGCTTTTGAAAGAGCTTCTTCATCTCTCTCACCAGTGAATTGCTTTAACAGCCCCTTCCTTGGCATATTTTAATCTAATCAACTCAGCAGTGCAGTTCTTGGGAACCAGTATGTCAGTGATGTGTGCCATGTTTACATTTCAGAAACATAAATAAAGATAATAAACATTGTGATTTATTTAAGTAGTCAGCAGGTACTATGACTTGTTATTCTCTCCTAATTAAATAAAATAAATAATGAAATAGAAAATAAAATTGTTTAATCGCAGAAGCAACCAAATCATGGAGGTAGATTCATTCTCTATTTCTGTGTAGAAATTTTTTAAAGGGTATGTTGCATAGGTTATTTTTTGAGAAAACTTTTAACCTTACACACTAGAATATTAATTTCTTATTTGAAGAAGAGAGAATGTATTTGGGATTATGTATTTATTTAACAAATTTTTTAATGCTTGCCATTTTCAGGTCCTTTGTAAGTCCCCATGTATTCAGAAATTAGTAAAATATAAAAGATCTTTGCCATCTTGGTTCTTAAGGGTGGATGGTGATATGGTTTGGCTGTGTTCCCACCCAAATCTCATCTTGAATTGTAGCTCCCATAATTCCCATGTGTTGCAGGAGGGACCTGGTGGGAGATAATTGAATCATGGTGGCGGTTCCCCCATGCTGTTCCAGTTGTAATGAATAAGTCTCATGAAATCTGATGGTTTTATAAGGGTAAACCACTTTTGCTTGCCTCTTATTTTCTCTCTCGTCTGCCGGATATAAGACATGCCTTTTGCCTTCTGCCATGATTGTGAGGCCTCCTCAGCCACGTGGAACTGAGTCCATTAAACCTCTTTTTCTTTATAAATTACCCAGTCTCAAGTATGTCTTTATCAGCAGCATGAAGATGAGAAAGAAAGCAGTGGAGGTCCACTTCTTGCACCAGAAACGGTTTTTATTCTATATATTATCAAATTCTAGCAAGATTTTGTAACTTACTATGCTTATATAATTTATATGTAAATATAAGAGGTACTGTCTTTTATGAAAGAAATAACTAGAAAATAAATTATTTTCAACATAAACTTTTAGGTTTAATTAATTTTAATAAAGAATGAAAGTATGATTATTTGTATAATATATAATTTTATCTTAAAAATAATTTATGTGTACATTTTGATCATTTAAAATTCGAGCCAACAGATATTTATAAAGCATATCCTAACATCAATGCTAAAGACTTATTATATGAAAAATATCATCTAACAAATATATAAAAGATACAATTGGTTAAATTAATAATTTAAATGAAGTTCTTTTGTATTATTCAGTCTCTAGACAGTTTGATTGTATGTAGCAAGCTGCAATAAAATGCTTTAAGAAACAAATTAACATTCTTCAGACAAAGCCCGTACTAAACCTGAACATACCGAATGACTTCTAGATCTGGGAAAAGAAAATAATTACTAAATAAACAAAATTGCATTTAACACTAGGGAGCTGCTTTTTGACAAAACTTGTGATATGAAAGTAGCTATTGTTCTCTTAGTCATCAGATGTTTCAGTTGTTAATATACTTTGATTATGAAACTTAGAGAACATGGACTTTCCATATGACTGTATTCTTCATATATTTTAATAACTTCAGTATATTGCAAAATTTGAAAACTGTATTCTTTATATTTTGTCTAGTGAAGAAGAAAGACCTAAGTTTTATTTACTGGTATATATTCAATCCAATAATATGTCATGTCAGTTAATATCTGGTATGTAAATAATTTACTTTCTTAATAATAATTCTATTTTTTGGGCTGGCTGCATTCCTATAGAGTCAACTTATTAGGTATGAATCACTATTTATATTCAACAGGATTTTTAAATGTGTTAAATAAAATTTAAAATAACTGATGGATATAACCATAAGCATGCCATTTGAAATTTTTTGCCTTTTAATGAGTGCCCAATACTAAATTATTCGCCAGATATTCTTAAGTTTAGATTTGTAAGCTTAATAAGAAATTATTTACCTTTGGGAGCTGTGATTCATAGAAAGATATTTAAGTAACACAATCTTTAGTACTAATACCATTAATTTCTTAAATGTCAGTTAACACCTGCATGATATACCTTTTTTAAAGAAGACAGTGACTGTTGTGAATAATTTTCATGCATCAATCAAATTACATTTCCTGAGTTGCATGTGTCTTATTTGAATAAATAATATAGAGCCCTGGGCCAAACCAGTAGCACAATTATAGTTTACATATAAACCCAAATCTGTATCCTGTTATATAGTACACACCTTTTTCTCTGGTAGTAATTGCTAAAATCTGAAAACTAATCCTTCAGTTTTCTGCCATTCTCTGTGGGTAGTCAGATGGAAATAGCACAATATGGTTCCATCATAGGGCAGTGAATATTGTATATTTGATCTTAAAAATAAAATAGGAAATAAAATTAGAATAATGAGTATTAACAAAAGAAAGCTAAAACTGAAGCTTTGCAAAAACTGATAAATGAAAGTACCTCTGGCAATACCATTCCATAAAATATTAAGATTTCCTGAATTGAAATTTTTCCAAATATCTTGGGTTTAAAAAATACTGAAAAGTTTGGATTTAATGTATACTTATATACTAAATGTCTAAGCATCCAGCCCTCTCCACATACTTAGTTTTCATAGCTGCTAATAGCCAGTTCTATATATTATGTTGTTAGGATTCTATCAAGTTCAATAGGAAATTATTAAAGAAAATAAGAATTCTCCAGGGAAATGCCACTGCCCAATAAATTATAATAAAGAGTACTGCTAGCAAGCCAAAATAATGAGTCTAGAGCATTCTGTTAACAACTCAGAAACTCAAATTTAAATACAAACCAAATACAAGCATCAACACACATCTTTGAAAACCTACTACCATGAAAGATAGAGACTAAAACAAACAAATGGAAAAAAACAACTTGAAGGGAAGGAGATTCTATTAAGACGAAGACACTTTCACAACTGAATTGTTCATATCAAAGAAGCAGGTGAAAAATTATAGTCAATGGAAAATGAAACAAAAACAATAACAGGGCACTAAAACATGGATGGATTGAAAGAACAAAAAGAGATTCTGGATACTATAATTATGGGAGCCTGCCACTCCTTAGGCGTTAATCACAGAAAAATTTACATTTCCATTCATGCAAAAATATTTATACAAATATTCATAGCAGTTCCATTTGAAACAACCAAACACTGGAACAACCCAAATGTCCTTCATGGGTAAGTGGTGACACACACTGTGGCACTTCCTTGCCTTGGAATAAAACTCATCAACAAAAAAGGAGCAATCTATGAATGCATATAACAACTTGGAATTCTCAAGAGAATTATGCTCACCAAAAAAAGCATCACAAAATGTTTCATATCATATGACTCAATTTGTATCGTGTTCTTGAAATAACATAGAGATGGAGACAGATTAGTGGCTGGCAGAGATTAAGGATTGAAGAGGAGGAGCTGGATATGATGGATATGACTATAAAGTGGTAGCACAAAGAAACTCTGTGGTGATGAACAATTTGGTATCTTGATGGCGATGGTGGTTACACAATCCTACACACATGATAAAGTTGCATGAATGTACACAAACACACACATTGCTTATAAAACTAGTAAATTAGGTAAATTAGAATAAACTCTGTGGATTATGCATATGTCAGTGTATTGGTTTTGCTGGTGCACTATAGTTATGCAAGATGTTACTACTAGGAGAATCCAAGTGAAGGATACATGAAACGTCTTTATATATATATATATTTTTTGAAATTTTCAATGAATTGATTATTTCAAAATAATATTTTAGAAATATGGTAGGCTAAATTTTTAAAAATACTATTTTTGGAAATAGTAATAAAGTGTGCTTTCCAGGAAAAGTATAACAGTCATGGACAATGGGAATAATTCAGAACCAGTCCAAGATGTTCAATAACTGAATAACAACTAACTCTAATGGCAGAACAAAAAACAAATAGAGAAAGATTATTCTGAGTTACAACTGGCACAATAGTTTACATTTTCTAATCAAAAATTACTTTTCATTGCTCTCCAAAATGAATTTTGAATATAATACATAGTGCCTACTTATAAATGGCTTACTCTCAGTGGGAGTCAGCAAATGATGGCCTGAGAGCCAAATCTTGACAACCACCTGTTTTGGGAAGTCTGCAAAAATTAAAAAATGCTTTTAAAAAATAATTTTACTGAATAAAGACAAGGTGATGTATATATACACCATGGAATACTATGCAGCCATTAAAAAGAATGAGGTCATGTCCTTTGCAGCAACACAGATGGAACTGGAGGTTATTATCCTTAGCAAATTAATGCAGGAACAGATAACCATATACTGAATGTTCTTGCTTACAAATGGGAGCTAAGCAATGAGAATACATGGTCACAAAGAGGGGTACAACGGAGACTGAGGCCTACATGAAGGTGGAGTGTGGGAGGAGGGGAAGGATTAAAAAAATGTCCATCAGTTACTATGCTTATTACCTGGGTGATGAAATAATCTGTACCACAAACCCCCATGACACACAGTATACCTATATAACAGGCCTGTACATATAACCCTGAACCTAAAGTAAAAGTTAAATAATAATAATTTGAAATCATTACATTATAAATGGTTATATAAATACCTACATAATATCTTCAATTTTTTTATCTGGTTAGCAAGCCTGAAATTTTTACCATCTGGCCCTTTAAGAAAAAAAATCTGCTAACCTCTCATCTAGAGGAATCTGAGAAACAGATCTTCTATAGAGATAAGGTTTAGATGATGCCAGAGAGTAACCTAATTATAAAAATTAAAAGTTATGTCAGGTAGGAAACATCTTCTCCATTCCGGAGAGGGACAGCTTTTTTGACATTGGTAAACAAATTAAATTGAGAAACATTCAGAAAATTCATTGTAATTTGAAAATCAAATGCATACCAGCAATAGAATTTAACAAGCCCAGAATATACCCCGACACAAAAAAACAAAAACAAAAACAAAAAAAAACCCAGAAGCCAAAAACAAACAAACAAACAAAAAACATGGAGTTTGGTAATTACTTTCATAGAATGAAAAGCACAGTGTAGGCCAGGCACGGTGGCTCAGTGATACGCCTGTAATCCCAACGCTCTGGGAGGCCCCGCGGAGTGGATTACTTGAGCCCAGGAGTTTGAGACCAGCCTGGGCCACATGGCGAGACCCCATTTCTAATTAAAAAGAAAACAAAAAGAGGAAAAGTGTAGTGTGTAATAGTTCTGAATAACTTCATTCCACATCCACCCCCACCGAATTGGTTAATATCTATAATTAGTTTGTTTCATGGTGTCAAAGAAATTTTATATTAACCAAGAAATTCAAGAAGGTCCTCAAAAACCTCTTTTTGAGCATGTTTTAACACACCAAAAATTTTCAAAGGAGAATAATGTGTAATAGTTTATTTTATATAAGCAAAAATATTTTAAACATGTACTAATTTATTAAAGATAATGTAAAGTACAGAGAGCTAGCACATTCTTTTTGGTCAAATATGTTTTTTCTTAGCATTAATGATATGTAAAACCAGAACCACAAACAGTAACTAAACACGTTGATATTTTACCAGATGACAGTTTTACTTGTGTTAAAAACAGAATCATAAACAGTAACTAAACACATTGATATTTTACCAGATGACAGTTTTACTTGTGTTAAACATTAAAAATGGAAATAGGCTGGGTGCAGTCCTCATGCCTATAATCCCAGCACTTTAGGAGGATTGAGCCTAGGAGTTTGAGACCATCCTGGGCTGGTTTGATGAGTTTGACTCCATCTGTTCCAAAAATAAAAGTAAAAAAATTGGCCAGGTGTGGTGGTACATGCCTGTGATTTCAGCAACTTGGGAGGCTGAGATGAGGGGATTGCTTGAGTCCAGGAGGTTGAGGCCGCAATGAGCAAAGACTATGCCACTGCACTCCAGCCTGGGTGACAGAGCAAGAATGTCTCAAAGAAGAAAAATAATAAGTAAATACAAATAAAATGAAAAATAAAAAGTGGAAATAAGTATTTGTAACAATAGCATGTGCCAGAAGATTCTGTTTTTCATAGGATCGTTTCACAAATCAAATTTTCCAAAATCAGATGTTAAAACAGATTTTGAGATACAAACTGTTTATTAGGGATCAACAGTTATTAAAGGAAGTGGGTGGAAGCCAGATTGGGCAAAAGAAGTGCAAATGCAACAAAATCCAAACTATTATTGGCTGATCCAGCATCACGGTTTCAAAGAAAATTTGGTATGAAATACAAAATGCATAGTCATTCCAGGTTCTATAAATATTTTTCTGAGTACATTTTTTAAATCTCAAGGAGAGATACAACTTATACCCAAAAAATAACATTTAGTATGAGAAAAATATTTTAAATATTTACTAAATCATTGACAGAATTTAAGATTCTATGAGCTTACTAATAGAATTCTTTTAGAATAATCTTTTCTCCTAGATGAGAGTAAGTAATATGCAAAAAAAATTGGACAGCTAAACAAAGCACACTGTAATTGCAACAAACTCTTCTGATTATAAACCTTCCAATATTTTACTTTTCCAAAATCAAAGGAAAATGAGCCTGCATATTTTACCTAAATGTGTAATAATTACTACTAAAAATTGCACTATATTTAATAAGCCTGAGGAGACCATTCAGTTCAGCATTCTGTGTTAACTTGACATAAAGATCACGTATTCATTAATATTTTGCCACAATAATCTCAAATTTCATACATGCAATTAGTAAGAAGTTTCCATTCAATACCAAGAATTGAGAGTAAAACCAGACTTTCTATAATTTTGTGTTTAATTTGTAGATGAAATATCATACCAACATTTCAGTTAACCTTATGAACATTTTGCTTAAATCCTTCAATATTTTGTTTTGAAACATGAATATACCTTCTCTGCAATTATAAATTATTCAGTTTACAAAGGATCAATCACATTGTTGCTTTCTTTTTTTGAGGTTTTAAGCTATTTTAATCTGGTCCTTCAATTGGTGGTGGTTTTTTTTTTTTCCAAATACACATATTCACATTTCTAAAAGTCAAATGGCTCAACGAGGTTTTTACCAAAAAGTAGATTCCTTTTTTTCACTTTACTCATTTCTCCCTTCCCAGAGACACAGGGTTTCAACTTGTTCAGTACTAACTTTCTTCTAAGCTATTTTGCATTGTAAGGGAGAAAATATAATTTCTTTTTTCCTCTCATATTTTCTTAGTTGAGATATTCTCCTGAAAACTAAAGTAAGACTAACAAGAGAAAAACCAGAAGTTTATTAACAGGTGCTGTGCTCATCATGCAGGAGAGGCCTCAGTTCAAAAATATTTCTCTCTCAAGGCAGTGGCTTGGGGGCCTGGTTTAAGTAGTATTTTTTTTTAAGCCATAAATCCTATGTAATGACAAGACAAAGTAAAGTGCATCTTCAGGCTTCCAAAAGGTGAGAAAATGTTGGAAGGTAAATTTCTGGGAAAAGTGGTCTTTTCCTAGACCTGCTGGTGCTACCGTCTCTGAGCTGATAAGCAAGCATCGTAAAGAGGGAAAAGGCAGAGATGGGTGCAAAAAGACCTTTTTCTTTGTAATTTGCTGTCCTGCCATCAGGAATTTGGAGCAAGGAATAGAGCCTTCTTTATCTCAGCACTCCCTGGTATTTCAGACAGAAATATTTTGGTTTCTTTCAGCATCAAATAATGTGTAAATTTCAAATACATGTCAAAATCTTTTTTAGCTCTAATCTGGGGTGGTAGTTAGCTGGGTCTTGGGCATTATGCCCATCTTGCCAACGCTATTCATCTCTTTCCTGGATAGAATGATTTTTTTTTCTTTTCCTATTCCTCATTTAGTCCTAATTTTGGGTAAAACACTTCTAGTTACTTACTAAGGGAGGTTGCATGAGTGGTAATTTTTTGAGATTGTATTCATTTAATTAAACTCTCGTATTTGATAGACAATTGCTTGGATATTGAATTTTTGCCAAACCTTATTTTGTTTATTTTGGATGCATTGCTCCATTAAACTATAACAAATCACATGTCTGTAGGCTTCACTGTTCTTACCTTTAAAAAGTGTTATCTTTAAAAAGAAAATGCATAAAGAAATTATTACAAATCTATGCTAATTGTAATACAGTGTATAATGAGGTCATTTGTGATAAAAGTAGTATAAAAGAGTGATGAAACATGGCAATAGAGGAGCAAATATTTGAATATTATTGAAATTACATTCCTATTAATCTGACTTGGATTGTTGTAAATCATGATGTTAATGAAAATGGCATACCCCTACAGGTTTAGAAAATCCAGAAAGGGTACAGCATTCATTGAAAGGATATCAAGTAATCTTTTTTGTATATTTCAAAGTGAAGTAACCAGACTGATACATCCCTAGTGATGCTCACCCTCAGAACCTGTGAGCATGTTATCTTGTTATGAAAAATAAAACTTGCAGATGTGATTAAGATTAAGGACCTTCAGGTGAGGAGATTATTCTGGTGATATGATTTGGCTGTGTCCCCACCCAAATCTCAACTTGAATTGTATCTCCCAGAATTCCCACATGTTGTGAGAGGGACCTAGGGGGAGGTAATTGATTCATGGGGGCTGGTCTTTCCTGTGCTATTCTCATGATGATGAATAAGTCTCATGAGATCTGATGGGTTTATCGGGAGTTTCTGCTTTTGATTCTTCCTCATTTTCTCTTGCCACTCCCATGTAAGAAGTGCCTTCTGCCTCCCGCCATGATTCTGAGGCCTCCCCAGCCATGTGGAACTCTAAGTCCAATTAAACCTCTTTTTCCTCCCAGTCTCAGGTATGTCTTTATCAGCAGCGTGAAAATGAACTAATACACCTGGATTAACTAGGCAGCCTAATCTAAACACTTTGACTCCTTAAAAGTGATAATCTTTCCTGAGTGAAGTAGAAGTATGAGAATAAGGAGAGATTTCAAGTGTGAAACTGCCTCACCGTAAATGGCTTTCAAGATAGAGGAAGGAAGATGAAAGATGAGCCAAGAAATGTGGGTAGCCTCAAACAGCTGGAAACAGTCCTCACTGACAGCCAGTAAGAAAAGAAGGATTTAAGTTCAACAACTACAAGGGTCAGAATTTGGCTAATGACCTGTATGAGCAAAAGAACAATACCTACCTCAAATCCTTCAGAAAGGAAATACCTTTATTTTAGTCCTGTGAGACCTGTAAGATAATACATATGTGTAGTTTTTGGTTTTTTGTTTTAGTTTTTGTTTTTTTCTGAGATGGAATCTTGCTCTGTGCACCAGGCTGGAGTGCCCTGGCGCGATCTCGCCTCACTGCAAGCTCCACCTCCCGGGTTCGCACCATTCTCCTGCCTCAGCCTCCCGAGTAGCTGGGACTACAGATGCCCGCCACCGTGCCCGGCTAATTTTTTGTATTTTTAGTAGAGACGGGGTTTCACCGTGTTAGCCAGGATGGTCTTGATCTCCTGACCTCGTGATCCGCCCACCTCGGCCTCCCAAAGTGCTGGGATTACAGGCGTGAGCCACTGCGCCTGGCCCTACATGTGTGTAGTTTTAAGCTAACAAGTGTGTGATGATTTACTAAGGCATCACTACAAACCAATACATGCATTTTGAAAATAAAGATAGAATACCTATATGAATTAACGAACTGGCATGAACAGTGGGAAGGGGTAGTGGTATCACTGCTTCATTTCCAGAGCAAATGACATAGTTTCATAATTTAAATGTGGATTACATTTAAATAGTGATGAGAGAAGTAAAGAATGTACCCCAGAAACAGTTTGAAGTTCCAAGAAAAGTGGATGAGCATTACACTTTCCCAGAATTAAAAAGCCATCAATGTGACTGGACCAGTATATTATAGTAAATGAATAATAAAGTAAATAATCATATGTTGTCAAGTTCTAAAATTCTCTGTACCTGCTCTAATGACTTCTTTTAAGCAGATCTGTCACTATCAGTTTCCATTAAAATCCAAACAAAAAAAGAGAACAGTAATAAAATAAATATATTATATTTGTACTCCTAAAGAAAGAAGCTGAGACATAAAATATAATTTTAAAGAATGTTCTTGAGCCAAAATGAGGACCGTTGCCCAGGAAACATTTCCAGATTACCTTGGAAGTTTCTCTGTTTGGTCTTTGTTACAGGTCAGTTTTTAAGGGCAAAAAGGGGGACAAGAAGTGGGCTACAGCAAAGTTGTCAGGAATTGTTTTACAGAAATAACATTGATTAATGATTGGCTATACATTTTTAAACTATAGACTATGAGTTATGGTGTCCAGCATGTGGTGTCGTTAGGTTAGTTTGTAGTAACTTGTGGCATCGGTCAGTCTAGAGTCCACATAGCAAGCAGCTTCAGTGATGATTGCATTGCTCAAGGGGGATAGGAGTGGGACATGATGGGTGTCTCATTTCAGTGCCTCTCTGGGCCTGACAACTTAAAGGGGGCTCACATTTCTCAGATAACAAGTTTATTTTCTTTATTATTTTCCCTTTTGGTCAAAATATTTCCTCTTGAAAGCAATCATGATCAAAGTCTGAATTTTAAGATGTACCTTGTCGCCAAGAAGCCTTATTCTTGGATAATCCTGTCGCATATTGGGGAAAATGAGAAAATGTCATGGTGAGGAATTTTAAGACTGTGCAAAAGCCAAATTGCTATTAAAGAGTGGCAAAAATGCAACCTTAGTTGTTGATTTACATAGCTGCTATTACTTGTTGAATCATATCTAGTCTTCAAAGTACCATGATTTTGGTTTCCTTAGAAGAAGTAAAATGAAAGATACATAGCATTAATAAGTTTAATAGTAGAAATATTATGCACATAAGGATTGTAATGAAAAAGATAATTTGTTTGGGAACCTATTCCATCTAAGACCCAACTAAAAACTAAATGAAGTAAACTAAATCCAGTTTCTTCTTTGTATACTTGTAGCCAAGTGGCTTCTTTGCTAAACTTTTTCTGGAAGAGTTTCTACTTTTATAGGAAGTATATATATATATATACTTCCTATAAAATATATACTTCCTATATACTTCCTATAAAAGTATATGCTTCTATAATATATATATAACAAGAAGTATTTATCACCAAGCATACATCTCCTTGCCCAGTCAGCATATAGCCTAAAAAATGCAACTCTCTAGTACAACCTTAGCCGGTTAATCAATAGCTTTTTGTTGAGCTGTGATGGAGGTTACAGTTTCATCACAATATTTCCTAAAGTTATAAAAAAAAATTATTACCATGTGTTCATGGAAAGTGACACCCAACCAAGGCAAAAAAGCATTCTCCCAATTAAATGCATGTAACTATCTTCTTGATGGCTAGGCAGATAATGAGCAGATTTCTCCCAAATAGAATAACCATCCCGAATAGATTAGTGGTCACACCTAAAGAAAAGTTTGAGGGAACTAGTCTAGTGTTGTGGTTTTTTCAGAGCTATATGTACATAGAGAAGGGAACTCATCAGTTTGTTGTTTTTTTTTTCATAGCAATAGATATAGACAGAGGAGGAAGAGATATTGCTTTTCATTGTTTCATGCTCTTAGACGTTTATAGGCCCATCAACTAGTATGATGTATCCTAAGAGATTATATGTAGAATAATTTTACCAAAACCAGCAAGAGAGGAGTCCTATCATACGAAAGAGGCCTAAAAACACGAGTATACTCGTCAACACAAATAGGAGACCAAATGTTTCAGGTGGAGTAAACATTAGAATCGTGAGGAACTGGGTATACAGCCCAGGTTTGGTATCTTGGCAGAATGGCAGAATCAGACTACCTCAGGTGTCAGCTACTTGATGCCTTGGTCAGAAAGACTGTGAGTCAGCTTCAGTTAACCTTCTCCAGTGACGGAAGATGTCTACTCTGGTGGAGTTGCTTTTTTTTTTTTTTCTTTTGAGACAGGGTCTCACTGTGTCGCCTAGGCCGGAATGCAGTGGCGCATCTCAGCTCACTGCAGCCTCGACTTCCTAGGATAAGTTGATCCTCCCACCTCAGCCTCCCCAAATAGCTGGGACTACAGGAATGTGCCACCACGCCCAGCTAGTTTTTTGTATTTTTAGTAGAAATGGGGTTTCGCCTTGTTGGCCAGGCTGGTCTTGAATTCCTAGACTCAAACAATCTGCCCACCTAGGCCTCCCAAAGTGCTGGAATTATAGGTGTGAGGCACGCACACGGCTGTGGTTATGTTTTCTTTCTTTTCTTTTCTTTTCTTTTTTTTTTTTTTTTATTGAGACAGAGTCTTGCTCTGTCGTCAGGTTGGAGTGGAGTGGCGAGATCTTGGCTCACTGCATCCTCCACCTCCTGGGTTCAAGTGATTCTCCTGCCTCAGCCTCCCAAGCAGCTAGGACTACAGGCGCCCACCACCACACTTGGCTAATTTTTTGTATTTTTTGTAGACACGGGGTTTCACTCTGTTGGTCAGGCTGGTCTCGAACTCCTGACCTCAAGCAATCCACCCACCTTGGCCTCCTAAAATGCTGAGATTACAGGTGTCAGCCACTGCACCTGGCTGGGGTTACCTTTTCTAATGAGAAACATGAATCCATAAGTCAATGTCCTTAAATCTAGCAGCACAGGAATTGGTCTACAATACCTGATATGGTCCATTCCAATGGTGTTAGAGGGAATCTTTTACTTAGGATTGTCTCCAGTAAATGAAATCTCCAAGTTGTAGGCCATGCTTTTTAGGTCTTCATCTCCCAGAACCTCACTGTGAAATAAATATTTAATTTGGAGTTCTTAGTGAGAAGTTTTGTGAGACCTTGGCAATAATCGAGGATATCACCTTTAAGAAGTATAGGCTCTGTTCGTTTTGCTTAAGATCATCTTGGCAACGTGGGCTTTTTTTTGGTTCCATATGAAATTTAAAGTAGTTTTTTTTTTTTCCAGTTCTGTGAAGAAAGTCATTGGTAGCTTAATGGGAATGGCATTGAATCTATAAATTACTTTGGGCAGTATGGTCATTTTCACGATATTGAATCTTCCTATCCATGAGCATGGAGTATTCTTATTCTTCCATTTGTTTGTGTCCTCTTTTATTTCATTGAGCAGTGGTTTGCAGTTCTTCTTGAAGAGGTCCTTCAAATCCCTTGTAAGTTGGATTCCTAGGTATTTTATTCTCTTTGTAGCAATTGTGAGTGGGAGTTCACTCGTGATTTGGCTCTCTGTTTGTCTGTTAATGGTGTATAGGAATGCTTGTGATTTTTGCACATTGATTTTGTATCCTGAGACTTTGCTGAAGTTGCTGAGCAGCATAAGGAGATTTTGGGCTGAGATGATGGGGTTTTCTAAATATACAATCATGTCATCTGCAAACAGGGACAATTTGATTTCCTCATTTTCTAATTGAATACCCTTTATTTCTTTCTCTTGCCTGATTGCCCTGGCCAGAACTTCCAACGCTATGTTGAATAGGAGTGGTGAGAGAGGGCATCCTTGTCTTGTGCCAGTATTCAAAGGGAATGCTTCCAGTTTTGCCCATTTAGTATGATATTGGCTGTGGGTTTGTCATAAATAGCTCTTATTATTTTGAGATATGTTCCATCAATACCTAGTTTATTGAGAGTTTTTAGCATGAAGGGCTGTTGAATTTTGTCAAAGGCCTTTTCTGCATGACTTCAAACTATACTACAAAGCTATGGTAACAAAAACAACAGGGTACTGGTACCAAAACAGATATATAGACCGATGGGACAGAACAGAGGCCTCAGAAACAATGCCACACATCTACAACCATCTGATCTTTGACAAACCTGACAAAAACAATAAATGGGGAAAGTATTCCGTATTTAATAAATGGTACTGGGAAAACTGGCTAGCCATATGTAGAAAGCTGAAACTGGATCCCTTCCTTATACCTTACATAAAAATTAATTCAAGATGGATTAAAGACTTAAATGTTAGACCTAAAACCATAAAAACCCTAGAAGAAAACCTGGGCAATACCATTCAGGACATAGGCATGGGCAAGGACTTCATGATTAAAACACCAAAAGCAATGGCAACAAAAGCCAAAATAGACAAATGGGATCTAATTAAACTAAAGAGCTTCTGCATGGCAAAAGAAACTACCATCAGAGTGAACAGGCAACCTGCAGAATGGGAGAAATTTTTTGCAATCTACCCATCTGACAAAGGGCTAATATCCAGAATCTACAAAGAACTCAAACAAATTTACAAGAAAGAAACAACCCCATCAACAAGTGGGCAAAGGATATGAACAGACACTTCTCGAAAGAAGACATCTATGCAGCCAACAGACACATGAAAAAATGCTCATCATCACTGGTCATCAGAGAAATGCAAATCAAAACCACAATGAGATACAATCTCATGCCAGTTAGAATGGCAATCTTTAATAAGTTAGGAAGCAACAGGTGCTGGAGAGGATGTGGAGAAATAAGAACGCTTTTACACTGTTGGTGGGAGTGTAAATCGGTTCAACCATTGTGGAAGACAGTGTGGAGACTCCTCAAGGATCTAGAACTAGAATTACCATTTGATACAGCAATCTCATTACTGGGTATATACCCAAACGATTATAAATCGTGCTACTATAAAGACACATGTACACGTGTGTTTATTGCGGCACTTTTCACAGTAGCAAAGACTTGGAACCAACCCAAATGTCCATCAATGATAGACTGGATTAAGAAAATGTGGCACATATACACCATGGAATACTATGCAGACATAAAAAAAGGATGAGTTCATATCCTTTGCAGGGACATGGATGAAACTGGAAACCATCATTCTGAGCAAACTATCACAAGGACAGAAAACCAAACACTGCATGTTCTCACTCATAGGTGGGAATCGAACAATAAGATCACTTGGACACAGGGCGGGGAGCATCACACACTTGGCCCTGTCAGGGGTAGGTGGCTGGGGGAGGGATGGCATTAGGAGAAATACCTAATGTAAATGATGAGTTGATGGGTGCAGCAAACCAACATGACACATGTATACCTATGTGTCAAACCTGCACGTTGTGCACATGTACCCTAGAACTTAAAGTATAAAAAAAAAAGAAGAAAAAGTGTAGGCTCATGAGTTCCTTCATCTAGTTTCATAGGCTTCCTTGCTATTATTTCAAAAGAAAAGAGCTGGTGTTTTCCAAATGAGGCAATCATAGTTTGAGCAGGACTGATGGGAGAGCCTGTGGCCAGGTAGTGTTAAAAACTTCTGTTAGTTTTGCCAGTTGAGGTTTTACTATGCCATTGGTGTGTTCCACCAGTCCAGAGGATGTGGGCTATTGGGGGAGATGACAGTGATTGGTACAAAGAAAGTGTTGGAAAATAGGCAAAATGTTGCAAATGGATCAAATTACTTGACCAGTAAAGCATGTTTCTCAGTCACTATGGAGCTGAGATAAAACTCCTCATGTAGCAATTATCTTTTCTAATAACAATTTACTTACTGCTTAAGCCATAGTTTGTCAGCATAAGAATGCGTCAATACAATGAGAGAACAAACAAATTACCACAAAAACATACCCATAACCCTGAGATGGAGGCAGCTGGGCAAAGAGTAATTGTTGTAACTTAAAGGGTCCTACAGGTAAATGAAAATGTCCACATGACCCATGAAAGGATTTTCCAGGATTGTTTGGGACAAACACTACAGTAAGAAAAAACCTGTGCAACAGTAGTGGGTAGTTTTCAATAATATGGCTTTCCCCCTTGCTATTATTATGTCCGGATTCAAATGCAAAAAGGTAATTGAAATCCTAAAGGAAAGATCAGTTTATCCACACCATGAGCCTAATTCTGGGAAAAATTTGCCTTTTTTATTTTTCCAGTCGTCTATTTTCTTCTGAGGGCTGTTGTTTGTGGTTTCTTAAATAAAACTTTAATGGGTAATAAGTCTGTAAGGACATTTCAAAGCATTTATTGTCTAACATAACCCTCAAGGCTTCATTCTTAGCTACAGCATCAGTGAAATGGTTTCCTTTACTTTCTGGAATATCTAGTTTTGAATGACCAAGAACTTTAATGATGGCTAGATATTTGGGGTTTGGATTACTTCCAAGAGGTCGAAAATTTGTTGACAATTTTGGTGAATTGACCTGAAGAGGTCAGAACCTGTGTTGCTTCCAAAGCATCCCTCAAACCATAAGCTACCGTGAATGCATATCTGCTGTGAGCACAAATGTTAGCCATGTTATTCTTTGCCAACTGACAAACTCAAGTTAGAGCAATCAATTCTACCAACTGAGCCAATTTTATATATGGAAGAGGATTATCCTCTATAACCTCAGTTAGTGATACTATGGCATAACTAGCCCAAAATTTTTCAGATTTCATCTTTCAAATTACAATCATCAGTGAGCCATATTATACTGGCATTATTTATGGGCATCTCTCTTAGGTCCTGTCTATCAGTCAGAAAGAGTGATGCAATCATATGGCATCCTCTCAGTAGGCAAGGGCAAGAGATTTGCTGGGTTAAGATTGTTATAGCAAAATATTAACATTAGGTGAGGACAAAAGAAGAGCTTTATAGGAAGCCAGTCATTTAACAGAGTAATGTTGGGTGTGATGTGAGTTCAGAAGAATTTCCAAACAGCAGAGTACAAATGGTAAAAGGGGATTCCCTAACTATTTCTTCAATAGCCTTAAAGGGCAAAGTGACGGCAGAGATTGCTCTTAAGCATGGTGGTATCCCTGTAGCCACTGCATCAAGTTGCTGGCTGTAGTATCTAGCAGGTCTATTTTGTTCCCCATGTTTCTGTGTTAGGACTCCTAAGGTGTTTCCCTGATCTTCATCAATGAACACAGAAAACTGAAGGCTATAGTCGAGAGGCCCTAAAGCACAGAAAGTTGCAAGACTTGATAAATTGTATGGCTTTCATTCCCTCTGGAGTCCAAACAAGAGAATCAGGCTGGTTCACTATCAAGAGGGTATGTAAAGGCTGAGCTATTAAAAAAATAGGTATCCAATTCCAACAGTGTCCAGCCAATTCCAGAAATCCTTGCTTCTTTTTTGAATGCGTAGGGAAGGCTAGAATTCGTTTAATCCTTCAGCAAGCCTTTGTTACAAATCAAGTGTCTCGTGTATTTTACCTGCATCTAGCAAAATTGGAGTTTCTCTTTAGAAATTTTGTGTCCCTTAAATGACAATTGTTTTCATAGATGCATGCTGTCATTCTTAGAGGTTTGCATATTCAGGGAATAAAGAAGGACACCATCTACACATTAGATGAGCATACATTCCCTCTAGTACAGGGGTCCCCAGTCCCTGGGTCATGAACTGGTAATGGTCGATGGCCTGTTAGCAACTGTGCCAGACAGCAGGAGGTGAGTGGCAGGAGAGTAAGTATTACCATCTGAGCTCTACCTCCTGTCAGATCACTGGCCACATTAGATTTTTACAGAGGCGCAAACCCTATTGTGAACTGTGCATGAGAGGGTTTGAGGTTGTGTGCTGCTTGTGATAATCTAACTAATGCCTAATGATCTGAGGTGGAGCAGTTTCATCCTGAAGCCATCCACAACCCCCACCACGCCCCACCGCCAGTCCATGGAAAACTTGGCTTCTGGGAAATTGATCTCTGGTGCCAAAAATTTTGGGGACCTCTGCCCTAACAAATGTACATTAACCAACTTAGATTTCAAGATTTGAAAAAATACAGGAATTGCTCTCAGTATAACCTTGGGGCATGATGGTCCAGGTATACTGGTAGTCATCTCAAGTAAAAGCAAGTGAGTATTGACTCCATGGGCCTACTGGAATATCAAAGGAAACACTGCATAAATCAACCATGGTATGTATATATATACAACTTTCAGTAAGGACTGCTGCCAAAAGAATATGGGCTTTTGGTACCACCAGATGTCTTGGGATCACAATGTTCTTGACAGTTCTCAAATGTTATACAAAAGTCCAGCCCCTCCTGTTTGGCTTCCTTACAGAAAGGATCAGAGTATTACATTGGCTGGTGCAAGAAATAATTAGACCATTTTAAATATATCTTTTATTATGGGTCTGATTCCTTCAATTGCTCTAGGCCTTAGAGGATATTGTCTGGTAAAGGTTTAATAAGGTTTACTTCTACTTTACTGAGGGTGGATTAATATATTTTACCAAAGTAAGTAGAAGATTGGGATGAAAAGTGGTCTGGCAAAGCTTGCAATAAGCCATCAATGTCATTCATTAGTCCCAGTTCAGAAAAAAAATTGTTTGAACTATATTTTTTATAATTTTAGTGTTTTCATTCTTAGTCTGTAGTTGTTCCATTTGCTCCTTCTATTCCAAATTTAACTATATTTCCCCCTTTTGTGAGAAGGAAATTAGTGTATTATGAAATTCCAAAAAAAATCTCTGCCCAAGAGATGTATGGGAGCCAAGGCAACAGGCCGAAGGGAATGAAGGCCACTAAATGAGCTTACTTAAAATTCTCAGGGTTTGGACTTATATACAGTCATAGGTTCATTAGATACCGCTACCATTTCTTACAGTTTTATTACTCTAAGAAAGGAGACAGTTTAAAGTGGTAGGGCTGAGAACAGAGAGAGTAGCCTCAGTGTCTATGAGGGTACACATCTGTTTTCCATTTGTGGAAATTTCCATTTCTCCTAATACATCTTTGAGACCTTAGTTTTTTCTTCTTTCTGAATAGTTTTAGAAAGTTGATCTCCCACACTTCCTAAGTTATGGGTTTGTATATCTGCAAAGTTAAGATGGTATTATTTAAATAAGGTAACCAAGTCTTCATGTAAGCCATTGAAGAAAGCAGAATTTATAAGAAAATCATTCTGATGACCTTGGAGGCTAGCATCAGGCATTTCAGAATATTGTTTAAATGTTTTTTTTTTTCAAGCTGTTCAAAATAATCCAGCACAGATTCATCTGGCTTTTTAGAGCATTGATTAATTCTCCTCAAAGCTACATTATTTGGAAAGGTCTGGAGAATGGCATCACAAAGAGCCTGGGCTAAGGTGTAGACACCTTCATGGTTGGCTTCAGTCTTTTTTTAAAACATCCTATGAGGTATTGTTCTAAGCTTGCCATTTTCAACCATTCAGTGGCCCTGTCTTTTGATGCCAGCGTGTGAACTAATTGATAAAAGTCAGACTATCTGTGTTCTTATGTCCTGACAATTAAATGAATTTTTTTTTTTTTTTTTTGCAAACACTATGGGATCTTGGAGAAGCTCTGGGAAGTCTTTTATACTATTCTTAAGTTCAGTCTTTGTCCAACGGGTGTGCATAATAGGAGGCTCACATCTTTCTGCAGGTTTTACCTTGAAAGGGGCTGCAAAAATAGGAGTTTCAGAAAGGATGTCAGAGATGTAGAAAATTTCCTCAGGTGGTCAGGGAGATAGAATTGAAGGCAAGTAAGGACAGGAAAGTTTAGATACAAGAAGATATAAAGGTTCAGGCGTGGGTGGAGAAGGAGCAGTGGAGGTGGAAGGGAGAAGAAGGTCTCCTAAGTGAAGTCCTTTTTAATTCAGAAATAGTCTCAGATATCTTTTTCTTTATCTCCTGAATGGAGGCAATTTTTTCAACCTTTTTAGAAGCTTCTACCTGCCATTAGAAGTGAGTCTCTCATTCAATATTTCTGGTTTTAAAACCAGTTTTTCCGGTTGTACATGCAAATAATTTTGTAAGCATTTCAAAAGACCCACATTTCAGCCACTGTAGCTTATCACCAACCTGGGCCATGGGGGTCCATTTTTCTAGATATTTACAAAAGAACACTCTTTAAGTATTTTACATAAAACCAAATGGTGTTTTTAAAGGAGATCATCCCTTTAAAAAGTGCTCATATTTTGAAGCTTGATTTTCCATAATTTAAGAACTTTTGGAAAGCGTCCAAGGCTGAAAACATGCTTTGGGTCAAAGTATGCTGCCTATGAGCATCACTCCCCAGAGCGTCACCTAAACATCATGAATTGCTATATTGGGTGTCTCAGAATTTCTGGCTAATTACAGTGGCAGTGGCAGAGTGCTCAGAGTGCCAGGTGACCAACTCTTATGTGCACTTTCTGGCTGAGCTGAAAGTCCCTCCAGGTTTTCTTTTTTCAGGGAAGCCCTATAAGGCTGCTATACATCACAGCCAAATGTTGAGGCCCCTCTGCAAAGTCTGTAGTCTCCTAGAGCACCCAAATGGGTCGGGGGAGCAATTGCCTCTTCTCTTTTGAATAGAAAATAAGCCTCATAAAATACAGGGGCAGAATTTGGTTACAATAAGAAATAAAGCAGGTCCAGAAAAGCATTACTTCAAAACAATTGTTCAGATAGAGAAAATCCATCAGTGTTCACTGTTTAACCAATAAGCCAAACTTCTGGCCAAAGGCAAAGGTAGAAAAGGCAGCTTTTTTGTTTTTGTTTTGTTCCTGAGACCCAAATATACCAGATGGAAACCTCCATTCTAGAAAGGGAGGGTTGGAATAGACAGATAAAGAAAAGTCTAGACATCATCAAAGAGTAGGGAGGTCAGAATCCAGAAGGACTCATTCCTTACACTGGATAATGCTGTCAGAGGCAGAACACAAGGGGTTCTAGGTGACCAGGCATCAAGTCCAGAAAGAGTGTTGCATGGTGGGATGGATTGCTCTGAACCCTGCTTGCAGTGTCAGAAATGTTGATCTAAATAATGAAATTGAGTGACAAAATAAAATTTTGGAGTTTACTTGAGCCAAAGTGAGGACAGCTGCCTATGAAACACTTCCGGGTTACCTCGTGTATTAGTCTGGTTTCACACTGCTAATAAAGACCTACCCGAGACTGGGTAATTTATAAAGGAAAGTAGTTTAATGGACTCACAGTACCACATAGCTAGGGAGGCCTCGCAATCATGGTGGAAGGCAAAGGAGAAGCAAAGGCACATCTTACATGGTGGCAGTCAAGAGAGCATATGTAGGAGAACCCTCATTTATAAAACCATCAGATCTCATGAGACGTATTCACTACCACGAGAACAGGTATGGGGGAAATCGCCCCCATGATTCAATTGTCTCCACCTGGTTCTGCCCTTGAGCTTTGGGTGGGGACACAGCCAAACCATAACACCTTGTGAAGTGCATTTTTCAGCTTTTGTTACAAGCATGTTTTTAAAGAAAGCAGGGAAAGAAGTGGACTGAAACAAGGTTGTTTGTCAGAAATTATCATTGGTTTACAGAAATAACATTAATTAGTGATTGACTATACATTGTTGAACATAGGGTATGAATTATGGTGTCCAGTATGCAGCATTGTTAGATTAATTTCTAGCAACTTGTGGCATCAGCCTAGAGCCCACATAGCAAGCAGCTTCTGGAGATGAATACTTAACTCAAGGCAAGGGAGCAAAACATGGCTGTTGTCTCATTCCAGTGCCTGTCTGGATCTGATAATTTAAAGGCTCCCATTTCTCAGATAAGTTTCCTTTCTTCCTCATTTTGGAGCTTGTTGCCTTTTAATAACTTAATTCCCAGTAACAATACAGAATGAAACAGCTGAGCACAATGTGAGAAATAATCTACAACAGTTTTTCTTCATGTAGATGAGAAAGAAACCTCAAAGAATACAAAAATTTACTTGCTAAAGATCATGCTGTTAGCTAATATTAGACTTGCAAGAAAGTATCCTTTTCTGATATCAATTTTGATGATTTCTTAAACAGTCTGACTACCTGCTGCATAAAACCTCTTCTTCTACTTTTTTAATTACATATTTATCTTTTCTGCCACTTCTCTAGTTTACCGTCTTTTTTTACTTTTAACAACTAAGCAAAACAATATGTTTAACTTGTCAAAGAAGACTTTGACAACTAAAGATACAATACTGTTTCTTTGACTTCTGATGACTCCTCTAATAAATGTACACATCAGTCTACCTCACCTAATAAGTAAATCATTTTGGGGTATAATTACAGAACAGAAAATGCTGCTTTAAATGTTGACTAGGATGGGAATAACTAATCTTTATAATTAAACTGAAAGCTTTTCAAAGAGTTCAGTTCCTTAGACTAAGGCTTCCCACTGCTAAAAAGTAAATTACTTTGGAGACATTTCAGGGATCTGAAGTCTTTTCTCAGATTCATAGGGACACACAGAGTTCTCCAGTACACGGCCCCAGGGAGAGTTTCACTTCTGAACAGATGCTAATGTTTCATGCAATTTAGCAGTGGATATGGTAATGAAACAATTTTATTTAACTGTAGACTAGAAGGGAGACACAACCTGCATGATTTGATAATGTTCAAATTGAAACTGCCTTAAGGAGATGGAAATTGACACATATCTAGCGTTGTTTAAAATTTACAAAGTACTTAAAATGTCTTTTTGTCAATAAAAATGTTCTTTACTTTTATCTGTATTTGGCGTGAAGTTTTTATCATTCTAACCATATTGTAGGTGGTGTGGCAAAAACAAGAGATATTGTTTTATTGGCCTTCTGTGTCTATTAAATGATTTTTTCTGTGGGAAAATGTCTGATAAGAAAAATACATATTTTAAAATAATAAGATATCATAACTAAAGAACTGGAAAGTATCATATGAAATAACCTTTTCTTTTCTATGAAATTTTCTATAAACTGGCTCAAAAATGTATCTTAATGAATTTGTGGTTTTAAATGACTGATATTCACACTTCTTGTACCAGAAAATCATGTATAAGAAAATGTCCTCCAAAGTTGCATTGTTTTCTTTTCCTAGAACTGGCTAGATAAAAATATCCAGAAAACACTGATGTTGTCTACAGCAATTATCAATTATTAACATATCACGACTAGAAGCCAACTGTAAGAAGACTAAACTGATTTTTAAAAATAATTTTACATTTTCCTTATTTGACACCAAATAATAAACCACTCATATTTATAACCTGGTCTCCATTGGTATATTTTCATGTTCTGTCAATTATTTAAATTTCTATGTGTTTACTAGGGTTTGTGGTGTCAGTTCTTCTTCTTCTGCCATAAGAATAATAAGGGGATCTTAAGCGTCCCTGAATGTTAGAATTTGATTGTGTTATAATGAGGAGAACCAGGAACAAATTGCCATTTTAATGTATCAACTGGGAAAAACACAGATGGGACTCTCTAATAGGCAATTATGAAAAGTTTAAAGAAGGAATAATTGACTTGAGTGGCCAGGGATACAACAAACTAAGAGAGAAGTTACCATCCATAGGACAGAAGAGTCAAAGGGTAAAATAAGTTTTAATCCAGAGGGAAGCCAGGAGCCTGGGCTTTAGAAAAATCACCCAACAATAGCTTTAGGCTTTGGAGAGAAACGGCCACTGGCCACCCTCATCGCCCTATTTCTATTATCCCATATCCTATCAGTATCACCTTTGCAGGTGGCAGAATATGCTACCCCAAAATATGTCATTTGGCATAAAAATTACTTTGAGTTAAAGGCACTTGAAAAATAACAAATGCAAGACAAGAACTCTGATGTGTTATTTTCTTCCTGAAAATAGGAGATGAAACTGTCAAGTGAAAGATACCCTTCTTGTACCCGTAGGAAACACACATTCTCTCTCTCTCTCTCTCTCTCTCTCACATGGTGAGATGTGAGATAAGATGAACCATCTTATCACCAGAAACAGGGAGTTGAGGCCCAGGAAAATCTGTGCAAATAAGTCTTATTAAGCCAACTTTTATCTTTGTAGTCACTTCTCCATAATTAACTGTCCTAGTCCAAGCCCCTCTGTCTTGTCACATTTTCATAATTCACTACTCTGTCTTACTTAGTATATAAGCATTTGATTCTACTGCTTCTTTGTGTCTTCATTTTCCTGTGTGGGATTCCATGTACATACAAGAATATGTATGCTTTTATTTTGCTAATATAACTTACGTCAATTTAATTCTCAGTCGCCAGCCAGAGACTCCAAGAGGATAAGGATAAAATTTTGCCTCCCCTAAACTCCCATCAGCTAAACTTAGTGAAATAAAGGGCAAAAAAATCCCTGTTGATTTCGTTCATAAGTTCAGTCTCCTGGGACATAATCAAGATGCTGAAGCATCGTGGAGACTTTATCTGGTAGAGAAGATAAATATAGTCTACATTGGGAGAATGAAATTTTATCAGTCCCAAGGTTTTCTTCTACTTTCCTTCTTTTCTTTTTTTTTTTTTTTTTTTGAGATGAAGTCTCACTCTTGTGGCCCAGGCTGGAGTACAGTGGCACAATCTTAGCTCACTGCAACTTCCATCTCCTGGGTTGAAGTGATTCTCCTGCCTCAGCCTCCCAAGTACCTGGGATTACAGGCGCCCACCAGCACACCTGGCTACTTTTTGTATTTTTAGTAGAGACGGGGTTTCACCATGTTGGTCAGGCTGGTCTCGAACTCCTGAACTCAGGTGATCCAACTGCCTCAGCTTCCCAAGGTGCGGGGGTTACAGGCATGAGCCACTGCACCCAGCCTTTTTTTCTTTTTTATCTACTCTATTTTCCAAACATATGATTTGGAAATTTGAGATAAATAACTGGTGCAGCTGTTTTTCTCTGGGATCCAGCCTGACCACAGAGAATATGTGATTTTTATTTGCTATGCTGGTCTCTAAGCCTTGTTGACTTATACCAGTACTACCTCTGACAGCTTGGCTAAGTTTCCTTACTTGTAAATTCAAGGGGTCAGTTAGTTTTTACGCTAACATATGTCCTCCTACCTAGTTCTATCATAACAGAGGTAATGTTTTCTCCTTAATATTGACTCCTTATTTCAAATCTCAGCCTCTTCAGGTTTTGAGGAGAAAACAGAGATGATTTGTATTGGAAAGGCCCCAGGGAACTCTCAACGCATGCATGACACTCAATGTTGTACTTCATTGTCATGATTATTTGGCCTTCTCGATAGAGTTATAACATGTTTACTACTCTCCTTGGAGGTATAAAAAATGTTTTGAAATATGATTGAAGTGGAGTTAGTCATAGAGATATGAAAACCAGTACTCTTCCCCTTACAGGAAGAAAGGCTACTACAATGTCAATCCTCAAAAGACTACTGTTGTCTCAAAATGTGGTTGTCTCGTAACCTTCATCAACATAAAAGAGAAAAGAACAGAAATACTGTGAACAAATTTCTAAAATATTTAAGGAAATTTTTGATAAACTTTCAGGAATACCTTAAAAAGCTATGGGATCAGGTAATGTTTACTAGTAAAGCAAATGAAGGTGTATGTATTCATAATTTGCCTTACAGAATAATTTTTCTATCCAATAAGAATGATTATCATCAAGCCCAATATTTTCTTGTTCATCATGGGGAAAATAAACGTTAAGTTATAATCATTTACCATACTTAATATTTAATATTGGGTATATTTCTACATTGTGTCATGTATTGAGGTTTACATGATATACAATACAATGATATACAATGCAATGCACTTTTAAGTGTACAGGCCAATGTATTTTTTTTTTAGACAGAGTCTTGCTCCTTCACCAGGCTGGAGTGTAGTGGCACAATATCAACCCACTGCAACCTCCGTCTCCTGGGTTCAAGCTATTCTCCTGCCTCAGCCTCCTGAGTAGCTGGGATTACAGGTGTGCACCACCATGCCCAGCTAATTTTTGTATTTTTAGTAGAGACGGGGTTTCACCATGTTGGTCAGGCTGGTCTTGAACTTCTGACCTCGTGATCTGTCTGCCTCAGCCTCCCAAAGTGCTGGGATTACAGGCATGAGCCACTACGCCCGGTAGGCCAATTATTTTATCAAATGCATATACCCATGTAGCCATGAACACAATCAGGATATAGAACTTTTCTATTATACCAAATGTATCCTCATTCCTATTTCCAGTAAATATTTTCACACTCTGGCATTCAGGCAACAAGTGAGCTTTTTTTCTGACACTATAGATTAGTCTTGCTTTTTTATGATTTAATATATATCAAACCGTATGAAGTTTTTTCTTATTTCTTTTACTCAGCAAAATGTTTTTGATGCTCATTCATATTGTGGTGTGTATCTGTAGTTTGTATCATATGATTGCTGAGAAGTGTTTCCTTATATATAGATTTGTCACAGTTTTCTTATTTTCCTGCTGATGGACATTATGTTTTTCCAGTTTTTGATTATTTTAATAAACTGTTTGTAAACTTTCATGTACAAATATTTTTGTGGACATACATTTCATTTCTCTTTAATCAAAATTGAGAAGTAGAAATGCAAGGTCATATATTAAGGATGGATTTAACTTTCTAGAAACTGGCAAATAGTTTATTAAAGTGGTTGCACCATTTTTACAACCCCACTAGCAGCGTGTGAGAGTTCCCATGGCATTACAGATACTTAATACTCGCAATGATTATTACTATTGTCATTTTAATGTGTGATTAGTGGCATCTTATTTACCTCTCACTTATTTGACTAACATTTAGAAAAATGTTCTTATATATTTACACAAATCATTTTAAGATGAATGTTTATTTGTTACCAATGAGTTGATGGTATTTGACGATTTACACAAATATATTGCTGTGCGTGAATTAATGTTTCTTTTTGATTATGGTAATTTTCAAAATTAATCCCTATCTTCTCATATTTCTTGATGTTCAACAATCTTTACTACTACTGTTAAATGAGTTACCAGTTGTTTAACATACTATATCTCAGATATTCTTCCACGGGAACACATATTAACTCACTTGATTTTCAGAACAACTGAGTCATAGAGAAGTTTAGAAAGTTGAATAAATGTGTTTGTTTTACTGTTGTATATGTGTCTGTTTATTTACCTATATAGATATATATATACAGTTGTCCTTTGGTATCCATGGAGGAATGGTTCCAGGATGCTGCCAACACTAAACTTAGTGGATCCTCAACTTCCTTATGTAAAATGTTGCATATAATCTATGCACGTACTCCTGTATATTTTAAATTATCCCTAGATCATGTATGATATGTAATCAAATATAAATAATTGTTAATAGAATAAGGACAAAAAAGGTTTGTTTGTGTTCAGCATGGACACTTTGTTTTTCCTCTGAATATTTTGAAGCCACAGATGAAGCACCAATGGATACAGAGGACTGACTGTGCAGATATATGTACCTGCCTATCTCTACTTTAAATGTCAATAAATCTCCCACAATAAGAATGCAATTATTTATAAATCCCACTAAAATTTTATCCTCATTATTACACACCTCTGTTCCATGTGGCTCTCAAAGGGATTGTAAATCTTTCCATTTTGCCACAGGGGAAAGTAAGCATCCCAGTCGTGTCAATCACCATACTTCTTTCCCACATTGACATTTACTGACCGATCTTAGTCTTTCCCCCGGAATTTTATATACAGAGACCAGATGTAAGAAATAGTTCTCTATAGAGTCCAAAACAAAACAAAAACAAAAACCAAGAGAGTGTAAACCTGGAACATTATATGATTTTGTCTCCCATCTCTCTGCTTCATGAAGGAAATCAGTACATGAAAAATAAAGCTAATTTAGAAAAAAAATCAGGTTATTTGTATTGGGGCATGTGATATGGTTTGGCTCTGTGTACCCACCCACATCTCATGACAAATGGTAATCCTCATTGTTGGAGGGGGGTCCTGATGGGAGGTGATTTATTTATGGAGGTAGACGTCCCCTTTGTTTTTCTTATGATAGTGAGTGAGTTTCCACAAGATATGGTTGTTGGAAAGTGTGTAGCACCTCCTTTGGTCTCTCTTCTTCTGGCTCCAGCCATGTAGGATGTGTCTTCTTTCGCTCAGTCTTCCACCATGATTGTAAGTTTCCTGAGGCCACCCCAGCCATGCTTCCTGTACAGCCTGAGGAACCATGAGAAAATTAAACTTCTTTTCTTCATAAATTACCCAGTCTTGGGTATGTCTTTGTAGCAGTGTGAGAATGAACTAATATAGAAAATTGATGCCAGAAAAGTAGGCTATTGCTGTAAAGATACTGGAAAATATGGAAGCAGCTTTGGAACTGGGTAATGGGCAGATGTTGGAAAAGTTTGGAGGGCTCAGAAGAACACAGGAAAATGAGGGAAAATTTGGAAATTCAACTTCCTAGAGACTTGTTAAATTGTTGCGACTGAAATGCTGATAGTGATATGGACAATGAAGTCCAGGCTGAGGTGGTCTCAGATAGAGATGAGGAACTTATTGGGAACTGGAATAATCGTCACTCTTGCTATGCTTTAGCAAAGAGAATGGAGGCATTTTGTCCCTGCCCTAGATCCGTGGAACTTTGAACTTGAGAGAGATTATTTAGAGTATCTGGGGGAAGAAATTTCTAAGCAGAAAGCATTCAAGATGTGACCTGGCTGTTCCTAACAGTGTACAGTCATATGAATTCAGAAAAAGATTTTCTGAAATTGGAACTTATGTTTAAAAGGGAAGCAGACCATAAAAGTTTGGAAAATTTTCAGCCTGACCATGTGGTAGAAAAGAAAAAAACACATTTTGTAGGGAGAAATTCAAGCCAGTTGTGGAAAATTGCATAAGTAAAGAGTAACCAAATGTTAATAGCCAAGAAAATGGGGGAAATACCTCAAAAGAATTTTGGAGACCTTCACAGCAAGCCCTCCCACCAAAGGCCTGGAGGCGTAGGAGGGAAGAATGGTTTTGCAGGCTGGGCCCAGGGCACTTCTTTCCTGTGCAACATCAGGACACTGTTCCCTGTGTCCCAGCCACGCCAGTTCTGGCGATGGCTAAAAGGGACCCAGACATGACTTAGGCTGCTGTTCCAAAGCATGCAAGCTGCAAGCCTTGGCAGTTTCCGCATGGTGTTAAGTCTGTGTGGGAGCAGAGGGCAGGAACTGAGGCTTAGGAACCTCTGCCTAGATTTCAGAGGACATATGGAAATGCCTGGATATCCAGGCAGAGGTTTGCCTCAGGGGCAGAGCCCTCAAGGAGAACCTCTACTAGGGCATTGCAGAAGGGGAAATGTGGGGTTAGGGCCCCTACACAGAGTCCCCACTGGGGCACTACCTAGTGTAGTTGTAAAAAGAGGTCCACCATCCTTCAGACCCCAGAATGGTAGATACACTGACAGCTTGCTCTATGTGCCTGGAAAAGCAAAAGGCACTCAATGCCAGCTTGTGAAAGCAGCTGTGAGGAAGTCTATACCCTCCAAAGCCACAGGGGTGGAGCTGCCCAACACCATGGGAGCCCACCTCTTGCAACAGTGTGACCTGGATGTGAGACATAGAGTCAAAGGAGATTATTTTGGAGCTTTAAGATTTATTGACTGCCCTGCTCGGCTTCCGACTTGCAGCGGAACTGTTGCCCCTTTGTTTTGGCCAATTTCTCCCTTTTGGAATGGGTGCATTTACCAAAAGCCTTTACCCCCATTGTATCTTGGAAGTAACTAGTTTTTATTTTACAGGCTCATAGGCGGAAGATATTTGCCTTATCTTAGATGAGACTTTGAATTTGGACTTTTGAGTTAACGCTAGAATGTGCTAAGACTTTGGGGGCTGTTGGGAAGGCATGATTGTGTTTTGAAATTGTGAGAAGCACATGAGATTTTGGAGTGACCAGGAGCAGAATTATATGGTTTGGGTCTGTGTCCCCATCCAAATCTTGTGTCAAACTGTAATTTTCAACATTGAAGGAGGAGTGTGCTGTGAGGTGATTGGATCATGGGGCAAGTTTCCTCACTGCTGTTCTCATGATAGTGAGTTCTCAGGAGATATGGTTGTTTAAACATGTGTAGACTTCCCAATTTTCTCTCTCTCCTACTGCAGCAATGTGGGACATGCTTCCTTAACCTTCGCCTTCCACCACGATTGTAAGTTTCCTGAGGCCTCCACAGTCCCGGTTTCTGTATAGCCTGTGGAACCATGAGACAATTAAACCTCTTTTCTTTATAAATTATCCAGTCTCAGGTAGTTATTTACAGGAATACAAGAACAGACTAATGTAGTATGTTAGTTTCACATGGCTACCAACAAAGCCCCACAAATTGGGTAATTTCTTTTAGCATAAAAGAAATTTATTTTTCTACAGTTCTGGAGGCTAGAAATGTAACATTAAGATGTCCTCAAAACTATGTATCCTTTGAAATCTACAGAGGTATCCCTCCTTTCCCCTCTCTCACTTCTCACAATTTGCTGGTTATCTTTGGCATTCCTTGGCTTGCAGCTGAGTAATTCCAGCCTCTGTCTATGTAATCGCATGGTCTTCTCCCTGTGTGTATCTGTTCCACATGGCCATCCTCTTATGAGGACGCCAGTGCTATTGGAATAAAGACTCACTATTTCAGCATGAACTCAGCTTAATTCATTACATCTGAAACAACTCAGTTTTCAAATAAGGTCACATTATGAAGTACTTAAAGGTAAGAACTTCAGTATATCTATTTTCTCTGGGGAGTGGGGGCAAAGTTAAACCCATAACATGGGGTTAGGAGAGGATAAGATAGTGATAAATGGGTAAATATTTGAATCTCAAAGTCCAGTTGTTCCTGTTGCCAATCATAATTATGAAATCCCAGATACAAAGGCTAATACATTATATTTTTTGCTTTAGATAGTTTACTCCAAACAAAATAATCCTAACACATCTGTTTTACTTCTGTAGCTGTAGGCATTCCTGTTGCTTACAACCAATGAACTCTGCCTTATTGTCGAGATAATCACATTTTGCTGAATGCAAAATCTGTGATGTAATGATTTTTTTTAAAAGCCTGCTTTAAAGTAGGAGATCTTATTAGTGGATGAGACCTTGACCAATAAGACTAGAATCCTTTGCTTTTTCAAGGTTCTATTAGATTTGAGAATGGATAGAGTGCCGGGAACGTTGACTCTGTACCCCTTTGTCTCTACCTACAAACTCTCTTCTGAATTAGTCAAGGAAAGTTTGTTTCCTGTTGCCTAGTTCAGGGCTTCTCACGGTGCAATCCAAAGACCTCAGTCACCAAATAATCTGAGACAATGTATTAAGTATATAGTCTTTCATGCCTTATCCTCAAACTATAGGATAAGATTCTTTGACAAAACTTACGGAATCCATTTATATAAAGTTGGTATCCACTGCAGCAACTACATGCATGAAACATCATGAGTGAATTGCAATGCTTTATCCTAAGTGGAAGAAGCCCAATCCCAAAGGTCACATATGTGTATGATTAAATTGATGTAATATTCAGGGAAAGGCAAAATTATAGAGACAAAGAACAGATCAGTATTTGCTGGGACTGGGGTTGTGGAAAGGGATTTACTAAAAAGAAGCATGAGGGAATGGGGGTGGGTTTGTAACTTCTGTATCCTGATTGAGCTGGTGTTTACAAGACTGTATGCATTTGAGAAAACAGAGAACTATAAATCTAAAGAGTCAGTTTCACAGCACGTAAAGTATATCTCAATTTAAAAAAGAAAATTCAACTACGTGAATGCTTTTATTTCCCCTTTTACTTTCAGAAATTAATATTGCTGGTAGATTCTTGACTGATAAATAATTTAAATTATTGTAATTTGTTTTAAGCTGTATCTGTTTGCCTTAGAAAGTGTCCTTTTGTATTTAATTATTTGTCTCATTTTATGCCTTCACGATACCTGGTAATAAAATTATGATGCATGTTTTACTCTGTTTAAACTTGCCTCATATCACATTGTCCATAACTTTATATCCAACAATCCAATTTTACAGAATTGCTCTTTCTCTCTCATATATGTATACACATATATGTGTGTGTGTGTATACACATATATATATATACACACATATACACACATACATATTCCCCCTTGTATTCAGCATTGAATTAGGACTATTTACATATCCAATATGCAATTCTGATTCTTTGCATAAGTAAGTTTAATATTTTTCCCACTACAAGATAAAGAATATGGAATTATATTTGTTCTTTGTGGCATATTTAACCCAGGAAGGGGGGAATAATGAATATATCACATGTGTACTTTTTTTACTGCTAAAATATCCTGCAGTTTTCTTTTTCTGACAGTTAAAAAATACAGACAAATCTCATTCTATGCTACTACAATTGCCTATGCCCATTTGACTGCTTTCCTAAATGTGTTTGACAGTGTTGATAATCTGTAGGAGATGTTTCTGTAACTACAACCTCACAGACATTTCTGAAAATAATACCCTGGTACTTAGGAAAGGCTCATATTTAGTTACATAGTCCCAAAACATGCATTTCATTTTGTGAATGTAGAAGGAACCATATGCTTTATTAAACTTAATGATGAATTATAAACCACCCATGGAAACAAGTACCAGTGAGGAGGTAAGAGAAAATGGGAAGTTAATACAAATTAAAGTGTAAGGCCATACATACATAGAACCAGCTGAGCCTTTGTTTTCCATAAAGTTTATATTTAATTTTTTATGGTAGTCTATATTTAAGAAATTCATTTTTTGTGTGTGTTCTATTTTGACTTGGTTTCAAGAAGAGCATTAATAGTTGATGTGCGTGAACCCGGGAGGCGGAGCTTGCAGTGAGCCGAGATTGCACCACTGCACTCCAGCCTGGGCGACAGAGTGAGACTCCGTCTCAAAAAAAAAAAAATAGTTGATGTGATTATTCTAAATATTCTAATTATTCTTATATCATATTTTTCCTGAATTTGTATTACATATTTCATACTAGGTAAAAGCTACTCTTTTTTTAATGAATAATAAATATTTTTAGTATATTGTGGGATTTTTTTCTCTGATGTAAGATTACTGGGAAATTAAGACTTGAAAGATGACCACTCTTTTTGACTGTTAAAAGGAAATAGCTAACTTTGTTCTATTATAGCTATGATTATGATATAGTAATTTTGCAAATTCACTGTATGTATACCTTGTTTTACAAACAGTTAATCATGAAGGCCTCAAATTTACGTAATATTCTCATGGAAGTCAGATCTATTTACTTAATCATGGTAAAATTCATAAAGCCCAAGGAGCAGAGCAAGAAGAAATTACAGAAATTAAAGAGAGTAGAGGAAATCTGCTCTCATTTAAAGAAGACATATTGGATTATTCCATTGTATTGTACTATCTATACTACATTCTCTTCAGTACCCTGCATAATTACAGTACAGAATAGCTCTTGTAAATATCGCCTACAAAAAATTCTATTATTAAGGTAAACTCACATTTGAAAAAATAATCCATTTACAAATGTATGCTATTTTCCTTGTAAATATCTTGTATCACACTATTAAATTATGAATCATGGCTGCATCTAAGCTTAATCCATTGTCTAAAAATTCTAAATATTTCTAATTCAATCATATTAATTATTTGTCATCTTTAGATATGATCAATTAGTAAAGAAAGAGAAAATTGATGGTAAAATGTGTTATTTAAAAAATACTACGATTTAGCAAGAAAGCCAAAAAAAAATGGGATTTTAATGGGTTTAGTAGATCTGTGTAGTCAACACAGAGAAACACTGTGCTTTATGCATCCTTTTAGAAACTGTTCAAGACACTACAACATTTGACGAATGATAGCTGCTAATGTTATTCAATGTAGGATTTTCTGTTGCTGGACCTTGGCTGAAGGTCACATTTGTAAGTGAATTGGCGTAACATGAAAGTAATAGAAGCAAAATATTAGTAGTCATATAAAATATTTTTAACCATAGCAGTGGTGGAATAGGAAACTATTCAAAGGTGGGTGGGGGGAAAGCTAGTTTTTATTTATTTATTTATTTATTTTTGAAACGTGGGTTGCTGTGAGAGGATAGGCTAAACTATTGGGGATGCTTTCTGATATATTAGCTTAATTTTAATACTATGTGTAGACACTTGGCCCTTTGAATTAGATGTGAGGTGGCATGTATCTTACTCTCATGATACCAGCGGACAATAGGAGTTTTCACAAAAGTCTAACATGTTTCCATTCTCAAGAGTGACACAAGCCAGTCTCTGTCTACATCACTAATTCTACGATCCTAAGATCTTTTGCTATCAATAAGGGAGTCCTGGAAATCAGTAACAAGTGTGGAGGCCATGTGAGTACACTGGCACTTCTCTTCCTACAAGTGCACAATTGACCAAGGGCCCGGGCTCATCCCTTGAAAATATGGCGTGAACCCGGGAGGCAGAGCTTGCAGTGAGCCGAGATGGCGCCACCGCACTCCAGCCTGGGCGACAGAGCGAGACTCCGTCTCAAAATAAAAAAAGAAAGAAAGAAAGAAAAGAAAATACATTGCCATGCTTGCACTACGACCAGCCTCCCATGAGTGAGTGCAGTGCAGATCCTGAAGCAGACAATGGTCTGCTTTCCTAGAACACTAGACTACTTTGAAAATGGGCCTTTGCCCAAGGAATCCCTAAATTTGAAGAAGGTTCCCTAAAATGAAAGACACTCTAACACACTTTTTTATTCTCACTTACGTGGGGTCAGAATTGTGTTGTGAGATCTAAGGTCTCCTTTCTATTTCCTCTCACAGCCGTGCTTCCTCTCATAAATTCCTTGAACATTTTATCCTTTCCTGGCATCTGCTTCTCTGAGGATATAGCCTAATGGTGGAGAATTATGTTTTTGTTTCTAAAGAAGATATACAATTTTGATGCAACTTCAATAAAAAGAAAATATTCTGAAAATTCTACTTCTGTGATATTACACAATTGAATTTCTTTTTCTTCACAAACCTATCTTGAGGGGTTATATCATGAAGGGAAAGAAACCCTTTATATCAAGAATATGAGTTCAAGCTTTGCTGGGAGTTACTACGTTAAAATGCATTGGGCCACACACATATAGCTACACATATACACACACACAAGTTTTACCAGTAAGTGAAGTGAAAACTACTAATGAAATATTATGTTATAGATAAATAATATAAATTGGAACTTTATAGTTAAAATGAGAAAGACCTTACAGGTTATATAGACCAACTTTCTCACTTCACATCTGGCAAAATGAAGAACCAGAGAACTGAAGAGATCTACTTGAGTAAACCGGTTGGTAGTTGCAAAAGTAAATATAAATATACTATATATATATATATATATATATAAAATATATATAGCATTTATATATAATATATATAGTATTTATACATATTATATATAGTATTTATATATATATGTATACTTGTATATATAAATATAAGTATATATACGTATATAAGTGTATATAAATATAAGTATATACTATATATAAGTATATAGTATATATAGTGTAAATATATAGCATATATAAACTATATATATATAAAGAGAGAAACGTTTAAATTTTTCTCATTAAAAATGTATAAGGCACCCCAGTAGTTACTCACATGAAAGTTATTACAATTAAACCTCAAAGCATCCCTATAAGAAAGACTTTAATATCATTGCATCCACTTAATTATCTGGGAAATATTTCTCAAAGTTATTTAGGTAACTTGCCTTGGGTCCCACATTACGAAATGCCAGAGTGACGTTAATTCACATTTCATAAGCTAAATCTTAAGTGAAGTTTTTATTTGATGGTCTAGAGTTCTAGGAGCCTCATTTGACATTAAAAAAAGAAGTCTTTAAAATTCTCCTGTAAAATATACAGCCATTTTCTGTCAATTTATTTCACTGGTAGTATCAGTTTTCATTTAAATATATGTACAAATACATTAAAATTTTTCATAAAATAAATATTGCATCCCTTCTTTGCAGAACTTGTTCGTGGTATCCTATATGTCAACAGCATGTTTATTTGGCAGCAAACTGCTTTGGCATGTTTAGGTGGAAGCATGCAGAAAATTATTAGAAAATAAAGTTCTATTTATCTTGTATTCTTGGAAACTCTTTAAATATGCAGATAACATATGAATACTCTAGATATCTCTTTGCCTATATAAAATTTAACTTGTGTTATAACATTTTCATTTTGAAAAGGTGTTCATGTGACCCACGGCATTTCTAGAACTTTATGACATAAAACTTATTGCTTTACAATTGTGTAGGAAGCCGGGCGCAGTGGCTCATGCCTGTAATCTCAGCACTTTGGGAGGCCAAGGCAGGCAGATGACGAGGGCAGGAGATCGAGACCATCCTGGCTAACACTGTGAAACCCCGTCCCTACTAAAAAAAAAACAAAAAATTAGCCGGGCGTGTTGGCGGGCGCCTCTACTCCCAGCTGCTCGGGAGGCTGAGGCAGGAGAATGGCGTGAACCTGGGAGGCGGAGCTTGCAGTGAACCGAGATTGTGCCACGGCACTCCAGCCTGGGCAACAAAGCGAGACTCTGTCTTAAAAAAAAAAAAAAAAAAAAAAAAAAAAAAAAAACTGTAGGCAAGCATGCCTTTACTTAGCAATCACAACTTGCTGTGACTGTAACAGCTTTTCATATATTGAATACTCCACCTTTAAATCAAATCATTTTTATTTTCTTCTTGCTGTATATAATGTTACACAGACAGACATGAGACAGCAACTGTGACCAAAAAGGTCATTAATAATTAAATGGGTTCTTAGTCCAGGATTTAGTATTTCCTAAACCCTGTTGTCTGATGTGTTAGTTGGCTGAACTTAAAATAGTGAACAGGAAAAGTAAAACTCTTTAAAGTGTGAATATCACCGTCAACAAGAGAAGAGATGTTTATTCACATTATTGATCCTCAATTTTAAGACCTGTTTGTCACTCAGTAAGTTTTAGAGAATTAGACCATGTATAGTACTTCAATGGGTCTGCAATGACACTGACATAATGTGTTGTTAAGGGTAGGAACAAAATAGAACTCTTCAGTGGAAAATCCTATGTAGCCTTTTATTTAGTGGAAAGGGATCTGCAAGAAAGCCGTGTGTCTGTGTGTGTGTGTGTGTGTGTGTGTGTGTGTGTGTGCGTGTATGTTTGTTAGACAAAGCTCCCAGAATAGACTTAAAATGAAGCTTGTCTTTTTGTGAGGCCTTTGACAAAGAGTTAAGCACCATTCCAAAAACCTCACTCTGCCTTATTCCTGTCCAATTCTGTATCTTTATAGTCTATTAGTGTTCACATTTTATAATTATTCAGACCCATAGGAACGTGCTACTTTCTTAACCTTTCTACCATATCTTAGAAACCCTAAATAATTCATGGTCTGTTTTTACCTTAAAGTGATTTTCACAGTCATAGACAAGTCAGTTTAAAGTAATGTGACACAGAGTAACAAAATGAACAAAAAAGCATTTTGCTAAGCTCTTTATACACACTGCCATGTTGTTCTTTATGACAAATTTATGAGGTAGGTTCCTTAGCCCCATTTCACAGGCTGAGAACCTGAGACTGTCAACACTAAGCTGATTTTACTGTGATTACATCTTAGTGAGTGACAGATCTAGCAATCATGGAATTGAGAAGGCCCCACCTATGTTATGTTATAACATAACATAACATAACATAACATAACATAGCATAGCATAGCATAGCATAGCATAGCATAGCATAGCATAGCATAGCATAGCATGGCAACATAACATAACACAGGGGGCCTTCTCAATTATGTTATAACATAACATAGGGGAGGCCTTATAATTTTCTTCATTCTTATCTTGATGTGAAATAAGGACAACATCTGCAACAGGAGGTTGTGATCACTGTAAGAAACAGCTTCAGAATTACAAAATCTTTTCTTCTACAAGTTAATCTGTACTTTCACTCATTTGCAAATATTTCAAGGCTTCTTCACTCTTGAATATCAATAAAGCGATGCTCACATTGATATATTCAAGTTTCTCTATTTCATTTCTTCATTAGAAGCTCTTTGGTTCACAAAGTTTATTATCTCTAGGAAATGCTACAGAGGTGCTCTCCTGTTTTTATATATGTTATCACTCACCTCAGTTACATCATCGTGTATTTTCTTTCTGCTTCAAGCTTCTTGAAGTTTCACTGCATGCAAAATCACGTTAAAAGAGAATAATAGCCAATGTTCACGTTACATGTGTCGTCTGTCAATGGTCCCATTCTTTAAATATTGATACATTTCTCAATTCTGTTCAGAATTTGATAAATCTCTTCTCCATAACTTGAACCTGCATTGCTTTGTTCATAATTTCATGACACTAACTCTTCCGTATTTTTAAGGAATTGTTAATGCACACAATAATACCTCACTGGTAAGCAGAAATAATAGGTTGTACCATGGTATGATCAGAATTTGTCTACGTATACCTGCACACATACACACATACACCCTCCATAAATATTCTCATAAATCAATCTTAATTTAATGAGAAGTAACTTGCATTTCAGCATTGTGTGTGTGTGTTTGTGTGTCTGTATTTGTTTTGAGAGAGGGTTTTGCGTTGTCACGTAGGCTGGGGTGCAGTGAGATAATAGCCCACTGCAGCCTTGAACTCCTGGTCTCAATTATCTCACCAAGTAGCTGGGACTGCAGGTGCTCACCACCATGCTCACTAATATTTTTACTTTTATTTTTGTAGAGACATAGTTTCACTACGTCACCCAGGCTGGTCGCAAACTCCTGGCCTCAAGCAAACCTCCCGCCTCAGACCCCACAAAGTGCTGGGACAACAGGCATGAGCCACCACACCTGGCAAATATTTTCAATATCACAGAAGCAGTTTTTATGCTCACAGAGTCTCAACTTTAAACCATAACTCCATTTTAAAAGAGAATATTTGTTTTAAATTTCAGTAGATAAAAGGTACAGTAAGTGATTGCATAAAGAAGAAAGTTATAAAAGGTGAATTCAACTCTTTACAATCTTAAAACCAGAATAGGTCTTACAGCTTTAACAGCAAAATTAAGCATTTTCTCCATCTTTCTCTTTAGGTAAAAAAGTGCATTTTGGTAATGCTGATCTTCAAGAAATAATGTGTTTCTACTTTTCTATGCTATAGAGACTAAGGAAACACAAAAACGTATTAGAATCAAAGTGTCAAGTAGAATTGCGCATGCTTTGGTCTTGAATATAAATTTGTATTTCCTCCCATCATAGACACATTTACAAAGACAAAGGAAGTCTTTGTATAACAGGAAATCTAACTCCTGTACTCTTAAAATTTTATGATTTTTGTCTTCAGATGTTAGAGAAAAATACAAAAAACAATTTTGTTGGATGTGGTTTTGTAGCCTTACTTAGATAGGTAGAACTAAATAACAGATTATTTTTATCTGTAAGTAGCAATATCTAGTTTGACTTTCCTAATCTTTTTTATTTGTTTTTAATTGGCAAATAAAAATTATATATATTTATATTATACACAATGATGTTTTCATATTTGTATGCATTGAGTAATGGCTAAATGAAGCTATTTAACATATGCATTAACTCATCTACCTAATATTTCAATTAAAATATCTCCAAGAAGAGAAAATGCACAAAATAATTAAGCAAAACTTTCTTGCATTTAATGAAATGCAAAAATTAATGAATTGCACTTAATGATGTGTGAAATTAATGAATAAAATGCTAGCCAGAAGTAGCCCATCATCCTGAACCAACAGTAGACCAATCAGTCCCATTTCTTGAGCTAATTTCATTTTCTCAAGCTGTGTTACTGCTACACAAAGCAGTAGATATTGGAGATATCAATAAATCTGCTATTGTGTTTTTATTAAAACTCAAAACCCACAAGAATTTATGCTTTAGGAAATAAAATCTCCAACTCTTAGAAAACAGATTGATATGAACATTTGCTGTCTGAACATCAGAAAGATGGTATGCCATTTAAAATTAGCTCTAAACAGTCTTCCACCCTAGGCTTGCATAATTATCATGAATTTTAATTTTGTTGTTGGTGGTGATCTAACTGCATGAAAATCATCAGAGACTAATACTTGTCATACCCTTTCTCTTGACTTTGTGGCAAAAGTCTACTGACCTTGTCTTAAGAGCAGATGCAACTAAATTAGTGCAATCCTGCCAACTTAGTTTTATGGTATCTCAAACGTGATGGTTCCTCACACTGTACAGTCTACATTGCTCACTGGCACAGCATTGTCATAAGTAAACTTAACTCCAGTGGAATTCAATTACAATCTTCTTCACACATTTATATTTGATATTGCAATACTTAAAATACTGTTATAAAATTTATAACTGTTAGCCACTCTCTGAGAGCTATTGAAGCACCAAACATATTGGACATCTAGAAAATCTGATTTTCCCATTTTTTAATAAATTAACAGATACTATCATATGACCAAAATGAGAAATTATTAGCTAAATACACAATAATGTGTCTCAACTCATAATAAGAACAATTATCAGACTTGTAACTTAGTTCATTTATGAGAGATTCCTCAAAATCAACAGATAATATGTATTTTGGGGTAAATAAGGATTTCGGAATGCTTTTAAAAGAAGGAATCTCTTTACTTCAACAAGAAGCACAACCAAGAATATTTAGCAGACTAAAAAACTGTAAAGCTATTAACACTTCCAAAGAAAGTGGCTAATATGAAGAAAATCATTGGGCAGTTGCAGGGAGTTAACATGGAGAATAAGAAAATACCTTAGTTGATTATTATGTCAAATAGGCATCTCTCACTGAAGTCCTAGCTTCTACACTACCTTAAAACTACACATTTTCAAAATTTCAAAGAAGCTGTGGAAAGTCAGCAACAGTTCCAGAATATAAAAATTAATGGAAAAATATCTAAATACGAGTTACAAAACAAACCTCTAACAATTTCAGGATGGCCATGTGATCATGCCAGATGATCTCAAAGAGAAATCTTCAAACAATTTACAGGAATTTATCCATCACAGCCAGGTTACAGTAATGACCTGTGTAGGTGATGAGGGATAAAAGACTACACATTGGATACAGTATACACTGCTTGGGTGACAGGTGCACCAAAATCTCAGAAATCAGCACTAAAGAACTTATTCATGTAACAAAACACTACGTGTTCCCCAAAGACCTATTAAAATAGAAAATAAATTTTTTTGGCTGGTCGTGGTGGCTCATGCCTGTAATCCCAGCACTTTGGGAGGCCGAGGTGGGAGGATCACCTGAGGTCAGGAGTTCGAGACCAGCCTGACTAACATGGAGAAACCCTGTCTCTACTGAAAATACAAAATTAGCCAAACGTGTTGGCGCAGGCCTGTAATCCCAGCTACTCTGGAGGCTGAGGCAGGAGAATCATCGCTTGTACCCGAGAGGCGGAGGTTGCAATGAGCCAAGATCGCGCCATTGCACTCCAGCCTGGGCAACAATAAATAAATAAATAAATAAATAAATAAAAAGACGAAAATCTAACAAAGTTAGTGAGGAGGTCTCAGAAGCATGCCTCATATGTCACTAGCATAATCCTGATAAAATTATCAAGGCAAAATTTGAACAAGAGCCCAAGGGAGCCTCATGGTTTTGAAGACTTCTGAGTGGACTTCATACCACTGCAGCTTGCAAAGGTTTTAAATATGGTGTGGTTAATATTTACTTATTCATATTTTTTGTAAAATTTAGCTTGGAAAGTGACTACAGGAGAGATGACACATATTTGGAAGTTGTTTCTCTTTTGCAAATTTTACAGTGAAGGCTCAGTGGATTTTCTGATTCAGACCTATAACCACCCTAGTCACAAATATTCATGCCTCATACCTGACCATGATTACAAACGATGCTAAAAACCACAGAATAATATATTCGGTTGGTGCAAAAGTAATTGCTTTTGCCATTACAAAAAAGGCAAAGTCACAATTACTTTTGCACCAGCCTAATACAACAGCCTCACGGGAGCATTCTGCTTAAAATCATTTGGTGACCCACCAAAGATTGTATTCGAATTGAGACACACATTTTTAAAAAATCTGGCTCCAGGAATGAATAAAGCTCATTCTACCTAGAAGATACTCATGGGATAGATGCAAATTGTTGTAATAAAGACAAAGAATTAAGCTGAGATTTGAACAACCCATCATAAAAGCTAATGCAAAACTTGGAATTTAGGCTTAGCTGGAAGATTGTTTGCAAGACCAAAAAGCTCAACATTATCTAGAAGACTCTGATAAGATTCACTGACTATACAACATAACACTCATGCTCTCCAGGATAAAATCCAAAATTACTCAACATTAAACAAACAAGCAAAACAAACAGAAAATATGACCAAGTCTCAAGGAAAAACATAATTAGATACTACCCTTGAGATGATAAAGTTACTGAAATTATCTAGCAAAGACTTTAAAGTTCTTAAAAATTATGAAACTATGATAACTCTGAGGTAAAATCAAACACACTTGATATTAATATTAAGTATGAATCTCCAAGAAATGTAATCTTTAAAAAACAAAATAAGAATTTTGAAACTGACCACTACAATATCTGATCTAAAATTTCACTGGGTGAGCTCAATAGGAGAGTAGATGTGACACAAGCAAGAGTTAGTGAACCTGAAGATAGATCAATAGAAACTGTGAAATATAAAGAACAGAAAAAAGTAACAGAGTTCAGGAACATGTGAGAAAATACCAAAAAGTTGACTGAATATATCATAGGAATTTAGAAAAAGGAGGAGGAAGATTAGAGAAGAAAAAAATTTGAAAGAATAACAGTCTAAATCTTTCCAAATTTGTTGAAAGACATAAATTTACAAATTCAAGTTACTCAGGAAAACACAAAATGTATAAACTCAAACAACATTATACCTAGAGACATCATAATGAAACTAATGAAACCAAAGTTTAAGAAAGTATCTTGAAAACAGCTAGTGAAGGATTTCACAGTATTTACAATGGAACAAATTATAATTACCACAAATTTATTTTCAAAACCATGGAGGCCAGAGAATAATGGAACACCTTTAACATGCAGACAGAAATCAACTGCATATCAAAAATATTTATCCAGTGATACTTCATAGCAGGAATAAAAACAATGTAAAAATAAAGATATTCTGAGATTAATAGAGACAAAAATATATATCAATAGTGGAACTTTCTCTAAAGTAAATGATGCAATTGAATCTGTAGGTTGAAAGAAAGTGATACAAAAAGAACTTATATCATTAAGAATGAGAGAACAGCAATAAAAAATGTCAAATATCTGGGATAGCATAAAGAGCATTTTTTCCTCTAAAGTTCTAAACTTTGTAAGATTTTAAAAGCAAAACTTATTATCCGGTGTGGTTTTCAATGTACATAGGGAAAATACATATGATAATTATGCCATAAAATACAGGATTGAGTATACAGGGATTGAGTTGGATTTATATTATTAGTGTATGTATTTTATCTTTAACGTGAAGTGGTAAAATAGTAATTCTAATAGGCTGTGAAAAATTAGGCATGTATATTATAATTTCTGTTATACTCACAAAAATAAAATACCAAATGGCATAGTCAAAAGTCAATTAAAAATTAGGATTGAAATAAATATACATATATATGTATGTGCGTGTGTCTATATATACATATATGTCTGTGTGTGCATGTGTGGACATGTGTGCACACACATATGTATACAGGAATACCATGGAGATATTGCGGATTTGATTCCAGACCACTGTATTAAAGTGAATATCACAATAAGTCACACAAATATTTTCGTTTCCTAGTACATACAAAAGTTATGTTTACACTATACTGTAGTTGATTAAGTGTGCAATAATATGATGTTTAAAAAACAAAGCACATACCTTAATTTAAAAATACTATTGCTTCAAAATGTCAATAGTCATCTGAGCCTTCAGTGAGTCATAATCTCTTTGCTGGTGGAGGGCCTTGCCTCCATGTAGATGGCTGTTGACTGATCTGCATGGTGGTTACTGAAGGTTGGGATTGGCTATAGCAATTTCTCAAAACAAGAAAACAATGAAAATTTCTGCATTGATTGACTCTTTCTTTAAAGAAAGATTTCTTTATAGCATGCTATGTTGTTTGATAGCATGTTATCCACAGTAGAATTTCTTTCAAAATAAGAGCCATCTATGACAAACCCACAGCAAACATCATGCTGAAGGGGCAAAAGTTGGGAGCATTCCCCTAGAAAACCAGCACAAGACAAGCATGTCCTCTTTCACTGCTCCTATTCAATGTAGTATTGAAAGTCCTGGTCAGAACAATCAGACAAGAGAAAGAAATAAAGGGCATCCAAATAGAAAGAGAGGAAGTCAAGCTATTCCTGTTTGCAGATGACATGATTATATATCTAGAAAACTCCATAATCTTAGCCCAAGTTGATACACAACTTCAGCCAAGTCTCAGGATACAAAATCAGTGTGCTAAAATCACGAGCATTCCTATACACAAACAAGAGTCAAGCTGAGAGCCAAATCAGAAATGCAATCCCATTCACAATTGCCACAAAAAGAATAAAATACCTAGGAATACAGCAAACCAGGGAGGTGAAATATCTCTACAAGGAGAACTACAAAACACTGCTCAAATAAATTAAAGATTACACAAACAAATGAAAACACAGTCCATGCTCATGGATCAGAAGAATCAATATCATTAAAATGGCCATACTTCCCAAAGCAATTTGCAGATCAAATGCTATTTCTATCAAACTATGAATGTCATTCTTCACAGAATTAGGAAAAAAACAAACTATATTGTAATGTATATGGAACTACAAAAGATCCCAAATAGCCAAGGCAATCCTAATCAAAAAGAACAAAGCTGTAGGCATCACACTATCTAACTTCAAACTATACTACGGGGCTACAGTAACAAAAACAGCATCGTACTAGTACAAAAACAGACACCTATACCAACGGAACAAAATAGAGATCACAGAAATAAGACAGCACACCTACAACTATCCGATCTTTGACACAGCTGGCAAAAACAAGCAATGAGGAAAGGACTCCATGTATAAATAATGGTGCTGGGATAACAGGTTAGTCTTATGCAGAAAATAGAAACTGGACCCTTTCCTTACACCATGTACAAAAATCAATGCAAGATGTATTGAAGACTTAAAAGTAAAACCCAAAATTATAAAAACTCTGGAAGACAACCTAGGCAATACAATCTTGGATATAGTAATGGGCAAAGATTTCATGACAGTCTCCAAAAGCAGTTGCAACAAAAGCAAAAATTCCCAATGGAATGTAATTAAACTAAAGAGTTTCTGCACAGCAAAAGAAGCTATCAATAGAGTAAACAGATAACCTAGAGAATGGGAGAAAATTTTAGCAAACTTCATCTAACAAAAGTCTAATAGCCAGCATCTATCAGGAACTTAAACAAATGTATAAGAAAAACAAACAACCCCATTAAAATATGAGCAAAGGACATGAACACTTTTCAAAAGAAAACATACGTGCAGCCAATGATCATATGAAAGAAAGCTCAACATCACTGATCATTAGAGAAGTGAAAATCAAAACGACAATGAGATATCATCTCACACCAGCCAGAACGGCTACTATTAAAGAGTCAAAAAAATAAAGGATGCTGGCAAAATTCATGAGAAAAAGGAGTGCTTATACACTGTTGGTGGGAGTGTAAATCAGTTCAACCATTGTTGAAAGTAGCTTGGTGATTCCTTAAAAGCTAAAAACAGAACTACCATTCAACCCAGAATTCCATTACTGGGTATATACCCAAAATAATATAAATCGTTGGACTATAATTATACATGCATGTGTATGTTCATAACAGCACTATTCATAACAGCAAAGACATGAAATCAACCTAAATGCCCATCAAAGGCAGATTGGGCAAAGCAAATATGGTAGATACACACCATGGAATGCTATGCAGCCATAAAAATGAAAAAGATCATGTCCTTTCCAGAAACATGGATGAAGTTGGAGGCCATTATCCTTAGCAAACTAATGCAGGAACAAAAAACCAAATGCTGCGTGTTCTCACTGATAAGTGGGAGCTAAATGATGAGAACAGCAGACACATAGAGGGGACAACAGACACTGGGGTCTACTGGAAGGTGGAGGGTGAGAGGAGGGAGAGGATCAGGAAAAATAACTAACAGGCACTAGGCTTAATACTTGGGTGACGAAATAATCTGTACGACAAACCCGCATGACAAGGGTTTACTTATATAATAAGCCAGCACATGTAGCCCTGAGCTTAAAAGTTAAAAATATTAGAGACAATCAATTTACACTGTATCAAATTAAACTAAATTAAAATTAAACTTTATCAACAGAGTTTATGTCATATTGTAAGTACTGCGTTGTCAATTCAACAATGTTGTCACAGCATCTTCACTGAGAGAAGGTTCCATCTCAGTAGACCACTTTCTTTGTTCATCCACAAGAAGCAACTACTCATTGTTCGGGCTTTATTATGAGATGGCAGCAATTCAGTCACTTTTTCAGGCTTCATTTCTGATTCTAGTTCTCTTGTTCTTTCCACCACATCTGTAGTTCATTTTTCCACTGAAGTATTAAACTCCTGAAGGCCATCCATGAAGCCTGGAATAAACTTCTTCCAAACTCCTGTTCATGTCGGTATTTTGATCTTCTCCCATGATCACAAGTGTTCTTAACAACATCCAAAATGGTGAATTCTTTACAGAAGGTTTTCAACGTACTTTTCCCAGATCCATCAGAGGAACCACTGCACTACCTAAGGAAGTTTTAGCCTTATGAAATGTATTTCTTAAATAATAGGACTTGAAAGTAAAACTTACTCCTTGAATACGGGCTGCAGAATGGATCTCCTGTTAGCAAGTATGAAATTATTAATCTTCTTGTATATCTCCATCAGAGATCTTGAGTGACCAGATATAGTGAGCAGTGATATTTTGAAAGGAATTATTTTATTTTATTTTGAGCAGTAAGTCTTAACAGTGGGCTTAAAATATTCAGTAAGCCATTGTGTACCCAGATGTACTGTCATCCAGGGTTTGTAGTTCCATTTATAAAACACAGAAAAAGTAGATTTAGCATAATTCTTAAGGGTCTTAAGATTTTTTCAGTGGTAAACGAGCACTGGCTTCAACTTAAAGTCAGAAGCTGCAAAGTCCCCTACAAGAAAGTCAGCCTGTCTTTTGAAGCCAGGCATTGACTTTTTTTTCTAGCTATGATAGTTCTAGATGGCAACTTCTTCCAAGAGAAGGCTGTTTCATCTACACAGAAAAGCTGTTTTTCAGTGTAGCCATATTCACCAGTGACTTTAGCTAGATTTTCTGAATAACTTGCTGCTGCTTCTAAATTAGCACTTGCTGCTTCCCCTTGCTCTTGTATGTTATAGAAATGGTTTCTTTCCCTAAACCCCATGAACCATCCTCTGCTAGCTTCAAACTTTTCTTCTGCAGCTTCCTTACCTCTCTCAGCCTTCACAGACTTGAAAAGGGTTAGGACCTTGCTCTAGATTAGGTTTTAGCTAAAGGGAATGTTGTGGCAGGTTTCAGACCATTAAAACTATCCATATCAGTAATAAGGCTGTTTTGTTTTCTAGAAATTCACATGTTAACTTGAGTAGTACATTTAATTTCCTTCAAGAACTTTTTTTTTGCATTCACAATTAGGCTAACTTGTGCAAGAAAGCTAGCTTTCAGCCTAGCTCCACTTTTGATAAGCATTACTCATTACATTTAATTATTTCCAACTTTTGATTTAAAGTGAGAGATGTGTGCTGCTTCCTTTCCTTGAACAGTTAAAGGTCATTGTATGGTTATTAGTTGACCTAAGTCCAATGTTGTTGTTTGTCAGGGAATAAGGGGTCCAGGGAGAGAAAGAAAGAAGGGGGAATAGTCGATCAGTGGAGCAATCAGAACACACACAACATTTATATATTAAGTTTACTATCTTATAATAGTGTGGCTGGTGGTGCCCCAAAATAATTATATTAGTAACAGCAGAAATTGCTAATCATAGATCACCATGACAAATATAATAATGATGAAAATGTTTGAAATATTGTAAAAATTACCAAAATGTGACACAGAGACATGAAATGAACACGTTGATTGAAATATGGCACCAAAAGACTTGCTCAATGCAAGGTTGCCACAACCTCCAATTGGTAAAAAATTCTGTATCTCCGGAGCACAATAAAGTAAAATACAATAAAATGAGGTATGATGTAATATATTTTAATTATAAAAATACAGAAAAGGGGAACAGAAGAACACATATAAAACAATAAGAACAAAAAATTACAAAGGTGACAAACAGAAAGAAAAAATCAAATGATGCACTTAAATCTAACCATATTAGTAATAGCATTAAGTATTAATGGCCTATAGATTCCAATTAAAATGAAGAAATTGACAGATTTGATCTTAAAAAAGAATGATTCAAATATATTCTGACCATAATAGGTACATTACAACAGAAATAAGCTGAAAGTACAAAATTAATATACGTATACCATCTGCTCAAGTGACAATATAAAATTTATTAAATAAAATGATTTTCAAAATAAAGAGCATTAATAGAAAGGAAAATATATACTTCATGAAAATGAAAGGAACAATTGCTTAAAAAACATAACCATTACAATTGTGGATATGTCTAGACCCAAAATACAGGAACAAAAATTGACATGATAAAAGAGAAAAACAGCCACTTCCACACCATACATAAGAGATTTTAATGTCTCTCTTTCAGCAATTGATTGAAAAATTATATGAAGAGTAACACAAAGGAGCAAACAACATTATCTTTCACTTTTCTATTCCAAAAAAGCAAAATACGTTTTTATCAAGGGCACATTGTGTATTTACTAAGGAAAACATATGCTAAGTTATAACAAAATCTCCATAAATTTAATGGATTGAAATCATACAAAGTGTTCTTTGAAAATAAAGCACATAAACTGTGCTTATATAAGAAAATAGATAAATTCAGTAAACACACTCTCCATGTTAACAAATTAGATTTACAAAATAGAAAATCAGATACAAAGTAAGTAGAAGTCAAGAAAAAATAAATAAGAGCAGAAATCTCTGAAATTAAATAGACAAAAGAGAACACTAGCAAAATCAAAACCAGTATATATGAAAGAAGTTTGCCAAACCTTTAGCTCAAATGATCAAGAAATAAGGAAAGAAAAAACAAATTGCAGGTTTCAGGAATAAAAAAGGGGGTTATAACAGAATCTGTAGACATTAAAAGATGAGCATATGTATTCTACCAAATTCAATAAAAGTATAAAAATAAAAAATTCAAATATATAATTTATCATATTTGACATTAAATCTTAATAATGGAAAATAGATTATAATATTATTAAAAAGGTTTCAAAAACTCCACTACCTGCATGCTCAGATTATTTCAGTGATAAATTCTAATGAATGTTACAGAAAAACATAATAATCAATTTAACACAAACTTTTTCCAAACACAAGAAAATGAGGGAGTACAACTCAATCTTTTTCTTTATGGCTAACATTACCCCAACATTAAGAACTTACAAAGATATTGCAAGAAGGAAAAGGAGGGGAAAGCATAGAGGAGGAGGAGGAGGAAGAAGAGAGAGGTAGAGAAAGATAAAGAGAATTACAAATCAATATATCTCAAAGATGGAATAATTATTCAGAAAATATTATCAAATTGAATTACTGAATCTAACAATATAGGTAGAGTGGATGATACAGCAAGACCAAGTAGTGTTTATTCCAGGACTGAAAAGTTGGTCTAACATTTGAAATAGAAGCAATGAAATTTACCATATTAACAAGAAAAAAGTTAATGAATTTCAACATACACAGATAAAAAAATTGAAAAATATGTTATACTCATTCAGGAAAAAATGCTCAATAAACTAGAATAGAAAGGGAATTTCCTCAACTTATTAAAGGGCATCTATTCTCCTAACATTATACTTCATGGCAGAGACAACTAATTTTCCCTTTGAGATCTTGAATAAAGGCAAGAATTCTCACTTTTACTAACACTTCTGTTTAATTTTAAGATCATACCATTTATAATAGGGCCAATGGCATACAAATCTAACAAAGAGATGTATAAAAACTATAATCTCAATACTGCAAAATATTGGAATTAAATACTACCTCAATAAGCAGACAGTTATACAATGCTTATAATATAGAAAAACTATGATCCAAATACTACAATATTGGAATTAAATACTACCTCAGTAAGTAGAAAGTTATACAATGCTTATGAGATAAAATGTTCTATTTTTCTTAAGATAACAGATCTTCCCAAATTTACCTATAGATTCAATGCTACACCAATCAAACTCTAACAAGCTTTTTGGTGATTATTAACAAACTGATTATAAATTATAAATTAAATATGCCAGGTGCAGTGGCTCATGCCTGTAATCTCAACACTTTGGGAGGCCAAAGCAGGTAGATCACCTGAGGTCAGGAGTTAGAGACTAGTCTGGCCAACATGGCAAAACCCCATCTCTACTGAAAATACAAAATTTAGCTGGGCGTGGTGATGGGCGCCTGTAATCCTAGCTGCTCGGAGGCTGAGGAAGAAGAATAGCTTGAACATGGGAGGCAGAAGTTGCAGTGAGGTGAGATTGTGCCACTGCACTCCAGCTTAGGCAACAAGAGAGAAACTCTGTCTCAAATAAATTAATTGATTAATTAATTGTATTAATAATTATTAATAATTATATTAATAATTATTTTATTATAAAGAGGACCTAGACTAATCAAATCATTTTTTCAAGTTTGGAGAACTTGTTCTAACTATTATCAATATTTACTATAAATTTACAACTAATCAAGTTGGTTTGGCATTGGCTAAATATAAACATGTAGATCAGTAGAACAGAACAAAAATTCCACATCTCTGGTCACATACATGGTCAATTGATTTAAAACAAAGGTTCCAAAGCAATCAAACAGGGAAACATAAAATCAACAAAGGATACTGGATCAGCTGGATATCCATAAGAAAAGATGCCAGCATCATGTTTTAGCTCACACCACAGAGAAACATTGATTCAAAATGGATCATTGACCTAAATAAAAACTAAAACTATAAAATTTTTAGAGGCAGTTGGAGAAAATCTTTCTACCTTGGGGTAGGTTGAGATTTCTTAGAATATAAAATGCACAAACCATAATACAAAACAGAATGGTAAAATGGACTTCATCAAAATTAAAGTTTTACTTTTTTCCTTTTCTTTTTGTTATTTGTGTAAATTTAGGGGGTAAAAGTGCAATTTTGATACATGGACATGTAATATTTCATAGTGATGAAGTTTAGACTTTCATTGTATGCATCAGCTGACTCCTTTATTTAAAAAAAGGCAAGACATTGAGAAAAAATAGTGAGAATTTTCATATCAGACAGGTGTTCTGTATCCAGACTATTTTAAAAATACAATTTACTGATAGATGGATAACAACAACAAAAACTAAATACGACATAATTTTAAAAAAGACAAATGATTTGTAAATATTTCACCAAAGTAGACATGTAAAAAGCAAATAACCACATTAAAATATGTTTAGCATCATGAGTCTTTAGAAAAATGCAAATAAAATCCACAATGTGGTAGCCCTAAAATATCCATTAGAATGGCTAGTATTAAAAAAATAATTTGGGAGGCCGAGGCAGGTGGATCACCTGAGGTCAGGAGTTCGAGACCAGCCTGGCCAATATGGTGACACCCCGTCTCTACTGTAAATACAAAAATTAGCCAGGCATGGTGATGTGCACCTGTAGTCCCAGCTACTCGGGGTGCTGAGGCAAAAGAATCGCTTGAACCCAGGAGGCGGAGGTTGCAGTGAGCTGAGATTGCACCACTGCACTCCAGCCTGGGCAACAGATGGAGACTCCATCTAAAAAATAAATTAATTAATTAGATAAAATAAAATAAACATCCCAAGTGTTGCCAAGTCTGTGCAGCAACCTAAATTCTCATGCACTTCTGGTAGGAATATGAAATGTATACCTACTTCTAAGAAAAAACTTGACACTTTTTAAAATAATAATCATTCACCTATATGAACGTGCCACTCCACTTCTATTATTCATCCTCCAAAAATATTAAAACATATATATTCACACAAAGCCTTGTACACAAAGGTTTATAACAGCTTCATATAATAGTTCCCAAATGGAAACAGCTGAAATGCAACAAGTGAATGGGTAAATTGTGGTATATTCATACAATGAATAATCACTCAGCAATAAAATAGAAGGAACTTTGATATATGAATCAATATGGATAATCCTTACTCTTATCGAAATCCTTACTCTGAGTCAAAAAATCCAGGCAAGAATGCATACACAGTATATCCCATTTATATAAGTTTTTTAAAATGCAAAATACTTGGATGAAAGGTGGTCAGTAACTAAGTTGTTGCCTGAAGATGGGCATAGAGGGAGCCTTGGATTAAGCAAGACAGTAGGACACTTTGGGTGGTAATGAAAATGTCGGTTTTCTTGATTATAATGATGGCTTCAAGCACAGATACAGATATTAAAACCGGTAAATTTTTCAAATATGTGCAGTTTATTTTAATTAAATTATTCATCAATAGAGTTTAAGACACAAACAACTGGATTCCACCAGAAAACTAAATATATTACCTTGTTAAATTGATGCCTAAGTGAAGCATAGTGCCTCATAGCAGAAAGGGTTAAATTTATTTCATTAATCCTCTGTTTTGAAAAAGTGATCACTAGATAAGTTTGTTCAAAAAGAGACAAAAATAATAACAAAAACAACTAGGCTTTGACTGAAAATCCAGTGCCTTAAAAACTGTAGAGAATTTCTACACTGTTTCTTTCTTTTGTCCTTAAAGTTTATACCACAATATACAAGAAGCTAAGAAAGTTGGACAAATGTAACAAGTTACGGTTCAGGGAATGACAGGGAAGATACCAATATCCCCAAATCCATAAAAGTCCTTGATTGAGAAGTTCATGGAAGTTGACAGGGGGTTTAAAACCATGAAGCCTCAAATACAAGGTTGTCCTCACTAGATCAAATGTGTCTCATCTAAGGAGAAAATTATTGTACTTACATCATTAGAGGCATTTATGGAATGTTTAATATTACATGATCCAAGAAACAAACAAGGACATCAGAAAATTTAGGAAGTTTGGTGAATGCCTGCATATGAGGTTTTGTGATCTTCTGGGATTAAGGGTGGAGAATCTTCTCTTAGTTTAATGTGGGCACTTTGACCTGAGTACTGGACTAAAAATTCTGATCACAGTCATTCTCTAAATATTAGTCTGTGTCAAAGAGTTCAAATGTGTGACTTCCAGACTCTTAAATGTTATTTCACCATCTGTGTCCTTTCAAGCGATTCAACAAAGAATTAAGCAACAGAAAGAATGAGAAAACAGGCCACTAACAGAGAGAATGTAACACCACCAATGGCACATTAATACACAGCTTCAACAGCTCAACTCACTACCCCCTATGGCCCGGTTTATTATACAAGGAGAGGATTGAGGAGAGAGACCACCTGAATCTGCATAACTTAGCTATTTGCACTAAGATATTTTTGTCTAGGAAGTCAAGATAACAGAAGAATAAATAATTTCACATTGCTTTAGAAAATCCTTGGAACCAATTTTTCTGAGTAAAAGGTTTTCTCATTTGGGCATGTTGCCTTGTCTGGGCAAAAGTTTACTTACCTAAACAAAGAGTTTCCCTACAAGAAAAATCATTTGCTAATTAAAGCTGGCTTTCATTATGCATTGAGTTTCTCCCTACTTTGTTAAATATAGTATTTTTAAAAGAAAAGCTAAATCATCCAAAGTGATACATATATAGCAATGTGTAAGCTATATATGTTGTCCAAAGAATGTCATTCAAACCTGTTTCCTCCCTTGTACCTTCATTTCCACCAGATAAAAACCCAGCATGCTAAAAGGTTTTTTTTTTTTTTATTAATCTCAGGTAATAGAAGATACATAGAGTCCATTTAATTTTTAAAACACAGACCCAAAAAATGAGAATGTTTACCCAATGTGCTTATTTTACTTTAGTCCGTGATCAAAGGTGAGATTTCTCATTCACTTCACTCCCAGAAACATGATGCTGTCACTTGCATTCAATGAAGAGAATATGGTCTTTCTTCCCCCTTTCTTGCTCACCACTTCCCTTACTCACTGTTTCATACTCTGCCAGAGTTTAAAGACGGTTGTAGGGGTGTCTATTAGCCCATTTTAACATTCCTATAAAGAAATACTTGAGACTGGGTAATTTATAAAGAAAAGAGGTTTAACTGGCTTTACAGGAAGCATTGTGCTGGCATCTGCTAGATTTCTGGATAGACCTCAGGAAACTTACAGTCAAGGTGGAAGACAAATGGGAAGCAGGCATGTCACATGAAGAAAGGAAGAGCAAGTGACAGAGAGTAGGGTTGGAGGAGGTGCTGTACACTTTTAAATGACCAGATTCTGTGTGAACTCAGAGAGCTTACTTATCGCCAAGGGGACAGCCCAAGCCATTCATGAGGGATCTGCGCCCATGATCCGAACATCTCCCACCAGGCCCCACCTCCAACATTGGGCATTACAAGTCAGCATGAGATTTGGGTAGGGACAAGCATTCAAACTACATCACGGTGGGAGGAGAAAAGCATATGGCCAAGTTCTTATTTCTCCTCCACTCTCTCTAGTGAACATTTTCATAGATACTTCAGAGGCTACTCTTGAAGTAGTGCCTCTTCTTCATCTACTTCTTCCTGATATCTCATCAGTGGTTGATCTTAAAATCTCATTCACATAGACTCTGCTTTATAGTCCTGCCATGCTACCCTAGTGGATATTCTGAAGCAAGATTCCTATCAAAATGACCTTGGTCGTAAATAGCTGGATTGAGTTCCAGAACTCACCCCTAGGTTTTATGTTTCTGTTAGTATTTACAGTTGTTAGAAGGAAATACAGTTATTTATCAAGTCAGCAACAACATTTCTCATCCCCAACCCTATTCTTTTTCTTCTCTCTTCTCTATCCACCATCCTGCCAAAGACATTTTGCATAACAAAATCAGTCATGGTTAAGCACATGACTGCATGAAACCTTTTTCCAACTCCCCAAGGGACCTCCTGGAAAGCCCCCTCATCAGGCTTGAGATTAGAATTTACCTTCATCCTTCATTTATTGATTAACAGTTGATTTGGGATTTGCAGGAAAATCAGAGTATGAAAATAATTTTTCCCAGAGATATATCTTCAGGGCCCAAAGTTTAAATCCCCTTCTTGATCTTTTTGTGTCCTGATGCAAGTGAGGATTTTCAAAAGTTTTAGAAAAAACAAAAATACTTAACTGTTTCCTTGGAAATTTACATTTTGGCCTGTTACCCAACTCACTTTTGAATCTGTTATTTATTTCACCTCAGACATCAATAAGACATTTTCCAAATTAACATCCAGTCACAAATATTTCAAAATTTTACATCAGAGATGGGATGATAGGAAGGGGAAAGAACTTAGTGTCATTTGTTAAAAATATTAATAAGTAGAAAATATTTTTGTACTTAATAACATATCTATTGGAATAAAATAGATTTCTGAAAGGAAACAACAATCGTTTATTACTGCATTGTAGAAATATAGAAAGACTTTATATTTTTAAAATAGATTTTTTATTTTTAATTAATTTATAGTAATTACACAGTAGTACATGCTTAATCAGAATGAAAAATTCATGGGTTTTTTTTTTAACAGAAAATAAACTTTAAAGTAAGAAGAGAAAAATTCTGAATAAACAATTCCAGCCTCTTCCTTTGTTTATTCCATTTTCTGCTGGGTTATCACCTCAATTCTCACAAATCCCGCCAACCAAAGCTTGTGGTGTATGCATGTGTCATGAGAGAAATTGCTACAGTATTAATACTGAGTCTTTTTTGAAGTATATTGACCCACATCTAAGTTAGAAAGCTGTATTTTGGTGTCACACTCTGTATTCTTTGGTCCTAATGCTAAAGTTTTAATGCTGTCAGATGTTAGCAGCCAGTTTTTTTCTTTTTTCTTTTTCGTTTTAACCTCATTTTCACTCTCTTAAAGTCAAAATATGCCTAACTAACTACATTTGCTAAGATTGGCATTTTAAAATGCCATCAAATGGTCACAGTGTAAAGGATCTTTCACAGTTGAAGAAAACCCACACACAGGGTAGATTTGTTTTTGACCCATTAGTAAGCTTAGATATCTCACAAAACACAGGATCACTTCAAGGCAGCACGCCTCTAGTTAAGATGCATTTGCAGTGACAGGGAAATGCCAGGTTTCTGATACAGATTTTTTTATATATAATTATTACAGATATTTTATATATATATATATATAATTATATATGTACATATATATAATTTTGTAGACAGACATCTTCAGAGATAATTCTTTTATAAAATGAAATAGCAGTATTTTAGTATTATATTGATATATGTCTATGATTGAAAACCACGTTGAAATATTGAATGATCAGGCACCTGCTAATTTCTCATCAGAACTCTTTGAGAAAGTAGTGGGAATAAGTATAATTTAGATGATGCAACATTGAGTAATCAGTATGAGAACAGCTTGTAAACTGATGACATTGGCTTGAATTTGGCTGATAAAAAATTAGAAAAATAACTATACTTTTCCTATTGTACCATTTTTTCCTCTCAAGCAGAATAATATTTCTTCTGCACCTGGAACCAGACTTCTGAACTCATTTCAAGTGACTGAACCATTATTGAGATATTAAAACAGGTGTTACTAAACCTACCAGTTATTAGGTTTTCTTCATATATCTATAATTTTTAATGTACAAATATTTACTTATTTGTGTGTTATGCCCCTTTACTAGATTATCATTTCTGGAATATTCAAATCTGTATCACATTCACTTTTTCCACAATACTTTGTATTCAATACTTATTTTCAAAACGTCATTTGTGTTGTTAATTACACGTAAATTCCTTGGTTCTCAAGTGACTTATTTTCAGCAGGTGTAGAGAGAGATAATCCTGTATAAACTAGCATTCTGTATGCAGCTTTGGATTCATTGTGCACTTTGAAAAATCAAGATCTTGAGAGCAATGCTTAAATTTACTGGGGAAATTTATTTTTGAGAACAATTGAAATTTGGTTATTTTTTACACACAGATTTCATGACTATAAATAAAAAGATTTTTGACTGTGTAAATAAAGTTGATGTTGACAATTTATTTTTTAATAACAATATGTGAATATGTAATTATCTAAACCCGAAGTTAGCAATTTTATTTTATAAATGGCCAGGAAGTTAATACTTGGCTTTGTGACCATACTCTCTCTTGCATCTATGCAACTCTGTCTGCCATTTTAGCATTAAAGAATCCATGGACAATAGGTAAATGAGTATGTTGATTTTCAGTAAAACTTTACTTCAACAACATGCAGATAGCTTGACTTGATCATGGGCTATAGTTGCTTACTCTTAATCAAACACATGATTATATAAAAAGACAAGTTATATTATTCAGTGAGTTTCTGATACTAATTTTTATAATTTTTATCACATTCTTAAATTGGTGAAAACCCTTTGTTGAAACCAAAGACTGTTTTCTGGTCTGTTTTGAATTCCTCTTTGTTGTCTATTCTAATGTTTTCATACTCGTTTTTATGATTATGTAAGTTTCCACATTGGGATGTGCTTGTCCTTTGCATCTTTTAAAAATTCTTGAACATATGTTTGAGCTTCAATTTCTCAAGTACATCAATTAAATATTGGTAGCATATCTAGGGAGATGTCATCCTCACATTATTCTCTACAGTGTTCTTTCGAATGACTTACTTTGCTGGAAAGTCTATTATCTATGGTCATGTGAGTTTATTTTTCTCTCTAAGTACTACTTTATCTGTTTGAATCCTTTTTCTATGAAGTTGATACAGTTAGTTGACAATGTAAAAGCAAGGAAAGAAGTGAGTGGTAAAGAAGAAAGGACAAAGAAAGAAAAAGTGAAAAGAAATGAGAGAAGGAAGGTCAAAGCAATGTGATTTTGTTTTTTTGGAAGAAAGATTGGCTTCTTAAATGAAAGCAGGTATGAAAATACTCACTATATTTGACATTATTGTTTTGATCAGACGTCACATAAAATCCAAAATATGCCCAAGATTAACACATTAAATAGTCGCCCGCTGTGCTTAATTATGTTATTGTCCCCAGTTATTGACTGCCTTCCCTATAAGGAAATTACACCTTTTTGCTAAATCCTATATGCCCTGCATGGACTCTTGATGGCATAACTTTTCTCCTTCTCTTTGACATCATATTGGACCTTGTGATTTGCTATGGCCAAAGAAAGGTGAGCGCTCCAAAAGAAATGGTAAAATCCTTTTTCTAGCTCTGGCATTGCTTTATCCACTCTATCACAAATAACAGCATGACATAGTTTGGAGCTCTTCCTTCAGTTTAGATTCCTGAATAAAGAAGCTAAATGGAGCACAATTAGCAGTGCAGTTCCAAAGCCAAACTGCAGTTGGAATGTCGCATGGGTGAGAAAGAAATCACTGGTTGTGAGCCAATGAGATTTTGATGTTGTTACTACAGAATAACTTAGTAAGAGTTTAAAAATACAAAAAATATATAAGGACTGGGTGCTAAAGTAATTAAAATCTAATATAAGTGATATTGGCTTCAGGAAAAGGCAGCAGATAGCAAGAAAATTGTTACTAGAAATTGGACATTGAGAATCAACTTGTTCATAAGCACAAGCATCTAATAATCTGTTGTGATAACTTGAACGTCATACATTATACCAATTGAGCTTCTGGATTATTAAAGAAGTTTACGAATACACTGCTGCAAACGTGTCTTAGTGTCTATAGGTTAGATTTACTAAGAACCTAAAAGAAAGAGTTGAGTTTCAAAAAGATTTGGCTGCCGTACAAGCAAAAATAAAAGAGAAAAGAGATATTCTATAAATTTCAAAATTTTTAATGATATGATATAATTTTTTTATCTACAACCAAATAAACTTAAATAGAGAAATGCAAAACAAAGACAAATAACTACCAAGTCTTAAAGGTTAGACATAAAATCAGACACTTTATAGTTAGAAAAAAATGGCTCGAGGGAAATTCCAAGAGTTCGCTAATGGCTGTTAACCTCAAGCTATAAACAATGAAGACTAGAGAATAATGTGCCATATGTTGAAAATAAGTGTAAGTATAATATTTAGTGAATAGAGCCAACTGACATCAAATTGATTAAAAAGATGATTATATTTTTTGAAAAATCACTGCCAAAGGGCAAGCAGTTGAGACCTAAGCAGCTTGCATGGTTGATAGAAGGTGAGCAAAAGAGACCTATGCTATGCCTGAGCAGTAGGGTAAAAAGTAATTGCAGGCATACCCCATTCTATTGCACTTAAATTTATTGTGCTTCATAGAGAATGCATTTTTTTAACAAATTGAGGATTTGTGACAATTATGCATCTTTTGGCACTATTTTCCCAAAAGTATGTGCTCATTTTGTGTCTCTGTGTCAGCAATTTTGTTGTAGCAATAATCTATTTTAAAATTAAGGTATGTACATGTTTGTTTGTAGTGCTATTGTACACATAGACTACTGTATAGCAAAGAGAACCGTTACATAAACTAAGAATCCAACACATTTGTGTGACTGAATTTATTGTGATATTTGCTTTATTGCAGTGGTCTGGAACTGAGCCCACAATATCTTTCAGATATGCCTTTGTGTGATTCTCTTGTTGCTCTTTGCTTTTGCCAATGATAAAGGCATGTTTTGAATGTGGGCTGCTTTTCAAACATGAATTTTATCTTGAAGAAGACACATGGAACATTACAACTTATGTGTCTCAGCCACGATAGATAAAATGTAATGTTTCACATATTTAGTACTGACTGAAAAATACATATTTATTATTATAAGTCCACTGATATAGAGGGGATGCATGTTAGTGAAGCATAACTTTGCAAACTCAAACTACAAAAGCACCAATTGAATAAGAATAATAATATGTAGAAAATAGTTTTCGTGAGCCAGGAATTATTATTGGCATATTTTATGCATTGTTTCATACAATCCTTATAAAATATCTTAAATTATGGAGTCCTCCATCAAGGAAAAATTTAAAATGGGAGGAAATAAGCAGATATGAACAATTAGAAATAAAAATGCTATTGTATTTCTTCAGAGAAATGCAAAAGGTACATAGGTAATAGATCAATTTGTTCAGAATTCTGAAGAAAATTAGATTTAGAAATTTTGAGTACCTATTCTGAATACAAGAGAGACTTAAGGCATCCCATTCATTCTTTGCTGGTACATACTAAGCTTAGAGAGACAACTTCATTTTTAATAACAAAACAGAAACAGAGTGGGGGGACTATAAAAAATGCACAATATGAAGAGAAATTAATACACTAGAGATTCAAAGGAAGAATCTGTATAGTTCATAACTTTCAATAGAAAAAGTATGACCATTCTAACAAACCACTAAGCTAGTATTATTAAATCTAGGTGAGAGATTGATCCCTCGAAAAGAACAAAAAAAACAACAACAAATATTGTGCCATAAGAAATGTGTAGAATCAAATTTTAAATACACATATGTTCTATTTACTATATATGTAAAATAAGGAAATTGACTGAGTTTAGGAAAGCTGCAAGAGATCACACAATGTGAAGTAAGAATTGCTAGAGGAAGACTAATAAATAAAAGAATGACAAAGAAAATAAAGAGAAGTAAAAAATTACATATATACAGTTTTTATTAAATCAACAAATTTTAAAAAATACATGTTAGCCATAGGTTGAAAGAAGTATTTTTAAAATATTCACTGTTTCCTAGGGAGAAAAATGACTTAGGAAATTGCAAAGTAAGAACCAAAAGATTTAGCTGAAAAAATTATATGGTAGGTAGCAAATATGAGGCAGGGGCAGAGTCTGCACCTGCTCACTCATGTGCCCCTCAATACTCTGTGCCTGGCTCACCCTTGTCACATGTGGGATCCAAGCCAGTAGCATGAGCCGAGTGGGCAGAACAGGCTCAGCAGGCCTAAATAAAACTTGGGCAAAGGTGCCATCTGCCACAAAAATTTCCAGCTGGCAAAGAGACACCCCAAGAATCCTGTGACATTACTCCTGCAAAAATGGCCATAATAAAAAAATCAAAAGATAATAGATATTGGTATGAATGTAGTGAGAGGGGCACACTTTTACATGGCTGATGGGAATGTAAATGAGTACAAACACTGTGGAAAACAGTATGGAATATTCCTTAAAGAACTAAAAGTAGAACTACCATTTGATCCAACAGTATCACTACTGAGTATCTACCAAGAGGAAAAGAAGACATTATACAAAAGATACTTGCACGCATATGTTTATAGCAGCACAATTTACAATTGCAAAAATATAGAACCAGCCCAAATGCCCATCAATCAATGAGTGGGGAGATACACACACACACACACACACACACACACACACATATATATATACACATACACATACACACACACACACTATGGAATACTACTCAGCCATAAAAAGGAATAAAATAATGGCATTTGCAGCAACCTAGATGGGATTGGAGACCATTATTCTAAGTGATGTAACTCAGGAATGCAAAACCAAATATCGTATGTTCTCACTCATAAGTGGGAGCTACGTTATGAGGATGCAAAGACATAAAAATGACACAATGGACTGTGGGGACTCGGGAAAAGGATGGGGGTGTTGAGTGATAAGAGACTACACATTGGATACAGTGTACAGTGCTGGAGAGATGGGTGTACCAAAATTTCAGAAATCACTGCTAAAGAACTTAATTATGTAACCAAATACCACCTGTTTCCCAAAAAGCTATTGAAATAAACAAAATAAAAAAGATAAAGTTTAAGCAATATTTATATTGTAAAGAATAAATTTGGTTAAAATATTTGTTTGATTAAAAACTTCTTAGCCAGATATTATTAACTAGACAAACTGAAATAACTGAATTATTTGTCAAATAATATTTTATAAGTATAATTAACTAAACGTTAATTTAGCAGCATAAAAAGTAATTAATACAAAACCATGAACGAATAAATTTTAAAACAAGGGATAATTAAAAGCATATATATGTGTGTGTGTGTGTGTGTGTGTGTGTGTGTGTGTGTGTGTGTGTGTGTGTGTGTGTGTTAAGGAACGGATCTCTAAAAAATCAATTGGAGTCAACATCTGGGTTATATGCCTAAGCAAAGGACAAATAATATAGAATGATACAAGAAATAAGACTATAAATTACCAATGTGTAAAAGAATTTAGATGTTTTATAATAAAATATTTGCTAAAATATTTCCTTGAAAAAGTATAAATTTCAAAAAAGCAATTTTAGGTATATATTATTAGAACTACCTCAATTGGCATTTAAAAGCTAAAGAATAATTACCAAAGTTGAAATGAACACATTTATGAAGGAATGTCTTCTATAAATGCTAGGCCAACATGCTACTTAAAAGAATTTAGTAGCATATTAACATAAGTAGTTTTCAAATTGGTCAAAAACAGTTGGGTTGCTTGTTTTAGTTTCCCCAGAAGCACACATTCGAATATGGGTTTGGCTGCAAATTGTTTGATAGGTAATCTTAAGAAGCACTGGTATGTAAAAGGGAAAGTTAGACAGGGAAAGAAAGGATGACATTGATGTTGTCTAATGATACGGTTACCACTGATGGGGACTTCTAGGAGACAGCATAGAATGTGTTTTCAAATTGTTTCTCTTGTACATGTGAAGTTGGAATATTTATCTGTTAAGTTGTATCATTGGTTTAAGACCATTCTCGAGCATACATACTCTTCACATGCATGTGGACAGAGTTCGCATGTTTTCTGCTGATCTGAGCCTTCTGGCCAAGGAACATCCTTAGGAAGAGTGTGGCCAGTGCTTGTAGCAGAAACCATTGGCCTTTCAGAGAATAGTAAGTGCCAGGAAGGTGTGGAGTGAGCACTAACAACTTCTATAGGCAATAAAATAAGAATGCCATAACATAGAAAACAAGTAGCACGCACATACACACACACAGAGTAAAGCTCTCTCAACTACAGACAAAATTCATTCATGAGTGCTATTATAAAAGCCTTTAGCAAATTAAGAGGAAAACGTGACATAGCAAAATGGAATTTGTCAGCAAGGAATCACTATTATATTTCACATTTTATTAGCTAAATTAAGAAAAGTGAAGCATATGCCTATCTCAATATTTGCCATAAAGTAATAAACTTTAACATGCAGGAATGCCAATGATATGATTACAGTTTTGCCATTAGAAGTAGTCTTAGGAACATGAAAAAGATTTCTACAAACACAAGTAATTCATAGCATCGCAGTGGAGATGACTGGTTAATGACTAGAATAACCCTCTTAATGCCGTGAGTGTCATTAACTCCCCACACTTGAAAAACCCCAAGAAGGACCATAATTTTGAATTTTCTTACAGTGGTTGAATTATGAGAAATAAAATTATGAGAAAGAAAAGATGACTAACCTTTAGGTTCCTGGGGAAACAAATTAATCCATTAATTGAATCAATTATTAATGACACACTCAGCAAACATAGCCATTACAGTCAAAGGTAATCATGGGTCCTTACCTGGGGTCTAGTAGAGCTTACAGTTTTTTTTTTTCTTAACAAAAATATCTGTACATGTTTCATGTACACAATTTAGTGCATATGCCTGTAGCCATAAAATCACCACAATAAGGATAATAAATATACTCATCATTCCTAAAAGTTTCCATGTATTTCTTTGGGGAGGCGGTGTGTGTGCTGATGTGTTTCAAATGTGTATGTGTTTGTGTGTGGTTAGAACACTTAACATGAGCTCTACCTTCTTTGTAAATTTTAAGTATACAATAGTGAATTGTTAACTATAGGCACAATGTTGTTTAGCAGATTTCTAGAACTTACTCATCTTGCATAACTAAAACTTTATATCCATTGTGTAACAATTCCTATCTTTCCTTCCTCCTAGCCCTTGACATCCACTATTCTATTCTCTGCCTCTAGAAGTCTGACTATTTTTAGAACTCATATAAATGAAATCATGCAGTATTTGTACTTCTGTGACTGGCTTATTTCACTTAGTAGATGTCCTCCAGGTCTATGTTTTCCCAAGTTGTAGGATTTTCTTCTTTATTTTAAAAAACTGGATAATATTTCATGGTACATGTACATTATGTTTTCTCTGTCCACTCATCTGTCTATTGAAATTTGGGTCATATCTGTAGCTTGGTTACTGTGAATAATACTGCAACTTTCATTAGTGCAATATCTCTTTGATATCATGATTTCACTTATTTTGGATGTATATCCGGGAGTGAGATTGCTGAATTGTATGGTAGTTCAATCATTGAATTCAATACATTTTAGGGATACCAAATCAACATATAAAAATCAACTGTGTTTCTATACATTAACAATGAACTGTCCAAAAGGAAATTAAGAAAATAATACCACATCTCTTCCACAACAATGTGAATACACTTAACACTACTGTACTGTATACATAAAATCAGTTAAAGTGGTAAATGTTATGTTAACTGCAATTTAAAAAATTAAACTAGAATTCCGGTTCAGAATTTTTTTAAAAAATAAAACAATCCCATATATAAAAGCATCAAAAAAAATACCTAGTAATAAGCCTAACCAAGAAGGTGAAAGACTTGTACACTGAAATCTATAAAACAATGATGAAATAAAGCACACAAACTCATTTTCATGGATTGGATGACTCATTATTATTAAAATGTCCGTACGATCTAAAGTGATCTACTGATTTCATAATATCTTCATCAAAACTCCAGTGGGATTTTTTGCAGAAATAGAAAAAAAATCTAAAATTTATACAGAATAACAAGAGTTTGAATAGCCAAAGTGATCTTGAAAAAGAATACAGCTGGAGGCATCAGCTCTCTGATTTCAAAAATATATTACAAAGCTACAGTAATTAAAACAGTATCTGTTTCCAAGGATGATTAGGAAGGAACATGTGAGAATGATGGAATTACCTCCACCAGATTCTCTTCACTGTGCTTCTTTCGGAATATGAAATTGAATTGATACTATCAGCCATTTAAATTGTGATTTAAGTGTTTTTATTTCATTATAATACGTGATAAACATATCAGTAATTTCAGAGTCTCATGCTTTATTTCATGTATTAGCTTTAATTTGGGTAATTATTAATTTGATCATATAAGTAAAATCATTCTTCCTGCTTTACTATTTCCTGAAATATATACCTTCGAGATTAAAAAAGTGAAAAATTATTCAGATAAATAATTTATTGTGAACAGTTTTGCAACACCATGTATTTTAGTGTTCCTCTCTTCAGCAAGTTGCATTCATACAATGATAATAACAACAACATCATACTAGATTTTTTTCACTACCAATGGAGTATTTAGAATATTTATTTCTAGTGAAAGGGTTGTCCAACAACTACTTTCACAAAAACAAAAGTTTCAGTTGCTTAAATGTTAATTTTCTATTGACACATAATACGTGTATGCCGGTATGGGATATGTATAATATTTGTTACGTGCATAGAATGTGTAATGATCAAGTCAGGGTATTTAAGGTATTCAGCAGCTTGAGTATTTGTCATTTCCTTGTGTTGGGAACATTTCAACTTCTCTATTTTAGCTATTTTGAAATAAACAATACATTATTGTTAACAACAATGTTATTGATCATTAGAACTTATTCTTCTTATCTAACTGTATTTTTGTAGCTATTTACTAAACTCTCTTCATCTCTCCCACATGTATTCTTACACCCTTCTCAGACTCTGGTAACTATTATGCTACTTCATGAAAATAACTTTTTAAGCCCCCACATACGAGTGAAAAGATGTGATATTTGTCTTTCTGTGCCTGGCTTATTTCTCTTAACATAATGACCTCTAGTTTTATCCCCGTTGCTAAACATGACAAGATTTTAGCCTTTTTATGGCTGACTAGTATTCTATTATGTATATATGCCACATCTTCTTTATCCATCCCATCCATTGATGGACACTTAGGTTAATTCCATATCTTTTCTATTGTGAATAGTGCTGCGATAAACATATCAGCGCAGGTATCTCTTTGATATAGTGATAGCCTTTCCTTTGGATAAATACCCAGTAGTGGGAATGCTGGTTCATATGGTAGTTCTGTATTTAGCTTTATGAAAAATCTCCATACTGTTTTAATGCTTAAAATACTAGAACATGGAATAAAGTTATTTTTGCAAGTGCATTTTAAAACAATTAGAGCTACGCACTGAAGAAAAACATTTTCTGCTAAAGTAGTATGTGCCTCACTGAAAAGTATTCTTGTTTAATAGAAGTATTATATCTTATAATAAATCCAAACTATAATAAAATTCAATTAAGCACATGCTATTTTCAATTCAGTAAGGTAGGCAATGTGGGAATTTAGATTCAAATGTGTATGGTTTCTCTTCTGGAATCTAGAATCAATATTGTAAAAGGCTTGTAAAAAAAATGACTATACTTTGAAAAGAATTAAGAAGATGTATAAATGGAATCCTGAGACAAGAGAGAAACAGGGAAAATTAATTCTACAGAGTAATTTAGGAAAGTAGCAGATGTGGGAATCATCAAATGATCTGTACAAAAAAGAATTTGAGGTAAGTAGCACTGTTAGAGTTAGGTCACTGACAGACTGAGAAGTACGTAAGTTCTTAGGAAGCAAGGTTGAAGGCAATTTAACAATAATGAAAAGTGCAGGCCATAAATATGGAATAGCAAGATATCAGGGCTACATCACCAAATATTTACTATACACCTATTATGTACCAAGCTGTTTTCTTAGCACTGAGGATTAAACTATCACTTGGAGACGTTAAAGTCCTTTTTCGTATGAAGCTCATTATCTGTTTGAGGTGAGAGTAGGGGATGACAAAATATTAAATTTAAAAAGTAAAAAATAATGAATAAATAATAATCACTAATTTGAGAGCAAAATAGGGTGTATGATAGAAACTGACTGGGTGGCTACTTTTGATTGGTTTTGCAGGCAAGAGCTCCCTGTGCTTATGTGACACATATGATTCGTTAAGTGTTTACTTTATGCCTTACACCGTGTTCATTATATCAACTAACAACTCTCCATTTCTCAACTTTGCACATAAATTATTGTATATTTTCTGCATACATATGCAAACACACACACACATATACAGATGCATTAACAGAAGATACAATATCATGAAAATTACAAAAAGAAAATTGAAGGCAGAAGATCTAAGTGAATTCTTAAATTCTAAGTTATTCTTAACCTCTAAGTTATTGACTTTCTGACCTGTTATTCATTACATTCATGGTGTGATAATAGCAGCCAACTCACAAGAGATCCATGAGAAAAAAATGAAATCCTATAAGTGGATATACAGTAGTTTGAAAACTACATATTAGAAGTGGCAATGTACAAATATGTTTATCACCATCTTCATATAATTATTTGTATACATGTCTAAATAGCATAATAATGGGAATAATACCAACAGAAAGTCCCAGTAACTTGAACTGATATTATATGTAGCCATACTACTGCAGTCAAAGGTAGATATTGAAATATAGGAAGTGATTCTATAGTAAATTATTAAACGAATGGGAAAATTCTTTCTGCATGGAAGTTTTTTCACATTATAGTTAAAAATAAAGTGATTTATAGTAATAATTAAATTAATATATAGTAATAAATAATAGAATATATACATACTAATGATTAGTTAGTTTTAGTACCTATAGGTAGTCTAACAGAGTATAAAGTTACTTATTATATTACCTTTGAACTGGAAGCTCATGGGGCTCTTTGTTTTGTTTTTCTTTTCTTTTCTTTTTTTTTTTTTTTTGAGGCGGAGTTACTGCTGTTGCCCAGGCTGGAGTGCAACGGCACAATCTTGGCTCACTGAGACCTGCACCTCCTGGGTTCAAGCAATTCTCCTGCCTCAGCCTCCTGAGTAGCTGGGATTACAGAGGCGTGCTACCACAGCCAGAAAAATTTTGTGTTTTTAATAGAGGCAGGGTTTCGCCATGTTGGCCAAGCTGTTCTCAAACTCTTGACCTCACATCATCCACCCACCTTGGCTAGGTAATCCCAAAGTGCTAGTATTACAGGCGTGAGCCACCACGCCCAGTCGGTCTCTTTTTATTTCTGACAGTTTCATGTAGATAAATAAAACATATATTAAGACACAATTAGAGAATAAACAAGAAATTATTATGTTATTAGGGATGTCATTCTGAGAAGAAATTACATTTTCAAAAAAATTATTTGAAGCAAATAGTAAGAGGTTCACATAAATTATATAAACAAAAACATTAAAGGATTAGAGGAAAGAATTGAGTTGTTGTGTGAAATTTAATTTCTGTATGCAAGACCACTTTCAGCTTGAAAGACTTTAGTAGGCCTATTACCTTATAAGCCCTGTGCTTCACTGTTCCACATGGATCTCACAGTGAGAACTTACACTCAGCTGAGAGATCTAGCAGAAAATTGTACTCATTATGCAATAGAAGAAGAGAAAAAATAGGGCAAAAATTATTTCTGAAGTTTAAATGGATGACATGATCATCAGATTCATGAAGAAAGACAGCAGAGTCACATAATATACATGGAATGTATGAGAGAAAAAATAAAATATATTGACCAAAACCAGAAGGTTTAACACAACACCAAGAGGAGTTAAAAACTTAAGAAGAAAAAAAAAATGGAGCAAGAGTTATAATCAATAAAATAATCTATAGATTGCAATTTCTGTCATTATGCTATAAAACCTATTCATAAATGGGACTATTTCTAACCTCATCCATTGCCACTGACATTTCTTCTCTGGACTATCATATTAACTTTCTAATTGTCCTTTATCTATTGCAAACATTTTGTCCCTTCTCCAGATAGTTACAAGATTATAGCCAGTGATTTTGTGAAACATAGTATTATCCAGATCTTATGTAGTTCCCTTGTCAAGAATACCAGTGGCCTCTGAACTCAGTCAGGGTAAAACCAAACTCCTTTCAATGTTCTACAGTGTCCTGCAATTTTCACCCCTGTTAACTCTGACCCCATCTCTTACCGATTTTCCTCAGCTCATATAGGATTCTTTCTTTAGAGTCTTTTCACTGCTATTTTTTAAACAAATATTTTCAAATGTTAAATGAATCATTACTTTACCCTTTTTAGCTCTTAACACACATAACACCTTCTCGATGAGGTCTTTCTGGGTGACTGCATTTTTTTTAAGAGACAGGATTTCCTCTGCTGCTCGGTGGTGCCATCATAGCTCACTGCAACCTGCAACTCCTGGGTTCAACTGTTCTTCCCACCTCAGCCTCCTGAGTAGCTTGGACTATAGGCATGGGCCACCATGCCTGGCTAATTTTATTTTTATTTGTATTTATTTATTTAGAGATGGCGTCTTGTAATATTAATCAGGCTGCCCTGAAACTCCTGGCATCAAGCATCCTACCACCTTTGCCTCCCAAAGTGCTAGGATTACAGCCATGAGCTACTGTGCCAGGCTGGTCATTGCATTTTAATTGAAACCAACCGTGTCACTAAATATCTGCTCCACTTTCTCTCTGGCAATCATTGCTATCTAAACTTTATAAATTGTTTTTTATTTATCTTTTCTTTTCTTTTCTCTGTTATTAGAATGTTAGCTCCAAAATAACAAGAAATTTTGTCTTATTTTTAAAAATTTTTATTGCTACGTTCCCAACAGCCTAACAGTTTATGGGATATAGCAGATGCCTAATAATGAATGAAGACATACTTAATAATTAATTCAAGGATGATGCTTACGTGAGTAAATCAAATTTAGAATAGGATAAATGAAATCTTCCACAATTAGAGATATCTGTATAACATTTCAGAACAAAACAAAAAGTATTATTGTGGAAAGAATAGTTAATATCTTTGGTTTTTCACATACCTGTGATCCTTACAGGGGAAAACCTTCATGTTTTGGCCATATTTCCTCAGGCTAGTTGCCAGCAACAACCCTTATTTAGCAATAAGAAGACCGTTTGCTTCATGTGTTGTCACTAGTATCTTCTTAACAGGAAAGTTAATCAAGTCTGGAAATATGTTCTATGAGTTCCATGATGCCCCTTCATGTAGATTTCCCCTATATATTGCCCTCCAAACACCCCCCATCCTCTTCTTCTGTGCCATCATCATTTCATCTTCTAGCAGGTTGTTTGAGAAGACTGCTATTCTGGTCAAGTGAATGAACTACTAATCAGCATTGACTCTATTCCTTTATTTTCTTGAAGGGAACCAATACATTAATGTTAACTATTACATTTTGACTGATGAGTTCATGGAGATGAATCTGACTTATGGTACGTTTGAAAAATAAGCATTGTATCTTACTTAACATAGTGTATTAGTCAGGGCTCTCTAAGGGGACAGAACTAATAAGATATACGCATATATGAAGGGGAGTTTATTAGGAGAATTGACTCACATAATCACATAGTGAAGTCCCACAATAGGCCATCTGCAAGCTGAGGAGCAAGGAAGCCAATTCAACTCCCAAAACCTCTAAAGTAGGGAATCTGACAGTGCACCTTCAGTCTGTGTCTGAAGGCTCAAGAGCCCCTGGTAAATCACTGGTGTAAGCCCAAGAGTCCAAAAGCTGAAGAACTTGGAGTCTAATGTTCAAATACAGGCAGTATCCAGCATGGGAGGAAAGATGGAAGCCAGAAAACTCAGTAAGTCTGCTTTCCACCTTCTCCTCCCTGCTTTATTCTAGCTGTGCTGGCGGCTGATTAGATGGTACCCACCCAGATTGAGAGTCGATCTGCCTCTCCCAGGCAACACCCTCACAGACACACCCAGGAACAATACTTTGCATCCTTCAATTCAATCAAGTTGACACTAAATATTAACCATCACACATGGCTAATATAATTTTCCAATGACAGAAAATAGTCAATACTTCTAGAAAAATAAAACTAGGCTCCAACATACTTTATTTATAAATTATTTATTTATTTATAACAACCATCAGTTTATATAATCCCAATGAAACTTAGAGAAAATTTTAGTCAGATATTTTAATCATTATTATATATTTATTAAAAGCCATATATAAATGTAAAATCTTTATAAAAGAGGTATGTTTGTGGCAGTAAACATAATTATTATTCTTTTATATGCAAACAATATAAATATGAGTAACATTGCACTATAAATTTTTTTTTAAGGTTTGAAGTGTAAGCAAAACTTTTTCTCTCCAGTATACAGAATAATTCACCTGCTAGCATTATTCTTAATACAGCTGATGGCCCATCTCATTTTATTATTTTTTGAGATTGAAGTATAAATAAGTAAAATCCTCAAATAAATGTATTTTATTATGATTTGAATGCATGAATAACATATATTATCACATCATTTTCTACATTTATTCTTATATTTAACATTATACTATAGGGTACATCCTTTTACTTAGTTTGTAAAATCAAGAGAATTGAAACAACTTTGAAATGTGTTTTTATCAATTAAAAATAATGTGATATCATTGAAATCAGAAGACAAAATTTAGTTAAGTATTTGAGTTTCAGAAAATGGTTTATTTCATTGATACTTGCAATAGATATGTAAATATTTCCGTATCAAAAGTGCATATATTTGAAAATAGAAATAATTTCCAATACATGCATTTTTGATAGGAAAGTACAATATCTAAAATACTTGGTAATAAGAAAGACAAATTATACCAACCACTAGAACTAATCATCAAATATGTTCAAGTGTCCTTTCTCATCCTCTTAAAGATGAATATGGCCATGTCATTGTTTTGGCCAAAAGAATATTAATAAAAATGATAAATGTCCCTTACTTACATATAAATTTGAAAAGCCAGTTTAGAGTTTACCATTTTGTTTTTCTCCCAAACACAAGGATCGACAGCACTCCATATGGTGCCTGCTCCAGTATCCTGGGTCCTGAGGACAAGGCAGAGTTACAGATCTCTCAAGTAACTCACAATGCACATGGAAAACAAACTTCACTGTTTTAAGCCACCGAAACTCAGAGTTTGTATATTACAACAAAATAACTTAGACATTTATTTGGTTAGTACGTGTTAGCATGAGAATGGGACCTAGAAATTTGAACACTAGAGTTTTTGTCTTAACAACCATATTCTATTATTTTCCATATTAAAGATTGCATGCAAATCTATTGATTTATTATTGTATCGTGACACCAGATATCTTTTAAACATGTGTTTAGGATAAGAAATAATAGAAACTTTGAATAAAATTATTTCTTATCCCAAACACATTCTCTATATGGGAGTGAAGAATGTTTCTTGGTTGGGCTGTGAATCAACTCCCCAGTTATGGTTCTCATGGCCCTTGTCTCTTCTCTAGTCTCCTAGATCTTCATACTTCTTTTTAAACCTCCTGGACTCATTTGAGGTAAACATTGCTTGCTTTCTTCATGATTAAATAATAATTCTTTCATAATTAAGCAGTTTTCTCAGTCTGATTCCTGCCTATATGTGACTACTGAATGCTGTTAACTAAAAAATCTCTGAGACATAGTTCAATCAGTTCAGAGGTTCATTTTGACTAGGCTAAGAGAGTGCCCAGGAAAAAGAGACGTAAGCTACAGTAGAATCTGTTGCCTGTACTTTTTCCAAAGAGGGCTTTGAGGACTCAATATTTAAAGAAGACAGAGTGGCAGAAGGGGAAGGAGTAAAGAAAAAAAAAAAAAGAGGATAGGTAGGTTGTGAGATAAGTGGTCACATTGTTGTGAGGCTTTGATTAGTGCTCACTGAATCCACATGTTACATCTAAAAGGAGGGGAAAGAGGAACATTTGATTATGTATTTTTTAAAATATACACTTTACATATTACAAAAATAAACATAAATTACTGAGCCATAAAAAGGAATGAATTAATGGCATTCACAGCAACCTGGAAGGAGTTGGAAACTATTATTCTAAGTGAAGTAATTCAGGAAAGGAAAATCAAACATAGTATGTTCTCACTCATAAGTGGGAGCTAAGCTGTGAGGATGCAAAGGCATAAGAATGATACATTGGGCTTTGGGGACTCAGGGGAAAGGGTGGGTGTGGGGTGAGGGATAAAATACTACAAATTGGGTTCAATGTATACTGCTCCGGTGATGGGTGCACCAAAAATCTCACAAATCATCGCTAAAGAACTTACTCATGTAACCAAATACCACCTGTTCCTCAAAAACCTATGGAAAAAAATTAAAAATAAATAAATAAGCACAGAGAAAACAGTCAAATATGCATTTGTTTCTGAGTGGTTGGGGGGATGGTTTCTAGTCTTGTTTATGTCTTGTACCTGTAAAGATAAGCAGTTAATTTACATTGTCAGAGTGAAATTCAACAGAACTCTGTGTTAGTGCAAAGATTTTGGGGCTCACAAGGAATTTTCTTGCGAGTAATTTGTGAGAGAGATGTGGCCTTCTATCTTGGTAGCTATCTGGTTTTTTTGTTGTTGTTGTTGAGACTGTTGCCCAGGCTGGAGTGCACTGGCATGATCTCGGCTCACTGCAACCTCCGCCTGACGGGTTCAAGCAATTCTCCTGTCTCAGCCTCCCGAGTAGCTGGGACTACGGGCACCCGCCACCATGCCTGGCTAATTTTTGTATTTTTAGTAGAGACGGGCTTCACCATATTGGTCAGGCTGGTCTCGAACTCCTGACCTTAGGTGATCTGCCTGCCTCGGCCTCTCAAAGTGCTGGGATTACAGGCCTGAGCCACCGCACCCAGCCAGCTATCGGTTTAAGAACCAAAGGAAGGCAATCTTTGCAAGACTCAGTTCCCAAGCTTAACAAAGGGCTTCTCAGAGATCTTCACGTTGTGAGAATACAATGAGAAAATAACAGTCTGTAACCCAGAAGAAGACCTTCACAAGAACTTGCCCATAGTGACACCTGATCTTAGACTTGCAGCCTCCAGAATGATGAGAAACACATTTCTGTTGATTGCATGGCACCCAGTCTATATAGAACTTTGTTACAGCAGGCCAAGCAAAGACATTAACCGAGAGTCATTTTAGTCTTGTAAAGTTACATAGAGTCTTTTGAAATTATGCAATTCTCCAAAACTTAAGAAATATCTGCCTACTTTTTAAAAAGTCATCTGGACTCATTTTTTTCTATTCCATTTCACTTTGCTTTATTTGCAATACCCACATCTCTTCTTATTTTCTGGATGTACTTTTATTTGTGCTATATTCTCTTGCTATCTTTGCCCCATACAACCCTTCTCTATCTTACATTAATTCAGAAAATTAGAATCTATCAGGCCTAGGCAGGAGAGCCATGCCATTAGTTTTTTCTCTAAACTACTTAATCCAATTGAAATAATTTCCTCAGGCTCTTATTTTAAATTGAACTTTTACTTTGATTTAAGTTGAGAGCTTTAAAAAAATGGATATGCCAACCACACAATTGTTTTGTGCTTTTTGCAAGGAGACTGAGAATAAATTGGTCTTTGTCATTCAAAGTATATGTCAAGTTTACTTGTTAATGTTTGGAGGTGAGAGTCGGTGACTCTTACACTAATACACCTCACTGAAAACATGTACTACCCTTACTCCTGTCATGCATATCTATCATGCATGCAGACTGGCCATATTTTTTTCTAAATATCTCTCTTCTTTGTAATAGTTTTTTTATTCTTATAATACTTTATCAAACACAGCCAACATGTATCTGCATGTTTTAAATATTTTGAGGCAATTTATCAAATTCTCTTTTGTGTAATAGAATATGATATAACTTCTGCAGAAATTATAATAAATTTCACTTAATCAAGTACTTCTGGCTTTTGTCTTTTTATGCCATAGTTACTTGCATCTTTAATTATTTGCAAAACAACATAAAGGCATTTCTAGTACTGATTCTTGTGGAGTCTTTTAATTTATTCTTTCAGTTTTCAAACAACAACTACACACGTATTTTACATCCATAAAGTTCTTACTATATGGTAAAGGTTAGACTTGGCCCTTGAACTCATGAAGCGTAACCGGGGAGATACACATTAAATAAATGCAAAAGTACTGTTAATATTAGAGCTCTGAAAGAAATGAATGTGATTTTTAAAATAATTTATAATACCATATTATTAAATCGGAGGGTAAGAGTTTCATGTAGAAGTAATTCACGTAGAAAGGGCAAATGAATTACACTTTTTCACTTAGGTGGGGTAAAATAAAGCCCCAGAGATTGTATGTCTGTGAATTAATTAACAGGGTTAAAAGTGTGTCATACATTATAGACGAAACATATTCAGTTTGCATCAAAGGATTCAGTAAAATGAGTTTTACCTCTTTCGATTTTTAAAATTTTCACATTTATTTTGAGAGCATACATTTGCCTTCTTGTCATTCATATAAGTTTTATAACCTGTTTTAATTTAAAATGTTAATATAGTAAATGTTGCTGACATCCTAAAATTATGCTAATTAAATGTATTTCTGAGGAGAAAAAAGTTTCATTAGATGCTTTTATTTTTACTTTATCAATTAAAAATGAAAAAGTTAATTACTTAATGCTTGAATATATCTTCTTATGTATACATAAACTTTAGATAATCAGCTATTTACATCTTAAAATAATTAATATTAGAAGACATCATCCTAATAAACTATTTTAACATTTATAATAAATATTTCTCAAACATTACCACCTGCACATATATAATGTTAACTTGAGTCAACCATACATATTGCTGTGAAACACTGGTAAGTAGAAAGAGATATTTATTTGATGAAATTTTGTGCTTAATACTGTGAAAAGAAACAGTAGAAAAATAAGGCAGAAGGAATACATTGAGTTTTAGAGTTGAAGATACAGAAATATATCTAAATGCACATATATAGTATGATTATATATATAATTCTATATGTAGTCTATATATTTTATGTAATGATAAATTTATAATTATTTATGTTTATGTGTTTCGTTTTGCTTTTTTTTCCCCCGAGACTGGGTCTCACTCTGTCACTCAGGCCGGAGTGCAGTGGTGTGATGATTACAAATCACTGCAGTCTGAATTTCAGGGGCTAAAGTGATCCTGCCATATCAGCCCCTTGAGTTGCTGGGACTACAGGCACATAACACCATGCCAGGCTATTTTTTAAAAAAAATTTTGTAGAGAGTCTCACTATGCTGTCCAGGCTGGCCTTGAACTCCTAGGCTCAAGTGATTCTACCACCTTGAGCTCCCAGAGTATAGGAATTACAGGAGTGAGCCACTGACCCTGGCCCATATATGCATTTTTTAAGATTTCAGCAATTTAGCCTTTGGGAAGAAGAAGGCTTGTAAAGCTTCTTGCAAAATAGCAATTAATTGATAATAAAGCAAAGGCTATGTCTGCTCTTTTTGAAGCTGTTGAAAGCAATTGTAGGATCAAAGACTGTATTTTAAAACCTGAAATTATGTATAATGTAAGAGTAGCTTTTTAAAAATACAAAACAATTTGGAGGCTACAAAAGTTAAAAAGTAACACAAGAACTTGAAACATCATATAATAAATGTAATTACGTAAACATGAAGTTCTTAATTTCTTAGTATTATCCAGATACTTGTCAGGCCTCCAGAATAATATTTTAATTTAATTTCCTAAAATGTAATGCAAATATTTCAAATAATTTAAATTTATATTGAAGTTATCTACAAAAGTGTTGAATTACTACTTTCCTAGTAGTCATTATATGCCTTCCCAAATTTCAAATGTTAAATATCTGCTCCTCAAAAATATATTTCCTGCTTTTTCATTCAAAAATTTCCTTAAAGTTTTTAATTTATATGCACTCTCTTATTCCCTTTCTTTAACCTGTTGTCTGTTTTATATTACATTTCCTAAATTCCATAATCTACTCACCTTAGACTTCTCTAATATGCTTTTTGTCCTTTAAAAATAAGAATCAATTTTGTCATATTTTTCTTATTTTTCCAAACCTATGTGGTGCTCTTCTTGTAAAAAATAGGACAAATTTTGAAGAATCAAGCAAGAAAAACATTAGATGTTGATATGGTTTGGCTTTATGTCCCCACCCAAATCTCACCTTGAAAGGCAATCCTGTAATCCCCACGTGTCAAGGGCAGGACCAGGTGGAGGAAATTGAAACGCAGAGACAGTTTCCCCATGCTGTTCTCATGATAATAAGTCTCATGAGATCTGATGGTTTTATAAGCATCTGACATTTCCTCTGCTTGCATTCATTCTCTCTCTTTGTGCCCTGTGAAGAGGTGCCTTCCACCATGATTGTAAGTTTCCTTAGCCTTCCACAGCCATGCGGAACTGTGAGTCAATTAAACCTCTTTTCTTTATATAAGTTACCAAGTCTCAGGTATTCTCTTATAGCAATGTGAGAACAGACTAATACAATAAACTGGTACCACAGACAGTGGGGTGTTCCTATAAAGATCCCTGAAAATGTGGAAGCAACTTTGGAACTGAGTAACCAGCAGAGGTTGGAACAGTTTGGAAGGCTCAAAAAAGACAGAAAGATATGGGAAAGTTTGGAACTTCCTAGAGACATATTGAATGGCTTTGACCAAAATTCAGACAGTGATATAAATAATGAAGTCCAGGCTGGGGTGGTCTCAGATTGAGATGAAGAACTTTCTGGGAACTGGAATGAAGGTCATTCTTGCTGTGCATTAGGAAAGAGACTGGTGGCATTTTGCCCCTTCCCTAGAGATCTGTGGAACTTTGAACTTGAGACAGGTGATTTAGGGTATCTGGAGGAAGAAATTTCTAAGCAGCATGCAAGATCTGACATGGCTGTTCCTAACAGCATACAGTCATATGGGTTCACAAAGAGATGGTCTAAAATTGGAACTTATGTACAAAAAGGAAGCAGAACATAAAAGTTTGGAAAATTTGCAGCCTGAACATGAGGTAGAAAGGAAAAACCCACTTTCTGGGGAAAAATTCAAGCCAGATGCAAAAATTTGAATAAGTAATGAGGAACCAATTGTTAATCACCAAGACAATGGGGAAAATGTTTCCGGGGCATGTCAGAGACCTTCTCAGCAGCCCCTCCCATCACAGGCCTGGAGGACTAGGAGGAAAAAGTGGTTTCCTGGGCCAGGTCCAGGGCCTTGCTGCTTTGTGCAATCTGATAACTTAGTGCCCTGTGTCCCAGCTATGGCTAGATGGGGCCAACATATAGTTCATTCCATTTTTTCAGAGGGTGCAGCCCCAAGTCTTCACATCTTACATGTGGTGTTGGGCCTCTGGGTACACAGAAGTCAAGAATAGAAGTTTGGGAGCCTCCACCTAGATTTCAGATACTGCCTGGAGGTCCAGGCAGTAGTTTGCGAGGGGTGGAGTCCTCATGGAAAACCCCTGTTAGGGCAGTGTGGAATAAAAATGTGGGGTTAGAGCCCCCACACAGAGTCCCTACTGGGGCACTACCTAGTGGAGCTGTGAGAAGAAGGCCATCATCCTCCAGACCCACAATGTGCCTACATACATCTTGCACTGTGCACATTGAAAAGCTGCAGACACTCAATGCCAGCCTGTGAAAGCAGCTGGGATGGGGGCTGTACCCTGCAAAACCACAGAGGCAAAGCTGTCCAAGGCCATAGGAGTCCACCTCTTGCATCAGCATGACCTGGATGTGAGACATGGAGTCAAAGGAGATCATGTTGGAACTTTAAGGTTTAATGACTGCCCTATTGTATTTCAGACCTCTATGGGGCTGTAGCCCCTTTGTTTTGGCCAATTTCTCTCATTTGGAACAGGTGTATTTGCCTAATGTCTATGCCCCCATTGTATCTAGGAAGTAACTATTAATAACTTGCTTTTGATTTTACAGGCTCATAGGAGGAAAGAAATTACCTTGCCTCAGATAAGACTTTAGACTTGGATGTTGAATTAATACTGGAATGAGTTAAGACTTTGGGGAACTGTTGAAAGGGCACACAGTTGTATTTTGAAATGTGAGGGCATGTGATTTGGGAGGGACCAAGTGCCAAATAATATGGTTTGGCTTTGTGTCCCCACCCAAATATCACCTTGAATTGTAATCCCCATAATCCCCACATGTCAAGGGTGGGACCAGGTGGAGATGATTGAATCATGGGGGCAGTTTCCCCCATGCTGTTTTCATAATAATGACTGAGTCTCATGAGATCTGATGGTTTTTTAAGCATCTGGCATTTCCTCTGCTTGCACTCATTCTCTCTCCTGCCGCACTGTGAAGAGGTGCCTTCTGCCATGATTGTAAGTTTCCTGAGGCCTCCCCAGCCATGTGAAACTGTGAGAAAATTAAACCTATTTTCTTTATAAATTACCCAGTCTGAGTATTTTTTATAACAATGTAAGAATGGACTAATACAGATATCAAGAAAAAGAATTAAGAAAATATGTATATGTAAAAATATATAGCCTTTCTCTCCTACGCTTATGGGCTAGCAAGAGTGGGTTTTAGTAAGCTACGTTTATTTAAAAGCACTCAAATCTAGTCAGGCATGCCAGGCTACTCACACATCCTTAGGAGGCTGAGGTGGGAGGGAAACTTGAGTCCAAATCAGACTAGGTGATATAGGAAAATTCTGTCTCGAAAAAAATTACTCAAATCTGAATTTGAAAGTTAAGTGCTCATACTTTTTTATTAAAGAAAAATTAAATATCTCAGAGGAATTCTCAATTTCCAAATAAAATGATGTCTGTTGTTAACTGTTGTCAATGTTGGGAAAATGTACTAATTGTCTATTATCTTTGAACAACAGGATAGTGACATCTTATACAATGAGGCAAACAAAACTAAATAAAAGTAATACATATTCAAGCTAAGGTTCCTTAACCTTTAAAATAAATATATTTTTAGACTGAATTTTCATCACTTCATTGCAATTCTTTCTTATACATGTTTGTGTTTATTGGTGAATTTTATGAATATGTATTTTTAATTAAATTTTTAAAATAATTATTATAATTTTTTCTATAGTGTAATATAAGTTGTGCCCTCCTCATCCCCCAAAATAAGAATGTTTTCTCTCCTCTCTCTCTCTCCCTCCTGTATTGTGAATATTAGGATAAAATCCTTTTTGTCAGACTCCATAAATCTAGAGCCAGGAGAGCAGGAAAAGGGAATGTTTATGCTTGCAAGTCAGAGAGTAAGACTATCTTAAAAACTTTGTAAAATAACCACACAAGAAATTATCTCTTTAGGACTATAGAAATTTAGATAAGATGCTCTTGAAAGAACACCTGTCCAGTAATGGCATCTCCACCAATGAAATGATGCCAACTCTTACTCTCAGCCCCCAAAATTAAGAAACTCTGTATCCAAGCAGCTTATATGCAGCTCTCCTTTGCTAATAAAAATTTCCCTTTACCCTCTTCTCTCTCCTCTTTAGATTCATAAGTAGATTGCCATAACTGTGCATCACAGATTATAGTTCTCTTTTCTAATTCCTGTTAAATTTTAAATTCAACATAGTTGGAGATGTTTTTTCTCTGATTTTTGTTTTGTTGTTGACTAATCTGATGTCAGAAATGGCCCTGAGCTAGATTACCTTCAGAAGAGCTTGTCAACTCTTGGAACTGGCTAGGGTACAATTGAGCCATTTGTGCTGTCTGTGTTCTATGGATTGCTCTTTTCTGCCCAGTTAACTCCTCTCAGGTTGAGCTTCCTCCCTATGGTAACAGCTCCTTGTTAACTTTATTTGTGATCTGATTTGGTTAAGGCACCTTCATAAAGGATCTTACATACCTTCTGGAACTATAAAAGGCTTTTTGCCTGGCAAATTCTTTCTGGAACAAAGACTTTTTGTCTTTCTAATCTTGGCAAGTACTCTTCTGGCTTCAGTTTTATTCTGAGTTGTGTATTTACACTTGTACCTTTGGCTGTTGATGGACCTTTCTTCTCTGTTTCTGGACATTTTCTGTGATTAATAAGAAAAACAATGGAACCCCAAAATTTCAAAGCATGCAAAAAAAATTTCTCTTCTGGTACCCCAGCCCAGACATTATAGTTCTCTCTCATGAATGTTTTTAAATCAATGGGAGAAGTACACTACAACTGATTTAGACATTCAATGGCTGTCCTGGAGATCTTCTGAGTTTCTGAAATTTATCTTTCTCAGGACTAAAGTGGAAGACAACAGTCATAAAATTAAACAACCTGAGGAGAAGATGTATTAGTTTTTGCACTGCTATAAACAAATACATGAAAGTGGGTAATATATAAAGAAAACGAGTTTAATTGGCTCATCATTCTGCAGGCCGTACAGGAAGCATGGCTGGGGAGGCCTCAGGAAACTTTCATTCATGGCAAGAGGTGAAGGAGAAGCAGGCATGTTTTACATTAGTGGAGCTGAAGGAAGAGAGAGACAGTGGGAGGCGCTACACACTTTTAAAAAATCAGATCTCACAATAACTCACTCACTCTCATGAGAAAATCACCAAAGGAGAAATTTGCCTCCATGATCCAATCACCTTCCACCAGGCTCCAACTCCAACATTGAGGATTACAATTTGACATGAGATTTGGGCAGGGACACAGTCCGAAAGGATATTATTCCACCCTGTCTCCTTCCAAATCTCATGTCCTTCTCACATTTCAAAATACAATCATGCCTTCTCAACAGTTCCCCAAAGTCTTAACTTATTTCAGCATTAACTCAAAAGTCCAGTCTCATCTGAGACAAGGCTAGTCCCTTCTGCCTATGAACTTGGCCAAAACAAAGGGGCTAGGGGTTCATGAAAGTCCAAAACCCAGCAAGGCAATCATTAAATCTTAAAGCTCCAAAATAATCTCCTTTGACTCCATGTCTCAAATCCAGGGCACACTGAAGCCAAGGGTGGGCGCTCAAGGCCTTGTGAAGCTCCACCCCTGTGGCTCTAGAGGGCTAAGCCCCCACAGCTTCCCAGGTGCTAGCATTGAGTACCTGCAGCTTTTCTGGGTGCATGATACAAGCTGTCAGTTTATCTACCATTCTCCAGTCTGGAGGATGTTGGCGCTCTTCTCACAATTCCAGTAGACAATACCCCACTGGGGACTCTTCATGTGGGGGTCTGAACTCCACATTTCTCTTCCACACTTCGCTAGTAGGGGTTCTTCCTTCAGGCTTCTACCTGGACACCTAGGCTTTTCCATACATATTCTGAAATCTAGGTGGAGGCTTCCAAGCTTCAAATCTTGCACTCTGCACACCTGCATGCTTCACTCCCCATGGAAGCCACAGAGGCATATGGATTGCACCCTCTGAAGCAGCAGCCCAAGTATCTGGGCCCCTTTGAGCCACAGCTAGAACTGTAGCAGCCGGGATGCAAGGAGCAGTGTTCTGAGGCTGTGTAGGGCAGTGGGACCTTGGCCCTGGCCCACAAAACCACGCTGTCCTCCTATGCCTCTGGGCCTGTGATGGGAGGGGCTGCCACAAAGCTCCCTGAAATGACTTCAGGTCCTCTGTCCCATGGTCTTGGCTATTAGATACTTTTCTTCCTTTTTGCTATGCAAACTTTTTATAGCCTGCTTTAATTCCTCCTATGAAAATTGATTTTTCTTTTCTACCACATGGCCAGGCTGCAAATTTTCAAACATTTACACTCTGCTTCCCTTTGTAATGTAAATTCCAATTTCAGGTAATTTCTTTGTTCATGCATATGAGCATAGGCTTGTAGAAACAGCCAAGCCATGTTTTGAATGCTTTGCTGCTTAGAAATTTTTTCTGCCACATACCCTAAATTATCTCTGTCAAGTTCAAAGCTCCACAGATCCCTAGAGCATGAGCACAATGCCACCAGGTTCTTTGCTAATGCATAACAAAAGTGACCTTTACTCCAGTTCACAGTAACTTCCTCATAGCCACCCAAGACCTCATCAGCTTGGGGATCTCTGTCCATATCACTGTCAGCATTTTGGTCAAAACCATTTAATAAGTTTCTAAAAAGTTCCAAACTTTCTCTCATCTTTCTGTTTTCTTCTGAGCCTTCCAAGCTGTTCCAACCTCTGCCTGTTACCCAGTTCCAAAGCTGCTTCTACATTTTCAAGTATCTTTATAGCAGTGCCCCACTCCTAGGTACAATTCAATTTTCTGTATTAGTTAGTTCTCACATTGCTATTAAGAAATACCTGAAAGTGGGTGATTTACAAAGAAAAGAGGTTTAATTGCCTATGGTTCTGCAAGCTGTGCAGGATGCATGTCTGGGAAGGTCTCAGGAAACTTACAGTCATGGCAGAAGGATAAGGGGAAGCAGGCACATCTTACATGGCCAGAGCAAGAGGAAGAGAAGAGGGGAGCAGGTGCTACACACTTTTAACCAATCAGATCAGTGAGTAATAAGTCAGTCACTATCATGAAAACAGCATGAAAGGGAAAATTTGACCCCATGATCCAATCACCTCCCACCAGCCCCAACTCCAACATTAGGGATTACAGTGAGATTTGGGTTGGTACACAGCCCCAAAACCTATCAGAAGGCATATGTCAATAGACACCTTGGAACTTCTAAGCATATTTAAAATACTAAAATTGCCTCCTTATAAAACACAATCTCAAAATCAACTGAAAAGAACAAACAGTTAAAGATGAACAGAAAGTTTCTAGAAGCTTGGATTTGTTTTGTCTCTGGAGACTTTCCTTTCTCTTTTTCCCACTAGCTCCTCTTCATCCTTCTTTACCTAAATTAACTTTCCCTCCAGATTCCTCAGCACCCCTCACCCCCAAGCAAATTTAGACTCCTAAAAACCTATCTCTTTAAAATGCAACTCACTGGTAATCTCTTTGGACCCCACCATATCAACCAGCCCTGCTTCAGAATAACTAACTACTGCAAAGGGTAAGGATTTTTCAATAAGCCTTTTAGTGCTTTTGTTTCACAACCCATTCTTTTCAATCTTTGTCTTCTTCAGGATGCCCATTCCTTTTTGCATGTTAATTCTGCCCTCCTTTCATGAATTTGGGTGTGATTTTCTGGAAAAATACCATACTGAATTTTTTTTTATGAAACAAATAATTTTAGAATGTGACAAACCAAATTGTGTTGACTCAAGCTTGAATTCCCCTGACTCCTCAAATTCTCACATTTGCTATTTCATTCCCTCTTTAGAGAAGAAAAATAATGCCATGCTTTTACTACTAAGTCAAACACCTGCCTCTTGACTTAAATATGAAAAGGAAGACAACACTCACATAGAAAAAAGAAGACAGCACTTTGAGTCTTAACCCAAAGCACAGATCCCAACACTATCCACTAGAATACTGTAACCCATAACTGGATTGTCTTACTCTGAATTTTGTCTGCCTAAGTGCTGTTTCTTCTGCAGCCTTGTTAGTAAAGGCAACTGAGAAGATACTCATGGGATCTCCAACACCTGTATGTGTGCCTAATGTAGTGGAAACTCTCTTAAACTCACATTGTAGTGAGGCAAACCTCGAAATTGGATCTCAGCCCAGAAGGCCATGTGAGTTCTTGGTTTTGCATAGAAAAGAATTCAGGAGTGAGCTCACAGAGTAAAGTGAAAGCAAGTTTATTAAGACAGTAAATAAATAAAAGGATGGCTACCCCATAGGCAGAGAAGCAGCATGGGCTGCTTAAGTGACTGCACTCATAGTTATTTCTTGATTATATGCTAAACAAGGGGTGAATTATTCATGAAATTTCCAGGAAAAGGATGGGGAATCCTGGAATTCAGGTTTTCTCCCCTTTTCAGACCGTATAGGGTAGCTTCTCGATTTTTCCATGCCATTTGTAAACTTTCATGGCACAGGTGGGAGTTTCCTTTACCATGCTAATGCATTATAATTAGCAAATAATGAGCAGTGAGGATGATCAGTGATGCTTTCCTCACCCTCTTGGTTTTGGTGGGTTTTGGTTAGCTTCCTGACTGCATCCTGTTTTATCAGCAGGGTCTTTGTGACCTATATGTTGTTAAACAAGTCCTGCCAATTTTCTATCTCAACATCACTCTCAGTATTTTATACCAGTCAACTTACTTTCTATGACCTGCTTCTATTTGTGGCTCCTCATGTCATTTCCTCATGCTGCAATGACCATAACTCTGCAACTCCCTTGCCCTCTCCTTTAAAAGAGATACCACATGGCTGCCCAATCCAACAGACCACCTTTTAACTTCTCAGGAGAATCTGCAAAAGACTCCTATGGAAAATGCTGAGTTGCCCTGTTTTACAGATGTCTCTCATTTAAAGAATGACACTAAAGAGTGATAATTTAAGTGTTATTTTTAAATATGAGTAAGTATTGTGCAGGCTACAATTATCCTCCTTAGAAATTGTGGAGGCAGCTCCTTTGCCTTTAGCACTTCAGCCCAGCAGATGGAATGATTTGCCTTCACTGGAGGCTGTCTTGTTGCTAAGGGAAACTTTTAATGTCTATAAAGACAGTAGGTATGCTTTTGGAGTTGCTTATAATTTTGGAATGTTGTGGAAATGAGGAGATTTTCTCACTCTCAATGGACAAAATGGGCCATATGTAAAAGAATTACCAGATGCAACACAGCTACTTGCTGCTTTAGCCATTATCCAACTCTTTGACCGTTTAAAACTAAATGCTATGGAATCAAGAGGAAATCACCTTGCTGATAGCCTGGCAGAGAGTGCTGCCCTTAAAGTCCTACTTATTAATCAAATCTCTGCCATAATCCACCTAGAAAAATTTCTCAAATATCACCTTAAAATAGTTACTAAAGATGCACAAAATTGGGCAACAGAGACCAAAAAAAAATTTGGAAAAATAATGGCTATTGGTTTAATGACAAAAGAACTCTGGTTTGGGCCAGATAGAAAGCCTGTTCTCTCAGACTCCATGACATTTTTGCTGTTATCTACTGTACATGATTTAAATCACTGTGCTATAGAAAAGATGATTACTTTTATAAAATAATACTGGTGGCGTAACATTCACAAAACTGCCAAAGGTGCTTGTCTGGCCTGCCCCACGTGTCCTAAATTAAACCTTGGAAAGTAAATGCAAACCGTGCCTCACCATTTTAAACTTCCTAATGAGCCATTCATGATTTGGCAGATAAATATTATCCAGCTACCTACCACACATGGGTACAAGAATAATTCAGTCATAATCTGATGTTCTTCCATTGGGTTGAAGCATTCCCTGAAGACAGGCCACATTCCCTGAAGACAGGCTAGAGTCCTATTAAAAAAAAAATCCATACCTGAGGCATGCCCTCAAGCTCCACAGCAAGTGACAAACTTATTTTACTGCACAAGATATAGAACAAGTGTGTGCTAATTGGCTAGCATTGTAGCACTTTTATTATGCTTATCACTCTCAGTTCTTTGGAATTGTTGAATGCATTAATAGTATTTTAAAAACTTAATTGGAAAAGTTTATAGAAACCTTATAGTTACCATGACCAAATGCCCTACCTATAGTGCTTCAAGCTTAAGGGCAACGCTCTTTGAATTCCATAATTTTTCACATTTCCAGTAATTACGGGATGCCCCAGGCATTTGATCCCACCTTGTTTTGACCCCAAATTAATAAAAGGTGAAATGTTTCAATATTGTAAGGGTATAATCAAGGTTATGAATAAAAATTGTACTCTGATAGAACAATATTTTCACAGTGCACTCCTGGGAGATGAAGACCTAAAACACCATAACCGTATGGGCGGAGTGGCTGATGCCTGTAATCCCAGAAAATTGGGAGGCAGAGGCAGGTAGATCATTTGAGGGCCAGGAGTTAGAGACCAGCCTGGCTAACATGGCGGAACCCCATCTCTACTAACAATATAAAAATTTGCCAGGTGTGGTGGTGCATGTCTGTAATCCTAGCTACTTGGGTGGCTGAGGCAGGAGAATCAGTTGAACCCAGGAGAGGGAAGTTGTAGTGAACAGAAATTGCGCCACTGAACCCCAGCCTGGGAGACAGAGTGAGCGTTGTCTTAAAAAACAAACAAACAAATAAACAAACAAAAACATCATAACCTACAACCAGGGTATTCTGTCTATTGAAAAAGACATTTACAAAAGGATTACCTCCAACCTCTCTGGAAAGCCCCATGTCATGTCTTATTCACCAATCATTGTGCAACTAAACTTACAGAAATTGATTCCTGGATACATATGTCTCTTCAAAGAAGACATTGGCTCCTGAGTGGAATTGCATCTCTGTTGACAAATACAAAATAAGTATTTCTAGGATTTAAAGCAGATGACATCTAGTGGTTGGTTTCTCCAAAAATTCCCAGGACTGGGCTGTATACAATACTTTCACTTATAATTTTTACTTTTTCTCCCTCCTTCCCCTGGAAAGACAATAACCTTGTCTGTATTTCCCAATTCATCACTATGGAGGGAGGATAAAGAAGAGTCTTACTAATTGTTGTAAAAACCTTAATCTGTCTCTGATTTTAATGACTTCTTAGTTTTACTTGTAATGAATTTCACTAACATCCCAAATCCAACCACCCATACAAATTGTATCATTGGACCCTCTTATAGGATTAAGCTTTCTCATTTATCTTTAACTTCTGTTTCCTGCCTCACCTTATTAAATAAGCAACCTCCCAGCTGGGTCCCAGGAATGTGCAATGAACCATCCCTCTTAAACCATTCAGCAGCATATCCTAAGGTGCAGAAAAAAATTATTAGGACTGGCTTAAGGAGGAGGGGTAATTAACAACTTGCAATAGCATAACTGACCGTCGTCAGCTTGATTGTGTATCATACAGAAAAATCACAGATGGAAAAATTGTCTGTGTTCCTACTGGCTATATCTACTTTTGTGGTTGAGGCACCTCAGCATGGGCCTCCAAATGTTTTGGCATTTAGACAACAGGAGGTGAACATGGGATTGGATATTTGACCTCTGTATTGTCAACATGTAATAGATCTGAAACTGATCACTGAGTAATCATTGGGCTGCTCCACTCAGGTTACATCACAGAACCAGGTGAAATTTCCCCTCATGACTCCCTAGTGATGACAATCATTTCTATGCTGTTTTCATCTGAAAAATCTTTCCCTGGGGTGGAATTTTGGCTAATGAATGAGTGATTCAAAATCTCTCTATCAACCTTAGTAACCTTGCAGACTCCACTGCAGAGGCTATCACTGCACAGCAGCACTCATTAGTTTCCACTGCCAGAGTAATTTTAGATAACAGAATTGCTCTTGATTATCTGTTAGCTGAAGAAGGTGACGTCTGTGCTATTGCTAATAAATACTACATGCTGCACTTGGATACACTCCTCTGGAGAAGAGACACAGTTACACCAAATAAGAGAACAACCCACATAGCTACAACAAATCTCAGCCAGTCCCACATGCTCATTTGATTTGTTCAGTTAGTTGCCTTTAGGCCTAGGCTTATCAATTGAAATCACCATGCAAATTGGAGTTATCATATTCTTGGTCTTTTGACTTTGTATTTTTCTTTTTAAAATGTCTGCCTGCTGGCCAGAGACAGTGGCTCATGCCTGTAATCCCAGCATTTTGGGAGGCTGAGGCAGGTGGATCACCTGAGGTCAGGAGCTCGAGACCAGCCTGGCCAACATGGTGAAACCCCATCTCTACTAACAAAAGAATACAAAAATTAGCCTGGTGTGGTGGCAGCCTCCTGTAATCCCAGCTACTTGGGAGGCTGAGGCAGGAGAACCGCTTGAACCCAGGAGGTGGAGGTTGCAGTGAGTCGAGATCACTCCATTACACTCTAGCCTGGGCAACAAGAGCAAAACTCTGTCTCAAAAAAAAAAGCGTGCCTGCTGTCTATCAAATTTCCACAGAAATACAACTCCTAACAATGATGAAGACACAGCATCTTGAAATGATAGCCAATACCTATGGAAGAAACAAAATCAAACAGTAATATAATCCAGACAGACTTAACCTTGAGAACTCCTCCTTCTGGCCTCCTTGTTCAAATGCTGCATACAAGTGTCTTAGCACTAACTTCCAACTGTTGATCACCTCCACAAATCACAACCAACTGTCTTAAGCAGATCTATCCTGGCACACTCAAGACTTCACTAGAGGCTGATTGATCAACAGTGCATTTGGAGAAAGACCTTGGTAAAAAAAAAAAAAAAAAAAAAAAGGGCAATATGAAAGTTGCAGATACAAGCATGAAATTATTTTTTATCAGACCCAAACCTATTAGAGCTAGAAGAGCACAAAAAAAAAAAGATTGTCTTAAGAATTTTCTAAAATAAACCCACAAGAAATTATTTTCAGGAAAAAGAGGGATTATTTTCCTAAACAGTGCAGCAATTCACGTAATATGCTCTCAAAGGAGCACCCACCCAATAATGACATCTCCACCAATGAACTTTGACTAACCATGCCTTTCAGTCTCCAAAAATCAATAAACTTTGTTCCTGAGGAGCTTATGTGAACCCCTTTGCCCAAAAAATTTTCCTTTACCTTCCGCTTTTCAGACGCATATGTGGCTTGCTATAGCTGTTCATCTTGGGTTACAATCTTTTCTGATTTCTGAATAAATTCAACATATTGGGAAGTATTTTTGCCCTCATTTTTGGGGGGCTTGATACTGTCATGCTCTCCCCCAAGATCTGCTCATTTTCAACTTTAACTTTGATCAACGATTTAACAAGAAAATAGTGAAAAAACGAAGAATATCAAATGTATGAGCTCAGAGACATTTTACTCAGCATGTATTTATGTTCAAGTTTTAGGTTGAATCTTGTTTTCTGCTGACAATTTGTGATACCCTACAGACAAGATATTACCAGGATTTATTCAACAGAAAATCTTATCTGCATTCTGACCCCCTGAAAGGATACCCAGATACAACAATGATAAGTGCTGTCATGTAGAAAAGTTATGGATGCCTTCATGCATATGGTAAACATTCTTCCATTGTGTGTAGAGCTTTAGTAGGCTGTTTAACCCAAAACACTGCATGGCTCTTCTTCTTGAAACCAAGATTTTCTCCCTAGGGGTGGCTTAGAATATTTGTGCTATAAAAGGTATTAGAAAATTTCTATGTAATGGGAGATTCATGCTCATAGGAAAATGTGGTATCTTTATGCTGAAAATTGAATTTATATTCTCTCAAGTTTAGTAAACTCTGTAAAACGTGATGATGCACATAAGAAACGAAACTACCTAATGTTAAAAATGTCCAATATTATTTTGTTAGATTATTCTTAATTAAAATACTTCTCAGTGAATGGCTGCATTAGCCTTTATCAACTCTATTTACACTTACACACCAAATACAGTCCATATAGTCATGACAGAATGAAGAATGGTAAGAGAGATGTAAGGTAATGAGACAATGAAGACTGGGTGAATCCATAGATTTTACTCACTTTAATACAATTTTCTAAGAACTTTTAGAAAGTGAATATTTAAAAGACAGTGTGAAGTAGTACAAAACTCACTAAATTATTAAATTATCTGTCTCTCAGTATAGATATAGATATACATATTTATCTCTCTATATATGCATAATTCAGCAGTAGATCTCTAAACATATTTAATAGAATTTCAGAAAAAAATTGAAACCAAATTTTGTGAATTAATAAATTACTCAGTAGATTTAACATTTTAGTTAAAGTGTTTCTGTCGTTTTCATTTTGGCGCTACTTTAAAGAGTTTTTAATATGTTTGTATAGTGTCTCATAATTACATTGAAAAATACTAAGATAATTACATTAAATAATTTTTAGGTAACACTGTCAACTTAGACGTTCATCTTGTTTTGGCTAGACTTTTAGACTATTTTTAAATTAGTCTTCCTATCTCTCACATAAGCTCCCTTAATATAGTCATCCCTCTTACTATGGATGAATCACTATTAAAGGCAAATCAGTTTGTGGCATTTTCATTGTACATGCTTCACTGACTCCCCATTACTTTCAAGTTGAAATAGGAAAAATTTAGCATGACATGCTACTGTGGTGTGAATGCTCCCCAAATTTCATATGTTGAAACTTAATTGCCAATGTGACATTATAAAGAGTGCAGTCTTTAGGAGGTAATTAAGTCATGAGGGCAGAGCACTTGTAAATGAGATAAGGTCTTTATAAAGGAGGATTCACACGGCGGCATTTGTTCCTTTTGCTCTACTGCTCTTCTGTCACAGGAGAACACCTTGACAAGGCCATCTCTGAGGGACAAGCCATCACTGAATCTGCTGGTGCCTTCATCTTGGACTTCCCAGCATCCAGAATTGTGCTAAAAAATTCTTTTCTTTATAAATCACTCAGTCTCAGGTATTTTGCTATAGTAGCACAAATGGACTAAGACACATACAAACCCTTTCATGTCCTCACTTCTGTCTTCATAGTCTTTTACTAACATATGCATTCAGTTCCACTAATCATGCTTCTATAATGAAAATTTTCTAAAAGTGCAATGCAATTCAGCATTCTATGATAGGCATAGATTTCTTAGTTCAAGATTTGTGAAAAAAATTATCCATTTATTTCTCAAGACTCAGTTCTAAATGTTTGAAAGAGAATCAAGTTTGAAATTTGTATTAGGCTCCATCCCTAACTATGTTTTTAATGAGATCTTATTTTTTTGAATCATAATGTATCTTACAAAATGTAAAATGCATAAAATTGTACGAAGTAGAAAGTCTTCCTCCATCACCTTCATCTAATCACAAGATTCCCCTCTGGAGGCAGCCGCATGGTTTTAAAAAAGACTTCCTGGCCGGGCGTCGTGGCTCACGCCTGTAACCCCAGCACTTTGGGAGGCCAAGGCAGGTGGATCACATGACGTCAGGAGTTTGAGACCAGCCCGGCCAACATGGTGAAACCTTGTCTCTACTAAAAATACAAAAATTAGCCAGGCGTGGTGGTGGGTGCCTGTAATCCCAGCTACTTGGGAGGCTGAGGAAGGGGAATTGCTTGAACCTGGGAGACGGAGGTTGCGGTGAGCCAAGATCACGCCACTGCATTCCGGCCTGGATGACAGAGTGAGACTCCATCTAAAAAAACAAAACAAACAAACAAAAAAATTCCTTTTCCACATGTCTAGATCCATACACATGTAAGCTACACCTCTTCAAATACTCAACCCTGTGCTTCATTCACAATTATTAAAATTCTGTGCCAGATACTAAGGATACTAATTAAAAAAAAAAACACAGTTTATGTCCTTACAAAAGTAAATTGTAAAAGCAGTTGCAATACGTTGTTCTTACAAGAAATTTACAACGCAGTGGACTATGAATTATGTATCTAACAGATAGATATGCTATTTTTTAGACTAGAGAGTGTTTAAGATATGTCATAATTTAATTATCAGTAGGTAAAAAATAATTTCAGGCTTTTTCTTGAAAAACCCAAAACATAGATACAATGAACATATTTTATGTGGAGTGTGTTTAACTTATGAGTCATAAAGCTCACTCTTTTTATATACATGTGTGCAGTTCTATGAATTGTGATAAAGATGCATCAAGCCATGTAACCACAACCATAATCAAGATAGAGAAAATTTCATCACTCTCTAAAAAATCTTCTTTATGCCCCCTTTTGTTCTGTAGTTAAATGCTTTCCTTGCTTTTAACCATTGGCAACCAGTGATCTATTGTCTCTTCTAATAGTTTTGTCTGTTGAGAACTACATGTAAATGGAATGATATTTTATTAAGCCTCAGAAGTCTTTAAAATAGCATTATACATTTACGATGCATTCATGTTGTTGCATGTTCAAGAGTCTGACTCATTTTTGTTGAGTAATATTCCGTTTGTGTGAGTAGAACCCTTTTAAAAATTTATTCAAAAATGAAGAGCATTTGGGTTACTTTCTGCTTTGGGGATTGTGAATTTTTTATAAACATTCACATAGAAATAATTTGTGTGAATCTAAGTCTTCATTTCTTTTTGGAAAATATCTGAAGCGAGGATGGTAGGACATTTAGTAAGTGCATGTTTTCTTTTGTTTTAATCTGTTAGGTTGCTATAACAAAAGTGCCATAAACTAGATGGCTTATAAACAACAGAGACTTCTTTCTCACAATTCTGGAAGCTGGAAAGTCCTAGATCAAGGTGCCAGCAGACTTGGTGTCTTCTAGCTGTGTGTTCTTATGTAACTGCGCAACAGGTTCACCTTGCCCACTGCCTAGACGGAGTTGATTTGTCAAGACAGGGGAACTGCAATGGAGAAAGTTATTGGTGCAGAGCCGGCAGTGTGAGAGACTGGAGTTTTATTATTGCTCACATCAGTCTCCCCAAGCATTCAGGGATCAGAGATTTCAAGAATAATTTGGTGGGTGTGGGTGAGTGAGTTGGGAGTGCTGACTGTTTGGGTCAGATGAAATCATAAGGAATCAAAGCTGTCTTCCTGCACTGGGTCAGTTCCTGGGCGGGGGGCCCCACGATCAGATGAGCCAGTTTATCCATTGGGATGGTGCCAGCTCATCCATCAAGTGCTGGGGCTGTAAAATATCTCAAGCACTGATCTTTGGTTTTACAATAGTGATGTTATCCTCAGGAGCAATTAGGGGAGTGTCTTGTAACCTCCAACTGCATGGCTTCTAAACCATAATTTCTAATCTTTTGGCTAATTTGTTAGTCCTACAAAAGGCAGTGTAGTCCCCAGGCAAGAAGGGGGATTGTTTTAGAAAAGGGCTATAAACTATGTTCCTCCCAAAGTTAATTTGGCCTTCATCCAGGAATGAACAAGAACAGCTTAGTGGTTAGAAGCAAGATTTCAGATTTCTTTCACCACAGTCATAATTTTGCAATAGTGGTTTCATTTACATGAGGCAAGGAGAATGGGAGAGCTCTCTGGGTAAGCTTTTTAAGGGCACTAATCCCACTCAAGAGGGCTCCACCTCATGAACTAATAATCTTCCAAATGTCCCACTTCCAAATACCATCACCTTGGGGGCTAGGATTTCGATATATGAATTGGGGAAGACACAAACATTCATACCATGGCACCTTATGAAAAGATTAGAGTTTATTTTTTAGAGCAATTTTAGGTTCACAACACAACTGAAGAGAAAGTACAGAGAATTGTCGCATAACCCCATTTGCCCCCTCACACAACTTTCCTCATTGTCAATATCCACTGGTACATTCGTTACAATGAATTAACTGATATTGACATATCATCCTGCAAAGCAGTTTACATTATAGTCCACTCTTGGTGTTGTATACTCTATGCACAAATGTATAAGGACATGTATTTACTATTATTATATTAAAAAGAATAGTGGCACTGCCCTAAAAATCCTCTGTGCTCTGCCTATTCATTCTTTCCTTTTCCCAAACTTCTGGCAACTACTTTAAAGTCTTGATTAGTTTTTTTTCCCTCTTTTTCAGAATGCCATATAGTTGAAATTATGTAACACGTAGCCTTTTTAGGTTAGGATCCTTCACTTAGTAGTATGCACTTGAGATTCTTCCATGTCTTATCATGGGTTAGTAGCTCATATTTTTAATGCAGAATAATGCTCCATCTTCTGTGTATACCAAAATTTATTTATCCATTCACCTACAGAATAACCTTTTGGTTACTTGCACATTTTGGCTATTATCAGTGAAGTTGCTCTAAAACATCCACGTGCAAATTGTGTGTGGATATAAATTTTCAATTCATTTTGATAAATGCCAAGAAATGAGATGGCCAAATCTTATAAGAGTATGTTTAGTTTCACTGCCATTCAAACTGCTTCTAGTATTTTGAATTTCCCAGAATGAGAATTAGTGTTGCTCCACATCATGACCAGCATTTGTTCTTGTCAGTGTTTTGGACTTTGGCCATTTGAATAGGAATGTAGGTGATATCTCATTGCTGTTTTCATTTGCAATAGTCTAATGGCATATGATGCTGAGTCTCTTTTCACATGCTTATTTTCTATTTGTACATCTTTGGTGACGCTTCTGATCAAGTGTTTTGTTTATTTTTCAGTTATGTTGCCCATTTCTTATTATTGAATTTTAAAAGCTATTAGTATATTTTGGATAGCAGTTTTTTTATCAGTGTGTCTTTTGAAAATATTTTCACCCAGTCTATGGGTTGTCCTCTCATTGTCTCGACACTATGTTTTGAAGAGCAGATGTTTTTAATTTCAATGCAGTTTAGCTTAACAATTTCTGTTAGGGATTATTCCTTTGGCATGGTATTTTTAAAGCCGTTACTTTAACCAAAGTCATCTAGATATTCTTCTATACTATCTTCTATTATGTTAGTTTTTATAAGAAGCTGCCAATTGCTTTCAAAGTGGCTATCCTACATGAGAGTTCAAGTTGACCTGCACTCTCACCAGGACTTGAAATTCTCTTTTCTTTTTTTTAAATTAGTTTCAATAGGTATATAGTAATATCATATTAATGATTTCTGTTCTACTATTGACTAATGATGTTAAAGTTTTCTGCTCCTCAGGGTCTCTGCTTTGTAGTTCCTCTAGACAGGAACGCAGGTACACTTTTTTTTTTTTTTGGAACGAAGTCTCACTCTGTCACCCAGGCTGGAGTGCAGTGGTGCGATCTTGGCTCACTGCAAGCTCTGCCTTCTGGGTTCACGCCATTCTCCTGCCTCAGCCTCCCTAGTAGCTGGAACTACAGGTATCCACCATCACGCCCGCCTAATGTTTTGTATTTTTAGTAGAGACAGGGTTTCACCATGTTAGCCAGGATGGTCTCGATCTCCTGACCTCGTGATCCACCCTCCTCGGCCTCCCAAAGTGCTGGGATTACAGGCGTGAGCCACCGCGCCCGGCCACGGGTCCACTTTTGCTTAGGACAGTTGCTCCTGTTGTTTCCATAGTTCCTTCCATGGCTAGGGCTGGCCTCAGGAGGGCACGAGGAGAGAAGAAAGGGAAATCAAGCAAACACCAAACACCAGGAAATGGGTTTCCCTTCACACTCTCTGGCACATGTAGGCCCCTTTTCCATTCTTCTGATGGAAATTGGGATTTTCTCCTGGAATTTACATTGCTCACTTCTGTGATTTGTTTGAAGTTGGAGGCAAACAGGAAGATGCAAACAAGAAACTCATTGCTAAGCGTTGTTATTTAACTTTCAAATTTGATCTCCATTCTACTTGCTATTGTTTGTTTTTCAGTCCCCAAGAAGTGGTATTCAGTGGGAGATGTGGGCTGTAGCCACTTACCCATTTACCCATATGAGTTGTAGTCATGACCCTATTTAAGCCAGCACCAGAAGTCTGGACCTGATGCTTTGAATGGCATCATCTGACTTCTTTATAAAAGGCAGAACTTCAGAGGCCCCTCCAATCACACTATTCATACAAACCTGTTTCATGTATTATCCATGTTCTTTTTGGCTCCTACGTACAATTGTGATCATCTCTTAAGAATAGTGTTACAGGTAGTTGGACAGGCAAGAGTAGGGCAGGAAAGGGCCCTCCCATCAGGAATGTGAGGCAACCATCATGTGATGGTACAGTAGTTATCACATTGCCTCTCTAAAAATGATAATTTGGCAGCTGGCTCCAGGCAGAGACAATCTCCTGATGGTGCACAACTATCACACTGAAGTGTTAATTGAATGCAGGTACCAGGGAGAGGCAACTTCCCAAACAGATAAAAACACTTGAGATTTGTAATTGGCTTCCAATAAAACCTCAGGTACTGGGGGAGTGAGACTGGACATGTGCATTAAGAGACAAAATGGCAGGCTGGGGGCAGTGGCTCACGCCTGTAATCCCAGCACTTTGGGAGGCCGAGACGGGCAGATTACGAGGTCAGGAGATGGAGACCATCTTGGCTAACATGGTGAAACCCCGTCTCTACTAAAAATACAAAAAAAATTAGCCAGTCATAGTAGTCCCAGCTACTCGGGAGGCTGAGGCAGGAGAATGGCGTGAACCTGGGAGGTGGAGCTTGCAGTGAGCCAAGATCACGCCACTGCACTCCAGCCTGGGCCACTGAGCAAGACTCTATCTCAAAAAAAAAAAAAAAAAAATAGACAAAATGGCAGACTATGACCTTCCAGGGGCATTCCACAGGAAAAGGGAAGGAAGCTTCAGATGGGAATGCATACACCTTCCTAAACACAGGACGCATGCTCACTTCTCAAGCATAATGAGGGCACTGCACATATGGGCAGCCCACCCTTAGGGAAGAATCATAGGAAAGGGGTGCAAGACACTGAAAGTGGGCCAGCATCTAAAGTCCTAGGATCAAGGTTAAATGATGCACTAGTCCTTCAAGTCACTCGCTGGGTCTCTTTCAAGTGTGCTTTCCTTTCTTGCCTGCTCTAAAACTTTGTAATAAACTTCGACTCCTGCTCTGAAACTTGCCTTGGTCTCTTTTTCTGCCTTATGCCCCTCAGTCTATTTTTTTCTTCTGAGGAGGTAAGAATTGAGGTTGCTGCAGACCTGTACAGATTTGCCACTGGTAACTTGGATACTTTCTACCTTTAACGATAGTACTAGTGGAGGAGGAGGAGGAGCAAAGCTGATTGGAAGTTGGGGAAATATCTTAGAATCTATTTTTAGTTAAGCCCTAAAGCAGAACCAGAAGCTTTAATGCATTTTGTTGGTGAGAGTTGAAGGAGATGGAATGACACTCCACACAAGGATAGCAGGGAAATGATAACATCTGAGTCATAGAGATTCCCCTCTGGCTGTTTCCACCCTTCTTTCCTATTGGAGAAATATAAATTATATGTAGTATTAAATCAGAATGTCATGTGCATCATGAACAACCTGCTAAGAGATTGCAAAGACTTAAGAAATCTCAGTCTTTTATTTAGCCAAACAGTTACAACCCATTGCATACATGTTCTTAAGATAAACAATAGCTAGTCCTCAAGTAAGAGAACTTGACACCATCATTTGTTACACACAGATCATCCTACGTTCACCTGATAATTGGGGTGTTTATCTGTGTTTACTAATTGGATTTATCCAAAGGAAAATAATTTCATATTTTTATGGCAGAAGGTGATTTTGGAACCCAGAGCACAGAATCTGTTAGGCAAAGTTAGGCACATTGCTTCCCATAGAAACTGGGGCTCTTCATGATTACATTTCAAAGACTTAGCTCCCAAGTGCTAGAGAAAGACATTCCTATGTCTTCAAGCTGGCTAGAGTCTTATCTAGCTTTTAAACAGATTTATATACATTTTAGGGAGACAAGAAAATAATTTACAATTACTTACGTTATAATTACTTAGAATTAAAATTACTTAGAGCAAATGCTCTAAGAAAAGGGCGGTGGAGGGAGTCTCTTCCTTTATTTTTAACAGGGAGAATTAAAGCTCTTTTGAAAACTTGCCTTTGCATCCCCCACAGTCGTTTTGCAACATCCAACTAGGGTAATCCTGCTAAGAAATGAAATATTATCAAGTTACTCCTCTACATTCCACTTGAAAGTAAAGGCCAAACTATTAACAAACATCCTTTCATCATGTGTGTTTTCTGACTCCCCATTTTATTTTATTTTAAGATTTTTTTAATGTTTATTTTTAAGTTTTAAGTTCAGGGGTACATGTGTAGGTTTGTTACGTGGCTAAACTTGTGTCATGGGGATTTGTTGTACAGATTATTTCATCACCCAGGTATGAATCCTAGTTTCCATTAGTTGTTTTTCTTGATTCTCTCCCTCCTCCCAACCTCCACCCTCTGAAAGGCCTCAGTATGTGTTGTTCCCCTCTATGAGTCCATGTGTTCTCATCATTTAGCTCCTACTTATAGTGAGAGCATGCAGTATTTGGATTTCTGTTCCTGTGTTAGTTTGCTAAGGAGAATGGTCTTTAGCTCCATCCGTGTCCCTGCAAAGGACATGATCTCAGTCTTTTTGTATGGGTTCATGGTATTCTGTGGTGTATATGTACCACATTTTCTTTATACCGTCTATCATTTATGGGCATTTAGGTCAATTTCATGTCTTTGCTATTGTGAATAGTGTTGCAATGCACATACATGTGCATGTGTCTTTATGGTAGAATGATTTCTATTTCTTCAGTTATATTGTTTCAAAATATTTACCAATACCCAGGCCAAAAACTAGTGGCATAGTTGACATCTAATATATATTTGCTGGCATAATGTCATGTTGCTTACATTCAATAAATGTTGTTTTTGAAGAAATTAATGAAAAATTTTAAAGACAGGTTGCAAGAACAGAGGAAAAAAGTCCCAAAAGGAAGTTATTGTAAAACTCCAGGCCAGAGACATTGATTGCCTGAATTTCACTAAAATAAAATAATGGGGGAATGTGAATGTATTTGAGAGATTGTGGACGTAATAGAATTAGCTAGACTTGGTGGTTGGCTAGAGATGGGCCAAAAGTAGAGAAAGAAGTCACAGTAAATTTTATCATTTCAGAACGAGCAAAGGGCAAGTATTAATATTTCCCACTAAGATATGAAATTCAGAAAGTTAATTTTGGGCAGTTAATAATGATTTCTATTTTAATTATGAGGTTAAACACTGGCTCTGCCACTTACTGTAAGATATTAAGAATTTTTTTTTATAGCTTCCTAGCCCTTCAATTTCCTCAAATACAAGAAGAACAAAAATGGCATGTACCACAAAGTTTTTGTGATTTTTGAAATAATACACACAAAATACTAAAACAAGTTTCTGCAGTAAACTAAGAAATCACTCACAGTTGCTGTTTTGAGACTTACTATATTACTTTTATCACTCACTATTATCTTTATCCTCCAGAGGAAAGTGAATTTATGGTTATAGTGACACAGACTAAATATAAGTTCATAGGATTAAAAAATATATACAACTCAAGAATGTATATGATAATCGAATCCTTGACAAACATGTATAGTTTTATATGAATCAGGATTCAATAATAGGTACAAAACCCAAAATATTTTAAAATAGAGCTGCAAAGGAAATTGAGAAGAAATTATTACAAAGTAGTAGAATAAATATGAGAGTGGGGCACAATATGACAGAAAATGAGTATTACAATGCTAATTTGAGAGGTTAATGATTACTTTTGCTTGCATGCTCATTGTTTTTCTCTTTACCTTTGTCTGTACTGATACAAATGTCAACTTAATGACACAACTCAGATGATTCCTGCTTAATGAAGTCTATTCTGAGACCTGTAATAAAAAATTATTCTATTTTCGGGGTTTCCATGGCATTTAAATATATATAATCAGTGCTCAGACAAATCTGTTAATAAATTGGCTGATAAGTCATGTTATTCTGTGAGTTTCTTGGATTCAGAGTCTTTATTTATATGTTTACCAGATGTTATATACTGAAATGTGTTCCCCGAAATTTGTATATAGAAGTTTTACACCTAGTACGTCATAATGTTTGGAGACAGTGCCTTTTAAAAGGTGATTAAGTTAAATTGAGGCAGTTACATTGGGCCCTAAATCAACGTGAATGATGTCCTTATACAAGGAAATGTGAGCACACATAGAGACACCAGGGATGTGCAGGGACCTAGAAAAACAATGTAAGGACACAACAGGAAGGAAACCATCTGAAAGCCAAGGACAAAGACATAAGGAAAAACCATACTGCTGACATCTTGGTCTTGGACTTCTAGCCTCCAGAACTGTGAGAAAAATAGGTTTCTATTGTTGCAGCCACCTAGTCTATAATATTTCTTTATTGTAGCCCTAGCAAATACACAAGGGTTTTGGGAAACCTTCATATGTCAGTTTCATGAGGCCATTCAGTCTACACAAATTATCTCCATAACAACTAAAATTTTAAATTTTTAGATAATTTCAATATACAATAACTATATCCTGATTATTCATAAGATTTAAGAAAAACATAATTTTCTCTATTGTGGATGAGTTTTCTGGATCCAATTATTTATGATACTGAATTTCATAGGAAGTTGAAAGCAAAGCAAGTTTTTGTTTTTGTAAAGTAATACAGTTTAAAAATGTTCATTGAAAGATTGACTAAAATATTTTAGATTCTAAATGAAAACACTAAAATAGGTGCATAAGACAAAATAATGTATTTTTAAATTGCATTTTGAGCTGATTTTTATTCATTCTATGTAACTGATTTTAGGGATGTGTTGTTTTTTTTCAGTCCACATGAACATAGTGGTATAATTAACAAAATGGAGTTAACATTTCTAACATCTCCTAAGCTTGCCTAAATTTTAGGCAGGTTTCTTCTAGACTCTAGGCCTAGGATCTCCCTTTTCTTAGAACACTTATGTTAGAAAACTGGCAATTGTAAATTCTTTCACTGCCCCTTTGAGATGCAAATTTTCTGCCCAGTCATGCTTGTTACCAGGGGTTCCTTGCTCCCAGAGCTCCCAAGATGGTGGTGGGCTGCTTCCAAAATGGTGGCAAGCCTCGTGTTCTCTGACCTGGGGTTCTTGGCCTCACGGATTTCAAGGAATGGAATCTTGGGCCATGCGGTGAGTGTTATAGCTCTTATTAGAAGCCGTGGGTCACGGAAGAGAACTGTGGAACCTACTGACTCCTGTTCAGCTCAATTAGGACGAACCCAGGCACTTAGCTGTGCAGGAACAAGGGCAAGCCTTTAGCCCAATCAGGAGTGGCAATGGGTGCCTCGCTGGATCAGAAGCACAGCGGACACCCTTCCAGATCTGGAGGGATGGCAGTCAGCGGTGGGTCTGTGACAGCGGCGGGTCTGTGACAGCGGCAAACACCAGTGGTGGGCAGCAAGTGAAAGCTCAGCTCGAGCTGTAACAAACACGGACCAGAAGAATGCAGTTGCAAGATTTAATAGAGTGAAATAGAGTGAAAACAGAGCTCCCATACAAAGGGAGGGGACTCAAACAGGGTAGCCGTTACTGGCTCGAATGCCTGGGTTTATGTCCTGATCATTGTCTCTCCCTCTGTGCTCTTGGGCCATAGATGATTGGCTATTTCTTTACCTCCTGTTTTTGCCTAATTAGCATTTTAGTGAGCTGTCTTTACTATCTGATTGGTCGGGTATGAGCTAAGTTGCAAGCCCTGTGTATAAAGGTGGAAGCAGTCACCTTCCCAGCTAGGCTTAGGGATTCTTAGTCGGCCTAGGAAATCCAGCTAGTCCTGCCTCTCATGCTGACTAACCTGCCGCTCGATGTCCTCTAGTACTTGTGCACTAGCTCATACCAGCAATTAAAAACTCTCCTGGAGTTGTTTTAATGTAATTGAGTTCAATCTCTGTTCTCTGTTGCAAGAGTCTTGAATAAAGCCATTATTGCCTGTTTAATATGTCTGTTGAAATTTTCATTGATTTAATATAGAAAAACTGGAGTTTATTAGTGTTTATATGTATTTGTTTCTTTATATATATTTCTGAGAATATATTCACTTAAGGTATATGAGAATAGCTGATCTTTCATACCAGGAAATATCAAACCTAAAAGCACATGTCATTATGTAATGTGGATAGAAGTCTTCTTTTGAAACATAATTACCCTCCTCATATATGTTCTATCAGATCATTAACATTGCTTAGATAATAAAATATCACAATATAGAGAGATGTAGAATAAAGTGGGAAGTATTTTTCCAAGCTATTTAGCCAGGATTGTCTCCCCAGAAGAAGCAAGAATAATGCTTTTATTCAAAAGTTAAAAGGAAAATAATCTCAGTGAAATGCAAACTCTTTGACATATAAAAAATGTGGCATATGCACAACTGTAAAATGATCTTTGAAAATTTATTTTTGAAAATAAATCCCAGATGTCATTGATGCCTTTCTTTTTTTTTTTTTTTTTTTTTTTTTTGAGACGGAGTCTGGCTCTGTCGCCCAGGCCGGACTGCGGACTGCAGTGGCGCAATCTCGGCTCACTGCAAGCTCCGCTTCCCGGGTTCATGCCATTCTCCTGCCTCAGCCTCCCGAGTAGCTGGGACTACAGGAACCCGCCACCGCGCCCGGCTAATTTTTTGTATTTTTAGTAGAGACGGGGTTTCACCTTGTTAGCCAGGATGGTCTCGATCTCCTGACCTCATGATCCACCCGCCTCGGCCTCCCAAAGTGCTGGGATTACAGGCGTGAGCCACCGCGCCCGGCCGATGCCTTTCATTTTAACTCACTTTGTTTGCAGTTTTGGAGTAGTCTGTGCTATAATTTTGGACAGACTCTATTGTCTGACATGATAACAATTGTAAAATACTGACGAAGGCAAAAACGTGTTCTCAAACTCTTTTGGTAGAGATTTTAAGGGCTGGAAACTCAAAATGGAGTAGTTTGATGTGTCCTTAATCTCTTCTCAACAGCTAGTGTAGAGTTGCTGACTTTCTCACATCTCTGAGTGAGCAAAGAAAGGAAGTCAAAGGTTAAATCAATCTGTGTTTTAGTAAATAGGATATGGAAAGCTCAAGTCCACAGCCAGGCTTAACCTGACTTCTGCTTGACCACAACTATTAAGTAGAACACTTAGTAAGTGTACAAAGTCAAGACGCTTGCCCTTGGCAAGAGAGGAAGAATGAAGGAAAGATAGTAATGAGTCTGTCCTATCACCTGGGAACATGAGAAGGCTACTTATCCTCCTAAGCTTCCCATTCACTGCCAAACACTGTACAGAAAACAAACAATAGCTTTAGTCTCCTGGCACTGTTACATTACAATCCCAAACCACTTACTCTGTCATTAGTTCTCCATAGTCAAAAACTGTGACCTTATCCATAACCACTAGATGTTTTCCAGTGGCCAATAATTACTTTGTTAGTAAAATAAAAGTTGTTTCTAAGGTTCTGTTAAAAAAAAAATGGGTTCCAAATATTCAATTTGCATTTTCATCCAATATTTATGAGAAAAAAAATACATACTTTGTGGTATACCATATGCTAGTATTATACATGGAAAAGAGGATACAATGATGGTTCTACAAGAAATACCGTCTTGTCAGAGACAGATTCCAATGTAGTGAAGGTCAGAGTAATTATCAAATGCACAATTACAGTAATGAAAGGTACAATAACAGAGAAGTGCCTGGGATATTAAAGTTTGCTAAAATTTATTAAGAACTACAAGCTCTATATCTTAATGTATTACACAAACTCAAGTGTAAAAAAGAAAGAAACCAACAAAGTTTGAAAAAATACATGTAAATGATATATAAAATATGCTACCTCTTATTTCTTAATGATTATGTACTAAAAGGTTTTTACTGAATTTTTTCTAATTTTAATAAGATATTAAATTTATAATTACAAAATAATATAAGTGTGTTCAGAGTACTACAGTTTATTCTCTTCTTCAAGTTATTTGATAATATTAGCAGAATAAGAAAAAATACCACTGCACAAAGGACAAAAACATACAATTGGTACTCTCTGACAGAAAGAAACACATCTATAAACACTTACTGTTTATTGGGTGAAATAATAAATATTATTGATCTACAGTTACATGTCTAAAACATTTCATTGATTTTGTTTTGTATTTTTGTTGCTCACACTATGAATGCGAAAGTAATTACACACACCACAAAAATCTCTTGTATTCATAAACAAAATTATTCCTAATAGAAAAAATAAAACCTACACTGTCACCAAAAGTGTATAAGTGTTGACTACCTGAGGGTGGATGGTGAGAGGAGGGAGAGGATCAGGAAAAATAACTAATGGGTACCAGGCTTAATACCTGAGTGAGGAAATAATCTGTACAACAAATCCCCATGATGCAAGTTTACTTATGTAACAAACCTGCACATTTACTGTTGAACTTAAAAGTTAAAAAAAAGAGAAAACCTAATATTTCTCATTAATACTCTACCAGTACCAATCATCAACCTCTTTCAACAGATTAGAAAAAAGATATTCAGATTTTATTGTCATTTTCAGAAAATGTAAGAGAAATTTAATTTTGTTGGAGAACTGCCAAATGCTTTATTAGCATAATGATTTCAAGGTACAGATTGCTGGAAATAGAGTCTAGAACATAAAGGGTAGGAGATTGGTCAGAATGGTGGGAGAAAATCTAGGGAAAGGGGCAGGCCTTTTGAAAAGTCAGAAGGCTCTGCTTAGCTTCGGTGGAGAATAAACTGAAGGCAGCTCTTCTCTGACCCTGAGGGAGAGGGCAAGGAGTAGGTACAAAGAAGTATAGGGGAATTTATCCTAAACAGGCTTGTTCACTTACGTTGACCAGGAACTGACCTTTGATCATCCGTGTGCATGACCCGTTCCCTGTAAGGGGAACAATAAATGTTAATTACCCACAGACTGTGTTTGCCCCAGGCTTTCGGCATTATGTCTGTACTGAGTGAAAGCAAGCAGCTCCAGCCGTTTGAGACTGCTCACTCTCTGGCCACTAGTGCCAGGCAGTCCCCTAGCTGCTCTAACACTGCATACCTGTGTCTGAGTACTCGTTTCATCCATCACTAGGCCAAGGTCTGCAGGATGGACCCGGCAATAAAGCTTGTGTATTTGACTGAAATGGGAAATGGTCACAAATTTCTTCATCCTTGGTGAACTTGCCTCTTTGCAATGCTATTTTCCTGCTACTCTGCTCACCAAGTGGTTGAAAGTACTTCTTCACCTTGTGTAATCAGGGCTGGTCTTGTGATTTGTGGTGATGGACAGAATGCAGTGGAAGTGCAGTGTAGGAATTCTGATCCTAGTCCTGACCAGGAAAGGAAGTTTCCACTCTCACTTTCTTGACAAATTGCTTTGAGGTTGCTATGTGAAAAATCTTGGTTAATCCTATTGGAGGATTAGAAATCACATAAAGCAGAGCTATTGAATCTAAGTTCCTTCAGAACTACCAGCAAATACGAGACACGTAAGCCCACTTTGGACCATCCAGCAACAGTAGAGTCACGAGAGAACTAGGGTCTCACAAGTGACCTTAGGCAAAACTTGTGGCAGAACTGAACATCTAAGCCCATTCAAAATTGCTGACATACAGGATTATGAACAGCACATAAATCGGTAATTTAAAGTCACAGAGTTTTGTTGTAGTTTGTTATAAAGAAACGGATAACTGGTAAATCTCTAAGATGTCTATTTTCTGAAATAAAATTAAATCTGTTCAGGAGACCTTGATATAGTTCTTTGAATAATACCTAATAATAAAAATAGAAAGTAATATTTATTGGTAAGCAATGTGCTAAATATTTTGCATTTATTGCCTCCAATAATTCTCCAAGTAATAAATAATTTTACCTTTCGTTTTTATTTCCATTGAAAACTAGGATAAGAAATGTTAACTTGAAATTTTATCTGAAGTGTTTTTTCCATATACATGCATTATCTTTTAAAGTAGAGTAAGATAAGGCCCAACAATATATAAACTAATTATCCATACATAATTAAGTCATTTGTACTTTTCATAATTTAAAAAATCATTAAAAATAAATCAAAAGTGAACATTTCATGTAAGTATACATGACACTTTGAATTCCTAAACTATAAAAGTAATAATCATAAAGAATTAACCTATATACAGTTATTTGCTTATCCAAATTGATTAAGATGATGCGTACATAAAATGCCATGTCCTTTATACTTAATAATTTATTCTGTATGTGTACTGTTTGTTTAGTTCTGCTAGAGATATGCTGTTCTCAATAAAGAATGTTTTGAAAAATACTCTAATGTAATTACTAGATTTCTATAATAACTTGTCAACTGTAACAATTTATTTTCCAGTATATGCTTATTTCAGAAGTAATTTCTTGGGAACTTAAGGATAAAGAGAAATAATTAAATGTGAGGAATAACACATACATATAAATAAAACAAATGGAAGAACAGAAACAGAAAATATCTTAATTCAACTTGAGAATAAATTAAATAATATCTTGGGAAAGGGTAAAGATTCTGTGAGATAATAAATACACATTTTTTAAGCTGCTAAATGTCTGAGTAATTTATTATGTAGAAATAAATAATTAATACATTGCAAATTAGCAAAATGCTAGAAATATGTAAGGATTCATTTATGTATACCAAATGTAGATGCTTTTGTAGGTTTACTCCTAATACATTTTACAGGTACTGTATTTAAAGAAAAAATAATGTCTAAAATTTTCATCATTGCAATTCATGGGAAATTGTGTCAGTGTCACTGTTATTGTAATTACTTGTAAATAGGTAATTGTAACTAGATTGTTAAAGGAGTAATAAATATTGTTAAATGGGAGATACATTTTATAGAACATTTTCTTCTTACAGCCAAAAAATGTTGAATGTTATTCTACACTGAGATACATTTGACTGGAGAGGATGTGAATGCCTGGTCCAAGATACATATAACAAAGTATATCTTTAGGAATTTGATATCAGTCTTAAACATAGGATGAAAGACAAAGCTCTTTTATCATCTCCCAAATTCTCATTTTCCTTTTGTATGCCTTTTTCGAAAGCTTTTGATAATGTATTTCAGATTCATTCATATTGTTTTCTCTTTTATTAGTTTCTTAATTATTCATTTTCCAATTGAGGGGCATTGTGTTGTTTCCAGGTTTTGGCAATTACAAATAAAGCCCCCATATGTATTTGCTTCCCATATTTGTGTCAACGTAGGGTTTCATTTCAATTGGGTAAATTCCTAACTTGATAAGAAGCTGCAAGTTTTTAGAGTGGACATAATATTTTGTATTTCATTCATCAGTGTGTATGAATACCACCTCCTCCACTAGTTCTTGATATTTTAGATTATTTTATTTTAAAAATTATTTATTAAATGTCTGTGCAGGGATATCTCATTGTTTTATTTGCATTTTCCTAATGACTAATTTGTTTTCTTGGTATCTATGTCTCTTTTGTGGTCAGGTATGTGCTTAAATCTTTGTCTCATTTTGAAAATTGAGTTATTCAATTCATTATTATAAAGTGCAGTGTGCTTTTTAAATACTGGAGCTCATTTAAAAAATCAGATTTCTTATTTTCATTTTTCTTCTACCAGTTTTTAGTTTCTCTTTTATTTCCTTAGCAGTCTCCTTTGAAGATCAGATTTTCTTAATATTGGTAAAGTCCAATTTTTTTTAATGAATTGGTCTTTTTGTGTCATATCTAACAAAACTTTGCTTAATCTAAGGTAACAAAGATTTTTTTCTACATTTTCATTTAGAAGGTTTGTATATTTAGGTTTTATAATTAATAACCCATTTAGGGTTACTTTTTGTAACTCAAAGATAATGTGAGGTAGGAATTTACACTTTTTTAGTTACACTCACACAAACACATACACATTCAGGTTTGTTTTGCAGTTAGGTTAATGATTTCTCATGAGTCACTTTTCTAACTCAAAAATGGTGTAAGAGAGATTAAAGTTATTTTATTTGCATAAATGTTTATTTGTTTCATACGATTTCTGTTTGTGTGTTTGTTGAATATCAATTGATTATATATAACTATTTCTGGATTATATATTTTGTTCTATTTATCTATATGCCTGTACTTTGTCCAGTAAAAATCTGCCTTGAATAATACAGTTCTATCATAGATATGAATAGGAGGTACTAATGCCCTTCAAGAACACTTTTGCCTTCTTTTAGAAAATTGTTTTGGGCATTTTAATTTCTTTACCTTTCACCAAATATATTAAGGATGCTACTATCTAATATGTATATATATATTCATATCTATATTTACTGCAGTGACATTGACTATACTTCTTCTAATGTGTAGATTATGAAGATAATTAACAACATTGAGCATTACAATCCATGATTATGGTATTTAGCCCTACTTGTGTTTTTTGAATTCTTTTATCAGTGCTTTGCCAATTTTAGCATAAATATATTAAATGTATATAGTAAAAGTTACAACTAATTACCTTATTTTCTCAGTGCTATTGTATATGTTATGTTTACTTTTCTTTTCAGTTTTTAATTGTTGCAATCATGTAGAAATGGAATTAAATTTTGTATAGATAACATATTGAATTTTATAATAGCCTTTTTCCTAGGAAATTGTTAAACATATTTTTTCAGTTCTAGTACATATTTTGAATCTTTCAAATTTATACATATAAAATCAGGTGTCAGTAAGTAGATATTTTTATAACTTTCTTTTAAATCTGTATGACTTTGGGTGGGGATAGGTCTTCTTGTATGTCCTAGGGTCTTCAAAATGTTATTAAATAGAATCGACATTCCTATCTTGTTCCTGATATTATAGGAAAAGCACTTAGTCTTTCATTGTTCAGGATGACATTATCTTAGAATTTTCTTAGATGAACTTAAAAAGCTTAAGGATATATTATTTTATTTCTAGTTTACTGAATATTCTTATTGGAGATGGATATTAAATTTGGTCATTCGCTGCTTCTGCAAATGCAAATGACCAAAAAATTTAAGGTTTTTTTTTTTTTTTTGGATGAGGTGGTTATTCTTGGTTGGTCTCTTCATATGATTAGTTATATTGCTTATTTTTTGTTGTTGAATTTGTTTTGCAACCACCAAGGAAAACACACTTGTCTGTCTGTATTTGCCATTTTACATATTGTTGAATTAAAATTTCAACTATTTCTTTAAAATATTGTATGCCCATTTTTATGAGAGATTTTGGTACATAGCCATCTGTTTTTGTAATGTTATTGTCTTTTTTATATATCAGAGCTATGCTGTCCTTTAGAATAATTTGGGAGTATTCACTTCTCATCAGTTTTCCAGAAAAGTTGTTTGTGTAGGATTTGGTACTATGTCCATATCAATATTTGGTAGAATTTACCGTTTAAACTACTTCAGCCTGGTGTGTGTGTGTGTGTGTGTGTGTGTGTGTGTATGTTTGTGTGTGTATGTATGTTTGTGTGTGTGTGTGTGCATGTATAAATGTATTTAACAAATATTCAATTTTTTAAAAAAAGATATAGAGATCTTCTGTTGTTTCAGTAATATTTGCTAGTTTAAAGCAATTTATCTCTTTCATCTAAATGGTCAACTTTATAGTAAAATGTTCTCTTATTATCTTTTAAAATAAGCAGAATCTGTATTGATGATCCAGTTTCATTGCTAATGTTGGTCATTTGCATCTTCTAACTCATTTTATGCATCAATGTGGTTAGAGGGTAATCAATTTTATTGATGCTCATAAAAAGTGAACTTTTAAAAAATATCTTTTTATTGTCTGTTTTCACTCTCACTGATTTTTTTATGTTATCTCCATTATTTCTTACTTTTTGCTTCTTTTGGATTTATTTTGCTTTGTGTTTTCTAATTTCATAAGGTAGAAGCTTAGGTGATGAATTTGAGTTCTGTCTTCTTTTTTAATAAAACAATTTCATGCAGCAAAATTTTCTTTAAGTACAAACCAATACATTTCAGTATGTCCCTTTTTCTTTTATTCAATTAATAATAAATAGTAAAGTCTATTTTGATTTCCAGTGCAATTCAGTAATAGCATAGTAACATATTTTGGATACTTTTAATTATTTTTAACTTGTTAAGGTTTGTTTTAAGGCCTGGAATATGGTATACTCTTTAAATGTTTTAAATTAATTGATGCATTTTGCTGTTGTTAGTTTGGAGTGTTCTCTAGTTTTCCACTTTGTCATTTTGGTTTATGGTGTTTTTAAGGTATACTACATAGTTTTTGATATTCTACTTATTTTTTAAAATACTAAGAACAGAATATTGAAGTTTCTAACAATAGTTATATATTCGATTACTTGTCTTTTAATTTTGTTTTATATTTTTTGGTCAGTTATTAGGTGCATATACATTTATGATTGTATTTATTCAGTAAAATAATCTCTTTATTATTATGTTATTTTTCTTTATTATCTTTGATATTCTGAAGTATAATTTTTCTGATATCAACATATCTTTTGATTACTATTTGCCTTGCTCATCTTTTAAATTAAACACATAAATGGTCTTATTTTTAAGTACGACTTATCTGTCTTTCAATGGATGTGGTTAGACAATTTAAATTTATTGTAGTTTTCGATATTATTGGATAAAAATCTATGATTTGGCTATCCATTTTCTATTTACTTTATTTAATTTTTGTCCTCTTGTCTGCATACTTTGGATTGAATATTTTTAAGCTTATTATGTTAATTATTGAAGTATTATTTATATGTCCTTTAAAGTTAGGTATTGTCCTAGATTTTATAATATCTATCTGAATGTTCAGTGTTTGACAACATATTCGCATTTCAGTTTTTCAGACTCTTGTGGTATTTTTACATACATATTTGATGTAATAAATGCTAAAGTCTCACATAAGATTGCTACTAATTTTGGCTTTACACTGTTGATATAGTCTACAGCAAACTAAAAAGTTTCAGTAATGTATTTTGTCTTAACTTTTTATTACATATAATAGATAACTTTTAAAGTTATTTTGATCATATATTTTTACTTATCATAATTTGATATTTTCAACATTTTTCATTCAAAATATACTTTAAAATATATGGTCTAAAATTTCATTTATTTGTTGTTTTTTCAATTCTATTTTTTAAGATAGGATTTTTTTTTCTCTATTATTCAAGCTGGAGCTCAGTGGCATGATCTCACGTCACTGCAGTCTCAACTTCCCAAGTTCAAGCAATCCTCCTGCCTCAGCCTTCTGAGTAGCTGGGACTACAGGCGTACCCTACCATGCCAGGCTAGTTTTTGTATTTATTTGTAGAGACAGGGTTTTGTTATGCTTCCCAAGCTAGTCTCCAACTCCAGTTCTCTAGTAATCCACTCACCTTGGCTTCCCAAAGTGCTGAGATTACAGGCACAAGCCACCATGCCTGGCCCCAATGTTACATTTATTAATGTAGTCTAGAAGCAAAACTTTTAATCCTAAAATATTATTTTTCTCTGATACATTGACAGGTATTGTATAATTTGTTGTTTCAAAATTCTGTGATGTCCAATTTAAATGGTTCACAGATGTGTTAAATTAAGCTTTGAAAAATACATTTATTTGGATTTAAAATTATCTTCATGTTATTTTCCATGATTTATTATATTAAATATTTATTAATATTTCCAGGATTATACAAGCTAATTATGTTTAATTAATTAGTGTTTTCATCTTTAAAAGCCTAAAATTAGTATTTTTTGATTTCCAGTAATCAATACGGAAAATGAAAATAAAAATACTAATCCTTCAAATGGATAATTATTAGACTGTATGACTGATTTACATTTCCTCATAAAGGAATAATGGTTTATTTTATTAATTTTTTTTACATTAGCCTAAAGTCTTATTGTTGTCCATTGTAAAAGATTTCACAGATAACATAATAGTTATTGCAGGAAATATTTAGGTTAAATGAGTGAGTGGAAACTTGCAGAAGAAACAGGTCACTCACAGGTGACTCAGTTCTGCATGGCTGAGGAAGCCTCAGGAAACTTACAATTATGGTGGAAGGGGAAAGGGAAACAATGCACCTTCTTCACAAGCCAGCAGGAAGGAGAAGAGAAAGCAGGGAAAATGCCAGATGCTTATAAAACCATCCAATCTTGTGAGACTCACTCATTGTCATGAGAACAGCATTGGGGAAACCACCCCATGATTCAGTTACCTCCACCTGGTCCCAATCTTGACATGTGGGGATTATGAGGAATACAATTCAAGGTGAGATTTGAGTGGGGACACAGAGCCAAGCCATATCACTTATATAGGTGGAATCATGAAGTATTTATCCTACTGTGTTACCTTATTTCACTTAGCATAATGGACGTTATTGATACTATCAAGTATGGCAGAATTTCATTCCTTTTAAAGGCTAAATAGCTTTCCATTGTAAACATATATCACATTTTCTACACCCATTTGCATGTCAATGGGTGTTTGTTTTCATATTTTGACTACTGTGAATACTGCTGCAATAGACATGAGAGTGCAGATGTCTCTTTGAAATCCTGATTTTTTTTTTTATTATACTTTAAGTTCTGGGACACAAGTTCTGGGACACAGGTGCAAAACGTGCAGGTTTGTTGTATAGGTATACATGTGCCATGGTGGTTTGCAGCACCCACCAACCTGTCATCTAGGTTTTAAGCCCCACATGCATTAGATGTTCCTCCTAATGCTATCCTTCCCCTTACTCCCAACCCCCAACAGGCCCCAGTGTGTGATGTTTCCCTCCCTGTGTCCATGTGTTCTCACTGTTCAACTCCCACTTATAAGTGAGAACATGCAGTGTTTGGTTTTCTGTTCCTGGGTTAGTTTGCTGAGAATGATGGTTTCTAGCTTCATCCATGTCCCTGCAAAGGATATGAACTCATTCTCTTTTTATGGCTGCATAGTATTTCATGGTGTATATGTGCCACATTTTCTTTATAGTCTATCATTGATGGGCATTTGGGTTGGTTCCAAGTCTTTGCTATTGTAAATAGTGCTGTAATAGACATATACGTGTGCATGTATATTTATAGTAGAATGATTTATAATCATTTGGTTATATACCCAGTAATGGGATTGTTGGGTCAAATGGTATTTCTGGTTCTAGATCCTTGAGGAATCAGAGATCCTGATTTTAATTCTTTTGGATCTAGGCTCTGAAGTGGGATTGATGAATCAAATGGAAATTTTATTTTAATTTTTTTAGTTACTTTCATACTGTTTTACATAATGGTTGCACCATTTTACATTTCCACCAGTAGCATACAAGTTTCCCTTTCTCCACATCCTTGTCAACATTTGCTATCCTTTAACAAAAAAAAAGCCATTATAACAGGGGTGAAATTTTCATGTCCCTGAAAATTAATAATAATGAGCACATTTTCTTACACCTGTTGGTCATTTGTATGTCTTCTTTGGGTAAAGATTCATCCAGGTCTTTTTCCTTTTTTATATCAAATTGTTTCTTACTTACTATTGAGTTGTAGGATCTTTTTATATATTTTGGATATTAACCCCTTACCAAATGTATGATTTGCAAATATTCCTCCCATTCCATATTTTACCTTTTCACTCTTTTGATGGTTTTCTTGCCTGAGTAGAAAGTGTTTTTAGTTTGTTTTAGTCCCAGTTGTCCTTGAAATCGGAATTACATTATAATTATAATTCTTGAGATAGAAGAATGCATTTTTGCTTCTGTTGCTTGTCCCTTTGGTGTAATATCCAATAAATCATCTAAAACTTTAACAATTACAGGTCTTATCTTTAATTCTTTAATACATTTTGAGTTGATTTTTGTGTATGGTGTAAGATAAGATTACAATTTCATTCTCTTCTATGTGAATATCCAGTATCAACTTTTAAGACACCAACAATTTCTCCATTGTGTATTTTTAGCACCCTTGCTAAAATTATTTGACCAAGTATATGTGGGTTTATTTCTGTGCTATTTTGTTTAATTGGCTTATTTTTCTGATTTCAAGGCCAGTACAATACTGTTTTAATTGTTGTAACTTTATAATATAATTTAATAAGAAAATGTGATGCCTTCAGCTTTGTTCTTCTTTCTTAAGATTGCTTGGGCTATTCTTGGTCTTTTGCAGTTTCACATAAATTTTGGAACTTCTTTCTCTTTCTATATTAAAAAATCAAGATTTTGGTAGAGATTACACTGGGACTTTAGATCACTTTAGGTAGTATGGACATTTTAACAGTAATAAGGCTTTCAACTCATGAACATGAGAAAACTTATTCATCAAAAATGAAGAGATAAGGACTTTCCAAATAAAATAAAAAAGAATTAATCCTCACTAGATATGCCTTACATCTGATTTTGCAGGGTACAGTCTCTACAGTTGCTTTCATGGGCTAGCACTGAGTGCCTTCCAAGCTGTCGATGAATGCAAAGGAGAAATGTGGGGTTGCAGCCCCCACACAGGGTCCCCACTGAAGCACTGACTAGTGGAATTGTGGGAATTGGGCCACAGTCCTCCAGACCCCACCCAGAAAGATGGATTCATCGACAGCTTGGAAGGCACTCAGTGCTAGCCCATGAAAGCAACTGTAGAGACTGTACCCTGCAAAATCAGATGTAAGGCATATCTAGTGAGGATTAATTCTTTTTTATTTTATTTGGAAAGTCCTTATCTCTTCATTTTTGATGAATAAGTTTTCTCATGTTCATGAGTTGAAAGCCTTATTACTGTTAAAATGTCCATACTACCTAAAGTGATCTAAAGTCCCAGTGTAATCTCTACCAAAATCTTGATTTTTTAATATAGAAAGAGAAAGAAGTTCCAAAATTTATATGAAACTGCAAAAGACCAAGAATAGCCCAAGCAATCTTAAGAAAGAAGAACAAAGCTGAAGGCATCACATTTTCTTATTAAATTATATTATAAAGTTACAACAATTAAAACAGTATTGTACTGGCCTTGAAATCAGAAAAATAAGCCAATTAAACAAAATAGCACAGAAATAAACCCACATATACTTGGTCAAATAATTTTTGTCCTAGCTGAGGTTCTCCATGAGGCCTCCAGCCCTGCAGCAGACTTCTGGGTGGACATCCAGGCATTTTCATATATCCTCTTAAAGCCAGGCAGAGGTTCCCAAAGCTCAATTCTTGTCTATTGTGCACCCACAGGACCAACAGCATGTGGAAGCCACCAAATCTTGGGGCTTGCACTCTCTACAGCAATGGCCAGAGCTGTATCTTGGCAACTTTTAGCCATGCTGGAGCCAGAGTGGCTGGGATGCAGGGGCACCATGTCCAAAGATTGCACAGAGCAGCAGGACCCTAAGCCTCTGACAAGCTCTGGAAGCATTTTCCCCATTGTCTGGGCTGTTAACATTCAGCTCCTTGTGACTTATGGAAATTTCTGCAGCTGGCTTGAATTTATTCCCAGAAAATGGGTTTTCCCTTTCTACCTCATGGTCAGGCTGCAAATTTTCCAAATTTTTATGCTCTGCTTCCCTTTTAAACATAAGTTCCAATTTAAAATAATCTTTTTGTGAACACATATAACTGTATGCTTTCAGGAAAAGCCAAATCACCTCTTAAATGCTTTTCTGCTTAGAATTTATTTTACCAGATACCCTAAGCCATATCTCTCAAGTTCAAAGTTCTACAGCTCTCTAGGGTAGGGGCAAAATGCCACCAGTCTCTTTGCTAAAGCATAGCAAGGGTGACCTTTGCTCCAGTTCCCAATAAGTTCCTCACCTCAATCTGAGACTGTGGGGGTTCAGTCAGAATGGTGGGAGAAGTTGTAAAATAGTCACAAACCTTCCAGGAAGGCCGGGGTTTTGCATAGCTTCAGTAAAAGATACTGCTGAAGCAGCCTAATCCTCTTTGAGCTAATAGCAAGGGTAAATAACAAAGGAATTCAAGGGAGTTTATCTAAATAGCTTGTTTACTCATGTGGTCCTAAGACCAACCTTTGATTTCCCACCGGTGCATAATTGCTCTCTACTGGGGCGCGGGAGGAGGGGGGTGTCGGCAATGTCAATTACCCTCTAGTGGTGTTTACTCAAGACTTTTGTCACTTACATACTGAATAAATGTGAGCTTCGCTGGCTGATCAGGGCCACAGCTGCAACTCTTTACAGCACCCTCCCTGGTGTCTGTGAGTGGTCCAGACACTTAGCTGGACTGTCAGGCAAAATATCTGTGTCAGTGTACATTATTCATCTGTCGTTGGGTCAGGATCTGCGGGTCAGTCTCCCACATGAGACTGCCTCAGTCTCGACTTCATTGTCCATATCACTATCAGCATTTTAGTCAAAACCACGTAACAAGTCTCTAGTAAGTTCCAAACTTTTCCTTATTTTGTTGTCTTCTGAGTCCTCCAAACTGTTCCATCATTTGCTGGTTACCCAGTTCCAAAGTGGCTTTCACATTCTCAGGTATCTTATAGCAATATCCCACTACCTTGGTATCAATTCTCTATATTAGTTCATTCTCACACTACTATAAAGAATACCTGAGACTGGGTAATTTAGAAGAAAAAAGGAGATTTAATTGACTCACAGTTCTGCATGGCTGGGGAGGCCTCTGGAAACTTACAGTCATGGCAGAAGGCAAAGGGAAAGCAAGGCATGTCTTAAATGGCAGCACGAGGAAGACAGAGAGCATGCCTGAAGGTGGAAAATCCCCACATTTGTCAAACAACAAGATCTCATAAGAACTCTAGCATGAGAACGACAACTGATACCAGGGAAATAACAAATAATAATAAGAAACTTTTTTGAATAATTATATGCCAACAAATTGGAAAACCTACAATAATTGGATGAGTTCCTAGGAAACATACAACATATCAAGACTGAATCACAAAGAAAATCATAAAGATAGATAAGATAGATCATAAAAGAGTAAGAAAAAATAATCAGCAAGAAAAACCTTTTCAACAAAGGAAATTTCAGGACTATATGGCTTCACTGTGGATTCTACCAAACATTCAAATAACAATTAATACCGATCTTCTTCACTCCTCTAAAAATAAAGAAGAGGAAATACTTCCAAATTCATCTTACAAGGGTTGCATTTTCTTGATACCAAAGCCAGAAAATACACTGCAAGAGATGGGAATTAAAAGACCATCTTCCTGATAAACGTAGTTTCAATATCCTCAATAAAATACAGGCAAATTGAAGTCAACAGCATGTTGAAAGCACCATTCACCATGATCAAGTGGCAAATTTGGTTCAACATATACAAATCAATTATGTTATATATCACATTACAGAATGAAGAATAAAATCACTTGATCATCTCAATAGACAAAGAAAGAAGCATTAGACAAAATTCACCACTATTTCATAATTAAAACACTCAACAAACTAAATATAGGAGGAATTGTATTTTTTAAATTTGTTCTTGTTTATGGCAAGTACAGTAGACTTTATTTTGTAATCTGTTTTCTTTCTTTTTTTCTGTGTACCTACAGGGTTTTTTATCTTCCCTTAATGTCCTGGGAGTTTACTACTTTCTTCTTATTTAGACTTGGTGATTGTTTTAGTGTACAGAATACTACTTAAACTTCATTTTTATCTACTTTCTTCCTTAAATTCCTTACAGCTCAAATTTGGTCATGACTTGGAAGGAGAAAATTATTAGAAAAAGATATGAAACCATGCCATCAAGGGATAGGGCCACTGGCATTATTTTAATCCAATGGTAGTGAGAAACACCATAGCCAACTTTATGAATAACCTTTTAAGATTTCTTTCACATGAGTGAACATTGTCAATATTATTATTCTGCCATCCTTTGTCTTCCTTGTTTTAATTTCCTATGTTTCTAGTAAGAGCCTTAATGCAGAAATTATTGCATTAAATAGTAAGATTAATAGCATAACCAAAATAGTGTACTATGTGTCATTGTTTTTCAAATAAAATTCCTAGATAAAAAAGCAAAGTCACCGAACTCACGATTGTGTGAAAATCTCAGAATGAATTATGAAAAAAATCACCTAATTAATAGAAGACTATTAGGTAAGCAGCATAACAGAATTGACACCGTTTAGTTTGTGGAGTATAACTGGTAATCAATCATTACTTTATTTTTATCAAGTCATAACCCATAAGTAATATCTGGTTTCTTTCTTCATTTTTATCTGTTAATAATTAATACAAATTCCAGCTACATTTACGTTGAAAGTTAGTTAATGTGTGTTAGAATTACATACTTAGTTAATTATTATTACATATATATGACATTCACAATGTAAAAGATGCTGTGTATACTTAGAAATCTCATATAAATATAATCAAATTGCCTCTATGATATATACTCACTATCTAGAGCACACATATCAAATATGACCAAAAAGCCCAGCAGGTTTGGAATATACTTTTGGAAGCCCATGGACTCAAAACCACATTAATTATAATATTATGACATTATTTGCTCTTTCTAGTCTTTTCCTCATGAGCATACAGTGAATATTTTCAAAGGCTTTATAGACATGTGGTATCACAATAGATTACATAAAAAAGCAGATATGATAATCCCCATCTTTTCTTGAATTTGGACATTACATTAATTTGTAAAAATGTAAAACAATATAATCATTTACATTTTATTTTGTTTTGAAAATATAGCTATTTTTATAAAATTGTGCAATTTTTGTTAACATGCAATGAATTTATTTCTGCTATTTTAAATAATAAATAGTTCTTGAATTTCACAGTTTTAATTTATAATATAGTATATATTGATATTTATAACTCAAATTTCAAAAAAAATTTGGAGAAGCCGAAAATTTTTTATATATAAAATCTGTATATCTATAAATCCTGAGAAAATAAAATTGCTGAACTGGAGAATAACATATGCAATTATAAATTAATTTATTCAAAAAATTTTTACCTGCAATGATTATTCTAATATGTCACAGACAAACAAATATGCACAAACTGAGAGACATTTTACTTATTGGAGTTTCTCACGTAGTTGGGTAAGAAAAGTTATAGCTAGATAAGGAGGAACAGTGTTCAAGTCAAGAAAGAGTTGCTACATCTTCTGAAAAAAATTCTATGAATTAGAAAGAGAACATTGTTTTAAGATAATTTTTAACATTAAGGTTTAAGAAATTCATTTAATCTAAAAGTAGAGAATTTAAATGAAAATGAGTTTGAGATATTGTTAAAATCTCTATAAAAATTACATAAACATGGGCTGGGTGCAGTGGCTTACGCCTGTAATCCCAGCACTTTGGGAGGCCAAGGCGGGTGGATCAGCTGACTTCAGGAGTTCAAGACCAGCCTGGCCAACATAGTGAAACCCCATCTCTACTAAAAATACAAGAGATTAGCTGAGTGTGGTGGTGGGTGCCTGTAATCCCAGCTACTCAAGAGGCTGAGGCAGGAGAATCACTTGAACCTGGGAGGCGGAGGTTGCAGTGAGTTATGATCTCACCATTGTACTCCAGCCAGGGCAACAAGAGCAAAACTGTCTCCAACAAAATAAAGAAATAAAAAAAGACATAAACATTTGGCTGAAAGTTTTCTAAAGGTAGACTGAAAATAAAAAGAAAGCTATTAAAATATTATTTTCTGATGGCTAAATATGGTGTCTGTCAGATTTTGACAATTTAACAAAATAGACAAGAGTTCATTTGGAGACAATTTACATAACGGGTCAAATAAACAGTCTGCAGAGCAGCTGACACTTCTTATTAAGGTCATTCAGTTAATTAGTGAAAAACAACCAAGAATTAGATTCTCATAAGGCTCAGTCCATATTTTATTCTATAACAATGCAATGTCTTAACATTCCGTTATCACATTTGGTTTGCCATGAATCTTGCCAATTGTAAATAATATTCTTGAAGAATTTACATATTTAGAATATGTAATTCTGAAATTATGCATTAATTGTAAGAGAAATGACACTGAGGATATAATAAAATGTATAGCAGAGAAACAGATTGAAATTTGGAAGTTATTAGAATATTGGATAAATTAATCGTAAAGGCTGTCAGTAACTCACTTATATAATCATTCAAAGTAATACATACATCTATTTATTAACAAGAAAGTTGAAAAGATATTTAATAATATTAGTGGAGCTTAGGTGGCTTATAACTGTAAGCTATGAATTTCAGGTTTTAGTTCCAGCATGTAAATAGCATGGAAATCACAGTTTTCAAGGGTTATAAGAAAGTCCTTACAACAAATAAAAGCAGAACAAACTAAAATTAAGGATTTTACTAAGACTCTTCAGGGAATAGAGGTCACAGGGCAAACAACCACTCCAAATTGCAGAAAATGGGTAAATCCAGAGAATCACAGCCCAAAATTGCTTCCCAGGAATAGAAATCATAAGCTGTGAACAGGTAGGAACAGTTAAATGGGAATTTTGTTGGGTTATTGGAACTTGAGAGGACAATTGATTAAGATAAATACTGTCCTGAGGGTTGTATTTTTAGACAACCCCAACAGTTTTGTGGAATTTCGACTCCAGAGGCCTCATCAAGTTTTCCTTGTGAAGATTTAATAAAAATTCCTCTGCAGCTCTGGCATGAAGCAGGGAAGAGTAATACTTCTGAGTATTGTCCAGCACCTTCTCTATGGCAAATTTCATCTGCCAGAGGCAGGACTTTACTAGAGCCTTGTCCCAGAAATTAGGCATTTTCATTTTATTCCAGTTCCTTCTAGTTTTGCTGTATGCCTGAAGAAAAGAAAAGCAAAAAGTTATATTAGAAGAAACACTGGTGAATGTCACAAGCCAAGGACACAGGCCCATTAAAGATAGATTTTGTTGAAAAATTTCTCCCACACTTTACCAGCATATCAACAGGGTTACAATATAATAGTACATATGGCAAATTACACCTGAAAAACCTTGAGACAAAAACTTTCTTTGAGGAAACCTACTAAGGAAAGCTGGAAGTGGAGAGTAAAGACAAGAACAAGGACACTGGGGAAATTTGAAGCCACTGGCACCTATAGCTAGTACAGGTACTAACAAAGGTCAAATTTTAATCATATTAATGCAAACCTTTAACTGGACAGCTATTTATTCAGTTCTTATTACCCAGTGAATGAATTCTGGATTTCAACAGCAACAACAATAACAACAAAATAGAAGACACACCAAAAGGCAAAATAAAACAAAATAGTCTGAAGAAGTCAATCATCAAAACATGACTCAGATATAAAACCAATGTTTGCTTTATCAAGTAGAAAGTTTAACATAGTTATGACTAATATCTTAATTATTATTAAAAGAAGAGAACATGAAAACAGGTTGACAATGCAAGAAGAGATAGAGAGACTAAGAAATACTTTAAAGGAAATGCTAGAAATCAAAAACATTTTATGTATCAACAACTACTTTAACTAAGCTAGAGCACCTAGTTGTTTGGTCAAACATTAATCTAGATGCGGCTTTGAAGGTATTTTGTAGATGTGATTAACATCTACAATCAGTTGACTTTTTTATTTAGAAGATTATTCTTGATATTGTTGGGAGAGACTGGGCTTATCTCATCAGTTGAAGGCCTTATGAGCAAAAACTGGATTCCTGGCAGGGGGGAAAAAATCTGTCCTCAAGACTGTACCATGGAAATCCTGCCTGAATTTCTTGCCTGTTTTCTGCCTTGTTAATTTGTCACTCAAAACTGCAATATCAACTCCAGTCTAAATTTCCTGCCTGCTGCCTGCCCTGTAGATAACAGACATTCCAGTCCTCACAATTGCATCAGTCAATTACTTAAAATAAATCACAAGTATCTTTCAAAATAGATAGACTAGATAGGTAGGTAGGTAGGTAGGTAAGTAGGTAGGTCAGTCGATCCCAGATCTTATTAGTCTGTTTTTTGGGAAGATCCTGAAGAGATTTACTTCCAGAACTAAATGTAAAGAGAAATGTTAATAGAAAAAATAGAGCTTCTACGATTTAAACGGTAATTTCAAAATGTAAAAAGTATGCATTTTTAAGGTACCAGAAATAGATGAAAGGGAGAATGGACAAAAAGAAATATTTGAAGCAATAATGGCTGAAAACTTTCCAGAAGTGGTGGCAGACAACACAGCACAGATCCTTGAAGTGCAAAGAATACCATGCCAATTAAACACCAAAATAACAACGATAATAACTAAAAAAAAAAAAAAACTTCAAAACTAGGCATATTATATTTCAATTGTAGCAAATCAAAAACAAAGAGAGATGTTGAACCAAGCCAGTGTATGTTTGTGAGTAAGAGTGAAGCACCTAAGATTTTCTTCTTTTTTTTTTTTTTGGCTTGATAGGAACAAGAATAAGAATTAGAGTAGAGTATTTTGTGAGAAATTCCACCAACTAGAATTATCTATTCAGAGAAATTGTCCTTCAAAAGTGAAGGAGAATAAAGACATACTCAGACAAGTAAAATATTGAGAAAATTTATTCCTAGTATCTATTCCTCAAGAAATGTGAAATATTTCCTTTTGGCAAGAGAAAAATATCACAGGTTAGAGACATATCTACATAATGAAAGGAAACGCATCAAAGAAGGAATAAGGAAAATATATTTTCTTATTCTTAATTTATCTAAAATAATGGATCATTTAAAGTAATACCAGTAACAATATAATGGTTGATTGTAGAATAAATATAAATGAAAAATAATGTCAACAACTTTATAAGACATGGGAAGGAGGAATTAAGATTATAGTGTGATAAGTTATGTGTATTATACATAAAGTGGTATGGTGCTTTTTGAAGGTTGATTGTAATGCAATTGTAAACTATAAGCCAAGTACTTATAACATTTTAGAAAGATGCCTAATTACTGTGCAAAATGAGAAAATAAAATGGGAATATAAAATGCTCAATTAATTATAGAGAAGACAGAAAAGTAGGAGAAATTTATATTAAATTATAATTTTATAATAAATTATAATTTTATATAATTTAAGTAATAAATTATAAATTTAACAAATAGAAAGAATACTGTATATTAATCCAACTGTATCGATCATCACTTTAAATATCAATGGCCTAAACGTACCATTTTAAAGACAGAGATTGTCAGAGTGAATAAAATAAGAAGACTTAACTTTATGTTAGACAAATTAAATTCACTTTAAATATAGAGAATCTTATAGATTTGAAGTAAAGAACTGGAGAAAAATATGTCATGCTGATGTTAATAAAAGAAAACCATACAGACAAAGCCAACTTAATAACAAGAAAACTTATTAAGGATAAAGAGGGACATTGTATAAATAAAACAATGACCAACTCTGCAAGTCAAAAATAATCCTAATTTTCTAAGCATTTAGCAAAGAAGATGAATATGAATGTGGACAAAAAAACTGATAGAACTCCAGGTAGAAACACACGAAATCCACTATTATTGATGTCTTAAATATACTTTCATAATTGATAGTAAGGAAATAAATATCAGTAAATATATAGTTGATCTGAACAACACTATCAACCAATGTAATTTAGTAGGCATTTATGGAACACTAAATCACTGGATAAATTGAAAACTAAGAAGGAATATTAATAGAATAAAATATAATGGATTAGAATAGCATAGGGTAAGACAAATCATTCATAAAGATTTTAAAATAATTTATGTAGGCACTCTTCCATAAAAGAAAGTGGAACTAACCTCTCCACTTCTCAATTTTGACATGAAAATAGCGAGTTCGTTCCAAAAAGTACAATATAAATGAGTCAAGAGTGGGTGCACTTTACATCAGAAAAATCTGGCAAATGCAATCTCAGCTAAGTGATCAAAGTCAATATTAATTCATACTGAGATTCTCCAGTGGGCAACAATACTCACATCTTGATACTGACTTGAACATTAAATCTCGTAAGTTAACAACTTCCTTATTAATAAATTTAATAAAATGATATGGTAGTATCTTTTCTGACAACAATGGTACAAAACTAGAACTCAATAACAGGAGATATCTTAAATATTCATAATTATGTGGGAATTAAACAATATGCTCCTGAAAAATCAATGGGTCAAATAATAAATCAAAAAGAAAATCTAAAAATATCTTCAGACAGAAAAGAGTGAAGACACAACATATGACAACCTAAGAGGCTCAGTAAAAGTTGTTTTAAGAAGAAAGTTAATAGCAATAAATACCTACATTAAAAATGAAGAAAGATCCCAACTAAACTGTCTAACATTATAACTTAAGAAACAGAAAAAAACAAACAAATCCCAAATTTTGCAGATAAAAGAAAATAGTAAAAATAGAAATGTAAATAAGTCAAATTGAGACCAAAAAAACCATAGAAGGAGTCAATATAACTGAGTTTAATAAAATAAACAAGATTAGCCAGCCCTTAGATGGCCTAAAAAAAAGAGAGATAAACGACTTAAATAAATACCAAAAATGAAAGTGAAGAAATTACAAAAGACACATCAGAAATAAAAAAAATCAGAGAACTATTATGAATGATTATAAGCTGATATTTTGTATCATCTAAAGAAAACAGATAAATTTCTAGAAAAATACATTTTACCAGATTTAAGTCAGGAATACATAGAAAGCCTCAACAGACCAATAGCAAATAAATAAATTGAAGAAGTAATTAAAAACCTCCAAAAAAAGAAAATCCCTAGACCAGATGCCTTCACAGCTGAATTCAAAGAAAAATTGATACCCATGCTTTTTTAACACTTCAAAGAAATAGATCTATGGGAATAACTTTCAAACACATTTTATGAGGCCAGCATCACCTTGATAGCCAAGCCAGATAACAATACTGCAAAAAACAAACAAAACAAACAAACAAACAAAAATCTACAGGTCAGTTTGTCTGATAATCACTGATGAAAAAGCCCCAATAAATTATTAGAAAACTTAATCAAAGAGTATGTCAAAAAGATTATATTGTAACCAAGTGGGATTTATCCCTAGCCTGCAAGGTTGGTTTAACATGTGCAAAGCAATCAAAGTGATGCATCATATTAACAAAATCAAAAGTAAAAGCCAGATAATTCATCTCGATTGACATAGAAAAAGCAATTAACAAATTCCAACGTTTTCTTGTGATAAAAACTCTCAAAACTTAGGTATAAAACAGTTCCTCAACATAGTAAAGATCATTTATAAAAAATCAGTAGCTAACACCATAATCAATGAAGAATAACTGAAAGCTTTTTCACTATGAACTGGTACAAAGCAAGTATGACCACTCTAGCCACTTCTGTCTAGTACTGAAAGTACTCTGCTTCTGGAAGTGAGAGCAAGAGCATTCAGGTGAGAAAAGAATAAAAGACATCTAAATCAGTATGGAAGAAGTAAAATGATCTCTATTTGCAGATGACATAATCCTATAAATAAAAAATTACAGGCCGGGCACGGTGGCTCACGCCTGTAATCCTAGCACTTTGGGAGGCCGAGACGGGCGGATCACGAGGTCAGGAGATCGAGACCATCTTGGCTAACACGGTGAAACCCCGTTTCTACTAAAAATACAAAAAATTAGCCGGGCGTGTTGGCGGGCGCCTGTAGTCCCAGCTACTTGGGAGGCTGAGGCAGGAGAATGGCGTGAACCTGGGAGGCGGAGCTTGCAGTGAGCCGAGATCGCGCCACTGCACTCCAACCTGGGAGACACAGAGAGACTCCGTCTCAAAAAAAAAAAAAAAAAAAAAAAAAAAAAAAATTACAAATATTCTACAAAAACACTGCTAAAACTAATAAATGAAGTAAAGTTGCAAAAGAAAACACCAGCATACAAAAATCAGCAGCATTTTTATACTCAAATAACAATCTAACTAAAAAAGGAATGAATAGAATAATTTCATTTACAATAATATAAAAAATACCTAGGAATAAGTTTATCCAATAGGTGAACAATCTGAGGTGAACAATTTGTACAACTGCAAAGTATAAAACATAAATGAAATAAATTGAATAAGGCACAAATAAGTGGAAAGATATTCCATGCTCATGAATTAGAAGCATTAATATGGGTAAAATGTTCACACTACTGAAGGAAATATACATATTCAATGGAATACCTATCAAATTCCAAATGGTATTCTTCACAGAAATAGGAAAAGAAAATCATAAAATTTGTATGGCACCTAAAAATACCTCAAAGTGTCAAAACAATTCTGAAGAATAAAAACAAAGTTAGAGACATTGCACCCCCTAAGTTAAAATTATATTACAAATCTATAGTAATCAAAATAATATGCTATCGGCATAAAACAGACACATAGGCAAGTGGAACAGAGTAAAGAGCCCAGAAATAAATCTAAACATAGATGGTCAACTAATTTTCAACAGGAGCACCAAGATGGCTAAAAGTAGAAAGGATAGCCTCTTTAATAAATAATGCTAAGAAAACTGGATTTCAACATGCAAAAGGCTAAAATTTTACACTTTATCTTAACACCAAACACAATAATCAGCTCAGAATGGTTACAGACTTAAATATAAGATGAGAAACAATAAAGTTAGAAGAGGACGTAGAGAAAAAGCTCCTGGGCGTCGTCCCTGGCAATGATATTGTGAATATCACACAAAAGCTCAGGCCACAAAAGGAACAATAAATACATAGAACTACATCAGACTGACAAGGTTCTACATGGCAAGGAAAACAATCAACAAGATGAAATGGCCTAAGGTTTGGGACAAAATATTTGTGAACCATGTTTCTGATAACGGGTTACTATTCAAAATGTATAAAGAACTCATAAAACTCAATTGGAAAAAAAATTGGTTTAAAAATAGGGAAAAGATCCGAATAGATACTTCTCTGAAAAAGAAATAAAAACGGTCAATAGATATTCATTGGAGAAATGGAGATTGATATAGCTATTATGGAAAATAGTATAGAGGTTTCTAAATAAAGTATAATGGAACTATTGTATTACTCGATAATTCCTCTTCTGGGCATCTATACTCCCCCAAATGATGCCACCACCTTATAAAGATATCGGCACCACCGTGTTGATAGGATTATCTGGATTTTGTAACTAGAAATGTTTACTTAAAACCCCAGAAACATCTTATTAGATAATAAGTTTAGACCACTTTCTTTTTCTTTTTCTTTCTCTTTTTTTTTTTTTTCTTTGAGACAGAGTCTTACACCGTCACCTGGGCTGGAGTGCAATGGCACGATCTCTGCCTACTGCAACCCCGCCTCCCAGGTTCACGCGATTCTCCTGCCTCAGCCTCCCGAGGAGCTGGGATTACAGGTGCACACCACTACACCCAGATAATTTTTTTCTATTTTTAGTAGAGACGGGGTCTCACTATGTTGGCCAGACTGAAGTTTAGACCACTTTCTGCAGAGGAAAAGCAGTAATTATTCTAAGGTTGTTTGTGTGTGTGTGTGTGTGTGTGTGTGTGTGTGTGTGTGTGTGTAATTTTATTATTTTTTAGAATAGATCATTGTAAAATTGGGAAGATATAGTCAAATCAATATGTTTAGACTTTTCTGAGAACCATTCTAGCTACACTAATTGTAACCACAGATGTTGGTTATTGATGGAAGAGAAATCCAGCTGGCCCATGGAGTAGTAAGTCACATAGAGTCATGAAACATAACTGAAGGATGTTTACATCTAATAGGAAAAAAAATTAAGAGAAAAATAATTTGCCATACTTTGATCATTTTAATAGAAATTATTACAAAGAATATTGAATTATAAAAGAAATATACCATAGGTATAAAATTAATTATATTTTAGTGCTAATAATGAGAATTTTCCTAGTTTATTTCATTTCATATTAGTCTAATATTATTTTAATGTCATTTTAAAGGACTTTTCAGTTCTTTAAGTTTTTCCTTATTTTAATGAATTAATATTTTAAATTTTTATAGTGGACCAATGACATCTCAGGCTTGTAATATAATAACTTAGGGAAATATGGTTTTCTGTTATAATCTAAAAATAAACCATGGTCAGTAATCAATTTTCTTGATTCCATTAAATCATAAGTGTATTGAGGTCAAGAGTACAAGGTGGAAATTGTCAGCCTATTAATTCATTAAATATTTAGTTCAGCTTTTAGAAACATATTTAAATATCTATTACACACCTTCCTAGCATTACTTGTCTCACTTTTTTCTTTTTTATGGTTATTTTGAATTACAAATGTTTATGTGTCAAAACTAAACATTTTTTAAAACTATGTAAATACATACATTTGTATTTATACTATATATTGCATTGTCTCCTCCTCTGAAAGACCAATGATATCAGACATTTCAAATAGAAAACCTAAACAGCATAATTAGGTAGAATAATCCCCTTTATGTGATTTCTTCTACAGAATCGCTCATGCATAATCAGGAAATGTTACTTTCTGAAGTAAATGTTGGTTCCAGTGTACAGCTCCACTGCATTTTCATTGGCAACCTCTCTCTGCATGATTCTAAAAGATGGATCGCTTAAATATGACGTTATAGAGGGTTCATTTTCTTCTACTTCCAACTACGATGATTACATGTAGAGTTATTCTATTCTCACTTTTAAAGAAAACTCAATAAATAAAAAAAATTAAAGCTTTTAGCTCTGGAGAGAAAGCAATCTATCCTCCAATGTGAAATAATAGGAAATAAGTCATTTTTATCATTTATGTAACATTCCTGTTAATATTAATATCCCGCCTTTAATTGGTTCCTCTGGACATTCAATCAACTCAACATATTCAATTTTACTGAGAACACAACTGTGAATATACTCAAAAGTTTCAAAAAGTATAACTGTTAAAAGTGCAGACAGGAAATTATGGTCATTAAATCTCACACAGCTTCAGCTACTTTTGAAAGTATTTTGACATTCTGCAAATATATTAAAAAACCATTGACATAAAAATTGTATGTTAAGTTAAACTGTATTATTATTATTGTTTAGAAAAATATTCATCTTTGACAGGGAATAGTTTCAAAAGAAACCTGCTGATATGATTTAGGATACTTGTAAGTATATGTGTGCAGTATCATTTACCTGGTTTTTTGGGAAAATATTTATCCAAAAATTTTATCTTGAATTCTTTAAAAATATCATGACCTTTTAAAATTCAGAACAAAATATTTTATTGTCACCTTTATTGTTTGACCAAATGTATTGCACATTCAGAATAGCATTTTCTGTGAAACATTCTCCATTAGAATAAATACCAGAAATTCAATTAATAAGTACGTCAACACAGTTATACTAATATAATCAGATAGCATAATAAACCACCTTTACAACATTCTCTACAATATTCTACAATATTCTCTAGCTCCATTATATAAGTTTTTTTAAAATATATGTTTTCGCCTCATATATTGACAACTTAGATTACCCTAGGTGATAGTTAATATTGTCAGCTTGATTGGATTGAAGGACGCAAAGTATTATTCCTGGTGTGTCTGTGATAATGTTGCCAAAGGAGATTAACATTTGAGTCAGTGCACTGGGAGAGGCAGACCCAGCCTCAGTCTAGGTGGGCGCCATCTAGTCAGCTGCCAGCAAGGCTAGGGTAAAAGCAGACAGACGAACGTGGAAAAACTAGACTGGCTGAGTATTCCGGCCTTCATCTTTCTCCCATGCTGGGTGCTTCCTGCTCTCAAACATTGGACTCCAAGTTCTTCACCTTTGGAATCTTGGACTTACACCAGTGGTTTACCAAGGGCTCTCAGGCCTTTGGCCACAGACTGAAGGCTGCACTGTTAACATCCCTACTCTTGAGGTTTGGGGACTCAGACTGGCTTCCTTGCTCCTCAGCTTGCAGATGGCCTATGGTGGGACTTCACCTTGTGATCGTGAGAGTCAACACTCCTTAATAAATTCCCTTTCATATATAAATCTATCCTATTAATCCTGTCCCTCTAGAGAACCCTAACTAATACAGATGTTGGTAGCGGTAGAGTGGGGTACTGCTATAAGGATACCCCAAAATGTGGAAGCGACTTTGGAACTAGGTAACAGACAGAGGTTGGAACAGTTTGGAGGGCTCAGAAGAATACAGAAAAATATGGGAAAGTTTGGAACTTCCTAGAGACTTATTGAATGGTTTTGACCAAAATGCTAATAGTGATATTGACAAGAAAGTTCAGGCTAAGGTGGTCTCAGAAGGAGATGAGAAACTTCTTGGGAACTAGAGCAAAGATCATTCTTGTTATTCTTTAGAAAAAGAGACTGGCAGCATTTTGCCCCAGCTCTGGAGATCTGTGGAACTTTGGACTGGAGAGAGATGGTTTGGAATTGACACTTATGTTTTCTGATGCTACAATAAAATAATGTTTTGTCTACTTATATTCTAGCCTACTAATACAACATGAGTATTGCATGGTCAGAAAATAGCCAGATGTGGTGGCATGTGCAGGTAATCCCATCATGTCAGCCTCTGGATTATCTGGAATTATATAGGCACATACCCACACAACTGGCTATTTTAAAACTTCTAATTTATTTATTTATTTATTTTGTAGAGACACGGTCTCACTATGTTGCCCAAGCTGACCTTGTTCATATTTCTTCTTCCAGAATATTTCATATCCTGTAGTAAGCAGTCCTCCCAGTTTTTGTTTAAATGAAATGAAGTTATGTATTTCCTACATTTAAAAAGAAAAGTATCTTCATTGAGAACAGAATTCTTACAGAATGGGAGAAAGCATTTGCAAAATATATATATTATATGAGACCTGTACCTAGAATACATTTTAAAATTTTTGCACCTCAATGAGAAGTCATAAAACCTCATCAAATCAAGGAAATCTAAATATAAACCCTAGCCAGCAATTGAATGGGAACTTTATCATATGAAATACATAGAGGTCAAGTAATCATGTAAAAAAACTCCAATTTTTGGAATTAAAAAGAAAACTCAAAGTCTAAAAAATAGCAAAGCTAAAAAAATAGCAATGTGTCATCATTACACACCCCATAGAATGGTAAAAGTGTAAAACGATGCTCTTTACTAACTGCCGGTGAGGACATGGAACCATTATAACATTCATACATTTTGTGTATGATTGCATAAACACTTTGGATAGCAATTTTACAGTTACATAGAAATTTAAGCATCCACTTACCAAATCACCTGGCCATTACATTCCTATATATTTACTCAAGAGAAAGAAATACATATGTTCATTCAAAGCTTTGGTTCATTGCTGTGTTATATGTAAAAGCTAAAACCTGGAAGCATCCAAAAATTTTTTTACCAGTGCAATGTAATACTACTCAGCAAAGAAACAGAATGGACGAATAAAAACGACGACGATAAATCTCAAAATAATTATGTTTGTTTTTATTTTAAAAAATTACAAGGAAAGCATATCCAGTACAATTTCATTATATAAAATTCTAGAAAATACAATCTAATTTATAATGACAGAAAGCAGACCAGTGCTTGCCTTCTCATTGCAATGTATGTGTTTACTACCAACATGTGTCAAAACTCATCAATCTGTTTTTTAAAAAATGTGCATATTATTGCAAAAATAAAATAAATTACAAATGCAAGGCAATAAAATATCTCAGTAGTCTTTGTTAAAAGCAAGACGCTTTAAAAAATGTAAGTAGAAACAAGTAGGATTGCCAAATAATTTTGATTAAAAAAAGTCAAAAAGCCCATATGATTTTTTGTACTTATTAACTAATTATTAAGATTGTGTCATAATGGCTAAAGCATAGACATATGGGTAACAGAAATGTAACATATACCAGAAAGTAACATACTCATAATTAATGAATTGATTGTCAACAAAGGTCAAGACAATTCAATAAAAAAGAATTGATTTATTTTAAAAAAGTTATAAAATAATCTTATAGCCATAAGTAAAAAAATCATCTCAATGTACACCTTACAATTGAATACAATATTAACTGGAATGTATCATAGATACAGCTATACATACAATGAAAACTATAAAACATCTGGATGAAAACATGGGAGAAAATATTTTTCAACTTCAATTTGGCAACTTTTTAAAATATAGGACATAAAATTCACAAAACAGAAAAGAAAATCAATAATTTGTACTTCACAAAAGTAAAAAACTTAAGAACATTGCTAAAAATAAAAGACAAACAACAGAAAAAATGTTTCGATAACATATACCGGAAAATTATTTTATATATATATATAATAATTTTATATTATATATTATATTATACATATATAATTATATATATTTTGTATATATAATTATATATTATATTATATATATAATTATATATATAATATATATATATAATTATATATATATAATATATATATATAATTATATATATATATTATATACATATAATCAGGCCAGGTGCAGTGGCTCACTTCTGTCATCCCAGCACTTTGGGAAGCAGGGGTGGGCTGATCACGAGGTCAAGAGTACCAGACCAGCCTAACCAACATTGTGAAACCCTGTCTCTACTAAAAATACAAAAAATCAGCAGGGAGTGGTGGCACGTGCCTGTAATCCCAGCAAAAGGCTGAGGCAGGAGAATTGCTTGAATCCGGGAGGTGGAGGTTGCAGTGAGCCGAGATCATACCACTGCACTCCAGCCTGGGTGACAGATGGAGACTCCGTCTCAAAAAAATAAAAAAAACACCGCATGTTCTCACTCATAAGTGGGAGTTGAACAATGAGAACACATGGACACAGAGAGGGGAACAACACAACACACACCAGGGCCTGTTGGGAGGTGGGGGTTGGGGAGGAAGGGCAGGGAGAGCATAAGGACAAATACCTAATGCATATGGAGCTTAAAACCTAGATGACAGGTTGATGGGTGCAGCAAACCACCATGACACGTGTACACCTACGTAACAAACCAGCATATTCTGCACATGTACCCCAGAACTTAAAGCAAAATTAAAAAATGAAAAAATAAAAAATAAAAAAATTGTCTCTATTTTCAGTAACATCATAGTCTAAGTAGAAAATTACTAGGAATCAGTTAAAATGGGCATAGTATTTGCATGATACATCACTAGTATATAAAAATCAGTTGCTTTCCCATACATCAGAAATCAACTATTGGAATTTGAAATTAAAGGGAAAAATCAGTGTCATTTTCAAAATCACACACCAAAATGAAGTGATTATGTACACATATAACACAAATGTATAGAACCTACATGCAGAAAAGTGTAAAACACTAAAGAAAAAAAAGAATATGTAAATAAATGGAAAGATATTCTGTATTTGTAGATTGAGCGACTTACCTATTGACAAGATGTCAGTTCTTCCCAATCTAATCTGTATTGACTGCAATATCAGTCAAAATACCAGTAAGCAATTTTGTGAGTATTGAAAAATTGATTCTTAATGTATATAAGAAGGCAAAGACCTGTAATATCTAACACAATGCTAAGGAAGAAAACCAAACCTGGAGGACTCACCATATCAAATTTCAATAGCATCATATTGACCAAAGAATAGGCACATAGAGTAATGGACTACATCAAGGAGAATACAAATAGACTCTCATATAGTCAACAGATCTTTGACAAAAGAGTAAAGGCAATTTAGTGAAAAAGAATGATCTTTTAAACAAATTGAAACAATTGAACATTTAAATGCTAAAAATGAACTTAGATATAAACATTACACCTTTTACAAAAATTAACTCAAAATGACTCATAGGCCTAAATGTAAATGTAAATGTAAAATATAAAATTATAGAATTTCATGAGTAAACATAAAATATATATGACCTTTAGTTTGAAAATGAGCTTTAATTACAACACCAATGGCATGATCTGTCAAATAACAATTATTGTTTGACTTTTTTAAATGTAAAAATTCTGCACTGCAAAAGACTTTTATGAGAATAAAGAAAATGAATGAACAGACTGACAGAAAATATTTACAAGTGCAGATTTGAAAACATACTTGTATATAAAGTATTTTTAAAATTGAACTCAACAATAAGAAAAAATAATATTTAAAATGGGCAAAAGTCTGAACAAACACACCAAAATATATGGATTTAAAATAATTAAATGAGAAGATGCTCAGGACCATTTGTTAACAGAAAAATGTAAATTAAAGCTACAATGAAATACCACCATATATCTATTAGAATCAGAATCACTAAAACCCAAAGGCTAACGATACCAAATGCTGACAATAATACATGAAACAGGAACTCTGATTCATCTGGAGGAAATGCAAAATGATACACTTATACGGGAACACAGCATTTTCTTACAACTCAACAATTAGGCTCCTTGACATTTACCCAACTGAGTTGATTGAATACTTAGGTTGACAGAAAACCTAGACACAGGATTTTTGGCAACTTATTTGTATTTGCCAAAAATGGGAAGCAACCAAGGTATCCATTGATATGTGAATGGATAACAAATCATAGTACATCCATATAATGGAATTTGATTTAGTGATAAAGAGAGATATGCTTCAAATCATAAAAGACATTACAAAACATAACTCCATATTGCTAAGTGAGAGATGCCAGTCTAAAAAAGCTGCACAGTGCCAAATTCAATTACACGAATTTCAGGAAAAGACAAAACTATCGAGTCAGTAAACACATCAGTGGTTCTGTCACAATCAGGAGGAAGATGAATAGTTGAAGCATAGGAGATTTCCTAGAGCAGAAAAACTATTCAATATGACATTGTAATGATGAATTCATGACCACAAGCATTTGTCAAAACCTATAGAACTTTGCAGTTTAACTTTAATGAATACACATTTTTAAAAATTTATTTAAATGCTGGGAATTTTAAGATGGAATGAAGAATGTGACAATAATCTAAATGTATTACAAATGAATGAAATAACCTCACTAAAGGGGTGGAACAATAAAGTGATGACTTAAGCAACTTTGGAAATGCATGAACTCTGTAATACTAAAGGGACCCAGAAGAGTTGAATAGTGCTGTTTTCCATTGAAGTATTGGTTAACTATTCTGAAACCACAAATACATATATACTAAAACTGAAAAATTATGTAAATAGATGGTGAATGATAGAGACAAATTTCATCATTGTTGAAATGGGAAGTCACAGAAAACATGTTATAGAGGCTAAAATGAATTATATGTTAATGGGTTAGAGTTGAAGACATCAGCATAAACTCTTTTTAGCTTAATATTGATACAGATCGTTCCACATAAAAACATTTATAGATATGTATATACAGCACTCCCATAGAAATGAGCACAACCAGCATACAGATCTTCACTTCTAATACCATTGACTAATAAAACGAATGAGGAATCATTGGAACAATTGCTGAATCTAGGGCTGGGGTAGAAAATATACAAGACAAGATATCAAGTTTTTGTAGTGTCAGAAAGTGACAAAAAATTAAAAAAAAAAAAAAAAACCCTCACAGTGATGGAGTATGTCAAAGGGCCCCAGGAATAAAAAAAAAAAACTCCCATTGACAAAATATGGAACAATTATAACAGGAAATATGTAAAATTGTACTTAGTTATAACCCAAATTATAGAATAATTTTCCATGAGTCCATACTAAAATAAGTAAATGATGGAATAAATAAATAAATGGAAGAGAATAGACCAATCATTTGAGTAGACGAATTCCAAATAATAAATGTAGATACTCTGCTCTTATCGAAGTGGAACATGATTCTTCACTTTTTAAGTGTGGGCAGTATATAATGCCTTCTATGTAGGGAAGGAGGAACAGAGTAACTTAACATTGGAGAAACCTGCCAAACACTATCTCTACCAGGAGATTGAGGTCAACATGAAAAGTGATACATAATATTTATGGTGCATATGCTTGATATGATGTGATAAGAATGGCACTTTACACCTCCCAAAAAAGACATTACTTCAGTCTAATCATGAGAAAAAAAATTAACTAAGTGCCAATTGAAGGCTGTTCTGCAAAATACCTGACCAGTACTCCTTGCAACTTTAAATATCATACAAAACAAGGAAAGTCTCAGAAACTGTCACAGCTGAGAGGAAGCTAAGAAGACCTAATAGCTAAATGTAGTATCATATTCTGGATGGAATCCTGAAACAACAAAAACAAACGGACATTATGAAAAAACAGGAAAACCCCAGTAAAATATATTCTGTAATCAAAATATATGAATCTCGGTTCATTTTTACAAATATACTACTGTAATATAATAAATTAATAGGGGTAACTAAGGGTAGATTATACAGAAACTTCCTGTACTGTCTTCTCAATAATTCTGTAGATCCAAAATTGTTCTAAAATAAAATGTAGTTTTAAGAAATAATTTCACTATTTTTATTAGGAGTAAAATGATATGAATTAGTAAGCAAATAGATTAGATTATTGTTGTCAGTAACTTTCCTCATTTGATCATTTAATACCAAGCAAATATTGTTTCTTCCCAGCTTCCTTTAACCTTGGATTGTGGATTTATTTTCTTTGTTTCTATTGCTTATTAAACAGTCTTGACCTCTCTTCACTGAATCTAATATATCCACCAAATGCTGTTATTCAGTTCTTAATCTTAGCCATCAATTTCTGTAAGAGTAAGAGAATACACTAAGTGAAAATAGATTTAATAGGGATAGACAATGATTCACAGTGTTCCAGAGAGGCCATTAAGATAACAAATAATGCATGTCTCTTTGAATATATAAAAATGAAATTACTAAAAAAAAAATCTACATTAGTTTTGGCTTTGAATATAATTTAAACCACACTGTTTGTTTTACTTTCTCTATAGGCTTTATATTTATAACACAACAATTTATTTTAATCAATTTTGTTGCACATTTATTCCAAACAATAAATACAACAATTGGTAATTTCATATGATTATTAATGAAAACATCATTAACCTTTAATACAGAAGGGTAAGGCATTTTTTAGTATGCATATAAAAATTTTTGAAAAATAATTCTATAGCTAAATAAATCAATAAGAAGATTGGGAGAGTGGATATAATAAAAGTTGATAAGAGATACAAGTCATTTATGGTGTTTATTGTATTATATGTCAATATTGAAAGAAACTCAAACTTCTTTTTAAGTTTACTTCTTTTTTTCTTTTTTTTTTAATTGAACAATGAGAGCACATGGACACAGGAAGGGGAATATCACACACTGGGGCCTGTTGTGGGGTGGGGGGAAGGGGGAGGGATAGCATTAGGAGATATACCTAATGCTAAATGACGAGTTAATGAGTGCAGCACACCGACATGGCACATGTATACATGTGTAACAAACCTGCACATTGTGCACATGTACCCTAAAACTTAAAGTATAATAATAATAAAATTTTAAAAAAAAGAAAAAAAATTAAGTTTACTTCTTTTGGAGCCTACTACAGGTATGGTCATGAATGTATATATAATTTCACTAATCCCTTGAAAGAAACTACAAAATTTAAAATAGAACTAAAATGATCAACTGTAAATAGATGAAAGCAAGTAGAAACAAACAGGACAAAGGTGGCAGCATAGGAACGTTTGTAAACAGTATAGTCTTAATCAGGAGGACACGGATTAGGTATTAGTGGACTATGTGGTAATGAACACTCCCACGTGCCCACATACACACGCGTACACACACTTGCAGAACTGAGGCAGGAAAATAGGGTCTGGAGGCAGGGAACATAAGGCTGATTTACACTTCAGCTATGACAGGAAATATCCTCTCCATAGGGCAGACACCGAGTAAATGACTGTAACTTTACTTTGTCCTCTCCATTTACAGCGGGCATACTCGAAGCAACCAATGAAATCCTTTAGGGGGTATTTTAAACTCCTAAAAATTCCTTAATAGGGCCTTTGAGCTCCTATGCTTGGGCCCTCTCCCACACTGTGGAGTGTACTTTCACTTTCAATAAATTCCTTTGTCCCTTCCTTGCTTTGTGCGTTTTGTCCAATTCTTTGTTCAAGACACCAAGAACCTCGACACGAACCACCTTTAACATAGTTTGGTGAACCAGCCTGGAGGCAGAGGTAAGCCCAAAGTTTGGGATTTATTCTTCTCCTTTCTTCTTTTTCTTTCTGCTCCATACAAGGGAATCTTTCTCCCTTTTCCTTTCCAACCCAGGACCCTTAGTAGTCAGATCCTAAACATGGAAGCAAATGCAGGTTTCTGGCTGTGGCCAGTAAACCTAAGGGGGTTCCATGTGGAGAAGCCTGACCACCACCGCCCAGTTCGCTTAAGAAACCTGGGTTTTTTTTCCACGTCTTTTTTCTTTTTCTTTTTTTTCCTCTTTCTTTTTCAGTCTTTCAGCAGCAGCTTCCTAGTAGCTCCTTGGAAATTGAGGGCAATTGCCTGGGGTCACTCCTCAGTACTGCTTGAAGGCCTAGGAAATGAATGGGAATAATTGCCCTGCCCCAAAGGGGAAAGGACTTGTATTTTTTAATCTTTTCTGTACATGGTCCCTGATCCCTACATGGGATGCAGCTCCGAGCAAACTTGCACATGTTTCAGGGGACTTAAACCTTCTTTTCTTATGCTAAATTCTTCCCTTATTGTATTCAACTGGCTAAGGAACAAAAAGGCCCACCCAGCATCCAGTTCTCATTACAGTTCATGGCCACTCTTATAAAGCTCATTGTATCCTCCAGAGGGGAGAACCTGCATGTGGTGCCCACCTGAGGTCAGAGACGTTTGGCACTCTAAGACTGGACCCCACAGGAGGATGCTCTGTGGATCCTGGGGACCCTAACCACTCCACTCCTAACACTCTTGGCAGAGGATCTGAGGTCTAGTATTAAACCCCCTTAGAATTTTCTCTCACAGTTGCAGTGCTGCTTGGCCCCAACAGTGTTTGGAATCTGGAGTTTACTTTCTAATGGGAAAGTGGAATGGTGTTGCATGTGTCCAGGCTTTTGTGCTGTGTTTCTAACCAGGGCGCTTGGTTAATGTGTGACATCCTCCTTTGGTAGGGTTTGGTCCCAGTGCTCTTTGAAGTCTGGGGAGATTTGACCTTTAAAAATCAAACTGTCAGCCAGGCGTGGTGGCTCACGCCTGTAATCCCAGCACTTTTGGAGGCCGAGGTGAGAGGATCACCTAAGGTCGGGAGTTCGAGACCAGCCTGACCAACATGGAGAAACCCTGTCTCTACTAAAAAAAAAAAAAAAAAAAAAAAAAAAAAAAAAGTACAAAATTAGCCAGGCGTGGTGGCATATGCTTGTAATCCAAGCTACTCGGGAGGCTGAGGCAGAAGAATAGCTTGAACCTGGGAGGCAGAGGTTATGGTGAGCTGAGATTGCGCCATTGCACTCCAGCCCGGGCAACAAGAGTGAAATTCCGTCTCAAAAAAAAAAAAAAAATCAAACTGTCATGAAGACTGCTTTACCCAAAATCTTGGTTCACAGCCTTCATTAGATTATCTGTTGGGGCAAAGTAATACGGGCAAGCTTGTATTGCTATCTCATGACTAAGGTGCCAAGCTATTGTATTTTCATTTGTGTGTGTGTGTATACACATCTATATGTGTTTATTTGTATGTACGCTTATTGTTATATGTCATGTCTACCAAAATTGGCTTATAAGTAAAAGAGCACTCATAAATTAAGTAAATAAGTCTAAGCAATTTACAAGTTTAGATGACTTAAAGTATCACTTTACTAAACAATCTAGCTTTACAATTATTGGTGGAATAAAAATAGAAATGCCTTCAGAATTGTCAGCATACATTTTGTCTGAATTTTATGTTTGTCTTTGCTAGATATTTTTAAATATCAGTGTTAATTCAAGGGAGGAGCTGCTTGGGGTAAGCCTGCCTCCCATTCTGTTCAAAATGACTGAGATAAATTCATATCTGATTGCTTCCTTTGGAAAAGCTAATCAGAAACTAGAAAGAATGCAACCATTTTTCTCCCACCTGTGATCTGAAAGCCCACAAGCCCCCTCCTCACCTCGAGCTGTCCCACCTTTCCAGACCAAACCAATGTTCATTTTACCTATGTTGATGGATGTCTCATGTCTTCCTTGTAAAAAGTAAAAAATTAAGTACAGTGAATAGAATAATTGTTTAGGTAATGTTTTTGTGTAAATTAAAATCTTAAAGTTGTTTTTGATGCTCATTTAATATCTGAGTCATTTCCAATAAAGAAAATGTTGTAATATAGAAAAATATGTTTCCAAAAATTGTGGAATTGTCCTTATCTATAAATGTCCATATCTGATAGCTCAGGATTTCTTGCTTTTTAGAGTTTCAGTATAGTTTTAGTTTACTAAGGATAAAATTCTAGTTAACATGTAATTCTGTATAGGAAATGTGCCAGAAAGGGTTGTATTATTAGTGGAAAAAGAATAATTTTATCTAATTCCAAAATTATCTAAAAGTAAGTTCAAATTACAGATTTGAAAAGGTTATTTATGAAACAGTGTAGTAAGAAACCATTAAGTAGGGGAGAAAGATATGGAAAAACTTTAAATAATAAAATATTATTTAAAACCCGATAAAGAATTGGAAACATTTGTCTATCATTTTCATAGTTAAAGCTCTTAGTCTTGAATAAAGTTAAAAGTATTGTAAAAATGCATTGGCAGTTTGGCAGTTTTTAAAAAATATAGTTAAGCATGGAGCTGGATTTAGCATAAAGTCAAATTTCACATACATTGCATTGCTTCACACTATGTTTACAGTTTTGCGTGGATAGTGCTAGAGTACTTATTGGTCATGTGCCTAAAGTGAATTTCTGAATTTCACAGAATGTATAATGATATTGGTGAACTTAAGGATATTGAATTGTGTGTCAGGAATAAAATATTCATTATGTGGGTTTTTGGGGGCCCTAAGTGACGCTGTAACCACCAGGGTAAATAGAGTAGGAAAATTTAGATTTGGTTTCCTCCTTAATTGTTTTTGCTTCTAGTTTTCATTCATTTGCTGTTTATTCTCCTCTGGCTTTGATTGACTATCCATATATATAAATCATGATGCTTTTTATTTTCTAATGGAAGGCTTTTATTTGGTTTTGTGAATAGTTATTTTGTTTCCAATGCATTTCTAGCAAGTCATATTCATTCCACTTATCTGGAATTCCTAAGCTACCTTTGTCAGGTCACAGGATTAATGGAGCACACCAGCTTTTTATTCTTATAAACTAACTTTTTGAATTTTAGGCTTCCTGGTATTTTAAGTATGCTGACTATACTCTCATAAATAGAATTTGAGTCATATTTCTTTCTCTCTGCCTAGTTTCTCCAAAATTGTAAACTATTTATAAATATTCTTAATTCATGGCAATGTGTTTGTTTACATACAGTCAAGCATGATCCCTAAGGCTGCTCAGGGAGAGAGAACCTAGAAACCTGGCATGCTGGCAAAAGGGTAAGAATTTCTTGCCAGTCAGTCTCTGGCCTCTTTCTTTCTGTGCAAACTGGTTACATTAAAGATAAAAATCACTGTTTGTCTCCTCTGTAAAGTTTTGACTTAATTTGTTTAATAATAATAAGAGCTTAAATCAAATGTTTCATCAGAAATGTGAAAAACATAATGCCTTTTATTTTGTTCATGTGACTTGAGTAATCGTTGGCAAATAAAGACAGTTTTAAAGATTATTGGTAAAATACAATGTCTTCAAAATGTAAACATGTGGTGTAAGTTATGTTCAAACATTAGGTTTGCTAAAAGCTTTAAGATCATAAACTGCTTCTTTGGTTTTTGAAAATTGTTTAACTTGCCTGCATTCCAGCTGGGTAAGGCCTGGGGACATGTGGAGCTGGCCACTCCCTAGCTATGCTGGAAGCAGTCAAACCTTATTAGAACATAACTTACCAGATTTTTACATTAAAGTTAAAATTGCTAAGACTCACTATTATAATATGCAATTGAGACTGCTAGAAACAGTTTTAAATGTAAGGTGTGCAAAAACAGTAGAATGTGATTTTTTATGTTGTTGTTTAAAGGTTATAAAAGGTTTTTGATTCTTTAAAATTTTGGACTCATCATTTTGGCAAAAGAAATAATTTATGGTAATCTAGAATTCCAAAATCAAACTTAAGCCTCAAAATTATCTTTCCTAATGCCTGAGTTTCTGGATGGATCAGAGGGCCCCTGAAAACATCCAGAAAGGAGGTAAACAGGATTATTTGACATGTTTAGGTACGTAGGATTGCCAAAATGATGTTCAATCTTCTTTAGGCTATGTTTTTGTGAATATATTCCAAAATTGTATGGGATTTCTAAAATTCTAATGTCTAAGTGTATGCTACCAATCACAATTATAGTTATTATGTTATTGTAAACCACAGAAAAAAATAAATTTCCTTGTATAAAACTACTAACTCAAGTAGAACAAAATTAATTAAATACCAAGAAAATACTTTGTCAGATTTTCATGTTAAACCAGTTGAAACTGAAATTGTTTAAAATAGTTTATAACCAATGCTTGGTCCCATATTCCTGGGAAGACAATTAATTCAATGCATGCTTTCTGGTTGTATAAAAGCTTTCCCACACAGGAGGACTGATGTTATAACAGTAGATTATTATGCTACAGTATATTTTCACCAGGTAAAGAAAGCTTTTTATGGTTTGAATCTTCTGGAAACATCAGAGTAAAACCATACTTGCCATCCACACTACAACAAAACTTTGGGACCTTGAACTTTGGGTTCATAACCTCATGACTGAGAAGGGTCCCTCTATGCTATTGGAGCTATGCACCCACTGGAACCCTTAAGGTCAAACTAAGCAGGGAAATTTCTCCCAAGAAGAGAATAGGACCCTTGATGTGAACAGCTTCCTAAGTTCACAGATTAAGACTTCTACTATCATGAACTCATATCTTTGAATATTTTTTCTTGCTTATGCCTTCTAAGAACAATAGAAGTGGAAAAAGGGTCTGTTATGTGCACTTATGGGGCACACTTTTATTTGTTAATGAGTTTGCAGCCTGCCTTATACATGGGTAACCTTATACTTTGATAGATAAAAGGTGAAGGCCCACTGTTGGTAAGAAACTTTAATGGTACATGTGTTGCCTCATAATCAGTCAAAAGCAAAACACTGGTTGACTCCTTTTAACCCACATCATGGGTTAAAGAGAACATTGCCAGAAGGCCTTCACTCTTCTAAAAGGGCATCATTTGTTAGGTCCTTTTTCCATGGTTTAAAGTAAACTATGCAATGACTAGAAATTTAATCCCTCATGACAGGCTCTATGGCAGATTCTACTGTAAAGGCTACAGTTACAGAATAGACTCTAAATTTTCTTGTGAAAGTTATGACAAAATTCGCTAAACAGAGAAGTATCTGTGCAGCTGCTGGCACTTGTGGCCTATAGAGAAATACATCAAATGAAGATTATAGAAATTCAGTGGTAGAGGAGTGATGAAGAAATTGCTTAGTCAAGTGAGTACATTCTTTATCTAGCTCATTATTTGATCCATTTGATTTTAGGAGGTTTGTTTTATGGGGATCCTGAGGAAGGAGCATATTCCAAACTCTTGATATTATTCTCCCAATAGTCATAATAATAGTCTCCAGGGTGCACTGTATTCTCTCAAAGGTTTCAAATGCTTGCATGCAGCCATCTCTAGAATGTGATATGGTCTCTCCTCAACTGGAATAACAGGAGCTGAAAGAAATGTGCAACCATGAGGACACCATAACCTATAAATAATGTGCTGATACCAGAAACCCAAAATGATGGTAACTGAGAGTGGTTCTAAGGCCCTAAGTTTTGGTACACTCTCATCTAAGTGAGAACCTGACCAAAAAGGGGGAATTTTTTTTTTTTTTTATTTTCTGAGGTGGAGTCTTGCTCTGGTGCCCAGGCTGAAGTGCAGTGGCATGATCTTGGATCACTGCAACCTCTGTCTCCCGGGTTCAGGTTTAAGCAATTCTCCTACCTCAGCCTCCTGAGTAGCTGGGACTATAGGTGCGTGCCACCATACCCATCTAATTTTTTGTATTTTTAGTAGAGACGGGTTTTCACCATGTTAGCCAGGATGGTCTCAATCTCCTGACCTTGTGATCTGCCTGCTTTGGCTTCCCAAAGTGCTGGGATTACAGGTGTGAGCCACCGTGCCCAGCCAGGCAGAATATTTTAAACAAAATTCTGGGAGGCCGTTGTTTTGGACTAAGTTCATGTACTAGGTCTCAACAAACCAAGCCAAACCAAACCAAACCAAAATGGAGTTGCTTGTGCTAGGACTTTAAGGAAACACATAGATTCTAGAACAAATCAGGTTTTGTTCTGAATCCTGCAAATCTCTATAATACAGATTTCTGACAGCATAGGTATCCACCCCCTAAAGTCCCCATTAAATCTTTTAACCAAATTCATTTCCTCTGGCCTAGAGACCATCAAGCTTCAGATGATCATGCAACAAAAGTCCCAGCTAGTTCCAGGTGAAGACAACACACCTGGCCTTCAAAAAGCTACTCTGCCTCCACTAGAGAGAACAGGGCGAGAGTTCCATGATCCCCAGTAGGTAAGGACTACACCCCAAGCCAGCATGAAGCAGTTACAGAAAAAGACGACCATTGATCCCTCTGCTTCCTATAAAGATTTATGGATTTATGGGGATCACATCTGTTGGCGGGAGGGTGGGAAAAGGGGCAGGAAAATAGGGTCTGGAGGCAAGGAACATATAAGGCTGATTTACACTTCAGCTATGAGAGGAAATATCCTCTCCATAGGACATACACAGAGTAAATAACTTTGTAACTTTACTTCATCCTCTCCATTTACATAGGGCATACCAGAAATAACCAGTGGAATCCTCTAGGGGGTATTTAAACTCCCAAAAATTCTGTAACGTGGCCTTGGAGCTCCTATGCTCAGGTCCGCTCACACACTGTGGAGTGTACTTTCATTTTCAATAAATTCCTTTGTCCCTTCCTTGCTTTGTTTGTGTGTTTTGTCCAATTCTTTGTTCAAGATGCCAAGAACCTGGACACCCTCCTCCTTTAACAGAATGATTTGATTTATTTTACTTCACATTTTGTTTATTTGTTTATTTGTACTTCACATTTTGTGCTCATTTTTCCTACTGCAGAGGTTTTTAAAAATACTGAAGATATAATTGTCCTTATTTATCTCTGCATTTGTTAATCCACACATTTGTTTGAACAAATGGTATCTTCAAATTTGCCATGTACCAGCTATCATTCTAGCCACACATGATCCCTACCTTCATGGAAATTTCTACCAATAAGTGTTCTAGAAAACCTTGACATTATTACTGAGTCTTACTGGCTTTGGGATACAACAAAATACACTTCCTAGTTTGAGTGACAGTCAGAAATGGTTCCTAATATCCTAGGTGAAATCTATCCATCAGTTAACTGCTTTTAAACAGATCACACTGCCCCTTTATCAGATGTAGCAGCTGCCTCAAATAAAGCCTGTCTATTTTACATTCACATATCCATGGTTCATGTACATTCAATAGTCACTTGGAGATAAGGCAATAGATCATGTATTTTACCAGTTAGGTGTGAATCAGTAGTGCATTAATTGTAAGTATATAACTGGTAAACATACATATCAAAGGACAAGGATATTTGGATAACGAAGGGTGAGAAGTGAGATTTATTATGAATGGAGCAAACGTAAAATTTTATAATTAACGCAAATGTCTGGTATTTCCAGACATTAAAAACACATAACTATAGCAAGGTAGTTTATATCTCAATGTCACTATTTATTTATTTTCTCTGTGGGAGTATCTATAAGAGAAATATTTATTATTTCCTACTTTAAGCTAAAGAAGTGGCTAAACCTAGGTGTTTGAGTACTTGGGCATAGATTGAGGAGATACTATTAACATTTTTTTGTTACATAACTGAAAATTAAACATCCTAAATATTTGGAAAACCCCTCCACAACTTCATTTTACTTATGAACTCAATTGAGGACTATTGTGATAAACATTTCTTATACTTACCAAAGTTTTTGGTGTTCATATTTGTCAAGGAACTGTGCTAAAGGAGAGTAATTGACCATTGTAGAGTAAAGCCTAGGAAACTCTAAAATTCTCTACATTTTTTTTCTTTTTTTACATCCATAGGAAAGAAATAACATGATTGAGGTTGAATTTATCACTACCAGAGAAATGGAACTTGAGCCTTATTACATTTGGATTAGAAAAACATTGGAATATCAGTTGAATACTCAGACTGTAAAGACCATGAATATCACCTTTAGAAAAGTGTATCTGATTTTGGTTAGTTCTGCATTTTATAGCTGCTCTTATATGGGTACACTTAGCCTTCATCTGTGGACTCAATGTGCACTCAGTCAAAATAGCATATGTGGCTTAAATACTGAGTGTAACCTAATCATTTATTCCATAAATGTCTATAGTGCATTAATTTTGTGCTAGGTCTTTTCAAATCAAAAGCATTTGGGATAACATGAACAGCAAACTCACTCTTCTATGTATTACTATTTGGTTAACAGAGTCAGTCACTGTGAAAAGTAAACAATTAGATAAACAAGATAACAATTGCTCTGATAAGTGAAATTAAGTAATAGTAGAGAAAGTTGATAATTATCCTTCCTTGGATAGTCAGTGAAGGCCAGATGGAAAAGGCAGCATTTAAACAGATGTTAGAAAGAACTGGGTATTTAAGACAAATAACTTCTCAGGTAGGAGAAATAAGATGAAGGCTCTAAAGTCATTTAAAATTTAAGTTCAATACAGGACTAGAAAGAAAGCCAATGTGCTTGGATGGCTTAACGAGCTGTGATTTAGTGAATCATAAACAGGAAACTCGGAGATGATTTCAGAGATGAAGTCTTGGGTCAAGATTTGGTAGGCCTTGTGAAGGGAAAATATCTTGGGCCCCCAAAATCACTAAGGAAAACTCAAGGTGGAAACTGCTTAAGAAAAATCCTGTCTCCTATTCTATTCAAAGCTCTCCCTCTGCTCACTGAGATAGATGCATATATGATTGCCTCCTTTGGAAAGGCTAATCAGAAACTCAAAACAATGCAACCCTTTGTGTCTTACCTATCTGTGACCTGGAAGCTCCTTCCCGCTTTGAGTCTTCCTGCCTTTGCTTCAAGTTGTCCCACCTTTCCAGACCAAACCAATGTACTTTTTACATATATTGATTGATGTCTCATGTCTCCCTAAAATGTATAAAATCAAGCTGTGCCATGACCATCTTGGGCACATGTCAGGATTTCCTGAGGCTGTGTCACGGACCCTTCCCTCACCTTGTCAAAATAAACTTTCTAAATTAACTGAGATCTGTCTCAGATTTTCTGGTTTCACAGGCTCTTAGATAAAAATAAAGGTTTGGATTTATTTTTATGAGTGCATTTGAACTCGTTGTAATGAATAGTTTTGACGTGGTAGAAAAAATAATACTATAACATTACTTTTAATTGTTCTCTAACTTCTGGTTTTATTCTTTTTTTTCTTTTTTTTTTTTATGACAGAGTCTCACTCTGTGTCACAGGCTGAAGTGCAGTGGCACAATCTTGGCTCACTGCAACCTCCACCTCCCGGGTTCAAGTGATTCTCCTGCTTCAGCCTCCGGAGTAGCTGGGACTACAGGTATGCGCCACCATGCCCAGAAAACTTTTATGTTTTTAGTAGAGACGGGGTTTCACCATGTTGGCCAGTCTGGTCTCAAACTCCTGACCTCAGGTGATCTGCCCGCCTCGGCCTCCCAAAGTGCTGGGATTACAGGTGTGAACCACTGCGCCCGGCCTTGTTCTCTAACTTCCATGTAAACAACATGAAAGCAGGAAGATGGTTAGCAGGCTGCTGCAGAGCCTAGATGGTTGTTAATAGCAGCTTGTTGAAGGACAAGTATAAAGGTAAATGACAAGTGACCATGTTCAGCATGTATTTTTGGTAGACAGATGGAGGTATTGCTGATATATTACATGGAGGAAATAAGAGAAAAAAATGAGTAAGTGCAATTTCTCACTCAGTGGTTTAACAACTGAAGAAAGGACTTCTAGATTCTGAAATAAAATATTATGGAAGATGCAAAAGTTTATTGAAAGAAATAGTGTTACCATAGCCATGCATGTTAGGTCGCAGTATGGAGTATGGTTGAAATTCTGAGTGGAGGGTGTGTGAATCTGGTGTTCGGTGAGGTCAGGTGATAAGAATTTGAGCCACATGGCATATCATGACACACAAAATCATTTCTTCTGATGCTACTTCTATACATTCCAGTAAATAGAGGAAACATAAAGATTGAGGACTAAACCTTTAGGAAATTTGCAGTCAAGATTTTTTAACACAGGAGAAGATAATGAAGATGATTTAGAATATATGGCTACATGGCCAGGCGTGGTGGCTCACGCCTATAATCCTAGCACTTTGGGAGGCCGAGGTGGGCGGATCACGATATCACAAGATGGAGGTCATCTTGGCTAACACGGTGAAACCCGGTCTCTATTAAAAATATAAAAAATTAGCCAGGAGTGGTGGCACGTGCCTGTCCCAGCTACTCGGGAGGCTGAGGCAGGAGAATTGCTTGAACCTGGAAGGTGGAGGTTGCAGTGAGCCAAGATCGCGCCACTGCACTCCAACCTGGGGAACAGAGAGAGACTCCGTCTCCAAAAAAATAAATAAATAAAAAATAAAGATATTTGGCTACATAAGGAGAAATAAAAACAACAGGCTGCTAAGGTGTTCTGGTATTCAAAAAAGAAAACCATTGAAGTAAAAGGTGTGCTCAATGCCACTGTTAGATCAGGTAAGTGGAGCACAGAGAAGTGACCATTGCAATATGAAAGTATTTGGTGACAATGACCAGGACATTTATTGGAATGGTGAGGAGGAAAGACTGATTTATTTTGGCTTGATAAAATAAAAAGATGGGAAAGGGAGGAAATATAAGCCCTTGATTATAGACACCCTGAGGTGAGTAAGTTTCAGTGTGAAAGGAAGGAGAAATAGAAGCTAGAAAGTGCATATTTCCAAGATGGTGAAAAAGTGGAGAAAGAAATTGGTGATGGAAGCCAGCCTTGGAGAAGCAACTAGTAGATAATATCACATGTGAAGAGTTTGAACTTTAGTGGCAGGTGCATTTCATTCACAATAGCAAAATATAAGCAGAGTGTGGGTGCCGATTAAGGACTTTGGATAGATGCAGCCATAAGGAGAGGAGGGGGAATTCTACCTAGGCATGTTCTGCAGATTGAAACTATGTCACAGCTTCAATGGCCGCCCCCCTTTTCAATACTCCTGGATGAAAATGGGTTTTGGAATGTAGCCGGTTTTCAGTTCCAGATGTTTCTCATAACCCCAAATTATCTTCACTTGCCAATTTCCTCTGTCAAATTAATATAGGTTGGGTATTATTCTAACGGTTCACTTTCTTTTTAAACCATGTAATTCAAGGACATGAAGACTCTAAAAATGAACAGTTTTTTTTACTTAAGTTTATTGCTAAAAGTATGATTTCAACGGATAAAATGAGAAGAGAGCAGCCATAATAGATGGTAGTGATCATTTTCTTATTTAAAAAATCCTCTTTTGAGCATAGTAAGGAGCTGTGTACATTCTGAAGTATACTTGCTGAAAAATTATTACAGAAGCATAATAAAATTTGTGATTTTGAACTTCACTCCTTTCCTTTCACAATGTCAAAATGATTCATATTTCTCTAGAAATGTTCAGGAGGAGAATATTCACCTGTGTAAATTATATTCCTATGGGGAAGGGATTACTGCTCTTACCGAAGAGTTTATGGCAGGGTTTACTCTTTTCCATTGACAGTATGGGATGAGAGAATGGGACTTAGCTTTGTGTCCATTTGCATTCCAGTCACCGAAATAATAATAGCTATATGGCACCTAGAGTAGAAAGGATGATTTACAGTAAGGGCATTCTCTCAAAACTTAATAGTTTCCACTATAAAAACTAAAGACAGTTCTTCCTAGTTTCACTGTTTCAGAGCACTGTTATTAGTTGACTCAAAAGTTTAAATAGCTTTTGTTGTAAAATAAACAATTGGTATATGACATTCTATGAGAGGGATGGTCTGAGAATGGTTTATTGTGACAATGCAATCACTTTCAGGTATTAAATTTCAGGATGAAAACTATAAATCATTCGCTTTCCCAGAGTGAAGTTTGACTTATTCCTGTGGCCAACATGGCTTATGGACACCAAGGACAAATAAGTCAGAATAACTTGATGGAAAAGACCTTCAGCGATAACTACATAGTTTTCATCTCTTGTATGAACAAAGTGTTAAATTTTCTCTACTATCAATTCTTTAGTGATATATTGGCTATGATTTTTTTCTGTTCCATGATATATATTATTTTATCATATAATATACATTGATATATGAATTGATTAAGGTCAGGGATTTATACCAAGATAATAATTTGTTCTAAAAACTATATGTTCAGTTTTTATCATTAAAAACATTTTAAATAATAACTAATTCTCATTTGTAGTCAATAAGTGGCACATGCATAATCATATGGCAAAGATATATTTTTGTTTGGTGCTGTAGGTACAAATTACAGTTTGATCTTTCATACTTTATGAAAACAATGGTATAAATAGATATATGGTTCATATTGCAGTTGAATATAATATTTATTCAATAACATTTATTAATGATATTTCAGGAAGTATTTCTCATATTTTAATGTATACATGAACCACATGGTATCCTCTTAAAAAAGCAAATTTTGGTTCAGTTTTTAGAAGATGGAGCTAAGATTTTTTCATTTCAAACTGCTTTGTGATCCGCTGATCTCAGTTTCAGTAGCAAATTTAAAAATATGTATGCTTCTGGATTTTAATAGATAACTGAAATAAAACAAAATATTTTTCAGTACTAAGAGTGGTTAAATTTCAACATGATCTTTGCTTAAATGAAAGAGACTATTAGAAGTACATTTTCTAGTACTCTTTTTTATTTCTTTTCATTTTAAATATATTTCCAAATTACAATACTTTAATTTAATGACTCATGCTGACTTCAAAATTAACACCACAGCTAAAATATATGAGCTCCTTTTACAGCAGCGTTTTTCCTCTGGGAAATAGTAACTTCTCTTGCCATTGTTTTCATTATTTTCACTTCTTTTCTTCTGTACAAGGATCTGACAATACATCCTCAACTTTACTTGCTTGAAAACAGAAGCAGTGGCAAAGATTAGTGGTGAAAACCAGGAGACTTAAAAAACACATTTAATCTCTTTCATTCCCTTCCTTCCTTCCTTCCTTCCTTCCTTCCTTCCTTCCTTCCTTCCTTCCTTCCTCTCTCTCTTTTTTATTTTTTGGAAAATACTCAACTATCATCATTCACTGCCATTCAAAACATTTTTCAATCATGTATTGTCACCTAAAAGATTTATTCAAAACCTAACGGTGAATGGATAAAGATGCTCAATTTGGGGGCTCTCAATAGACAATTCAGGAATGCCGATGATTTTGCTATGTCAGTTTGGTGCTATGAAGGGAGGTAAAATATATTGCTTAAAATTGTATATATATACACATTACATTATATATACAAAAATTACATGTATATATATATACACATTACATGTATATATTTTATAATTTTATTAATATATATAGTTTTAATTACAATTCTTACATATAATATAAACATAAATTTTATGTGATCCTTTTTTCTTGAATTAAAGGTTATATAATAAAAGCTACCACCTGCAGTTCTCACAGCAGTAGAATTCCAAATCAGCCGCTGCAAAATCAGCAACAGCAGCTGTAACCTGGTTTTTAGAGAAGTTGAAATCAATTTTCACAGGTAACTTAAAGTTTATACAAATGCAGATTGTGTTCGCCAGGGTTTAACATTTGTATAATAGTCATAAAGATAATAGTACGATAAAGAGTTATTCTTACTGAATTTCAATACACAGTCTCTTCTTTTCTGTTATGGTCTTCAAAGGTATTATTTAAGCTTAATTACATTTATGAAAACAAATTAATAAAAATGTCAAAGTTGGGATTTAAAGAGGTATACACTTACTAAAATAAGGTATGTTTCTTAAACAAAATGTATTCTATTTTAATCATTAATTTAAGACTTTCAGTTCTTCATGAATCAGTGACCCATCAATAGTGTATCTTTTACTGTAAGTTAATTTCAATCCTAGATTTGTATACAATTAAAGTAACATATTTATCTTAATCTTTTAAGTTTTTATATATCATCCAGAAAAATGAGATATCTATAATAGTCTTTCAGTTCTGTAAACTTTTCTCTTTTTTCTTTCTTTAATTTTTTTTTTACTTTTTATTTTTGGTAACAATGGTTTTACATATTTATGTGGTAGATGTACCATTTTGATACAAGCATAAAATGTGTAATAATAAAATCTAGGTAATTGGGATATTCATTACATAAAATATTTATAATTTATGTGTGTTGGGAACATTCCAAATCTCTTCTTCTAGTTATTTTTAAATTTACAATAAATTATTATTAACTGTAGTCACCCTATTGTGCTACTGAACACTAGACCTTATTCTATTAACCATCCCCTCTTTATAACCCCCCGCAAACCCACTACCCTTCCCAACCTCTGGTAACTGTCATTCTACTCTCTGTCTTTATGAGATCAGTTTTCTTTAGTTCCCATATATAAGTGAAAACATGCAACATTTATCTTTCTGTGCCTGGCTTATTTCACTGAACATAGTATCCTCCAGTTCCATCCATGTTGTTATAATTATCATGATTTCATTCTTTTGTGTGACTGAATAATAATCCATTGTGTATATATACCACATTTTCTGTATTCATTCATTTGTTGTTTGACACAGTTTGATTTCATATCTTGGCTATGGCAAATAGTGCTGCAATAAACATGGGTGTGCCAACATCTCTCTCCAATAGATGTATTTCCTTTATTTTGAATAAATACCCAGTAGTGAGATTGCTGGATTATATTGTAGTTCTATTTTTAGTTTTTTAAGGAACCTCCTTACTGCTTTCCATAGTGACTATACTAATTTACATCCCACCGATAGTGTATGAGTGTTCCTCCTTCTCCACCTCCTTACCACCATTTATTTTCTGTCTTTTTGTATTTTTGTTATCCCATTTGTCCATTTTGGTTTTCATTGCCTGTGCTTTTGAGGTCTTATTCAACAAATTTTGCCCAGACTAATGTACTCAAATATTTTCCCTATGTTTTCTTCTAGTAGTTTCAGGTCTTACATTTAAGTCTTTAATACATTTAGATTTGTTTTTGCATATGGTAAGAGAGAGGGTACTAATTTCATTCTTCTGCATATGGTTATCTAGTTTTTCAAGCATCAATTATTGAAAAGACTGTCCTTGCTGCAGTGTATGTTTTTGGTACTTTGTCAAAAATGAATTGACTGTAAATGTGTGGATTGATTTGTAGGTTATCTATTATGTTCTATGTGTCTGTTTTTATGGCAGTACCATGCTGATTTTAATACTATAGCTTTGTAGTATAATTTGAAGTCAGATACTGTGCTTCTTCCAGCTTTGTTCTCTTTGTTCAGAATTGTTGTAGGTATTCCAGGTCGTTTGTGGTTCCATATACATTTTAGAATTTTTTTTTATTTCTGTGAAGAATTTCATTAGTACTTTGACACATACTGTATTGAATCTGTAGATAATGTTAGGCAGTATAGACATCTTAATAATATTGATTTTTCTAATTCATGATTATGAAATATCTTTCCATTTTTGTGTCTTCAATTTACTCCCTTGATGTTTTATAGCATTTTTATCAACAAAAATTGTGTATGTTTATAATATACAGCATGATGTTTTGAAATATGTATATATTGTAGAATGGGTAAATCGAGCTAACTAACATATGTATTCCCTCATATGTATATATATTTGTGTGTGTGTGTATGGCGAGAACACATAAAATCTATTTTCAAGTTATTTACATGTGGGTGGATTATCGTTGTACATTGGCTTATAACTTAATTTGTTGTTAAGTGACAAAAGTGGATGGATAGTATGCTTCCTTTTATGTGGAAGAGGGAACTTGGGGAGCTTAGGGAGTGCACACGCTGGAGGGACTTTTTATTTTAGCAATGCTTCTTGCAGTACATTTATAACTCACGTATAGAAAACTTTCACAATTTTTCATAAGCATTTTGCAATTATGATTAAGTGGATTTTTCAAAGCAATACAAATAGAAGGCCAAGGAAGGTGGCTTATGTCTATAATCCCAGCACTTTGGGAGGCCAAGATGGGCTGATCACCTGAAGTCAGGGGTTCAAGACCAGCCTGGCCAACGTGGTGAAATTCTGTCTCTACTAAAAATACAAAAATTAGCCAGACACGGTAGCACACATATGTAATCCAAGCTACTCTGGAGGCTGAGGCAGGAGAATTATTTGAACCTGAGAGTGCCGTGAACCAAGATAGATTGCGCCACTGCACTCCAGCCTGGTGGCAGAGCAAGACTCTGCCTCAAAAAATATATGTATAAAATAAAATAAAAATAGAAGTCACATTTTTTTCTTTTGACAATGTCATAGCAAAACATATGTAAGGAAACTAATATAGCAACACATATGTAAGGAAACTAATATATATGTAAGGAAACTAATATAGGAAAACATATGTAAGGAAACATATATAAGGAAACTACTAATATATACTATATTAGTAGTCATTCAATCTACCATAACTAATACAAATAACTGAAAACCTACAAACATGAGCAAATCTCTTCATGAATTCATAGCCCAAACAAGTTTATTGTCTCTCTTCCATCTCAGTTTAAGTCCATGAATTACCAAAACTTTTTTCTCCTGGTCTTTGATTTTAGTAATTTAATTTAGTTGTAATTATAATTATTTAAGAAAAGGTATCAAAGTGAATTACAAATTATGAAATTATATTTGACTTATAAACTACAATTTGCAAAGAGTGTATAATTTTGATTAGTAGCTGGTTGTAGAACTAATTGGTCTGGAGCTCTTTGAAATAAATCACTCTAGCTTCTCCATTGTGTGCCTTTAGTGCTCACGTATAAGTACTTTTTACGTATCCATTGAATCAATGAGTGGATAAATCAATAAATTATTTCCCATCAATAAATTGAAGCTTGCTATATGTTTATTTTGCCTAACAGTGACCTTTTAATCTTAGATAAATATTTATTATGTTATTAAATTTAATTTTCAACTTAGTTTCAACTTTGCAATAATTTTCATGGTTTTTAAAATACTATTTTAGGAAGTATAAAATTTTCATTTTTCTTACATGCAAATGTGCTCTTTTAAGCTTAAGATTAAAAAATTAAAATCACTGGACAGCTAAGATTCTGGCTAATTGAGTAAATCTACTCTACACTAATTTGTAAAACCTGTTTTTGATATTAGCAACTGTTTTTAAAATATTTAATGTTTAATTATTATAGGTACATGTGATGTTTTGATATAGGCATACAATGATATAGGCATACATCAGGGTAATTGGGGTATCCCTCACCTAAAGCCTTTATCATTTCTTTGCTTTTGTTTCAGTTTACTTATCACTTTGAGTTTAATCACTAAACAATTTTGTCAATAATATTTAATTAGGCATAATAATCTATGATGGTGATATGGTTTTGCTGTGTCCCCACCCAAATCTCATCTTGAATTGTAGCTCCCATAATTCTCATGTGTCATGAGAGAGACCTGGTGGGAAGTAATTGAATCGTGGAGGTGGTTTTTGTGTGTGTGTGCTGTTCTCGTGATAGTGAATAAGTGGTTTTATAAAGGGGAGTTCCCCTGCACACACTCTCTTCCTTGCCACCATGTAAGATGTCCCTTGGCTCTTCCTTCATCTTCCACTACGATTGTGAGGCCTTCCCAGGCATGTGGAACTGAGTCCATTAAATCTCTTTCCTTTATAAATTACCTAGTCTTGGGTATGTCTTTATTAGCAGCATGAGAACAGATTAACAGATGAATATTTTTAATAAATAAAATATAATTTGAAAGTCAGATAGTTTCCATAATCTTTGTCAAAAAATTTACACTGTGGTATCTCATGAGTTGACCTTTACTTATAAGAATATAGGTGCATTACAAGTAGTTTAGAAATTCAGATGGACTTTAACCATTAAATTTGTTTTTATGACAAGTCATGAAATTTGACATTAACCAAAAACATGGTAGAATATTGTAAGTGAACAATTACTTGTTTCCTATGCCATGAGAGGTTAGTCCCTTTTCTGAATATAAAGACAATACACCTAGTGTTTACAAAGCAAAAAGTTTTAAGACTCTTGTATATTTGTTTTAAAGATTATCTGCTATTCACTAGTATTCACCTAACATCTCTCTTTACTTCATTTGCTACAGGCATTTATTGCATTCCATTTAGTAGTTTGTTGTCCCAGCATTGAAGATGTTATGCTGTTACCAGACCAGGAATTAGAAATCTGTTAACCATAAAAAAATCAGGATAATTTGATTTGACAGATTCAGGAAGTTCAGAATGGCTATTGTACAAGGTGGTAAATAAGTTGCCAACTGAGAAAAAGTATAAGAAGCAGCAGTGTAATGTTCTGATTCTTCTATTTAAAATGCTGGGTTTAAAGTTAATTTTACTTTCATTTATAAATTTTGAAGATATATTTATTTATTTTAATTTTTATGGGTACATTGTAGGTGTATATATTTATGGAGTATGTGACATGTTTTGGTACAGACATGGAATGCATAATGATTATATCATAGAGAATGTGGTATCCATCCTCTCAAGCGTTTATTCTTTGTGTTACAAACAATCTAATTACGCTCTTTTAGTTATTTTAAAATTTATGATTGAAGTATTATTGACTATAGTCACCCTATTGTGCTATCAAATAATACGTCTTATTTATTCTAACTATCATTTTTTGTACTCATTACCCATCTCTACCATTCCCTCACACACCCCTTCTCCCCAAAAACTACCCTTCCTAGCCTCTGGTAACCGTTTTTCTACTTTCTATCAAATGAATTGATTTTTATATATCACAAATAAGTGAGAACATGTGATATTTATCTTTCTGTGCCTGGTTTATAAAAAAGTATTTAAACATATATAGAAAAGCCCTTTAAAAATCAGTAATTCCTGAAATTTTGCTCAAAGTCAATTTAATTTTCTTACATGGGATATTTTCTAATTCATATCTTCACTATGACTTAAAGTTCATTTTCAAGCTAATATATATTTTTACAGCTGTTTACCAGAGAGAAACCCAAATTTTCTATACCCCTAAATTAGTTAGTTTGTGCACTCTTATCTCCTTAAAGTGATCATATAATGGGGGAATAAAAGTGAAACCATTTGGAAGTATCTTTATAGTGCCCAAAGGAGAAATTGAAATAACAAATGATTATTAGAGTGTTCATTTCATGGAGGTATGAACATTTGAAAAGATTAAGTATGAGTACTTAAGTGTGTGTTAAGTGTTTCTGCGAATTAATGATAGCGCAGTTGAAAGCTGAAACTAAAAATTTTTCTTTTTTTTCTGCAAAATTATGTGATTCACAACTACAAAAAAGCTTTTAGTTTAAACAACATATTCTGAAATTATTTTATATATATTAGGTTTGTAATTTCAATACATCATTTCAGTTTAATAATTTTTCTTGCTAATTCTGTGAGAAACATTAACTCCTTATATAAAAAATGAAACCAAAATATATACCAAATAGGAATTGAACTTCTCCTTTTTATAAACCTGTAATTAAATTTCAGAAAAAGTTAACTTTTTATATGCAATTTGAGTCCATAAAAATGGTTGTACAGGATAATTGCATAGCTTCATGTTCTCAACCATACTAAACAGAAGAAAACATACAGGGCATGTTACACGGGTGTAAATTAAATCTATTTTTATGTTTTGAAGCCCAGCAATTTTCTTAATGCTATTTGACCAAAGCCTAATGTGTAAACCGTACTAATATTTTAGAGGGCGAAAAAATCAGCTTCAGGTGCTAGTCTAGAATTTATGCCGGTAATAGAAATTATTTTCTGCATTATTGAGCAGTAATTACCTTGCTTCACATATTGCCACAATATTTTAAAGTTTTACTTTCATATGAAATGCCTTCTAGCTACCATGAGAGCTAGAAGTATGCAGAATTGCCTAGTATATTGCATTTGTTAAGAAAACAGAAGCCTATCACTACATTAATCTAGAATTAGATGATTCTACATAGATAATTTCTGTGCTGGAGATATGAAGGTACAGATATATTTGCATATCTATGGAATTGTGAGGAAAGCATGCCATATGGTTTTGATTCCTCATCTAAAAATGTGAATAATCAGTGAAATTACATTTTAACATGGCTGATTATTGTTAGTGCCTGCGTGGTACTTAAATTTTCAACTTAATTTTAAAAATATATCACATTTAATTCACTGAAAATAAAATATATTAAGTAATATTATTAAATATTTTGTGCTTTTTACTAGAATGCATCTTGATTATCTATAAACATTGCTTGATAGAAACTGAGATATATGTATTATTTTATATACATAAACAGACATATTTGTCCCTCTTCCCCCGTCTCTCTTTTCCTCTGTCACTTTTTTTCTCTATATGTATATGTAAGATATTTTTACAAATTGAACATGAGTGGAAGAAATGAAAAAAATCAAGAATTGCTTTTAATTGACTTACTTGAGTAATTGTGTAGACGACTTAGAGATATTAAAATTTAGGAGAAAAATAGTTTAGAAGAGACTCGTGTTCATTTTATGTTAAAACATTGAGGTATCATTATAACATCCCTTCCTCATTTTTAAAATTAGGTTATTTGTTTTTTGTTGTTGTTGAGTTAAAGGAGTTCTTTATATATTCTAGATTTTAGCCCCTTTATAAATACACGGTTTGCAAATATTTTATACCATTCTGTAGGCTGCCTCTCACTCTGTTCATTGTGTCCTTAGATGCATAGACGTTTACAATTTGGATATTGTCTAGTTTTACTTCTGTTGCCTATGTTTTTGGTGTCATATTAAATAAATCATTGCCAAATCAAATGCCATAAGACCTTTCCCTATATTTTCTTCCAAGGGTTTTATAGTTTTAGGTTTTATGCTTAGGACTTTGATTAAATTTTAGTTATTTTTTTAAAACAGTGTAAAGTAAGAGTCCAGCTTTTTTTTTTTTTTTTTTTGCATGTGGATATCAGTATTCCTAACAATTGTTGAGAAGAATTTTATTTCCCCATTGAATAGGCTTGGCACTGCTATCAAAAATCATTTGAACATATATACAAAGGTTTTTTATTTGCCTTATAAGTGCAATTTTACAATCTAAAATGTACATTCCAAAGGTATATTTATATTTACAGAATTTAATGTAATATAATATTTACATAAATTTAATGTTTTTTTATGTTCAACATGTACACAGCAGATAAGTGAAATTCACTACAAGATTTTTTGTTTTTTTTTTTAAGTATTTTTAGTATATCCAACATAGATTCTGTGCAGAGAGGCAGTTGTGTTTCTTCCTTTTTACTTTTTGTTTTGTTAAATTGCACTGACTATGACTTCCAATAAAATGTTACCAGATTAGGTCAGAGCAGACATCTTTGCTATGTGCTCAACTTACAGGAAAAGTTTGAAATTTTAAACCTAAGTATGGTTATGGATATATGTTTTCACCTTTTATTCAGATTGATAATGGTCTTTCTATTCTTGGTTTGCTGAGTTTTTAATTTTTTAATTATAAATGGATTCCGTTACTGACTTTTTGTTGTACTTCTCCTATTGAGATAATTATATTATTTTTATCCAAGTTTTCCTTAATGTGCTCAGTTATACTGTCTTTTTGATTATTAAACCAATTATGAACCAACGTAATAAAATGGACATGGTCTTGGTGTATTACCTTCTGTATATTACAGAAACAGAGTTGGTAATGTTTTGCCAAAGACTGTTGCATCAATGTTCATGGAAGATATTGGTATATAATTTGTTTTTCTTGTAACATTTTGTTTTGTTTCTAGAGTCATGCTTGCCTCAATAAAATTACTTAGTAATTATACCTTTTTTCTCATTTTTCTGAAAACGTTCAGGAGGATTGATTACTTTTTTCTTAAAGGTTGGGTAGCATTCAACAGTAAGTTTATCATACCTGGATTTTTCTTACTGGAAAGGTTTTGATCATAAAATCAAATTTATGTAATAGACAATGTCCCATTTAAATTTTTATGTTCTGTTATGTTATTGTTGGTTAGTTGTGCTTTTTAATGAATTCATCTATTCCTGAAAGATGTTGAATTTATTGGCACAATATCATGTGCATGTGTGTGTTTTATTCTTGGTTATTTAAAATGTATGTTATTTTGGGACAATTAAGCATTCACTTCTGATTTTGGAAATTTACTTTTTCTCCTTCTTTTAAATCTGAATAATATTACTCAGGTATATTAATTTTAATTTTCTTTTTAAAAACTAAGTTTTTAACAATTTTTCTTGTTTGTTTTACAGTTTATTTTCAAATTATATATTTAATATTTATTATCTTTTAACTTTAAGCACAATTTGATTGTATATTTCTAGTTTCTAAAGGTGAAACTTACATTATTGATTTTAAATCTTAGTATTTTATAGCATAGCTATTTATATGTAATTTTATATGTGTATACATGACTCTGAAATGTAGTAAGAGCAGTCATAGCATATAACTATTTCATTCTCAAAACAAATCTAAAGTTGCCACTTTCCACATGCCAATTTAAGGTAAAATCTAACATTTTAAATGGATAATTATTTAATGAACTTATTCTGTAAACTAACCTTACCAGAAAACATTTATCCTGAGTACTATGGTCTGTATGTTTTTTCCCCCAAAATTCATGTGTTGAAACCTAACCTTCATGGTAATGACACTAGAAACTGGGGCTTTTGGGAGCTGATTAGGTCCTGAGGGTTAAGCTCTCATGGGTGGGTTTAGTACCCTTACAAAAGAAGATCCTGAGAGATATCTTGTCCTTCCACCATGTGAGAATACAGGGAAGAAAGCACGTGAGATGAAGCAGGGTATAGGCCCTCACCAGATGCCAAATCTACTGGCATTGTGATCTTGAACCTCCCAGACCCCCTAAACGTGAAAAATAAATTCCTGTTGGTTATAAGTTGCCCAACTTATGGTAATTTGTTCTAGCAGCCTAAATGGAATAAGACATTGAGTTTAAGTAAAGAAAAAATTGAATATATATATATATGTATATTTTATATACACACAACATATGATCTCTGTTGCATATTTATCTTTCTTTTCGTTTTTATACTATATAACCCTTTGTAAATGTAAAAACCATTCTCAGTTCTTAGGCTATACAAAACCAGGCTGCAGACTGAATGTACTTTACAGACTCTAGTTTGCCAACCCCTATAAAAATTAACAGTCATTTTAATCCACATTTCTAGATACCTCAATTTAGCTCAAAAAAGAAAGGCCAGTCGCTTCCTTATCATAAATACATATACATATGTTTTGTATGTATACATATACGTATATTTATGAAAGGAAGCAACTGACCTTTCTTTTACATATATGAAAATACATACATATACATGTAAATACATACATATATGTATGCATTTATATGTGTATATATACGCATTATGTGCATATATAGTATATATAACCTTGTTATAACAATGTAATATAAATATTATATGTGTATTATATATTTATTAAAACAAATGTATGTATTTATGTGTGTATATATATAAAGTGTATAGCCTCCTTATTATATGTATATATTTATTTATTTATAATAATGAGGCTACTGGCCTTTCTTTGTTGAGCTAACCTGAGGAAACTAAAAATATGGATTAAAATTACTGTTAATTTTTATAGGGGTTGGCAAACTATAGTCCATAAAGTACATTCAGTCTGTAACGTGATTTTGTATAGCCTAAGAAATGAGCATGGTTTTTACATTTACAAAGGGTTATAAAGTGTAAAAACAAAAAGAAATATAAATGTGCAACAGAGAATGTAAGTCCTGTAAATCTTAAAATATTTATTCCTTAGTTGTTTGCAAAAAGAGCTTGCCAACTCGTCTCATAGGAAATAATAAAAATAATATATTATTATTTTCACATAAAAATTAGAAAAAAGCCTGAAGATTTAATGGGGCACAATTTTGATTTTATAGTAGGCATAATATTGAGATTTACTTTAATATTTTATTTTATTTAATGTCCAGGATACATGTGCAGGACGTGCTGATTAGATTTTTGCCAGTGAAGAGTGACAGTAAGTTATTCAGAACTTTTGGTGCTCTATATAATAGTATGCGTAGGCTGGGCACGGTGGCTCATGCCTGTAATCCGGCACTTTGGGAGGCCGAAGCGGGCGGATCACCTGAGGTCAGGAGTTCGAGAGCAGCCTGGCCAACACAGTGAAATCCTGTCTCTACTAAAAATACAAAAATTAGCCAGGCATGATGGTGGCGTGCCCGTAATCCCAGCTACTCGGAAGGCTGAGGCTAGAGAATGGCTAGAACCCAGGAGGTGGGGGTTGCAGTGAGTGGAAATCGCACCATTGCACTCCAGCCTGGGTGACAAGAACGAAACTCCGTCTCAAAAAAAAAAAGTATGAATAGTAGTATGTCACACACACACATACACACACAGAGACAGATAGAGAGAGACAGAGACAGAGAGAGAGAGAAGCAATGGGATCTTGTGTTATATAAAGAAAGCTTAAAAAGGAATTTGGCATCAGGGCTTTTTCTCTTGGAATGCTGCCCCCAAACCATAAGCAAGGTCCCAGTAGTCTGCTAGAGCAGAGAGAAGAAACATACAGCCCATTGGCCAAATCTGGCTTGCTACCTGTCTTAGTTTCTTTGTGAGTTTCGGCTTCAATAACAAACTACCAAAGAGAAAGTGGCTTAAAGAACAAATATTTCTCACAGCTCTGGAAGCTGGAGAGTCCAAGATCAAAGTGCTGGCAGATTCTGTATGTGGTGAAACCCACTTCCTGATGCATAGATGATTGTCCTACTCTGTCCTCACATAGCAGAAGGATAAGGAAGCTCTCTGTAGTATCTTCTTGTAAAACAAACTCATGAGCGCTGCACCCACAGGACCTAATCACCTCCTAAAGTTTCCACCTCCTGATACCGCTACATTGTGAGTTAAGTACCATAGCAACATATAAATGTTGAGGAAACACGTTAAGTCTAGAACTTCCTGTTTTTATAAATTTTTGTTGAAACATAGCTGCAATCAATTTGTTTGTACATTTTCTATGGCTGCTTTCACATTACAATGATTTTGTGGACCCTATGGCCCCCAAAACTTACAATATTTACCATCTGGCTCTTTATGGGGAAAAAAATGCTGAACCTTGTATTAGACAATGAAAGTCACATGGAAGAAAACCAAGGCACACCTGCTAACCGGCAGCACCAACTGCTAAAGATGTGAATAAAACCACCTTGAACCTTTCATCCCAGCCAAACTCCTAGCTGAATTTAGCCACATACCTACCGGTGTATTAGGGTTCTTTTAGAGGGACAGAACATCATATATATAAAATCTGTATATGATATACACATATATATATAATTTGTATATAATACACACACACACACACACACACACACACACACATATATATATATATAAATGGGAGTTTGTAAGTATTAACTTACACGATCACAAGGTCCCACAATAGGCTGTGTGCAAACTGAGGAGCAAGGAGAGCCAGCACGAGTTCCAAACCTGAAGAAGTTGGAGTCCAGTGTTCAAGGGCAGGAAATATCCACCACGGGAGAAAGATGTAGGCTGGGAGGCTAGGCCCATCTCTCCTTTTCACATTTTTCTGCCTGCTTTATATTATCTGGCAGCTGATTAAATTGTGCCCACCAGATTAACGGTGGATCTGCCTTCTACAGCCCACTGACTCAGATGTTAATCTCTTTCGGCAATACCCTCAAAGACACACCCAGGATCAATACTTTGTGTCCTTCAATCCAATCAAGTTGACACTCAGTATTAACCTTCACACCTGGGACCACATAAAACCACCAGAGAATCACTCAGCCAACACACAGAATCATGAGAAGTAATAAAGTACTGTTGCTCTAAGTCACTAAGGTATTGAGTTGATTTTCACACAATGGATGACTAAAATTGGTACTGAAGTTAGGATGCTGCTGTAGGAATAAAATGTGTGGCACTGGCTTTGGGATTATGTGGCAGGTGGAGATTGAAAGGTCACTGACAAGACTGTAGGTAGAGGCTGGCAGTGGACTGAGAAAATTGTTATTCAGGGTTAGATAAAAAGCAGCACCTGTGTGGTATTGGCAGAAATTTGGAAAAAAATTTTCCTTCAGTAACTTGGAAAAATTGAATATTTATTAAATTGCTTGTGAATCTCACTGAGGACTGTCCTGGCAGAATGAACAAAGTGTCGGCTGGCACCCTCTCAGTTGCAAATAGGACCTTTTGGGTTGAAAAATAAAATTGTTTCTTCTCCCCAGCCTTTCAATGAGGGTGGGGGTGGGAGGAAAGATGTCCAAAGAAAGAATTGGGTCTTTGTGTAATGATTTAATTAACTTTGAGACTCTAAGACCTGTTTTTAAGACCTTATAAAGAATTTTGGTATTGCCTCATATACCTGCTCAGCTAAGTTAAAGGACTTCTAGGAATTTTAAATTTTCTATACTAAGTAGCCTGGCTCATGTCCCAAGGTCATTGATGGTTCAACAACTAGTTCTGAGTGATGCGTACAGGCATCCTTATTTGTAGCATTCACATGGTGTAAATACTCCCAACTCACTAAGAGATCACAAAACACCTTAACATTGAACAATTGTCCCTTACCAGCAGTGGCAGCTGGGTCCTGAATTTCACCGTGAATTAGACCCATGATTCTTAGTGAGTCCCAGAAATCATTATTTTTTGTGTGTATGGTGTATAAAATGTCTAATACTCTCAATTTCATTCTTTAGAAATTGCACTGTTCTGTGGAAATAGAGGCATGATTGGAGAATGACAAAAAAGGGATATTAGAGAAGCCTGTGATCCTTGAGAAATCAGAAGCCTCAGCAGAATAGCTTTATAGAAAAGACAAACTTTTGAGAAAAGGAAAATTATTCCCATGAGAAAAAGTGGATCTCTGAGAGCAAAAGCAGCAGAGACATGCCTAGAGGAAGTTCTCATGCAATAAAATGCCTGATTAGTTCTTAGTTTTGTCTTTCCAGATTCGGCATACTAGGGAGAGAAAGAACATGGAAGGCACTGTACAAGAGTGGACACCGACACAAGTGTTACAGACTGAATGTCCATGTCCCCTCTGAGGCCCTATGTTGAAATCTTCACCATTAAAGTGATGGTACAAGGAGCTGGGTCCTTTGGGAGGTGATTAGGTCATAAGAGTGTAGCCCTTGTGAATGGGATGAGTGCCTGTATAAGAAACATGAGCGCTCATGCACTCTCTCTCTTTCTCTGTCTCTGTCTCTGTGTTCTCGGCCATATGAGGATACAATGAGAAGATATCCCTCTGTAAGTCGGCGAATGGGCCCTCATCAGACATTGGATCTGTGTGCACCTTGATCAAGAATTTCCCAGCTTCCAAAACTGCAAGAAATAAATGTTTGTTGTTTAAGCCACCCAGTTTGTGGAAAGTTGTTAAAGTAACCCAAACTAATTAAGATGAGGACGATCAAAAAGTTCAAAGGATTTGAGAAATAAAGCACTGGGGCAGATTGTAACTGTAACTGTGGTCGGCTAATTGGCCCTTATGTTTTTTTTTTTTTTTTTTAAGGTGTTAGGTCTTCTATTAATTCATTTATGTAGGAGAAAGAAATCATAATTTAAAAATTGGTAATTTAGGATTTAAGATTATAAAAATAGGTAACATTTTCAATTTGTGTTTTAATAGCCTTGGTTAGAATTTAAAATAAAGAGGCATGGAAAATATAAATTATTCTACTAAAACAATAAAATCAAACAAAAATGCTTTAGAAAATACAATTTCATGGCAAGGCGCTATGTTCGGGTATCCATAGGAAAAGGGAAAACAATACTTGTTATGGAACTTAAAATTCAGATGGATAAATATGGAAATATGTTTCAGGCAAGGAGTGATTAAATAAAGGTAAAATTTTGTCTCAGTTGCTGTCAGATTGGAATCATTAATTGGTCAATAAGGCTGTGATTATATGGACAATGGTTTAATTTTATCTTTTACTGAATGGTTATTGAAAGAGATTTTAGTGATTTTACTGACAACTATTTCCTAAAATAATCAGCGAAAAATACTTTTGACTTTTCTGGCTTTTTTTAAAACATACTTTAAACCAATTCTGAACTGCATGGTTTTTCAAATTCAGAACATATCCCACTGATAGGCATTCATGACCAAGTCATGGCTGATAGGCATAGGACAGTTTAATTAAAACTGTTGTCTATCAGACTCAAACAGTAGCTATCAGCATGGGCATATATAAATATACATGCCACATATACTATAGTATATGTACAATGCACAATATGTTCAATCACTCATGAGCAGCAGTCCTCAACTTGTTTGGCGCCAGGGACCAGTTTCATAGAAGATAATTTTTCCATGGATAGGGAGTGTGGAGGAGGGGATGGTTTCAGGATGAAACTGTCCCACCTCAGATCATCAGGCATTACCGGCATTAGATACTCATAAGGAGTGCGCAACCTAGATCCTTCGCATGTGCAGTTCACAGTAGGGTTTGTGCTCCTATGAGTATCTAATGCCAGGGCTACAGGAGGCGGAGCTCAGGCAGAAATGCGCAACGGCCACTCACCTCCTGCTGTGCGGCTAGGTTACTAACAAGCCAAAAACCAGTAATGGTTCATGGCCCAAGTGTTGGGGACCCCTAGTCATGAGATCATCAAAATTGTAGTATATGGAATTTCTCAGCATGGCTATATTAGCAAGGAAGGAATCCCGTGATTACAATAGTTGGCATTTGTAAATGGGTAGCAAATAATGTTAACTATCACAATTAATTTTAAGTATTCTAATTGCTATTATTTTTAAATTTGGAACGGAATACAGCCTGACCAAACAAATTAATTAAGATTGCCACCACAAAATATGTTTCATGTTTGTGTTAAAATATGTCATTAAAACAACTAGGATTTTCATGCTTATTGAGCTGATAAATGCCATCACTGGCTCATTTTTTCCCTATGGCGTATTTTTATTGCTGCTATCCTGACACTGATAATAACTTGCATTATTATAATCACAAGCTTTTTTCCCTCATCTCTATTGTGCCAAACTTTCTATTCTTTACAAGGCAACCACCAAGAAAATGCTGAAGAATAGTCTAGTTATAATGGCAACTTGAGTCTTGCTTTACAGAATTTTTACTCTACAGAAATCGATAAAGGTAACAGAGCTTTTGGGTTCTAATACAGTTTCAAATCTCTGAATACTATTATTTTGACCTCAAAAATAACTCTTGGAACACTACTGAAAAAAAAAGGCTGCTTAGAATGATGATGTTTGTGACAAGAAAATAGATACAAGCTTGAAACATGTTACTGAGCTGCCTATCACAAAGGCATACACTTGTAAAGGTGTAATCCAGCTTATGAAACTGCCAAGATTAAACTTTTCAAAATAAGTCTGTTGTTATATTTTATCATCTGTAATGGATATAATAATTTGGTGAGCTTGTTAAAACTAATCTTTCTAAAAATAACCTACAAGTTTAAGACAGGGATATAGATATTGATTATATCTCAAAATTTATTAAATGACAATTTTGTCAATGTATGCTTGTCTGATATTATTCTAGTGCTGGATACAATTACATAAAGCCTTATCTATGTTTCAAAAATTTTATTGAATAATACATGAATGTCAGTTAATGTGAAACTTACCACAATAATTGATGTAGTTATTATTAATCTTACTTTTACAGATAAAGAAACTAGAGCCCAAACAATAAGTGATTTGCTAATAACAAAATTTATTAAGTGGTAGAACTGGAATTTAAAATTGTCTCTTGAAGTATACAGTATTTTATTGCCTTTTTGATCTAAAATATTATCCAAGCTATATTTATTTAGTGATGTTTAAGCAGTACTTTCTTAGGCTCTCCCAATAAGCTAAAAAACAAAACATAATTTTTTTTCCTCCTACAACTGATGTTGGATTGGGAACTAATAACTGGCAAATAAAAAAATAAACAAGATGCTATATTAGATTAAAAGTTTTCTATAAATGAGAATATGAGGAACATTTTTCACATAGTGGATTTTGAGCTGATTCTTGAATGATAGGATAGAAATTAATAGACGTTGAGTTACAGAAGACAACATATATGCAATTGGATTCCCAATAAGAAACAAAATAAAGGGCCAAGTGTGGTGGCTCACGCCTGTAAACCCAGCACTTGGGGAGGCCTCGGCGGGCAGATCACGAGGTCAGGAGATCGAGACCAGCCTGGTCAACATGGCGAAACCCTGTCTCTACTAAAATATAAAAAATTAGCCAAACGTGATGGTACGCGCCTGTAGTCCCAGCTACTCAGGAGGCTGAGGCAGGGGAATCGCTTGAACCTGGGAGGCAGAGGTTGCAGAGAGCTGAGGTCCTGCAACTGCACTCCAGCCTGGCGACAGAGCGAGACTCCGTCCCAAAAAAAAAAAAAAAAAAGAAAGAAACAAAATAAAGGATGTGATGAAAGTAATATATTAAGTGATAATAGCTTAATAGCTTAAGTTTTGAAAAATTCATGAAAAATACCAACCTATAAAATTAAGAAATCCAATGATCTCCATTAAATATTTAAAAAAATGAACTTATAGATTATTTTCATAGCAAACACATAAAATATACAATCTTAGAGAAATATTATATGTGTATATTATATATATTTATATATAAATATGTAAAACATATATTTATATATATATGTAAAACATATATATATAAATATGTAAAACATATATATATAAATATGTAAAACATATATTTATATATAAATATGTAAAACATATTTATATATTTTATAAATGTATGTGTTCACATTATATTTATATAAATTATATATAGGTATATTTATCTATACCTATATATAATTTATGTATACATAAATCAGTATGACGATGTAAATAATAAGACTACCATGGGACTTAAATTGTATATTTAATCAAAATATAGAACATAATAGGTTATTTGCAAGGATGAGGATAATGGAGATAAAGTGTCCCAAGTTTAGTGTAGGGCTTAGAAATATAATAAAAATACCAATTACTATACAGCTCCATCAACCCTAGCACATTTAGGAATGATGGACTTTCTCACAAATTAATATTATAATACCACATACAACGATATTTAACATTCTAAATTTTCATTTTCCAATTAACATAACTTCACAGATTTAAAGCAAAGCTACATGGAGAAACAGATGGAACATCAGCAGATCAATATTCTTTTTAAAAATACGGCCGGGCATGGTGGCTCACGCTTGTAATCCCAGCACTTTGGGAGGCCTACGTGGGCGGTCACCTGAGGTCGGGAGTTTGAGACCAGCCTGACCAACCTGGAGAAACCCTGTCTCTACTAAAAATACAAAATTAGCCAGGTGTGGTGGCACATTCCTGTAATCCCAGGTACTCGGGAGGGCGAGGCAGGAGAATTGCTTGAACCCGGGAGGCGGAGGTTGCGGTGAGCCAAGGTCATGCCATTGCACTCCAGCCTGGGCAACAAGGGCAAGACTCCGTCTCAAAAAAAAAAAAAGAAAGGTTTTAAGTTATTGAACGAAGGTCCATATGAAGAAGTTAGGAAAATTTGTAAAAGAAAGAAAGTAATAAGATAAACACAAAAATTAATGAAATAGTATACTAGAAATAATGAAATAGTATACTAGAAAAAATAAAATCAAATTTTTGTTTTTAAAAAGATGACAGTGATACATGCCAAGAAAAAATAATAAAGACAAAGATCCCAAATATCATAACTTTGGTTTAATACTAAATGGAAGCTCCCAGACAATGTAGTAATGCAAAAGGAAGAAATAATATAAAAAGAAAGCTCAGATTTTTCAAGAGGACATAGAAAGTAAAAATGTAGAACATTCAAAAGGATTTATCAGTAAATTTAGAGTCATAAAACTGAGTTTAGAAACCTTTCAGGATACAAGATCACTATAAAAAAATTCTACTAAGTTTCTATAAACAACTTGGCAATGTAAATAGATATATATTTTAATTTCAGGAAAATATATAAAACACCTAGAAAAATATTCAACAAAATGTGAAAGGCACATGTAACAAAATTATAAAGCTGAGGAAAATTATAAAATAAAAAAAATTTAGTTAACAAGAAAGACCTCATGTATACAGATGGAGAGACTTAGAATTAGAATGATTTGCATTGTCCCCAAATTAATCTAAGAGGTCAATCATTCTTAACCAAAACTCTAACAAGTAGATTGTAAAATGTATATGTGAAGAAAAGAAGTGAGAATGACCAAAATAATTTTGAAGAAGAGAAAACAAAATATTTGCTCCTCCAAATATCAGGAATTATTATAAATCTGAAGTAATTAACATTGCATAAATTAAGGTGTGATAATGAAATAAATCATTAACTAGACAAGAAGATGGACTACTTTTTAAAAATTGGTACTGAGTTATTCACTATTCATATATAGAAAAAATGAAATGACACCTTTTTTCTGTCTGCACAAAATTCTATTCTAAGTGAATTGTATGTTCAAGTTCAAATCTAAGTTGTATATCTTAATTGTGTATCATAATCAATAAAAATATATTTTTGCCCTGTGGATAGTTTTTTAACCAAAAGGCATGAAAGCGCTTATCAAAAATGTAGTGATTAGTGAACTAAACTATTAATATTAAAAACATCATCAAAAAACCAAGAAGATACTAAAAATAAAAACCATTTTTTGGAATATACATTAGCAACTTAATTAAAATATTATCAATACAATATACAGATATACAACTGTATATGTAAAATAAATGAAAATCAACAAGAGATCTCATCCACTACATTTAAAAAGAAAATATTTTAAAGTCCAATACAAAAAGGGCCTCACCATCATTACTTATCAGGAAATTAAACTTTAAAAAATGCTATGCACCTACAATTACGAATAAAATTACAAAGATTTAAAAAATAAATAATTTATGAGAATGTGGATCAATAGATCTTTGATGAAACAGTAAATTAAATTACTATAACTACTTTTTAAAAATCTCTAAAAAGTTTAGGAATATCTACTGAAATTGAACAAATATATATTCATAAAAGTATGCTCATCTGCACCATGAAATACGTATAAGGAAGTTCTGTGTAACTTAATTATTATGACTAAAACCTGGAAACAACACAAATATCTGTGGATGACACAATGTGAAAGTAAATTAGATCTATATTAGGTATCAATTTAAAAATTAATGTAAAAACTCAATGGACCAAGTTCCCATTAAAATAATTTATCTTTTAAAAAGTAAATTGGGATAAATCACCCAATGGAATAATATTTAGCAATAAATAATAATGAAGTGCTACAAACTGTTTACAAAGATAAATCTCACCAGTATAATTTAATCAAAGAATTCAGGCATGAAGAAGCACAAGTTTTATGCTTTCTTTGAGGTAACATTTACCAGCATGCAAAAGCAAACTGTAAACCAGTTTTCATGAACACCTGTTCAGTATTGCCTTAATATTTTTTGGTGGGAGTGAGAAATACTGAATTCACTTTCTCTTTATTGACCTATAGTTTCACATATGTTTATGAATACTAAAAGCAAAATGATAATTGAAAATAATCATGTACTGTTTAACTGAGGACAAACACAGTTTTGAATTCTTTTTAACTTCGTGATTTATAGGTTTATTAATCCATTAATTGTTCTCTAATTAATTAAATATTTATCAAACACCTAATAGTATGTTTAAGGTAAATTTGTTCCAAAAAGCCCTTAACAGGCAACCAGTCTAATAGGCTAGAGAGAAAAGCCAATGTTTACAAAATAATGCATACTTTAATTAAATAATTCATTCTTTCATACCAAAAATATTTTTTGAATTACTACAAAATGCATCACATGTATGTAGTTGGAAAGCAATGGATTTTATAAAGTGGGGGCAAACAGAGAAAATACTAAATGCAGTGAGAATATAGGAAGAGGAATCAATTAGAAGTTCAAGGATGCCTACGGCTTTCATGGGGCCTCAAGCTAATTTGATTGAGAGGGGGCTATTTAAGATAAAATGCCAAGTTGCCTCTATACATAAATAGTTATTTCAAGTAGGGAAAAGAAAAATTAAAAAATTTTAAATGTTGACGCATACTGCATATATTATGAAATTTTTAAAAGTGATACACTCTTTATATGAATCAACTTACCAGATACTACTCTGTAGTATTGTTTTCCTTTCATCTAGCTGTTTTCTTTGAATAACTCATGTGACATTTCTCTACAGAGAAAAGTGAAAGATATTTTTGTCTTTTAATTATTACAATCAACATTTGTTTTGGTTTGTTTTTATTTTATTCTATTTACTTATTTTTTTAAGTTTTTTTGCCTTTTTTTTTTTTTTTTTTTTTGAGATGGAGTCTCATTCTGTCAATGGGCTGGAGTGTAGTGGCGTGATCTTGGCTCACTGCAATCTCTGCCTCCAAGTTCGAGTGGTTCCCCTGTGTCAGCCTCCCTAGTAGCTGCGCACCACCATGCCTGGCTAATTTTTTGTATTTTAGTAGGGATGGGGTTTCACCATGTTGGCCAGGATGGTCTTGATCTCCTGACCTCGTGATCTGCCCGCCTCGGCCTCCCAAAGTGCTGGGATTATAGGCATGAGCCAACACACTTGGCCTATTTTTTCAAGTTTTATTTTGGATTCAGAGGGTACATGTGTAGGTTTGTTACATGGGTATATTGTGTGTTGCTGGCATTTGGGGAAGGAATGATCCTGTCACCCAGGTAGTGGGCATGGTGCCCAATAGGTAATTTTCAACCCTCATCTCTCTCTCTCCCCAGTTAGTAGTGCCCAGAGTCTACTGTTCCCATCTTTCTGTTCATGTATTCATTGTTTAGCTCCTGCCTATAAGGGAGAACATGTGGTATTTGCTTGTCTGTTCTTGCATTAATTTACTTAAGCAAATACCACATGTTCTTGCTTATAAGCAGGAGCTAAACACTGAGTGGAAGATGGCCTCCAGCTGCATCCATGTTGCTGCAAAGGACATGATTTCATTCTTTTTTATGGCTGTGTAGTATTCCATGGTGTATATGTACAGCATTTTTATTATCATTTTATTTTATTTTATTTTTTGAGATAGAGTTATGCTCTTGTTGCCCAGGATGGAGTACAGCGGCGCTATCTTGGCTCACTGCAACCTCCGCCTCCCAGGTTCAAGTGATTCTCCTTCCTCAGCCTCTCAAGTAGCTGGGAATACAGGCATGCACCAACACACCCCCGGCTAATTTTTTTGTATTTTTAGTAGAGATAGTGTTTCACCATGTTGGTTAGGCTGGTCTCAAACTCTTGACCTCAGATGATCCACCGGTCTCAGCCTCCCAAAGTGCTGGGATTACAAGCATGAGCCACTGTACCCGGCCTCACATTTCATTATCTAATCCACCACTGATGGGCACCTAAGTTAATTCCATATCCTTGCTATTGTGAATAGCCCTGTGATGAAAGAGAAGTGCAAGTGTCTTTTTGGTAGAACAATTTATTTTCCTTTGGGTAGGGTAGCCAGGAATTGCTGGGCCTAATGGTAGTCCCATTTTATTGCTTTTTTTTAAGAAATCTTCAAACTGCTTTCCACAGTGGCTGAACTAATTTGTATTTCCACTAACAGTGTATGTGTTCCTTTTATTCCACATCTTTGATAATAATTATGATGTTATTTAACCTTTATAATTGCCTTATGTTAAATATTATTCTAATATCATTTATATTTTTGTATCTGCAAAAAAAGTATGACATGAAAGGTTAATTAACCTGCCCCTAACAATCCGTAAGTGGTAGAGTCCGAATTTTAATTCAGGCATTTGCTTCAGTATCTGCACTCTTAAACACTGCACTGAACTCTCATCACTACAAGGTACTGTATTAAAGTTATAAGAACATAAATCATGATCCCACCGGAGCTTATTGTTCACCATCTTATCGGCTGCTAAATCCCACAGGGGTTTCTTTGGAGATTTGTCTTCTGCTGAATGGAGCTGCCTCTCCAGTGGGTCCAATCGCATCTGTAGCCCTCAGCCTGATGTAGGGTTATAAAAGGCTGGCCCAGGACCTCAACAGGGATAACCTCCAAGTAAGGTTTATGCTCCATAGTAGCCCCTCTGTCGATACAGCCAAGGCTAGGTTTTACCTGAGACCAGATCCCTGCTCAGCTGTCTCCCACTTCCCAATTTTTCTTCACATTCTCTCTTATATTCTGAGGAGCGCACCTCCAACAAATCGTATGCACTTGAATCCTTCACTTAGACTCTGCTTTTATGGAACCTGATCTAAAACACTTTTCATTCTTATTGCACATCTTTAAAATGCAAAAACTGCCTAGAAAGTTGACATTTGTAAAAATAAATGAAGTCAACTGCAGATATTTTCATATGTATACATTTCTGTATTTAATAATTTCTATATTTCCTTCTTACAATCAGCAAATAGATTGTGAAAAACAGAAAATAAAGTCTCTTTTCTGATCATGTGGGGTTTTCTTCTACTACCTATTGTTTATTGAATCTTCTTAACCATTTTATATCTACTCCTTTAATCATCAGAACCTAATATTTTAATAATCCTTAGAATTAATTATTAAATATCATTATTATAATTTAGACAAGAGAGTTGGAAGAAATATATTAATTAACTTATTATCTGTGTGACAGTGGGCAAGTGGTGGATAGGGAAGTCCAAGATTATGTTAGCTGGGCATGGTGGTGTGCACCTTTATTCCCAGCTACTCAGGAGGGAGAGGTGGGAGGATCGCTTGAGCCTAGAAGGAGGAGGTTGCAGTGAGCCAAGATCACACCACTGCACTCCAGCTTGGATGACACAGCGAGATCCTATCTTTAAAAAGAAGAAAGTCAAAGATCATGTTTTAAATGTAATATATTGGCCCTGATCAACAAATTAATCACTTTGCTTTGTTCCTCCTTGGAAAGAAAATCTATAAAGAAGGTATCAATTAGACAAGTTCCTTAAAGGATATTAAACCACTCCATCAAATTACAAATTCTCAGGAATAATCAGTTCCTCATAGAACTAGCTAATCAACTTTATTGACTATTGAACTGAATTGACCAATTTAAATAGTTGATTTGGCTTCACATAAGTATATCTTTGAAGAGCAATAATAAAGCCCAGGTTTAATGGGAGAGGTGTCAAACTATATTAGGGCCAGATTTGGAAACTGACATATACACAGAGGTACATATACACATGATTTTCAAATTGACATTTTTGCCTTATTCTCCTGCTTAATATTTCAATATTAATAATTAAAAAATGCATATTTAATGTAAGACTTTTACATTTTTGCATGCCTACAAGGTTGTTTTATAAAAATAACTGGCTGAATGAAAAACCTTATGTCTGAGACCATTGATTTGGGCAATGGATAAGAAGACCTTGAGGACTTAGTGACAGGTAGTAAGTCTGACTTAGCAAAGAAAAGTAAAATATAAGGACTTCTAAAAACATAAAAAGCTTTATTAAATACTGTTGCCTAAAGAAAAACAATGGGCTTTTGAAGAATTAAAGTTGGTTTTATTCAGAAGTCCTACTGAGGACTATAGACTGAGGCCTGCAGCCTGGAAATGTTACCGGAAAGGGGTCTCAATTCATACCCCAAGAGAGGGTTTGTGGATCTTACAAAAGGAAGAATTCAGGGCGAATCCATAGAGTAAAGTGACAGATAGTTTATTAAGAAAGTAGAGGAATAAAATAATGGCTACTCCATAGACAGAGCAGCCCCGAGAGCTGCTGGTTGCCCATTTTTATGGTTATTTCTTGATTATATGCCAAGCAAGGGGTGGATTATTCATGCCTTCTTTTTTCAGACCATATAGGGTAACTTCCTGATGTGGCCATGGCATTTGTAAACTGTCATGGCGCTGGTGGGAGTGTAATAGTGAGGGCCACCAGAGGACACTCTCATCGCCATCTTGGTTTTGGTGGGTTTAGGCCAGCTTCTTTACTGCAACCTGTTGTCTTAGCAGGATCTTTATGACCTGTATCTGGTGCGGACCTCCTATCTTATTCTGTGACTTAGAATGCCTTAATCATTTGAGAATGCAGCTCAGTAGGTCTCAGTCTCATTTTACCCAGCCCCTATTCAAGATGGAGTTGCTTTGGTTCAAATGCCTCTGACAGAACCAGCCCATTAGAGAGGTTCTTTTGGACTGCTCCTAGGCTGTAGGCCTCAGGAATAATTCTCAGGAAGACTTCCAGATAAAACTAGCTTTTTTTCTTTGCTTTGTTTTTGTGGGCCATGTTTTATTTGTCCTTTTTCCTCAAACAGGATAACAAAAGATACAGACTATTCAATACAATGAAATAGACAAAACAAATTCTAAGAGACTGTGATACCACATGCTACATTTAATCTTATTTTATTCATGTTTGCCTTGGGATGGGGAATAGACCATTCAGTAAAAACATACAGTAAAATCAAAATGTCGTATCATATACAACTTTTAAACTACAATAATGATGGACTTTAATTATTTCCACACACACAATTTTAACATTAGCTTTTTAAATAAACACAAGACTTCTAGGAGTAATTTATAATAAAGTAATTCCTAATTTTTCTTTATAGATAAATTCCTATATACAGTGATTTCTTCATAGACAAATTCCTATATACAGTGATCGTTTACTTAAAATAAACACGTAAGTAAATTAAGTACATGGACATGCTTAAGATGAGCTAACATTATATATTCAGTTAGGTAGGCAACAAGCTGTAGTGCCAGATGGAGTAAGTGTATTTGCAAATAAATTTTAAAAACTAAGTTACTTTTTATAATTAAATACAGAAAATATACTGATTTGCTAAAATAAATAAGATGTGATATATTAACACTTCACTATAAAGAATGCATACCAGAATATTCATAAACAGTAAATGAGTCTTATTAAGAATAGTTTACTAAAATAAATGCTGGCTAAATAGATGTGCATATTGTGAAGCACTATGAGTGGTATATGTTTTGCCACATACTTCTGTTATCTTGAGCTAGATAACACATGTGTACTCAATTCAGCAGTCATTTTCAGTTGTTACTGGTATCATATGTTTTAAGAAATGTGTACAGTGTGAAAAACTTAAAAAATATTCATGAATAAAAAATGTTTTAGAAAAAATAGATATTTTCAGGCAATTATGTAGAGTCTCACTGCGTAAATTTCAAGGTAAGATTTGTTTCCTATAAAACGGATCATTGTTCTACGAGAGGATGTTTTTTACTTGTCTTAGTGCATTTCTTTTGCCTCCTCTAGCATTGCATTATTTTGCTCTTTGCTTATTTTTGTGTGCAAACGACATGCCAGTTAAAATGAAAACTACCTCATATGTAGAAAATAAGGTCTGGATTTTAAAAACCAAGAGCTAATCCTTACTAAATTACACCATCTGATTCAAGTAAAAAATGACTTAAACACTAGTGATAAAATAAAGGCAAAACACATTTCATGAAGAATGCAAAGATAAATGTTTGCTGAGTGCTTTAGTTCACATGTTTTAAAATGCTGCTGCAGGTTTTATGAGGAATTTGAGGGGAAGATTCCATAGCAGAAGGTGGTAATGTGGCCTGTATTGACTTAAGTAGTGACCCAACTGGACTGCGAAGCTGCAGGACGCCCACGGACTCGAGGTGCTTGCTAAAGAGGAACTCCAAACTGTTGTTCAGAAATCCTTCATTTCCTCTCTCCCCAAGCTTCCCATCCTCTACTAGCTCAGTTTCTAGTATTTCAGTATCTTCTTTCCTGTTAAATAACTTGTCTAAGTAACTAGTGTAAATGTCGTCCTCCTCAACTCCTTCACACTTCCTTACCTCACAACAAAACTAATTTGTGATAAAATAGTTCTCCCCACCACTCACAAACTGGCTGTCCCAAGAAGATTGGTACAAGACTTCTAACTGAGCCAAATTTGCCATTCCTTTTTTCTGTTTTTCTTGGCTTACTGTCTTTGTTATCAAATTTTTCATTTCTAGTTGGGACCTTGACCTATTCGAGTTATTTCATTTCTCAACAACATCAGTAGGCTCATGTTGTGAACTAGGTTGAGTAGTTTCTGCAATAAAGGAATCAAAATCAAACCCCTGATTTTTTTCCCTTTGTTTTTCAACCAGTTGCTGTGAGGCTTCCTCAAGCGCTATCTGGGCTTTAACCAATCCATTCCTTTCACATTTTCACTTGCCTTTCTTATCAGATTTTTCTCTGCTTTATTCTTTCCGATTGGAAATATCTATAATAACCTTGGGTTCATAGTAATGGTTAACTTCACTCGCTCTCCAAACTAAGTTATCTAAATATGATGATGACCTGGCTTTGTAGTTACAAATATGACTACACTTCAAATCCCTATTTGTTTTTATGATGATCTGGGTACTGCCAAAAAGGCTCAGTAGAGCAATTGGATCCTCCAGATACTTTATGCTTTTCCGAATGTCCATCCAAATATTTTCAGGGATCAACTCGTACTTCTTCATCAGTGATATCAGACAGAGCTCTCAGGTCAAGCAGAACTTCATCAATACCAAAGTTGTTATGTATAGGCCAATCATGCACTGAAAACTAACAATCATACCTTTCCCAGTTATAAATGTGACTGTGAGTTTCATCCATAAGCAAAATATCATAAACTTCATCTTCAATATGAAAAAGATGACTTGAAATTGGCTCATCCGTTGGAAAATAATATATGCTCATGTAATGATGGGAGAGCGCTTCTTCTGCTGTTAACCCATCTGTAGGGATAAATGTCAAAATTTGTTCCAGGAGATCCAGTGCTTCTCAGCTAATTCCCTGAAGCAGCTGAGTTAAAGGTTTCTGTGGTTCAGTCATTTCATTTCTAATGTAAACTGGAATTACACTGAGAAGCTCCTGATGATCTTCCTCATGTATAACAGGACTAGATTCTAAAATCAGCTGCATCTGTTCGAGTTCACGTGCACCTGCAAAAAGGGTTTTACCAGTCAGCATTTCAGCAAAGATGTGGCCTGCAGTCCACATGTCAATGGCTTTACTATAACTATTAGAAGAATGTAAAAGATGTGGAGATCTGTACCATTTAGTTACCAGTCCTTCAGAGAGATGATCCTTATGGGAATAATGAGGATCCATGATTTGTGCAAGACAAAAGTCCCCTATCTTCAGCATCATGTCTTCAGTATTAATGAAAAGATTAGTTGGTTTGAGATATCTGGGCAATACACTTGCAGAGTGAATACTTAAGCCACGTTAGCAGCTGATACATGAAAAGTCTGGCATGCTTTTCCAGTAAAGGGCCCTCCTCCATCATATTAGCCAAGTCTGTCTCCATGTAATTCTGAAAAATGTAAATACTGTTAAGTTTGGTAAGAGAGTTCACATTGTTTGTTAATTGGCTTCCACTGGTACTAGGAATTTCAAACACTTTCACAATGTCACGATGTCAAATCTTCTAATAATTTTGATTTCATGTAGAGCATTTTTGACACTCTGGGGATCAGTAAGGAGAATTTTCTTGATGGATTCTCTTTTATCACAGTCATCGTCTACAGCAGAAAAAAAAAGTTTTCCTTTTGAATTGTTGAACTTGTGTAAACAAGGAAGAAAACTGACATCAAAAGGAAAGATCTTTTATACAGGCAGAAGAAAAATAATTATGCTTCCACAGCAAGATGATTTCTTGATGTTCATTGCATTTTCCAAACAGGCTTGTTCAGTTCCCCTTAGATATAAAGCTCAAAAAGCTCTACTCATATTGAGAATTTAAGAGATTGCAGTACTCATAGTTCAAGAAAGGGGCAGCAGCTCTGCAGACATTTAAATAAAACACTCAAGAAGCTCAAATGGAATGAAATTATGTACTATGCACCCAGATTTACTGTGATAAATGATTTAACATTTAACAAAAATATGAATAAATATGCACACAACGCAACAGGCTTCTGTGAACATTCTCCTCACAGTGCAGACACATTCAGTGTTGGACTGGCCCTGAGCAGCATTGTTCTAAGGTGCTGGTAAGCACTGTTTCCATTTTGTTTCTTTTCTTCCTTTGTTGCTATATATTTCACCAGAAAGCCCTGGCGGCTGTTGGTTAACAGATGTCTTTTGTTAGTGATCAGGTGGCTCCGGCTCACCACAATCACAACCAAAGCTACTGTCCGTCTTACTCTGATCCAACGGGACTTCCACTCATCGAGAGGGTGTGGGCCCATGGACAGCCCCCAGCGTGGGCTCACGTCTCCAGCTGTACTGGCAGCAGCAGCTGCTTTGCCACAGTTGCTGCCATGCCAAACTCTATTTCTCTAAAAGTTTGACGTTTTCTTCAGTTGGCAATATTTATTTGAAAAGGAAGTGAAAGTGAAGTATTAAAATACAGTGAGAGATGTAATTCTCAAATGCCTCCCATGAACCAGCAGTATCAGCGTTACCCGGGAACTCAGTAATTTAAATGTTTGTGCCCCATTCCAGACCTTTAAAACATGAATCTGAGGACAAGGCCCTGAAATTTGCTATAACGAGCCTTTCAAATGATTCCGATTTGCTTAAAGGTTTGAAAATCACGGACATACGGAGTAAAATGGAGATGTTTATGAATAGGGCTCATGTAACTTAGCAAATTTTGCCGGTTAGAAAGGCTCTTTGCTGTTTATCTAGTTGTTTCATTGTTTTAATTAATTAATTTATTTATTTTTTGAGACAGAGTCTTGCTCTGTTGCCCAGGCTGTAGTGCAGTAGCACGATCTTGGCTCACTGCAACTTCCACCTCCCGGGTTCAAGCGATTCTCCTCCCTCAGCCTCCCAAGTAGCCGGGAGTACAGGCATGTGCCACCAGACCCGGGTAATTTTTGTATTTTTAGTAGAAACAGGGTTTCATCATTTTAGCCAGGCTTGTTTCAAACTCTTGATCTCAGCTGATCCTCCCCCATCAGTCTTCCAATGTGCTGGGATTGCAGGCGTGAGCCACCGCGACCAGCCCACATCATACTTAAAATGTATGATAACAATAGCACAAAGAATGGATGGGAGAAAATGAAAATACAATGTTTTCAGGTCCTTATTCTGAAATTAATGGAATATAAAATTATCAGAAGGTAGATACTGAATAACTATAGATGTATATTTTAAATTAGCCTGCCAACGCGCCCAGCTAATTTTTAATTTTTTTTAATTTTTAGTAGAGATGGGGTTTCCCCATGTTGGCTAGGCTTGTCTTGAGCTCCTAACCTCAGGTAATCCCCCTGCCTTGTCCTCCCAAAGTGCTGAGATTACAGGTGTGAGCCACTGCGCCCAGCCTGTTTATTTTAATTTAAGGATTATCTTAATATACAGGTCATGAAGGTTTAGAGATACTTGATTTTGCTAAGCAATTCAAAAAGAAATGATGCAGAAATCAAAAGGACACTATTAATTTCCTAAAATAGATTAATATTTAAATAAAGTCTTTGCTATGAAAACAGAAAACACTCCAGGTATTTAAATTACAGTGAAATTTAAGCCAGAAGCAGTGGTGTATGCCTGTAGTCCCAGCCACTCAGGAGGCTGAAGCAAGAGGGTTGTTTGAGCTCAGGAACTAGAAACCAGCCTAGACAAAACAGCAAGACCCTGTTTTAAAAAAACAAAAAAACAAAAAAAAAAAAAAAAAAAAAAAAAAAAACTGTGGGACAGAGTCCAAGGTGTGAGGATTAATAGAGCCCAGGAGTTTGAGAACAGCCTGGTCAACATAAAGACATACCAATTCTACAAAAAAAAAAAAAAAAATCAGTTATAATTAACAAATTAGCTGGGTGTGGTGCCATGTACCTATAGGCCCAGCTACTCAGGAGGCTGAGGCAGGAGGATTGCTTGAGCCCTGGAGATTGAGGCTGCACTGAGCTGTGGTTGCACCACTGCACTCCAGCCTGGTTGACAGAATAATTTAAAAATGGGATATATACAGGAAACTTGTTTTCTTTAAAAGTATTGGAAAAGGATAAGGAACAGCTATCAGGAGGAATCATGGGAGGAAATCTGGAAGTGTAGAAATCAGGGAAGTTATTTCCAGTGGTCCAGCTGCCTGCATCATTAAGAAGAGCTGTACTCTAGGGAATTAGCCACTCAAACAGCATTTCTTCAATGTGTTCAGCACTTGCCATATCTGCAGGGGTAGGAAATGAATGATGTCTGCTTTCCTTCCAATTTCCAAACCTTTTATATGCTCCTCTGATTCTATCATCTATATTGGAATCCTACTGGCAAGGGAGTCCAGGAAATGTAGTTCCTAGATGTCCAGTGCTTGACACACAGCAAGACATTAAAAGGGCAATAGCTGTTTTAATACAAAAAGAAAACATTCCACACAACCAGTCTACCTCTCTGGATGATCAGCTTTGAAACACACCTTTCTATCTACATTAAAGTATAGAAACAATCATAATAAAATCATGTATATGTTCCAAGTATAATTGCATAAGTGAACAAAAGATCATTCTTTTCCTTAAAAGGAAAGACACGAAAACCCATCAATTATTGGAGTCATATCTGGGTGCTCTAGAGAATGTTCTGGTTTGCCAACATACACCCGTTACCCCATAGGAGTCTCATTTCTTTATGATATTCAGGATCAATCACCACCATGGCCATATGGAACCACAGATAGCCAGATGAACAGGAAGATATCAGAACAGGTAGGACAAAATATCAGCTTCTAGTTCAATCAAACCTTTGTTGTGTTCTCTTTTGGAAGCACTCCTATCTTGCAGACAACAAGACCTCTAAATAAAAAGAGGACAAAGATGGAAAAATAAAAAGTAAGAATAACTGAGAGTGCAAATAAAAGTAGTAGTGAGAGAGTATTCTGTTTGCATCTCTTGTTTCTCATATCTATGTTCCGGCTTCAGTAAAACTACCAAAATACCAAGTCTGTGGCATATTCCTCATAGATTGGTAACCTAAATATGTAAGCTCTTATAACCTAGTTGTGACATGACTTAGATTTATTATTCTGTTACAACTCTTTCTATATATAGCAAAACCATTAGTTGTGGTAGGTGTTGCTCATTGCCTTTTTTGCTATAAAATGATTAACTTGTCAAAAGCAGTATTGTTTGAAGTAGCACAACAATTAGTAAGATATTCACTCAATCTACATTTGGGCAAAAGCATTGGAAGCAAGGAAAGTAACTAATATTAACATTAATTTTATTTTCTAACACAAAAAATAAAATATTGAAAAAGGTTCAATATTATCAACCTGCCACCATGTAGCCAGTTTGTTCTTTCATGGAGAGGGAGCATACTAGTGGTTCCGCTTTGGCTCCTACCCTTGGCAGATTGGGCACTCAGAAATAGTGACAGGTGTCATGAGAGGTCATGAATTAATGAACAAGCATGGTATGGCTGAGAATAGAAGCTGACAATCATATAGAGAACTGGATAATTGGTTCTCTTGATTATCAAAACCCTCCCCTACAGTGGGTGAACTTTGATGAGCTTCCAAATAGAACACAAATCATGCTCAAAATATCCATCTTACTATCAGCATAAAACCATCACAAGTATTCATGTCAACAATCCATGACCATGCACTAAACTATTCCTTATTATCTAAAAATCAGTATATATCTTACTTGTGCTCATATTTTATGCAAAGAAAATTGAGCAACAAGCTTCACTTTTGACATGCCAAACATTGGGAGGATGTCCTTCCAGTTTTTTCACATAACCACATAGGTATGCCATTGTAATGCAGCATCATACCTCTTCAACTGATGCCACAACCTTCTAAAATCTACGAATAAGATTTTGTTTATTTTTTTGATTTTTCCTCAGACACATTTTATGAACTCTCCATGAGCCCATAAGAGGGGACTGATGGACAAATATGAATATACCATAAGTAGGTACCCAGAAGTTGAAGTCGTTTTCAAGAGTTGTAAATGGCCTGAGATTTTAACCAACTTGCAAGCTAACAAATTTGGGTGCCAGAGTCTCATGGATATTGGTGACTAACATCCATTGGTCAGAGATGAAGAGAAGTTAATTACTCATGGAAATTACAGTTGCCAGAGTGTCAACATATTTTACTAATTGCCCAAGCCCAGATGTTCCCAGGACAATGACAAGAGGATCAGATGACACCATCACCCACAATGAGTTCCATTGCAAGAAAGGAACCCTCAGCTCTGGGAACCCTGATATTTTATACTGGGCCTTAAACATGGCTTTCCTTTGTTCTTGAAAAATATATATTTATTATACGAGACAATAAACATACCTGTCCTTTGCTGTGGAGAGAGTAATTGAAGTACATATACATGACAAATAAATTGTATCTAGAATATATATTTTTATTTATTTGTTTATTTTTGTTTTGTTTTGTTTGAGACAGAGTCTCGCTCTATTGCCCAGGCTGGAGGGCAGTGGCACGATCTTGGCTCACTGCAAGCTCTGCCTCCCGGGTTCACGCCATTCTCCTGCCTCAGCCTCCTGAGTAGCTGGGACTACAGACAGCCACCACCACGCCCAGCTAAATTTCTTTTTGTGTTTTTAGTAGAAACGGGGTTTCACCGTGTTAGCCAGGATGGTCTTGATCTCCTGACCTCATGATCTGCTCACCTCAGCCTCCCAAAGTGCTGGGATTACAGGTGTGAGCCACCACACCTGGCCCAGAATATATATTTTTAAAAGCCCTTCTAACTCAATAGTATGTAGACTAATAACTCAAAACATAGGCAAATATTTTGAACAAACATTTCACTAAATATACAGAAACGTAACCACATAAAAGCATGTTTACTACTTTTAATAATCAGAAAATTACAAAGTACATCACAGTGAGTTTCTACTATGTACAATAGAACATATAATATTCAAAAGACTGAGAGTATTTATTTTTAACAAGGATATGGAACATATTTTTCTCACACATTGCTGGTGATCTTATAAAAACATACAATCACTTTGGGAAAACATCTGTGAGTTTCTTACAAAGACAAATATTGTTTTTAACATACAAATCACCAGTTTCATTCTCATATATGTATATCTTATGTATTCACTTCCCTCTGTTACAAGAATGTAAGCACTGTAACAAATATTCAAATTCCAAATCATTGTTTTCTAATACTGACTGAACAATAGAATTATTTGTATATATTAAAAAATATTTATGCCCCCGTTGACATACACAGAGAGAGTGTGTAAGAGAGAGAGAGAGAGAAAGAGCAAGAAAGACCCCAATGCCTAGGCTGCACTCCAAACAAATTCAAGTAGAATCTCTAGAAACAGGGTCTGGGTCTGGGTATCACTGTACCATATGAAAAAATTCCATAGGACATCAAAGCTATGCCAGCCATTATCACAAAAGACAATATTCCTACTTGCTTTAACTACTTGAAGGAACAATTAAGTAGCTACACAAACATTTGTGACATATTTTACAAATAAATTTGGAAATCACTGATATTAAATGTCACGATGACCAGTGTCATAAATTATTTCTACCAATAAAATATCAGGAATATCACAAATTTAAAAACTAGTATACTATATTTGGGTTGCCATATAAGAAGCCTAAAGCAGTTAGAATAGTACTTGGCATATAGGCAGCTTTCAAGCTTTCAATGTGTTAGTAACTATATATATATACACATATATATATACACACACATATATATATACACACATATATATATACATATATATATATATGTATATATATTTTGAGATGGAGTCTCATTCTTTTGTCTAGGCTGGAGTGCAACGGCACGATCTCGGCTCACTGCAACATCCACCTCCCGGGTTCAAGCGATTCTCCTGCCTCAGCCTCCTGAGTAGCTGCCATTACAGGCGCCCACCACCACACCGAGCTAATTTTTGTATTTTTAGTAGAGAGGGGGTTTCACCATGTTGGCTAGGCTGGTCTTGAACTCCTGACCTCAGGTGATCCGCCCACCTTGGCCTCCCAAAGTGCTGGGATTATAGGCGTGAGCCACCACATCTGGCCAACAATAATAATATTAATAACTATTCTTGGTATTATTATTATTAATAGTGATATTCCCATTACTTTTATCTTTCTCTCAAAATCGAGATAAAATGTGATATAATGGACATGCAATCACAAGTTTTATTTTATTTTTAATTATAATTCCCCCAGCATATACATTTCACAAAACTAAAATTAATTTTGCCTCAATATCTTTATTTTTTAAATAAAATGGTGATGTAGCCTTACAGATCAATGAGACTCTGTAGTCTGTTAAAATAATTAAATAGGAGCTAACGGACAGAAAAAGATTCTAATTATTTAATGTGCATTAAAAATATCAGGTTAACAAAGCTTTTGCGTAATCTTATGCAATACAAATGTTAGTTTTAATCTTTTTGCATGGCTGTATCTTGTATCTGCAGCATCTCTATTTCACAATCATTTCCAGCTGTATGACAGAGGCTGGAATTAAATCTTCTACAAGTGATTTTCAGGAGTAAGGATCCATGAGTATAGCTACTTTCTGAAATTCGTGCGTGTATGCGAGAGAGAGAGGGCCACAAATTAGTTATAATATCACTCTGGTCAATTATACCCAGCAATTGTAGAAGAAAAGATATTAGATTTTTAATTTAAAAGCTATAGACAAAATAACTCTCCACTTCTTATTAGAATCACGGACCCGATGATGTTCTTCTCAATATTATGTTTCTCTCTCTCTCTCTCTTTTTTTGTATATTAAGCTGTTTATTCATGTGCTTAGAACAATAGGAAGACAAATTAGTTGTAATGGGTAAATTATTTTTCAGATCATACATGTTACCAACTTCCATTTGCCTCCATTGAAGTTTAGATTTTAAGCAGCAATTAAATTTCCAAGTTGATTTTTGCATATAAGCAGCAATTAAATTTCCAGGTTGATTTTGGCAATCTAAGTTAAAATGATCCTTGGCAATATGTAAGCGAGAAAGTATTCTTTGCTTCTTACAGAATCCGTATCAGGTGATGGTTACACAAGCCTCCACATTTTCAAAAGTGTGTATTATTACTTACTGTTGTCCCTTCCTTTTTTTTTAATTAAAGATGTCCCATATTTCCCAAAATTATAAAATTCTGGTAATTTTATTTGTTGGATAGTTCTCACAGTGATCATCTCCTCTACAATATCACTGCTCCACGGAGATCCAAGTCCTCATCATTCATTGGCTGGTGTCTTCTGGTAGATGGCTTATTCTTTTCTCATCAATTTATCTCACTGATCAATTGACGAAAGATCCTTACCAAATGTATAACTCCTGATGTTTATATTTTTTAATCTTTATCATCACTTGCAAAGATTTTCTTCTCAGTATGTATCTCAAAAACATTCTTGCCTTATAATAATTGTTATTTGTGTGGCCTCTGCCATAATTAACAACCTTTGTCCTGTGTATCACAGACAACATACAGAATGTCATGAAGAAGTCTTGGAAATCGGATTATTTGAGACCTTTCACTAATACCTTCAATATTACATATTCTGTGTCTATAGGAAATTTCTACTCAGAAGAAAGGAAAACTCCTATTTTTACACAATATTCAAGGGTGAAGAATCCACACTGCTTGCTTCTAGCTATCACTCTAAAGCCAAGTTTCACCACCTGATATAAACAGCTATCTATTTCTTAGGTCAAAATATTTTTCCACGACTCCTACACATGCTTCTTTATAAGATCAGGACTAAATCCAGCACATAATTCTAGGCTATGTTATGGATGTTTACGTGGAAGAGATGAAAACCCACTGTAAAACTTAACTCAGAAGTGTAATATATTCAAAATCAAAGATTTAGAAAGCTGTGGCTATGTAATAAGTAAGAGGTAATAAGGTTAGGATTACAATAATAGGAAGTAAAAGCATTTGCATTATGGATATATGTTTAAGTTTTAGCCAAATAATTTGAAAACACTGGCTATAGAGTGAGAGCATACAAAAACACTCCGTGCTGACTGAGGATTTTGCCTGAACTACACAAAAAGTAGGGGAACACTGGGGGAACGATCTTTATTTTTCTTTTAGAAAAGTGAAAAATCCAGAATTAAGTATTGGTTATTTTATTGTACAGATGCTAATTAGTATTCCAAGAGCCTATTTTAGATAGCTGGTTGAAATGTGAGCATCAGCATCTAGAGGGAGGGATGATATGTGGAATATATATTTAGCTACTAAATTAACCCCCAAATCTCTGTGTCTTTACAGAATATTTAGTTCTTAAACTATAGTTCAGTAAATATTGCATGGCTCATTAAATGGCACTGTGACAAGTCTCCTGTCATTTTGTGATTCCATCATCTTAAGCACAATACCTCTATATAGCCATCACAGAAAGCAATAGAGAACATAGAATACCAAATAGGAGTAGTTATGCCTAGTACTGAAGGGTTCCATATACTTCTTCCTCCATAATATTGACCAGAACTCAGTCACCTGGTGCTAAACCAAATGCACAGGAAACTTGAGAAATGTTTTAGCCTATCTGTTCATGAAGAAAAAAATGTGACCAGTAATTTCTTGGCAATCTGTGACAGTCTGTGGAATTAATGAGCAAGCTAAGAAGGATCTCTTTATAAGTTTTTTTTATTATACATTAAGTTTTGGGGTACATTTGCAGAATGTGCAGTTTTGTTACATAGGTATACATGTGACATGGTGGTTTTCTGCACCCATCAACCTGTCACTTATATTAGGTATTTCTCCTAATGCTGTCCATCTCCAAGCCCCCCAACTCCCAACAGGCCCTGGTGTGTGATGTTCACCTGCCTGTGTCCATGTGTTCTCATTGTTCAACTCCCACTTATGAGTGAGAACATGTGGTGTTTGGTTTTCTGTTCTTGTGTTAGTTTACTGAAAATGATGGTTTCCAGCTTCATCCATGTCCCTGCAAAGGACATGAGCTCATCCTTTTTTATGGCTGCAGAGTATTCCATGGTGTATATGTGCCACATTTTCTTTATCCAGTCTATCATTGATGGACATTTGGGTTGGTTCCAAGTCTTTGCTATTGTGAATAGTCCTGCAATAAACATATGCATGCAAGTGTCTTTACAGTAGAATGATTTATAATCCTTTGGGTATATACCCAGTAATGGGATTGCTGGGTCAAATGGTATTTCTAGTTCTAGATCCTTGAGGAATCGCCACACTGTATTCCACAGTGGTTGAACTAATTTACCCTCCCACTAACAGTGTAAAGGGTTCCTATTTCTCCAATTCCTCTCCAGCATCTGTTGTTTCCTGACATTTTAATGATCGCTATTCTAACTGGCATGAGATGGTATTTCATTGTGGTTTTGATTTGCATTTCTCTAATGAGAAGTGATGATGAGCTTTTTTTCATATGTTTGTTGGCTGCATAAGTGTCTTCTTTTGAGAAGTGTCTATTCATATCCTTCTCCCACTTTTTGATGTGGTTGTTTGTTTTTTACTTGTAAATTTGTTTAAGTTCCTTGTAGATTCTGGATATTAGCCCTTTGTCAGATGGATAGATTGCAAAAATTTGTCTCATTCTGCAGGTTGCCTGTTCTCTCTGATGGTGGTTTCTTTTGGTGTACAGAAGCTCTTTAGTTTAATTAGATCCCATTTGTCAATTTTGGCTTTTGTTGCCATGGCTTTTGGTGTTTTATTCATGAAGTCTTGGCCCATGCCTATGTCCTGAATGGTATTGTCTAGGTTTTCTTCTAGGGTTTTTATGGTTTTAGGTCTTACATGTAAGTCTTTAATCCATCTTGAGTTAATTTTTGTATAAGGTGTAAGGAAGGGGTCCAGTTTCAGTTTTCTGCATATGGCTAGCCAGTTTTGTGTTTAGAAATAATTATTACATTTTAACTCTACAGGGAGGAGTTTCTTTACACAGGTGAGATTCTGGGCGGGGGTGTCTTCTGCCATAGAACATAAAATGAAACAAGACTTGGCCATGACATAGGAGGACATAGAAAGGGAATTTGGGAAAGGTATCTGTGTCCTCATGAAGGGATATTTGGACAGAAATATCTTGTGCCACAAGAGGTCTTCAGACAAGGACATTTTCTTATAAATGGTTGTGTTACCTTAACTGAGAGAATCAAATTTGTCAAATGTTGCTTGCAGGCTGAGTAAGATAATTTCTGAGAAATTACGATTGGATTCAACATTTAGAAGTAAACTGCTGCTTGAGAGGACTATAGGGACAGAATCCTGGGCAGAAAAGATAAAAGAAATATTACAGTTGTAAAAATGAGCATAGAAATAAGTGAATAGTTACAAGACATATAGGGTCACAGGAGGCATTTTTTTCTTTTTTTTGTTTTTTTTTTTCATGTAAGCTTGTACATTCAGGACTAATTCAAGAAAGATGGAACAGTTAATTATGAAAAGGTAAATGGGAAAAAATGCATATGTAATGAGATTAGATTATCAAATGTACTCAATCCAGTGCACAAGAAGACCTGGCCTTGGGCAGGACAACAGGTAGTACCTTAGTACATCATTCAATTAGGGACTTAGTGACTCTGGTAGCTTTGTGTATTTGATTTTGGTTACTTTGTGACCAGAATAAACCTCTAGAACAAAATATTAGGGGACTGGAGGACATGTACTGGAAAGTCATGGGTGTAGGCTGAAGTGCAGGAAGCTTGGATGTCAGTGAAGGTGTCATTATTGGCAGTGTCAAGTTCTAGGGTATCACCATGGTGAATTCAAGGATTTAAGGATGCATGTGTATGACAGTATCAAATATAACTTTATTTACTTCTAGTTTATTTTAGGGTAAATTTCTCTGCCAAAGACTCCTGAGTATATCATACAAATAGGCTGAAGTGATAAACTGAACCCTAAAGCGTAAAAATCACCCTAGCTATTGCAAACTCTTGCTTAATAACTTCAAATAAATTATTCTTGCTTTTCTGATTGATGATAAAACTAGAGAGTTAAAATTTAGCTAAATTAAAGCTAAAATTTAACTTATTATGTTTGACATAGTAATTATTTCTGTCAATTTGTCTTTGGTAATTACTACATTATAATTAAATGTAAAAATTAATTCATTATTTCTGTTCTGAATGCATGAACATTTACCAATCTCAAAGGCAAAGGAGGGCGTTAAAAACTTTCTAAGTTGAAAATTTTAAGCTGAATAGAATTAAGGAACAATGGCATATATGTATGCCATTCTAAAACAAAATTTAATATAAAACAAAATTTTCTTCTTTTGGTGAATATTAACTTGACCCTAAAGGTCATATTTTATTAAAGTACTAAGCTTTATTTTTTATTTTGTTTCAATTTTGAAAATTCAGATATACAGGGGTTAGTTTATAACAAAAACAATATTTAATTTTCATATTTTAAACACATTTAATGAAGTGCATGTCAATGTTAATAGTAATTTATGAACTAATATATATAATTATTAAAATAAAAAATCCAATTTTAAAATATGATTTATAATTTTTTAACTGTACTTCAAAATATCACAGAATGGAGCGACAGGCAAAGGAAAGAGGGGGAAGAGAAAGAGACAGAGGAAGAAACAGATTAAGAAAAAAAATCTAAGGATCAATATTCTAGTTCCAAGAAAAATAATGTAACTGTACAATATGCATTTAAAGTTGAAGGCACAAAAGCTTGATTCACAGCTTTCCTACTATTCTTCTTTTTGGAGCCATTCCAAATGTCATTATTAAAGTGGCTATTTACATATAGTGTCATAACATGGTAAGCTAAAGGCTAAAGTTGATAGTAGAAAGAACTTCATTAAAAAGGCTATATTTTAAAAATAAGAAAGTCTTTTTACAAGTAATGTTAAATGGGAAATTAAGGCAATGACCCAAATAATTAAAGTAAAACAAATCCTAAGCATCTGAGGGAAAAATGGAAGTTTGAGGTTTAAATCATCACAAATTACTGTCTACATTCATCAAATTAATGGGGCAATTACTCAGCATGCACTTTAAATAGGTTACGTATCTTCAAATTGAAGTCATTTCTATATGGAAAGACTGATTTACTGACTTTGCTTTTTTCTTTTTCTCAAAGTGTCAGTGATTGATTTCTTTTAATAAAATGAACTAATTCTAATATTGACAGGAGACAAATTGTATAGTTGGTCTACACTGTCTAGCTGTGTTTATTTTATCTTGAAACCCATATATTTTGAGGTTCGAATGCTCAACTTGTAGCAAATGTAAAAATCACATAATAATATTTGATTCATTTAAGTTTTATTTTTTCTTTTTCTTTTTTTGTTTCTTTGAGACAGAGTTTCACTCTTGTCGCACAGGCTGGAGTGCAATGGCACGATCTCTGCTCACTGCAACATCCGCCTCCTAGGTTCAAGAGATTCTCCTGCCTCAGCCTCCAGAGCAGCTGGGATTACAGGCGAGAGCTACCACACCCAGCTAATTTTTGTATTTTTGGTAGAGACAGGGTTTCACCATGTTGACCAGACTGGTCTGGAACTCCTGACCTCAGGTGATCCACCTGCATCAGCCTCCCAAAGTGCTGGGATTAAAGGCGTGAGCCACCGCTCCCAGCTTAAGTTTTCTTAAATATGAAAATTAGAACCTTATGACCTTTAAAACTCTGCATACCTATTATTTCCTGAAATTCTTTGAAAACCTTTTAAAATGCGGTCAGAGCCCACAATCTTATGTTTTTCATAAACATCAAAGGACATTGAGAATGGATGAACAGCAGCAACATGTACATCTCTCTGCTTCAATAGTTTATCTTTCTTTCTTTTCCTTCCTTCCTTTTCTCTTCCTTCCTTTTTTCTTCCCTTTCCCTTTTCCCCTTCCTCCCTTCCTTCCTTCGTTCCTTCCTTCCTTCGTTCCTTCCTTCCTTCGTTCCTTCCTTCCTCCCTTCCTTCCTTCGTTCCTTCCTTCCTTCGTTCCTTCCTTCCTCCCTTCCTTCCTTCGTTCCTTCCTTCCTTCGTTCCTTCCTTCCTTCGTTCCTTCCTTCCTTCGTTCCTTCCTTCCTCCCTTCCTTCCTTCGTTCCTTCCTTCCTTCGTTCCTTCCTTCCTCCCTTCCTTCCTTCGTTCCTTCCTTCCTTCGTTCCTTCCTTCCTTCGTTCCTTCCTTCCTTCCTTCTTTTTTTCCTCCCTCTCTCCCTCCTATGTTTTCCTTCTTCTTCTTTTTTCTTCTCTCACCCTTTTTTATTATTTCTTTGCCAAGGGAGAACAATGGAAAGTAGGAAATAGTATTGAAAATAAGAAAAAATTGCTTAAAACAGTATAAATTCAGTTACACCACTATTTTTCAAAAATAAAATTCAAATTTTAAATAATATGAAAATGTTATGTGTTCTTACCATGAAAATGATAATCATAGGAGGTAATATATGTTAAATAGTTTGTTTTAGCCATTCCACAAAGTGTACATGTGGAATCAATGCATTATGTTGTGCACCATAAATATCTACAATTTTCACTTGTCAATTAAAAAAAAGGATAGAAGTTTCAAAGCCAAAATTTAAAACAAATTAAAAGAAGAATTCTACAAAGGCAAAACTATTGTAGAAGAAGGAAAGAAATCGAACTTATTTCTCTACTCAGTTGATAAATGCCGTTAGAATTGGATCCAGTTTTGCGGTACTGGAAATAAAGCTTCTAAGAGTATGTGTGTCTGTGTCTTTTGATGGGCACATGCATCGCATTGACATCTGTTGTGTGTTCACTGATGCAAAATTGTGGGTCACAGGTCATGAGACTGTTCACTGAAAAAGCTTTTTCTGACAAAAGTTTTTATGGTTGTTTATACGAATTTAAAATTTTACCATGAATGTATGAGAGTTCAGTTATTCCATACCTACATTAAGTTTTTCCATATTTATATCTAAAGTTAGAATATTCTTTCTTTTGAATGTTAACCAATTGTGTACTTGCGTGGAGGTATATCACGTTGGTTGCTAAAAAATAATTTTATTGAAAAGAAGTTTATGTGTTTATTGGACCTTGAAATTGTATTTAGTTTCATGTGTGTGAATTCCCTCCTTTCCTATTTTCATTTTGATCTTTGTCTTTTTTATGAACGTTAGATTTTTTTACAGATTTTTACACAGCATTAGATATGAGTGTTACAAAACAAAGCATGATTTTTTTCAAAAAGACTTAAGAGTACTTATGAATTCCTTTATTCACTCTCTTAGGTAGGTCTTCCTTTAGCAAACAAAAGTTCTTAATTTTAATGTAATCAAATGTATATCTTTTATATCTGATACTATTTACCTTCTATTTAAAAAAACTTTACCTCATGTTACTCATGCTTAAAAAGATATTGTTTTATTTTTATTTTTACAAGCTTTATTGTCTTACATTACCAGTCTGGATTCACCAAGCTTTTTTGCATAGCATTTAGCACCGCAGCTACCTCTATTTACTGAAATTCTTGGTGTTTCATCTAGCATATTAGTAGGTTACAGGTAGGCATATATTTGAAGGGCAAAAAGCTGTCACACTTTCAGATTATGTTTCATCAGAGCATTTTCCTCTCTGTAATTTTATCTTCTATTTTTAGCTGCTGTGGCTAAATATAAATCAAGTCTTAATTTCATCAGCCCATTTTTTTCTTTCTTGTACCTAAAATTTCTACCTTTTCTGGATTTTTCTATATCATGTAGACATACTTGGATGTTCTTTATAATGAAATATGCATTCATGCAAAACATCCCTCTTCTTTCACACTCCTCTCCAGCTATTTATCGATTTCCCCTTTCTTTCACCCAAAACTCTTTAAAATAATTGTGCGTATTCTCTCCGGTTAATCACTTACCTTCTTTTCACAACCCATTCCATTCCAGACCATTTCACTCTAACTGCTCTTATCAAGATCACTAAATACCCTCATATTGCTGAATTTGCATGGTTGCTTGTCTGTCAATATCTTTATTAGTTTCTCAGCATCATTTGATGTAGTTTTCCATTTCTGCTGCACCAAAATATTCTTCTTTTAGATTATATGTCACACTGACATTATGTATATTTTTAAGCCATTTCTTTATCCACTCAGTGGATCATTGCTTTTAACGAGTAAAAAGTAAACGGAGGGAACCATCCTAAGAGGCTGTTACAGTAAACCGTAAGAGTTAGTTTTGGACACAGGCGCTAGGGAAGGATAAAGAAACACACACACCACACACACACACACACAAACACATACATAAATCAGGACAGATTTTTTTGTTAGAATTAATAGAACTATAAGGTATTATGAGCTAGTGAATGAAAGGGAATAATATTTCAAACTGGCTTAATTTTTAGCTGTGACAATTGACTGAATGTGGGTGCAAGTAACTAAAATGGATATTTGGGAAAGGAGAAGATTTAGACAAATTTTGAAATTTCTCACTTAAGTACATCAAGTAGGGAATAGGATGTATAACTTTTGTGGCATTTGAGATATAATTTTGAGAGTCCTTGGAAGATAATGTGAATCAGAACAAAGAACCTATGGGAATAATATAGAAAGTAAAGAAAGAGAAACCAGAGCTGAACCCTTGCTTCTTCCAATGCTTATAAATAAAGTCACAATGTGGAAATGACAGAGGGCATTGAAAAGGATGGCAAGAAAATGAATAATTTTGATATTCCTGTAAACAAATAGAATACTTAAAAACATATGAGCTGTCTTCCATATCAAACAATATTAGGAAGTAGAATAATATTGTATCATAACTGAGGTCACCGGAATTTGTCAACATAGAAATTATTGATGATCAAAAAATAATTTTATGACAAGAAGAAGATGAAAATTCAAAGTGGAGTGTTTTGAGAAGAGAATAGTAGATTACAAAGATGAGAGTAATTAAAACAATTACTTAAAGAAGCTTGAGGATAAGCCAGGAAAATGTGTTCCATTAATTATCTGGCACTTTGAAAAATTAAGACACAATGAAAGACAGTTTGGGAATAATACAAATCTAAGGAAAAATTCAATTTATGTTTGAAGTAGAATATCAAAAATAGACTGAAGAATGGAGACTTTTAAGGTACATCTCCAAGTACAAGGAAAGGGAGAAACATTTTGTAGGTCTTTGTTTCTTTGTGTGGACCAGAGATTGACTTAAAGATGGAAAGACATTCTTTGGCTCTGTTTATCTCTGACATGTATTATGTAACCCTTTAGAATAGCTATTGGCCGTTAGATAAAGTAGGCTGTAGAATGAATTTACTCATAACTCTCTCCTAATTCACCTCAGAGGATTTTGGACCTAACATCAAAACTGATTCACAAAAGTCTGGAGTTAAATAGAAACAATGACTCTGACAAGGAAATATTTCCATAAATATGAGTACATTTTCTTTGATACTCCATGATTTTGACTGCCCCAATCCAAATCCCAGAAAGAAGCCATACTCCTAGAAAATAATAAAGCCGGTCGTCAATCCTCTAGGGTTTTAGGAAGAGGAGGAGGAGAAGGAAGGGGAAGGAAACTTACCCAACCAATATATGAGTTAATGTTTCAGGATAATTTTGGTTTATATTTAAAGGTTCATCTCTTTATTTCTTTTCTATCTTATCACTCTACACCAAAAATGGGTCACCATCTATGATACTCTGCCTTGACGAAGTATTCTGTCTGAGGTGAATCTTTCAAGAAGGTTAAATTTTGAATGCATGTAGTATGCACTGACATTTTCATGAGCCTCTTTAGCTATCAGATACATTTAAGATTTTTCTTTTCAATAGTATACCTGAATCTGTATTTTAGGTGTGGGCTTGGGATAGTTGAAGGCCAACCTATATTCTGAGGTTAATATTGCCTGCATAACAAAAGTCTTTTCCATGCAAAAGCATAGCCCAGCCATGTTCTGTACTGACTTTAGGAGCTAAACACCAAGACAATTAAAATATAATGTCATGCATGCTTCCTTGTCTTTTCACAAATGTCTTTCTTGCATTTGGAAGGGCTGGGTAAAGGTAGGATTCAGATTTGAGGAATCTAATGTTATATATGTCTACATGTTTAATGTATCTGCGTTGATTATTGGCACGAGTAATATTTTCTCTATTTCATTATTACAAACTTTAACAAAATCTCATATTGCATGGCTAGGTTTTTATATTTTAAAATGATATAATAAGAGGTTTTTAATTTTTTAACAATAAGAAAAATCCCCTTTTTATTCAGGGGAAGAAAATAAATGCTCCCTCTGGCTTAGGAATGAGCTAATTATTTGTCATCATTCTAAACAAATAGATACGATAATTTAAATGGTGTTTCAAACGTCTGCAAAGATTATCAGCATTCAAACTAAAACCAAGGCATTTTAATATTCTCATCAGAGCCGATCAGTTAACCAAAGTGGGTCATTAGAAAATAACTAGCTAGGCATTTCATTAATGCACAAATAACCCAGAATAATATTCATAGTTTTCACATTTGCCTAATGTGCATGTAGAACACAGTGTTCAAACATGACTTTTTTTTACTATGTTACTATCTTAATTTCAGATTGTATTTTAATGTATTTATATAAAAACACTGGGGCAAGGAAATGTAAGAAACAGAAAACAAATTAGAGCTGTTCCTTTGATTGTGTAACATCAGGGTCACTAGCTCTAGCTGTATATCAGGTCTTTTCTACTTTGACTTTGGAGCAGATCTCTCATTCCTTTGAATACACTGTTCTTTTGGCAGCAATGTCTTCACACTCTCGATTTTCTTCCTGCCTCTCTAACAGCTTTTTCTCTGTATCCTTTCTGCCTTCACACCTCCATAAACTTGGGAAGTGAAAACCACTCCTGATGTCTCTTTTTTCTCCAATTATATTAGTCATGGTGTTCCAGTGAAACTAAACGAATACTAATTGCCTGCATAACAAAAGTCTTTTATAAATATAGAGAGTGTGTGTGTGTGTATATATATATATATATATATAGAGAGAGAGAGAGAGAGAGAGAGAGTGTATATAGAGAGTGTATATATATATAATATGTATAATTTTTCTATATCTGGATTTTTTCTAACATATATATGTATATATATTAGAGTACCATTAGTTTCAGCTGTGTCTTGTAACCTCTTCAGAGTCTATTGGGTTCAATGTCCCCAGAGAGTAAATTTATAGTCTACTGGCAAAGGGAGAAGAACCCATTTATCAGATTGAATGTATGATAGTTGGTATCATGGATCTAATCTTTGTTTAGACAAATTTCATATGGTTTCTCCTGTGTAGCTTCATAGGCACCACACAATTTTAGAGATATTTGGGTCATCTATAATAATTCCCAAGACATTCTGAGAATCTCAGCCTTATTTTTGGTTTCTGATTTCCCACTATGTCTGTTTATGTCTTGTTTCTTTTGTCCCTCTGCTTTCCTGTTTCCAAAGCCTGGTTTGTCTTCTCTGCTCTCATTGTCTTCATCATTTTGATCTATTTATTGTTTGAAACCACTATTTTCATGTAAGCATACTTTTTAAAAAACAGTACATATATATGTATATATATACACACATATATACAACAGTACATATATCTATATATATAGAGAGAGAAACAGATTATAGATATAGGTATGGATATATACAAAGAGATTTATTATGAGGGATCAGCTCACACAGATAGATGGATGAAAAGTCCCACAAACTTCCATCTGTAAGCCAGAGGTCCAAGACAACCAGTGGTGTAGGCCCAATCCAAGTCTAAAGATATGAGAATTAGGGAAGTCAGTGGAGTAAGTCCAAGTCTGAGCCTCAAGGCTTGAGAACTAGAAGCTCCAATCTTTGCTAGCAGAACAAGATAGATTTCTCAGCTCAAACACAGAGAGAGAACTCTCTTTTCCCCCGTCTTTTGGTTCTATTCTGGCCTTCAAAGGATTGAATGGCGCTCACTCACACAGGTAAGCATTGTTTTCTTTACTCATTCTACCAATGTAAATGCTTATCTTTTCTGGAAACAGCTTCACAAAAACACTCAGAAATAATGATTTACCAGCTCTCTGAGTATCCCTTAGCCCAGACAAGTTGGCACATTAAATTAACCATCATACCAATAAAAACAAATTTTTGTAGATTTCATTTCATAATCATCTAAAATTTCACCCACTTTTCTCTATTTCACAAGTTAATCCAAATAACCAAAATCATTTGTCTGGATTATGATAATTGCAGTTATTACTGGTTTCCCTAAATGAACCATGCTTCTCCTAGCCCCACATTATGAATATTTATTGAGTAAAAATGTATTCTAATCATTCTTGTGCTTTTTATACTAAGAGGGCTTCCAACCACTTTAAATAAATAATTTCCAAAATAATCTATTACTTGGCTATGGTTTTATATAATGATGTTCCCATGTAACTTCCCAACATGTTTTCTCGTGAGAAAATATGGATTGCAATCCCTAGCCAGGCTTTACATACTATTTTAAAAATTCTTTCCATAGTTTTATTTTGGCTAAATCTAATTTGTCATTTAAGTAGTTGCTTAAATGTGACTTTATAAATAAATCATTTAATGACCACTAAGATTGATTGAGTAGCCAGAGTAGATGGTCTCATAGTGTGATGGTTAATATTGAATAACAACTTGATTGGATTGAAGGATGCAAAGTATTGTTCCTGGGTGTGTCTCTGAGGGCGTTGCCAAAGGAGATTAACTTTTGAGACAATGGACTGGGAGAGGCAGACCCACCCTCAATCTGGGTGGGCACCATCTAATCAGCTGCCAGAGTGGCTAGAATAAAGCAGGTGTGGAATAAAGAATGTGGAAGGACTAGCCTGGCTAAGTCTTCCAGCCTTCATCTTTCTCCCATGCTGGATGCTTTCTGCCCTCCAACATGACACTCCAAGTTCTTCAGCTTTTAGACTCTTGGACTTTACACCAGTGGTTTGCCAGGTGCTCTCGGGCCTTTGGCCACAGACTGAAGGCTGCACTGTCGGCTTCCCTACTCTTGAGGTTTTGGGACTCATACTGGCTTCCTTGCTCTTCAGCTTGCAGATGGCCTATTGTGGGATTTCTTCTTGTGGTTGTGTGAGTCATTACTCTTTAATAAACTCTTTTTCAATAGATACATCAATCTTATTAGTTCTATCCCTCTAGAGAACCTCGATTAATACACATAGCATGCTGCACTTTACATTTTATAAAACATGTAACGCACTCCATAACCTATTTGACTGTCACCACACTAGAGTGTAAGCCCTAGGACAGAAGGAATGATATATTTTGTACACGAGTGCATTTCAAACATCTTATTAATGCATACTACATACAAGAGGACTACATGATGAATTAGTATACTTTATCTTGTAATTCACTTGATTTTGGAAGATGGGCAAAATTCAATTGATGTTAATCCTCCCATTAAATTAATAACTGTCCTTTTTGGTAAGATATATTATTTATCCCATAAAAATCTTCATTTGTTGCATGCTTTGAAGACCTTAGAACAAAGTAATTTATCATAGTTTAAAAAAATTGGTAGAACACTATAGGAGTAAGTAGAGGGGCATTAATTAGACTTTCTGGAATGAATACATCAGTTTAGGGCTGTTTCATTAAAAGTATACTTACATGAAAATAGTGGTTTCAAACAATAAATAGATCAAAATGATGAAGACAATGAGAGCAGAGAAGACAAACCAGGCTTTGGAAACAGGAAAGCAGAGGGATAAAAGAAACAAGACATAAACAGACATAGTGGGAAATCAGAAACCAAAAATAAGGCTGAGATTCTCAGAATGTCTTGGGAATTATTACAGATGACCCAAATATCTCTAAAATTGTGCGGTGCCTATGAAGCTGCACAGGAGAAATCATATGAAATCTGTCTAAACAAAGATTAGATCCATGATACCAACTATCATACATTCAATCTGATAAATGGGTTCTTCTCCCTTTGCCAGTAGACTATAAATTTACTTTCTGGGGACATTGAACCCGATAGACTCTGAAGAGGTTGCAAGACACAGCTGAAACTAATTGCACTCTAATCATGGGAATAATTGTAAAGTCTATCTTCAGAACAGAGGTGGAAATTTCTAGACACTTTCTGAAACAACCTGTGAGAGCAATGGTAGCCAGGCTTAAAATTCCACAGAGACAAAAGGATTCCTCTCCAGTAAAACTTGTCAGTTTATGAAAAGAAATGTGCAGATACTTTCTTGGTTGATATCTTTAATGTAAGGGTCTGGAAAGATCATTTTCCAATAAAATAAAAATCAAGAAGCTCCTCCAATATACACAGAGCTTTCATTCAGCTTAAAGACCATCCTACTCTTAAATATGAAGAGAAAACCAAGACTCTGTAAACAGTAGCAGAAAACATCTAACATGAACCACTGATATCAAAGCATAAAGACACAAAAGAAATCTCAGGAAAAAGGAAAAGGAAGCAGGAAAAAGGGAAATGTAAGTAAGTAAACAATATTTATATCCTAGAAGAAAGAATAACAGAGTATCCATACAAAACACCAAAAGACTCTACAAAGAAACAGTAAGAAAGATTTCAACAGGACTTTCAACAAGTAATAGAAAAAGTTGCTAAACTAGTTGAAAGTACTGAAAGAAAAGTGACATTTCTGGCGGAAAGTTAAAATATATTTTATTGCAAATACATGGAAAACCAAGCAAACAGAAAAAAATCGATTATTTATTCTAGGGAAAACATAAATTTTACAAGTAAGAGAATGAAGTCACGATATAATAAATTTGCATCTATAAGTGATAATTATCTAGTCTATAATGTTAACATCTAATGCTGAAGTAGCACAAAATTATGATACAATTATTTTTCAAAAGTTAAGACAATGTGCACACCCATGTGAAGACAGATATAAGAGAGGTAATTGTATTTTTCCTTGTTTTCACATAAAAATATTCTCAAGGAGACAAGCCAAATATATATATATATAATTATATTTAAAAATATAATTATATATATTATTTATTTATTTACTTTTGTGATGGAGTCTCACTCTGTCACCAGGTTGGAGTGCAGTGGCGATCTTGGCTCACTGCAACTTCCACCTCCTAGGTTCAAGCGATTTTCCTGCCTCAGCCTCCTGGGTAGCTAGGACTACAGGTGTGCACCACCACACCCAGCTAATTTTTGTATTTTTATTAGAGACGGGGTTTCACCCTGTCATCCGGGATGGTCTCGATCTCCTGACCTTGTGATCGGCCCACCTCAGCCTCCCAAAGTGCTGGGATTACAGGCGTGAGCCACCGCACCCGGCCTTACATATTTTTTTAAATGGAGACAAACACAAGAAGAAAGTAGCTAAAGCTTATAAAGCTTCTGCCTCTGCAAGATGGAAATTAGAGAAGTGAGAAATGTGGGAGAGTGCTGTTGTTTTTCAGCATCTGTTGGGTAGAACTCTAGTTGTTTAACTATGAATATCTGTATCTCCAATACAAGTGCTTGCAAACAAACAAAAATTACATATGGCCCGGTATTCTATAAAGCTTTGTGTACAGAAGCATATCATAATATGTTTTATTCTAACTCTGAGAAAACACATGATAGGAAATTTAATTCTGCTTGAATAGTATGGATTGGCTCTTTTGTGTTATTTCTTTTTCTGAAATTATTTTTTAAAAAGTAACAGAAGTATACATTTTTCCTAGATACTATTTTTTTTTTTTTTTTTTTTTGAGATGGAGTCTCGCTCTGTTGCCCAGGCTGGAGTGCAGTAGCGCGATCTCGGCTCACTGCCAGCTCCGCCCCCCGGGTTCACGCCATTCTCCTGCCTCAGCCTCCGGAGTAGGGGGGACTACAGGCGCCCGCCACCACGCCCGGCTAATTTTTAGTATTTTTAGTAGAGACGGGGGTTTCACAGTGTTAGCCAGGATGGTCTTGATCTCCTGACCTTGTGATCCACCCGCCTCGGCCTCGCAAAGTGCTGGGATTACAGGCGTGAGCCACCGCGCCCGGCCACTAGATTACTATTATATAAACTGGTAACCTAGTAAGAATATATACTTCTGTTACTGGTTTTTACAATAGTAACCTAATAAGAATATATTTTACTATTGTAAAAACTGTTTTTTACCATAGTAACCTAGTACAAATACATTTTTACAGATACATACACTTAAAAATTGCGATGCCATGAATTGAAATAAAATTAAAATAAGGTATATTTCTGTTAATGCAAATGCTACTAAATGTAATTGTATTTAACTCTAATGGTAGTGTGGTACTATGGAATCATGCTTTTTTAAGTATAAACCAAGACGTTTTAAACAGTTAACTTATTTTTTATTTTTCTGTAAACTCTCTTGATGCATCAATATGCATTAAGAAAGTTTTACTCACTATATTTGTGAATATAATACATTAGCTTTTATTATAATTTTTGTAACAGTTGTTAGTAATTACTACTCTTCCTTTAGACATCTTCCATTTACAAACTTGTCTTATATTTAATGACTGAAGTATTGTACGGTAAAATATTATTATACACATCAATATAATCAATGTGACCATTCTTAATATGAGAATCTTTCCATTTATTAGTGAGTCAGTATAATGATGCTTTTGAATAATCAAATGAATATAATGAAAAACATCATTAGTGTATACACTGAGTGGCAAGAAATTTACAGAAGTGTTCTGTATTTGCTAACCAGTTCTGTAGAAGCAGACATACATATGTATGTGTATGTGTATATATATATATAAAAAATAAATTTATGGAGTTTGGTGCAATTTTTTTAAATGCGTATTTTGCATAGTGGTCAAGTCATGACTTTTTGGGTAATCATCACCCAAATAATGTACATTATACCCATTAAGTAATTTCTCTTCATCCACCTTCTCACCCTTCTGGGTCTCCATTATCTATTATTCCACTTTCTCTGACTATGTATACACAGATTTTAGTACCCATTAATGACTGAGAACATGTGATTACTTTCTGTGTCTGGCATGTTTCACTTTAGATAATGACCTCGAGTTTTATCCATGTTACTCCAAAAATGTTTGTTTATTTATTTATTTATTATATTTTGGGGGACAGGGTTTCACTCTATCTCCTGAGCTGGAGCGCAGTGACATGACCATAGATCACTGCAACGTCAGACTCCTGGGCTCAAGTGATCCTCCTGCCTCAGCCTTGGGAGTAGCTTGGACTACAGGTGTGAGGTACCATCATACCTGGCTAATATTTTAAATTTTTTGTAGTGACAGGGTTTCACTATATTGCCCAGGCTGATCTTGAACTTCTGGCCTCAAGTGATCCTCCTGCCTTGGCCTACCAAAGTGCTGTGATTATAGGCATGAGCCGCTGCTCCCGGCCATTTTTTTCTTTTTTATGGCTGAATAGTAATCCAATGTGTAAGTATACCACATTTTCTTTATAAAATCATCAATTAATGGACACTTATTTTGACTCCTATTGTGAAAAGGAATAGGAACAATTGTGAATAATGCTGTGATAAGCATTCAAGTGCAGGTAATTTTTGACATATTCATTTTTTTCCTTTGGGTAGATACTCAGTAGTAGGATTGCTGGATTGAATTTTAGTTCTATTTTTAGTTCCTTGAGAAATGTCCTTATCATTTCCCATACAGGTTGTACTAGTTTACTTTCCCATCAAAAGTGTATAAGCATTCCTTCTCTCCACATTTTTGCCAACATCTGCTATTTTTTTCTCTTTAATAATAGTCATTCTCACTGGGATAAAATGGTATCTCATTGTAGTTTTAATTTGCATCTCTTTGATGATTAGTGATGTTGAACGTTTTTTCATATATCAATTGGCTATTTATATGTCTTCTTTTTAAAAAGTACCTATTAAGTTTCTTTGACCACTTTTTAACGCAGTGGTCCCCAAATTTTTTGGTACTAGGGACCATTTTCATGGAAGACAATTTTTCCATGGACAGGGAATTTTGGGGGGATGGTGTTAGGATTAAACGTTTCCACCTCAGATCATCAGGCATTAATTAAATTCTCATAAACAATGCGCAACCTAGATCTTTCATGTGTGCAATTCATAATTAGGTTCGTGCTCCAATGAGAATCTAATGTTGCCACTGATCTGACAGGAGGCAGAGCTCAGGTGGTGATGCTCACTCTCCACCGCCCACCTCCTGCTGTGCCACCCAGTTCCTAAGACTGGTACCGGTTCACAGCCCAGTGAACCACCAGGCCAAAGATTGGTACTGCTTCATAGCCCAGGGTTTGGGGACCCCTGTATTAATGGGATTATTATTATTTTTTATTGTTTTTGTTGAGCTGAGTTCCTTATACATTCTGGATATGAGTCTACCGTTGGATAAATAACTTGAAAATATTTTCTTCCATTCTACCAGTTACCCATCAACTTTGTGGATCATTTATTTTGCTATACAGGAGCTTTTTAGTTTAATTAAGCCCCATTTGGTGTTTTTTGTTTTTGTTGCTTGTGTTTCTGAGGTTCTAGTAATAAATTCTTTGTCCAGATCATTGTCCAAGAGGGTTTTCTCTCGATGTTATTCTAGTATTTTTATAGTTTTAATTCTTACATTTAAACCTTTAATCCATCTGTAGTTGATTTTTATGTATGGTTAGAGATAGGAGTTCAGTTTCATTTTTATGCAATAGTAATGCGGTTTTCACAGCCTCATTTATTGAAAAGGATATCCTTCCCCAAATGTAAGTTCTTGTCAGTTCTGTCAAAGATCAATTGACTGTAAATATGTGGCTTTATTGTTGAGTTTTCTATTCCTGTTCCATTTATCTGTGTGTCTATTTTTATACCAGTACCATGCTGTTTTGTTTACTATAGCCCTGTGATGTAATTTGAAGTAGGATGCCTCCAGCTTTATTCTTTCTCCTTAGGATTGCTTTGACTGTTTGGCTCTTTTTTGGTTCCACATAAAATTTTGGATTGTTTTATTCTATTTTTGTGAAAAATGAAGTTAGCATTTTAATAAGAATTGCATTGAATCCAGATTTCTTTGGGCCATTTAGTCATTTTCACGATATTGATTTTTCCAACACATGAGCATGGTATGCTTTTCTTTGTTTGTGGCATCCACAATTTCTTTCATCAGTGTTCTGAAGTTTTCATTGTAGCAATCTTTTATCTCCTTGGTTAAATATATTCCTAGGTATTTTATTTTTAAAGCTAAGTAGAATATTTAAGCAAGGAGATAAAGATCTATTTTATCTTCTTGGAGATTAAAAGAGATTTTTGTTTGTTTGTCTGAGTCAATGTCTCACTCTGTCACCCATGCTGGAGTGCAGTGGCATGGTCTTGGCTCACTGCAACCTCCGCCTCCTGAGTTCAAGTGATTCTCCTGCCTCAGCTTCCCGAGTAGCTGGGACTACAGGCACGTGCTACTGTGCCTGGCTAATTTTTTGTATTTTTAGTAGAGACAGGGTTTCACCATGTTGGCCAGGCTGGTCTTGAACTCCTAACCTCAGGTGATTTGCCTGCTTTGGTCTCCCAAAGTGCTGGGATTAGAGGCATGAACCGCCACACCCGGCCAAGAGGTTGTTTTTAATCTCTTGGATTACTTTCTTGATTTTGTTCTCAGCTAGATAGTTATTGGTGTATTGAAATGCTACTGATTTTTGTGAATTAATTTTAATTTCTACAACTTTATTAAATTCATTTAACAAATCTAAGAGCTCTTTCTGGTGAAATCTTTAGGTTTGTCTAAATATAAGGTTATATCATCAGCAAGGTAGGATAATTTGACTTCCTCTTTTCTAATTTGGATGCCTTTAATCCTGCCTGATGGCTCTGGCTAGGACTTCCAGTATTATGTTAAATAACAGTGGTGAAACTGGGCATCATTGTCTTGTTCTAGTTCTTAGAGAAAATTAAATTTTCCATCCAATATAATGCTGGTTGTGGGTTCCCCAGTGGGAACAAGAACCAAAGAACAACACTCATCCTCTCCCATACTAGGGGATCATTCCTGGTTCCCAGCTGGCCTCAGGCATGCAGGCTACCTGTTTTCCTTACCCTTCCTAGATTTTGGTGTATCCTTTCATTTTTCTGTTGGTCTTTCATGTCACCTCTTGTAAAATGTATTCAAAACATGATTGCCTGCACATTATTTTTGGTTCTTCTAAGTAGATCAGGTGTACTTGAAATGCTTCTAGTCAGCCATTAAAGAAAAAAACTGCAACTTTTTAAAGTTACCAATTTACATATTATACTGTTTTTAAGATTACTTATTCACTCAAATGCAGCTAAGTGTATTGCTATTATTTTGTGTCTATTAATGTTTTTATTATTTTTCAATTTAATGTTCAAAAGATATTTATTTTTCTTTTGCTCATAAGAATTGTGTATTATATATTTTACAACAGGCATTTAGTTAGATTAAGCTATTGACCACATGCATATATCAATCCCCAAAAAGTGATAAAGTTATCGTAGAGGAATTCTAATAGGAATAGAGTATCAATGACAATAAATCAATTAAAGAGTTAGAATAGCAATTGTATATACTATGACATTAAGAAAAACATCAAGTATAGCTAGAGGACCAGGAAATTCAGTATCTGATTATTTATGATATTCAGAGAGATAACAAAGAAAACAATATAAACGCTATTATTAAAGAATGGGGCTGGGCCCAGTGGCTCATGCCTGTAATCCCAGCACTTTGGGAGGCCCAGGCAGGCAGATCACGAGGTCAGGAGTTTGAGACCAGTCTGGCCAACATGGTGAAACCCCATCTCTACTAAAAAAAAAAACAAAAATTAGCAAGGTGTGGTGGTGCACGCCTGTAATCCAAGCTACTTGGGAGGCTGAGACAGGAGAGTTGCTTGAACTCGGGAGGCAGAGGTTGCAGTGAGCTGAGGTCGCGCCATTGCACTCCAGCTCTGGGCGACAGTGGAAGGGGAGGGGAAGAATGGTATGGAGTATAATGAAGAGTGTTAGAATTAGAAATAATTGATATATAGATAGATAGGAAGACAAGTATAGATATTCAGATGCAAACTTGTTTTTAGAAATCAACAGACAAAAATCTGAGAGGAAAAAATCTTGCACAAAACAATTTATAAATGGTGTGAAAAAATAAAAAGAGATTGATTGGTTTAATGAAGTCTGGAAAACTGAGTCTATATCTTGGAATATATTTGATTACAAAAGCCATATGATAATAAAATAAATAATCAGTAGGGTAAGAACTGACCAGATGCAAAAGACATTTATTAAGAAAAGCAAACTACGGCCCTTCTTTATATTTTAAGGATGCATTAAAATAAGTATGTATACACAAAAGACTAAAGGATCCAGATAGAATTAGCATACTGGCTGCAGGTAAGTACTGGAAGGCAGAATCCAGTCAAAGTAAGAGAAAGAACAATGTCTTCATAAGGTTTCTATAAGTATATAAATACAGGCCAGAGTTTTTGAGATCTGTGATTTTCCTGACTTAGTACTTCTCAATATGAAGTTGGGCAAGTTATTTTTATAATAAACCATATCATTATATCATTTGGTCACTTCAACTGTCTTATAATCTATCTACATCAGTGTATGGTGACAATCATGAACTGGAAAATAATCAGGATCCCTTTTCCATTGTTTCTCTATATGATTGTTCTGATACTGAAATTCCTCATTCGTTGTGTTGTTTGGATTATTATTTCTGCTGTTGCCCTCCTCTGGAATCCTGAGCTCATTGGTGAGTGCCACTGAACCCATGTACCAAAAAACAAACAAACAGAAAGGAAAGCTTTTGGTTGAGTAAAACAAATTCCTAAAGTAATCAATATTTCCAACACGAAAAATGAAGGAAGGAAAAAAAAGACCTGCATCAAGTTATGAATTGGATTATAAAATTTAAAACTCCACAAAGATAGAAAGATACTAACTGCACCAACAGAAAATAAAAGTAGAAGTAAACCAAAGCAGACTAAGGCTACATAGATGTGCTTAGTTGATCAACATTTACCAAGTTACTTACTTCAAAAATGTGCACATTTTGGCCCGTATATTGCCCTTCAATAAGTTATAATAATAATAGAAACTCATAAGACAGTTCAAATTAAATATGCCATCAATGCATCTCGGCAGCAGCACTACACAACTGCCTGAGTACAAATTAATTTTTACCTAGAATTCCACACCCAGCTAAATAATTAATAAAATAGGATATTAAAATAGAAGTATTTTTATTCTAAGCATTTGGAGATTTTCATTTGGATCTACTTTCTTTGCAGAGAGTTAATTAAGAATGTACCCTGGATAAATAAGGACAGAGAAAGAGAAGGACTATGTGGTGTGTGGAAAATTTTGGATAAACTCACGAATGTCCTAAAGGAAAGTTCGGGATGAGAACTATGCAGAAGTGGGAGTAGTCAATATCAGAGTAGAGGGACTGTGGGTTCTGGGATAACGCATTGTCGAGATGTTAGGAACAAATGGTGTGTGTGTGTTTAGGGATGGATATTAATAAACCTCCTGGTAAAATGGATTACTTAAAAACAATTTTTTTTGTATTTTTAGTAGAGACTGGTTTGGCCAGGCTGCTCTGAAACTCCTGATCTTGTGATCCGCCTGTCTCGGCCTCCCAAAAAATCAGCTGGGAGTAGTGACGGGCACCTGTAATCCCAGCTACTCAGCAGACTGAGGCAGGATAATCGCTTGAACCCGGGAGGCGGAAATTGCAGTGAGCCAAGATGGAGCCACTGCACTCCAGCCCAGGTGACAGAGTGAGACTCCATCTAAAGAAACAAACAAACAAACAAAAGAGGATACCACAATAAAAATTGATAGTAGAAAAAAGTGATTAGAGAGTCAAGAGAAAATAGAATTCATGTAAGAACTATAGTTGGATTTAGAATAAACAGTTTATTTTGTCTTAGATTTCTGGATGTCATAAACTCACTTTTTCCTTCATCTAACCTCTCATACAACTAAATACCCTGGAAATAATTTTTAAAACAAGAATACCATAGAAGGACTTCAAGAATTGAAAAGTAGAAGACGACTAGTTAGCAAGCTCAGAACTTGAAGAATGATACTGTGGTCAAACAATAAAATTGCTTTTGTTCATTTGTTTTATCTCCCATTTTATCTCCATATATATCAAATCAAGCACCACAGAGGCCTCCTACCAGGAACTACCAATAAGAATAGATAAAATCAAACCAACAAACAAGCAGACATAACAAAACCTAGACAAGTCTAGACTCTTCGGCCAAAGTATTGGAAACAAAAATGTCCAGTGGAGATCTAGCAGGGAGAAGCAACTCAAGACCCACAACCTATGGTAACTATGAGCTTGATGATCCACAGAGACTGGTGTCAGTCTCACTGGCAAGGCTGACCTAATCCCATGTGCCACAGCCACCAGCAGAGATGACTGATTTGTTTTAGAGGTGACATCAGCATGGTCAAGTTGAACCAATGCTTTACTCATCCCACACTAACCAACCATGATGGGCCCCATCAGTCTTCAGCTAGAGAGTCAGTGAAGTCTGAGCAATGGCAGGCTTTGTCTATCTTCAGTGCGGTGTCACCAAAGGCAAGATAGGGTGACTTTTCTTCTATCCATCACACAGGAAATGTGGTGTGATGCCTACCATGTGAGTCAGTGACCCTAGATAGAGAGAACCATGACCTGCTCCATGAGAGGCAGAAATAGGCAGAACCCTTGGCCTGCATCTGCATTACTATCAAGCCTAGTTACTCTTGGCCCACCACTCTGTGGCAGAAGGCAGCATAAGTCCAGCACCTTCCACCTCTCTAACTTACAGCAACAGGTAAACTAAGTCAAGTGTTTCATGATGCTCCACTTAATTACAGAGTTATCTAGATGCAGCTGTTCCTGACCATTCATTTAGCAACAGAAGAAGACCAAGGCCAAACATTTTCCTCCTCCCAACACCTGGATCAGGAAACAGCTAAAGTGGTGCTTCTTCTCCCTAAAGAGAATGGTGGAGATAAAATAGGAAGCTAGGAGCATCCAACAGTTGGAGAATAGACCAACAGACACACTCTGTTCTGCAGGCCCAACATCTACCTCCCACCCCCGCCCCCAATGTAGCAATACCTGGTGGCCTAGGGAAGAACCTTGCTACCAAGGTAGTTGGAACCAGAATAGATTCAGCAAGTGTTGCAGCAAAGCCTTCAGTACAAAGCAGATAAGAATATGATGTCAGGAGCTCAGAATAGTAAATTGGAACCATAGCCTACAGAGTATTCTAGAAAGTACACACTAAACCTAATTAAAGTGATTGCCTATTAGGAGAGATATACATAAGACTCATATTCTCCTAATGTACTTTATAAAATGTCCAGGATACAACCAAAAACCAGTGATCATACAATGAACCGTTAAATCACAACTTCATGGATTTAATGGTTCATAAATTTGCTTCAACAAGCGATTATAAATTTTTATTGAAACTAAAGAAAAAATAGATATTCTCCTCAAATAAATTAAAGTTATATAAGAATGAACTAAGCAAAAATTATAGACTTGAAAGTTGCAAGTAACAAAACAAACATACAAGACTCTTGGATAAGATCCATAGTAGATTGGAGATGAGAGAGAACAGACTCAGTGACGTTGAGGGCAGATACAAAATTTACTCAGTCTGAACAACAGAGAGGATATAGCCTGAAAAAGCAAAAAGCACAGAGGCTCAAAGACCTCTGGGACTATAACAATAAATCTAACATTTTATTGTTAATATTATTAGAATCCTAGAATGATGGTAGAAAAAAGCAGGGCTATAAAGTTATTGGAAGAAATAAGAACTAAAATTTCACCAAATATAGCAAAAGACATAAATCTATAAATTTATGAAACTGAGAGAAAATCCCAAATAGAACAAGTCCACAGAAATTTATGCCACACCATGTCATTATTAAACTTCTAGAAAGGAAAGACAAAGATAAAATCTTGGAAACAGCAAGAGAATAATGATCTCTTTTCTATAAGAATACATAACTTGAATGACAATGGATTTTATACCAGAAAACATGAAGATCAGAAGGAAGGAAAACAAGAAACCAGACTGGCAGAGTGAGAGGTGGGAGAAACCAAGAATTTGTCAGAAGAGGATATATCTTTAAATAATGACAAATAAACCTCTCTACAAAGAAAAAATAAATAAGGGAAGGGATTGTATCTTCATAAAGGAAAGAAGAGGAAAATAATAAGTAAAAATAGAAGCAGATATCAGAATTCTTTCCTCTATGACTTTCTTAAATTATATTTTATATTTAAAGCAAACATTATGACATATAATGTGTTACCAGCTATACGTAGTGTAAATACTTAAGAAAATTATATTTAAAAATTAGGAAAACTAAAGGGATCTAAATCAGAGTTTACTACTTCTACTGAAGTATTAAAACATGTATAATGTAGTCTGTGTTTTTACACATATATATTGTGATATCTAGAGAAACCACTAAAAAATTATATAAGCAATATGATTGAAAACACTATAAATTAAGACAGAACAGTAAACATATCTAGGCAATCTAAAGGAAGCCAAGAAAAAAAAAACTCTCAAAACTCTACAATAAAAAAACAACCAACCTGATTAAATAATGTGCCAGAAGCCTTGCCAGACACCTCACCAAAGAGGATATAGAAATGGCACATAAGCATATAGACAGATGCTGCACATCACATGTCATTAGAGAAAAGCAAATTAAAATAACAATGAAATACCACTACAAATGCATTAAAATTACCAAAATTCAGAACACTGTCAACACCAAATACTGACAAGGATGTGCAGCAATAGGAATGCTCATTTATTGCTGGGGGTGGGGGTGCGGCAAAATGGTACAGCCACTTTTGAAGATAATTATACGGTTTGGCCTTGTCCCCAGCCAAATCTCATCTTGGACTGTAATTTCCATAATCCCCACATGTTGTGAGACGGACCCAGTGGGAGGCAATTGAATCATGGGGGTGGTTACCCCCATGCTGCCGTTCTCGTGATAATGAGTGAGTTCTTCACGAGATCTGATGGTTTTATAGGGGCTTTTCCCACTTTTGCTCGGCACTTTTCTTTGCTGCCGTCATGTGAAGAAGGAAATGTTTGCTTCCCCTTCCACCATAAGTTTCCTGAGGCTTCCCCAGCCATGCCGAACTGTGAGTCAATTAAACCTTTTCCTTTTATAAATTACCCAGTCTCGGGTATGTTTTTATTAGCAGTGTGAGAACAGACTAATACATTTGGCAGTTTCTGACAAAAGTAAACGTGCGTTTGTCATATGAATCCGTAACCATTGAGTTGAAAGCAACCAAAGTGCCCTTCAATACATGAATGAATAAATAAACTGTGGTATATTCAGACTGGAATATTATTCAGCATTAAAATGAAATGAGCTATGACGTCATGAAAAGACACAGGGAAAACTTAAATGCGTATTACTAAGTTAAAGAAGCCAGTGTGGGCCGGGCGCGGTGGCTCACGCCTGTAATCCCAGCACTTTGGGAGACCGAGGTGGGCAGATCTCGAGGTCAGGAGATCGAGACCATCCTGGCTAACACGGTGAAACCCCGTCTCTACTAAAAATACAAAAAATTAGCCGGGCGTGGTGGCGGGCACCTGTAGTCCCAGCTACTCGGGAGGCCGAGGCAGGAGAATGGCGTGAACCTGGGAGGTGGAGCTTGCAGTGAACCGAGATTGTGCCAACGCACTCCAGCCTGGGCAACAGAGGGAGATTCCGTCTCAAAAAAAAAAGAAGCCAGTGTGTGAAAAGGTTACATACTCTACTATTTCAACTTTAGGACATTCTGGAAAAGGCAAAGCTATGAAGGCAGTAAAAAGATCAGTGATTGCCAAGGGTGGGGAGGGAGAAAGGTATGAACAGGTGGAGCACAAAGGATTTGGGGGCAGTTAAAAAAAAAAAAACAAACTACGTGTGCTGCTATATAGGTAGATACATGTCACTATATTTTGTCCCAATCCATAGAATGTATACCAAGAGTGAACCCTAATATCAACCATGATTTTGAGTGATTATGGTGTGTCAATATAAGTTCCTCAATTGTGACAAATGTACCATGCTGATGGAAGATGTTGATAATGTGGGAGCCATGCATATGTGGAGTCAGTGTATATATATGGGACATTTCTGCACCTTCATCCCAATTTTTCTGTGAACTTCAAACTGCTCCAAAAAAAGTTATCAAAACAAAGAAGAAATGTACTAAGAAACAGAAGAAACACAGAGAAGACAAATAATAAAATATCTCAGATCTCTCAAAACTAAGATGTAAAGAACAAAGTACTTGACAGTTTTTAAAAATGAGAACATGAAAAAATACATAAAAAGTTGTTTTTCACTGAGGAAGATAGCAAGTGAGCATAGGAAAATATGTTTCACATCGATAGCTATTAAATCAACAGAAATAAAAAACAGATGTCAATACTCACTTTTCACAATGGCCTAAAAATTGCGATGACATCAAAAACTGATGAGGATGTGATGTAATTGTATCACTCATTCATTTCTGGTGAAATTGGAAAATAGTAAAGATACTCTAGAAAATTATGTAGCAGTTTCTTTTAAAACTAAAAATACATCTGTCCACATGACCTAGCAATAGCAGTCATGGACATTTATTACCAAAAAATAAAATTATGTTCACATAAAAGCTGAATACAAATATTTATAGCAGCCAGAATTTGTAATAGCCAGAATTTGGGAATAATACGTGTATCTCTTAATGGGTAAATGAAACAAACTCTGATGCATTCGTGTCGTGCAATAGTACTCAGCACTAAAAATAAACAAATCATTAATAAATTTTACACGTATATCAACAAAGCTCTGCTGTGTGGGAAAAAAAAGCCAGTATTAAAATGTCACATGCTGTGTGATTCTATTTATATAACATTCATTTAAAAAAAAAAGTTGCTAGTGGTTGGGGTGGGGGCAGGAGGTAAGGATGACTGGCTATGAAAGGGTAGCATGAGGGTATCTGGAGATGATGGAAAACTTCTGTACGTTAATTTTGGTGGTATTTTCCACCATTTTCTTCTTTCCAGCACAGTTCATGGCACAAATGAGATAGGCATCCAAAATATATTTGTTGAAATGACAGTTCTATGTACTAGTTCTTTATCTGTTTCAACTAGTCTAATACATATTCAGTGGCTAGTATATAAAGTAAACACCTATTGCAACATCATGGCATATTTTGCACACCAAGATATAAACACCAAGCTATTTACTTACATAGAGAAAGGTTCCTTGCTGCTCTGCTTATACAGAAGAAAAAAAGAAAACCATAATGATATTCAAGGAATTATCTAATGTGCTGTACATACTTTGCAATACAAATTGAGTACATTGTTTTCCCTAAAAATGCAACCTCAAGCAGAAACCTTAACAGAGCATTTACATTATTGAATCCTTGTTATTAACAAATAAAACATGTATTCATTCACTGAAGCTGTAAGATACCACCTCTAATTTATTATTTAACTCATTTAAGTAAAAAGTGTACTATATATACATACATACACACATATGTACAGTCTCAGTAACACTAATTGGAATTCCAAATGTATCTATCTGTCCATAAATATAAATATGAAAATAAATATATTAAGTATTAACTGAATGTACCCAGTTATATCATTAAAGATTATTTAATGGGAAAAAATTAGAGCCAGTAATTTTTGAGAAAGAGGCTGTATCTCAAAAACCCTGCAGAAAAAACATGAAGTTAACCTAAATGTCCAGGCATGCTATGCAATTTAACATTATGACACTTCAAAAATGACGGATAGAAGCTTATATAGTATAAAGGGGCTGCAATGGTTAATTTTTTTTTGTCAGCCTGGTTGAGCTATGATGCTCTGATATTGGATCAAGCATCATTCTGGATGATTCTATGAAGTTGTTTTTTTGATAAGACTATCATTTACATCAGTGCACTTTGAGTAAAGCAGATTGCCCTTCATAATGTGAGTGGGCTTTATCTAATTGAAAATCTTAATAGAACAAAGACTGACCTTTTCCAAGTGAGGATAAATTCAGCCAGCTGACTGCTTTTGAACACAACTGCAACTCTTTCCTAAGTCTCTGCCCTGCTTAATTTTGGCCTTAACCAAGCTTTCACAATTACATGAGCCAATTCTTTGAAATAAATATGCCTCTGTATACACATTCTTTGGTTCTGTTTCTCTAGAGCACCTTTTGACTAACTAATCCAGGGACTTAAGAGTAAACTGGTTACATGTGTAGACAAGGCTGTTAGAAAACTATAGCCAAGTTGTGTTCCAACAGAGAGATCAACATTCTAAATCACCTTAGCACCTGCTAACATCATAGCTGACATCATTTTCAGGTTTCTCATTATCATATCGGAGTGTCGGTGGAATTTGACTAAATATATTGTGTTTAAAAAATATTGAATTCATGCAAACTATGTGGGTAAATATATAGAAGTATTTGAAATTCAAACATAAAATTATAAAGACAATCAAACTAATGAGCATTGCTAATTACTAAATTTGGTTTTATTGCAAATATGAGTTGAGGCCCCTTTGATTAACTAATAGTAACAATTCATAATTAATAAGCATGGTAATATCTATTGAGTGTTAGTTATGTATCAGAACATAAGTTATGCATTTAATGTTCATTTAAAAAAATAATGAAAAGCACTCTCTGAGGTAGATACTATTGGTAATATACATATGAGGTAACAGTAAGTGACTGGACTGGAAAGTAAGTCCAGGTCTGTTTCACTACAGAGACCCAGAGCCAGAAACCTCAACCCCTTGGCTAATAGTCTACACAAAGTTGTTCACAGTCAGTGGCTCTATAATAGTCATTCAGCCTCACCAGTTTGTTTAAATCTTCAGTTCACATTAATACATTTGGAAATGTCAGACTACAATTTTCATTTTCAATTATGCTAAAATATTTACATGCCAAATTGACTATCACTTATGTCCCTCAAACCTTGCCACATTGTAGCATATGATACCAGAGCCCTGTATTTTCAAGACTTTCAAAATTCAGCTCATTCTTATGAAAAATGATGCACTTACTGTACTCTTCTGTATATAAACATAATGATCTGAGTACAGAATAGATAGATAATAGGTAGATATATTTTTATGTAAATTTGATCTTTTATTTTGGGTGAGACATAATCTAGCATTGTTTTACTAAACAAATTTTACTAATGATTGACTTGAAAGACAATATTGCAAGAGGCTAAGACACATAGTCTTTGGAGTCAGAATGTTTAGGAAAGTTTCTTAGCCCCTCAACTTTCTATAGCTGTGTGAACAAGTTCAAGTCACTTAACTCTTGGGGTCTCAGTTTCTCTGTGTGTAAAAGTAGGATGGTAAAAGTGTCTACCTCAAAATGTTTGTGTGTAGTTCACATGTGTTTATATTTATAAAGCTTTTAGAACAGTGTCTGGAGAATCATAAACTCGGTTTAAACATTTGGTTTAAACACTCTCATTTTAAATAATAGTCATATTATTTAAATATATAATTAAATGCCATTCTATATTCTGTAGTTTAAATTTTTAAGCAATATTTTGTCCAATATGATATCTGGCTATTTCGTCCAAGTTATAAACTATGTACCTCTTGGCCACATTCAGTTTTCTGTGCTTGCTTAGTCAGCCTTTTAAGCCAACCTCAATTGCAGGCAGAGACTCAGCCATCTATTATGTTAGCTGTGTTATTCAGCATCAGTTGTCAATGGATTTCTGATGTAGATAGAAGTTTTTGTGTAACTGAGATATCACTTTGACAGATGAGGTCACAATAGTTTTAACTGATGTTGTTTCAAACCTCAGGAACACTTGCTTACATGGTACAGCTGAAGCATTTCAAAAGCAACGCAGGATACCTAGTAGCCTAAATTACTCTACACAGACACACATTTTTTTAAAAATGTTTCAAGGTTTTTAACAAGCTTTACAAATTGACAAAAGCAAAATCTTTTTAATTAAATATAATGTTTTTAATGAATAGTTTGAAAGGGCTAGACAGCCTCAGTACAATAAAATGCTGTCTTTGAAGTAATTTCCATTCATTTGAACTTGAATTGAAAGGTATTAAATCCAGCCTCTTTGTAGACTGCAAATTAAATTAAATTAAAAGCATCTTAATGTTTTAAATAGAGTTCATGCTTACATGTTTAAATGCTTAGAAATAAAATAGAGGTGAGGCAGAGTAAAATAGATGAACAGAGAACCCTCCAGCAACCTTCCCCTGCACAAGAACACTAAATTGAATAACCACCCACACAAGAAAACACCTCCACAGGAACCAAAAATCAAGTGAGCAATCATAACACCTAGTTTTAACTTAGTATCAAGAAAAGAGGCACGGAGGAGGGAAGGGAAGAGAGCCTTAAATTGCCCTGTTCCCATCTTTTAACAGCAGCAGTGGTCATGTGTGGTGTGGAGAGAGAATCTGTGTGTTTTGGGAAGGGAGAGTGCAGTAATTGTAGGACTTGGCATTGGAATTCAGTGCTGCTCTGTCACAGTGGAAAGCAACATGGGGCAGAAATTTGCTGGCACCCATAGAGGGAGCATTTAGGCTAGCCCTAGCACGAGAAGAATTATCACTCCCAGTGGCTGGAATTGATTGCTGGTTAATCTCACCACTGCAGGCTAAAGGGCTGTGGAGCTCTAAATAAACTTGAAAGGCAGTCTGGGCCATAATCACAGCAAAATATTTCAAGGCAACTCCTGATGCTGGGCTGGCCTTGGAGCAAGTGGGCTTGGATTGCACATGAACTAGTGAGGCACCAGCTGGAGCAGGCAAGGCACTGCTTGCCTGACACCTCCCACAGCCCCAGGCAGCACAGCTTGCAGCTCTGGGAAAGACTCTTCCTTCCATTTGAGAAGAGGAGAGGGGGAAAGTAAAGAGCACTTTGCCTAACAACTTGGATACCTGCTCAGACAAAGTAAATTAGGGCATCAGGCAGAGTCCTGAAGCCCTCATTTCAGGCCCTAGCTCTTGGATGCCATTTCTAGACAACCCTGGGCAACAGGGGAAATGACTGCCTTGAGGGGAAGGACACAGTCTTGGAAGGATTTATTGTCTACTGACTAAAGAGCACTTGAACCTTCTATAAATATCAGTGGTTTCCAGGTAGTACTCACGGCAGGCCTTGGGTGAGACCCAATGCTGTGCTGATTTCATATGTGATCCAGGGCATTCCTAGACATAGTGGCCATGGAGAGTTACTCCGTATGTTTGAGGAAAGGAGAGGAAAGAGTAAAGGGGACTTTGTCTTTCAGCTCACGTACGAGCTCAGCCACAGTGATGTAGAATATCAAGTGGGCTCCTGGGTTCCCTGATCCCAAGCCTTGGCTCCTGGATGGCATTTATGGACCAGACCTTGGCCAGATTGGCACCAAACTGTCCTTAAAGGAGGCCTTGGAGTATTCAGTACAAGCTGACTACTGAGCCCTTGGTCCTTGAGTGAACACTGGCACCAGCCAGACAGTAGTTTGTATTCCCTGCTTGCTCATGGGTTTCCTTCCTTTAGAAGAATAGCTAATTCATGCTGGGCTTAATACCTAGATGATGGGTTGATAGGTGCAGCAAACTACCATGACACACATTTACCTATGTAACAAAACTGCACATCCTGCACATGTACCCTGAAACTTAAAATACATTTTTAAGTGATAAAACTATGGCCAAAAAAATCCAAAACATTGAAATAATATCAAGTAATTTTCTGACCACAATGAAATGAGACAAAATCAATAACAAGAGAAATATTAGAAACTGTATGAACACATGAAAATTAAACATTATGCTTCTATATGGCCAGTGGATCAATTAAGTAATTTAGAAGAAAATTTTAAAAAATTACAATAAATGAAAATAGGAACAAGCATACCAGAACCACTGAAATACAGCAAAATCAGTACTGAGAGGAAAGTTTACAGTTTTAAGCACCTACATCAGAAAAAATAGATAAACATAAAGAAGACATCTTAATGATCCATCTTAAATAACTAGAAAAGAAATAGCAAACCATACCCAACATTAGCAGGAGAAAAGAAATATGATTAGGGCCAAAATAAATAAAGTTAAAATAAAAAAATACAAAGGTTAATGAAAGAAAATTAAAAAACAAAGAAATTGACAAATCTTTAGTCATACCAACTAAGAAAAATAAGAGAGGAGACCCAAATAAATAAAATCAAAGATGAAAAAAGAAACATTAAAACTGATACTGAAGAAATTCAAAGGATCATTAGAGACAACAATGAGCAGATATATTCCAGTATATTGGAAAATCTAGAAGCAATGGATCAATTTCTAGACAGAAACAATCTACCAGGATTTAACCATGAATGAATCCAAAACCAGAATACACTAATAACAAGTAATGAGTTTGAAACTGTCGTAAAAAGTCTATCAGCAAAGAAAAACCCAGAACCTGATGGATTCACTGCTGAATATTACAAAATATTTAAAAAAGAACCAATACCAATCTTACTTAAAAGATTCTGAAAAATAGAGGGAATACTTCAAAATTCGTTCTATGAGAACTGATACCAAAACCAGAAAAAGACATATCAAAAAAAAAAAGAAAAATATGGCCAACATCCTTGATGAACATTGATGCAAAAAATCCTCAACAAAACACTAGCACACCAAATTCAACTACATGTTAAAAAGATCCTTCATTAAGACAAAGTTGAATTTATCCCACGAATGCAAGGATGGTTCAACATACACAAATCAATCAATGTGATACATCATATCAACAGAATGAAAGATAAAATCCATATGATCTTTACAACTGATGGTTAAAAAGCATTTGATCAAAGTTGACATCCCTTAGCAATAAAAACCCAAAAAAAACTGGGTGTAGAAGGAATATACCTAAATATAATAAAAGCCATGTATGACAGAAACACAACTACTATCATAATGAATGGGAAAAAATGAAAACCTTTCACCTATAATCTGGATGTCCCAAGGATATCCACTTTCACTGCCGTTATTCAACATAGTACTGGAGGTCATATCTAAAGCAATCAGACAAGAGAAATAAATAAAGGGTAACCGAACTGGAAAGGAAGATGTCAAATTACCATTGTAGATGATATGGTCTTATATTTGGAAAAATCTAAAGACAACCAAAACACTAATGGATCTGATTTTAAAAATTCAGTAAAGTTACAATATACAAAATCAAAATATAAAAATCAGTATCACTTTTATATGCCAACAGCAAACAATCTGTAAGAGAAATCAAGAAACTAATCTCATTCATCTACAATCACTTTAGAGCTTTAGGTAAAGAAAGATCAGGGTTTTTAAGGAACAACGGTTAGTATGATGTGAGCATAATATAAGTAAAAAAGAGAGTATGAATTTAGAAAGTTAGGCACAATGATTGAGATTAACAATAAAGAAAATAACGTTGTCAATGAACGTAAATACATATATTAGTAATGTAGAAAGAACACATCAGTTAGACTTAGCAGTTAATTTGGTACGGTGAAAGAATCAGGGGTATTTATATAATTAGTATGTCTTTTGCTTGACAAATGATGTTTTCATTCCCTGATATAGAGAGTTTGTGTGCGTGTGTGTGGGGGCAGGGGGCAGGATTTATAGCAAAAGAGTGATGAAATGCCTGAAACACATTTTTAAAGCATTAAAAATGATAAAATATATTTCAATTTACTCACTTCTTTACCATTTTCAGCCCTCTTTACTCTTTGGTGAAGATCTAAATATCCTTCCAGTGTAATTCTCCTTTTGTGTGAAGAAATTCCTTTAAAATAATTCTCATAGCACAATTCTGAACATAATAAATTTTTGTGGATTGAATTGTGCCCATTGAAAATTAAATGCTGAAGTACTAACCTCCAATGGGATGGTACTGGAAGATGAGGCCTTTGGGATGTATACACAGGCCTACCTCATTTTATCATGCACTGCTTTATTGCACTTCATGGATTTTCTGTCTTTTGCAAATTGAAGGTTTGTGACAATCCTGCATCAAGCATGTCTATTGTTGCCATTTTTCCAATAGCATGTGCTCATTTACATTATGTCTCTGTGCCACATTTTGGTAATTCCACTACTTTTCTAAACTTTTAAATTATTATTACATCTATTATGGTGGTCTGTGATAAGTGAATTTTGATGTTACCATTTTGTTTTGGGTTACTACAAACTGCTCCCTTATAAGATTATGAACCTAATACATAAATGTTAAGTGTATTTTGATTGTATAACCAGTCAACAATTCACCATATCTCTTTCTCTCCTGGGCCTCCCTATCTCTTGTGACATAAAAATATTGAAATTAGGACAAATAATAACTCTACAATGGCTTTGAAGGATTCAAGTAAAAGAAAGAGTTGCACAACTCTCACTTTAAAATCAAAATCTTCATCAGTGATTAAGCTTGGCGAAGAAGGCATGCCCCAAGACAAGATAGGTCAACAGCTAGAACTTTTGTATCAAAATATTGGTCAGGTTGTGAATGCAAAGGAAAATTTTTTGAAAATTAAAAGTGTTGGCTGGGCACGATGGCTCATGCTTGTAATCCCAGCACTTTGGGAGGCCAAGGCGGGCAGATCACGAGGTCAGGAGTTTCAGACCAGCCTGGCCAACATGGTGAAACCCCTTCTCTACTGAAAATACAAAAATGAGTTGGGCATGGTGGCACGTGTCTGTAGTCCCAGCTACTCTGTAGGCTGAGGCAGGAGAATCGCTTGAATCCGGGAGGAGGAGGGTGCAGTGAGCCGAGATTGTGCCACTGCGCTCCAGCCTGGCCACAGAGCAAGACTCTGTCTCAAAAAAAAAAAAAAAGAAAAAGAAAGAAAATTAAAAGTGTTACTTTTTTGATTGCATGGATAAGAGAGTGACAAGCCTTTTATGCTGGATCAAAAGACAAACTTGTAAGCCAAATCCTAATCTAGAGCAAGGCCCTAACTCTCTTTAATTCTATAAAGGCTGACAGAGGTAAGAACATCACAGAAGAAAAGCTTGAAGGTGGCAGAGGTCAGTTCATGAGGTTTAAGGAAAGAAGCCATCTCTGTAATATAAAACTGCAACGTGAAGCAGCAAATGCTGATGTGGAAGCGGCTGCAAATTATTTAGAAGAATTAGTTAAGATACTTGATTAAAGGGGCTACACTAAAGAAGAAAATCTCAATCTAGGTGAAATGACCTTCTGTTGGAAGAAGATGCCATCTAGCACTTTCACTGCTATAGAGGTGAAGTCAATGCCTAGCTTCAAAGCTTCAAAGGACAGACTGACCCTTTTGTTAGGGGATAACTCAGCTTCTGACATCAAGTTGAAATCAATGCTCATTGACCATTCTGAAAATTTTAGGTCCCTTAAGAATTATGCTAAATCTACTCTGCTTGTGTTCCCTAAATGGAACTGAAAAGCCTGCATGACAGCACATCTGCTTACAGCATGATTTACTGAATGTTTTTAGCCTACTGTTGAGAACTACTGCTCAGAAAATAAGATTCCTTTCTAAGTATTACTCCTAATTAAAAATGCACCTAGTCACCCAAGAGCTCTGATGTAGATGTACAAAAAGATCAATATTATTTTATGCCTGCAAACTCAATATCAGTTCTGCAGTCTATGGAGCAAGGAGTAATTTCAACTTTCAAGTCTTATTATTTAGAAATACATTTCAGAAGGCTATAGCTGCCATAGATATTAATTCCTCTGATGGACATGGAAAACGTAAATTGAAACCTTCTGGAAAGAATTCACCATCTAGATGCCATTAAGAACATTTATGATTCATAGAAGGTCAAAATATCAACATTAAAAGGAACTTGGCAGGATTTTAACTCTCATGGATGACTTTGAGTGGTTTAAGACATCAGTGGGGGAACTGCAGATATGACAGAAATAGCAAGAGAACTAGAATTCAAAGAGGAGCCTGAAAATGTAATTGAATTGCTGCAATCTCATGAATAAAATGTAAATGGATAAGAAGTTGCTTCTTATGGATGAACAAAGAAAGTGGTTTCTGAATATGGAAGCTACTCCTGATGAAGATGCTGAAAACATAGTTAACATGACCACAAAACATTATATCACACAAATAGTTGTTAAAACAGTGACAAGATTTTAGAGCATTGAATCCAATTTTGAAAAGGTTCTACTGTTGGCAAAATGCTACCAAATAGCATGGCATGCTTCAGAGGAAGAGTCAATCGATACAATAAACTTTATTGTTGTCCTATTTTAGAAATTTTTGATAGTCACCCAAACTTCAGCAACCGCCACCCTGATCCATCAGCAACCATCAATATGGAGGCAAGACTGTCCACTAGCAGAAAGGTTAAAACTGCTGAAGGCTCAGATGTTTGTTACCATTTATTAGCAATGAAGTATTTTTAATTGAGGTATATACATTGCTTTTTTAGACATAATTCTACTACATATAATAGACTACAATATTGTGTGAACATTACTTTCATATGTATTGATTAACCAAAAATTTATGTTACTAGTGTTATTGTGATATTTGCTATATTGCAGTGGTTGGAAGCTGAACCCATAATATCTCCAAGGTGTGTCTGTAATTGGGTTTAGAGGAGTTCATGAGGGAAGGGTTCTCATCATGGTATTAGTGTTCCTATAGAAACAAAGCAGAGTTTTCTCTTTTATCTGACACTTGAAGATACAATGAGAAGGAAGCAGTCTGTTAGCTAGGAAAATAATTCTCACCAAGAACCAAATTGCCTAGCACCTTAATCTTGGATTTCTCACCCTCCATAACTGTGAGAAATAAATGCCTGTTGTTTAAGCAAAAAAAAAAAAAAAAAAAAAAAAAAAAAGTACATGTTTTAGTAATGTTGAGTCTCTTCCTTCTTATTTCTCTTCCTGAGTCTCTAATTCCTCTTATTTTAGACTGCTTGATAATGCCTCACAGATCACTGATTTCCTGTTCTATGTATTTTCTCTCTGTCCTTAACTTTGAATAACTTTTATTATTATATGCTCAAGGTCAGCAGTCTTTATCTGTAGCATGGTATCTGCCATTTTTTGTATCTAGTGTCATTTTAATTCCAGATTCTGTAGCTGTTTTTAAATTTTAATTTAATTTAATTTTAAATTCTGGGATACATGTGCAGGATATGCAGATTTGTTACATAGGTAAATGTGTGCCATGGTGTTTTCCTGCACCCCTCAACACATCACCTGGGCATTAAGCCCTGCATGCATTAGCCATTTATCCTGATGCTCTCCCTTCCCCAACTCCACCCTCTGCCAGGCCCCAGTGTGTGTTGTTTTCCTGCCTGTGTCACTGTGTTCTCATTGTTCAGTTCCCACTTATAAGTTAAAACATGTGGTGTTTGATTTTCTGTTCCTGCATCAGTTTGCTGAGGATAATAGCTTCCAGCTCTATCCCTGTTCATGAAAAGCATATAATTGTATTCCTTTTAAGGCTGCATAGTATTTTGTGGTGTATATGTACCACATTTTCTTTATCCAGTCTATCATTGATGGGCATTTGGGTTGATTCCATGTCTTTGCTATTGTAAACAGCACTGCAATGAACATGCAAGTGCATGTAGCTTTATAGTAGAATGATTTATATCCCATAATCAGTAATACTGTTGCTGGGTCAAATGGGTGTTTCTGGTTCTAGGTCTTTGAGGAATTATAATATTGTCTTCCACAATGGCTGAACTAATTTACATTCCCACCAACAGTGTAAAAGCATTCTATTTCTCCACAGCCTCACCAGCAACTGTTGTTTTTTGACGTTTCAATAATCGCCATTCTGACTTGTGTGATATGGTATCTCATTGTTGTTTTGATTTGCATTTCTCTAATGATCAGTGATGTTCAACTATTTTTCATGTTTGTTGGCCGCATAAATGTCTTCTTTTGAGAAGTGCCTGTCCATGTCCTTTACTCACTTTTTAGTGGGTTTTTTTTTTCTTCTAAGTTTGTTTAAGTGTCTTGTGGATTCTGGATATTAGACCTTTTTCATATTGATACATTGCAAAAATTTTCTCCCATTCTGTAGGTAGTTTGTTCACTCTGATGTTCATTTATTTTGCTGTGCAGAAGCTCTTTAGTTTAAATAAGCTCTTCAGCTTAATGTGCTATATTTTTTACCTGTATGTTTGCCAATTTAGCTTTTGTTGCAATTGCTTTTGACATTTTTGTCATAAAATATTTTCCCGTGCCAATGTTCTGAACGAAAAAACAGCCTGTATAGACAAGACAATTCTAAGCAAAAAGAACAAAGCTGGAGGCATCATGCTATCTGAATTCAAACTATACTACAAGGCTACAATAACCAAAACAGCATGGTACTGGTACAAAAACAGACACACAGACTAATTGAACAGAAGAAAGAACTCAGGAGTAAGACCACACATCTACAACCATGTGATCCTCAACAAACCTGAGAAAAACAAGTAATGGGGAAAAGATTCCCTATTTAATAAATGGTGCTGGAAAAACTGGCTAGCTATATGCTGAAAATTGGAACTGGACCCCTTCCTTACACCTCATATAAAAATTAACTCAAGATGGATTAGAGACTTCAATGTAAAACCCCAAACTGTAGTTTTAATTATGAGGCATTTTCTTTGAGATTTTTTTTCTTTTCTTTCTTTTTTTGGTTTTTGAGACACAGTCTTGCTTTGTCACCCAGGCTGCAGTGCAGTGATGTGATCTTGGCTCACTGCAACCTTGCAACCTTCACCTCCCGGGTTCAAGCAATTCTCCTGCCTCAGCCTCCTGAGTAGCTGAGATTACAGGTTTGTGCCACCACACCCGGCTAATTTTTGTATTTTTAGTAGAGACCGGGTTTCACCATGTTGGTCAGGCTGGTCTCGAACTCCTGACCTTGTGATTCGCCTGCCTCAGCCTCCCAAAGTGCTGGTATTATAGGCATGAGTCACCGCACCCAGCCTCCTTTTCTTTTCTTCACATGTTCATATGTACCCTACCTTCTGGAACATAAGAAGAAACACATTTATAATGGTTATTTTAAAGTAATTTCCTGCTAGCTCCATCCTCTCTGTCATGAGAAATGTGCTATATTTTTTACCTGTATGTTTATTAGAATTTTCTGTTGTTTGCATAATTGGCAATTTTGGATTGGGTGTCAAATTTATTGTATTATTTGAAGTAATGGTGTTTTGTGTTTTCTAGTTTTTTTTTTGGGACATGCAATTATTTGGAATCAATAGGGTCATTTCAAGGTTTACTGTTTTCTGAAATTAATAAACATTACATGTAGACAAGTTTTAGGCTTACAATTTTTATTAGATACACTATAATACAGATTAATCCAAGAACATTTTTCTTATTAACTTCTGCACAGAATCCTAGAGAGCAAAAATCCAATTTACAGGGGACAATTGAGAAGAAAATATCTCACTACTAAAAATCAATTTGACCTTAAAAAAAACTGAAGTCTATCTCTTTAAAACTTAAATGTTACCAATAAAATTGTTTTTAAGGGAAAATAAGATAGCATTAACACAACTAACTTGGACATTCAAAGATTACCAAAGTGGATTGTAAACTCAAATAATCAGATAGAAATCTAATAAGTTAGCAGAATCTGGAGAACAATAATGCATACATGCACAGTTTTTCTATGAATTACCAGAATGCTCACTGTTATCCTTTCCCAATACTTATTTTAGACCTTTTGAAGATGGTTATTGTGCTCTATTATAAGATAATAAAACAATCAGTAATGACATATGTAAATGATATCTTCCATTTTTTTCCTTTCTTGACATTTACAATATATTATTAATCAGTAAAAGTTCTCTGCAAAATAAATTATGTTTTAAGAACACGTTTTCAGAAAAAAATAGCAAACATGTCTTATCTTAAATGATTAGATAAGATTTTTATATTTTGATTTAGTCATATTTAAACATAGTATGAAAAAAAATTTACACTGCTACCCATATGTCTGTCATGCATGAGAAACAATACCTGTACTTTTCTAATACAACATGCATTATTTTTTATTCCACATAGTTAACTTATCTATATCATGTATATGCACACATATATATCCATAATACATTCATAGTGATTGTACATATTTTGTACATGTAATATTTTGATACATGCATACTATAGGTAATGATCAAATTTTGGTAATTGAAATATCCATCACCTCACACATTTATGTCCTAGTTTTAGCAACATTTTCAAATCTTCCCTTCTAGCTATTTTGAAATATACAGTAAATTATTGTTAACTATATTCATGCTACTGTGCAATCACACACTAGGACTTATTCCTTATATTTAACTAGCTTTTTGCATCCTTTAACTAACTTCTCTTTATCTCTCCCTTCCTTCTACCCTTTCCAACCTCTGGCATCCAGTAGTCTTCTCTCTGTCTCCATGAGATCACCTTTTTTAGCTCCCACATATGAGTGAGAACATGCAATATAGAAGTGAGAGCTGCAACCCACTAAATTGTCTTTATGACGCACTAACAGTTTATGACGTACATTATGAAAAAATTACTCCATGCAGCCCTCTAAAACTGAATATACCAATGCAAAGCAACTCTGACTCACAATCATTGGTAAATGGGTGTAGTAATTGCCAAATATTACATATCATTCACTAAATACCAGACACATTTTTAAGCACTCTTCATATATATCTTCTTATAATAAATCTTATAAGCCTGTAGAGCTAGGCTTCAGACTCTGAGATTTTAATAGTGTTTCATAAAGAAAGTACTTTAACATTATGGGTCAAGTAGACCCAGAACTTTTTGTTTTAAATTGACAGATAAAATAGTACATATTTATTGTACACAACATGGTGTTTGGAATGGTTACATCTAGCTTACATGCATTAAGAAATGCATTACCTCATATATTTTTCATTTTTTATGGTGAGAATACTTAACATCCATTTCCTTTGCATTATTCAAAAATACAATTCACCATGCCATACAATTGATATCTTGAATGTATTCCTCTTTAACTGTAGCTATATATTTGACCAATATTTCCCCAACCTTCCCCTCCTCTAACTATCCCAGCTTCTGGTAACAACCTATTTTCTACTTATGTGTGCCTCTGAATTTTTAAATAGTACATTTTCGTATTCAGGGCCATTCTCTTATTGCTAATTTTCAGAAATGCTTACTGATTTTTTCCATTTTTTTCAAAATGTTATATATAGCTGACATAGAAAAGCATATATTTCAAAAGAGAGGAGAAACAAAATATATTTATTTGTATATTTGGTTTTTAGCTTTAATATCAAGCACAGACTGTTATAATTGAGAACTTACAGTTCTTCAGGGAGTGATTGCATTTTATTTAGAACACGGGTGAACATAAAAATTATAGTTTTATAAGTTAATAACTTGCATAAATGGTTTAAAGAAGGCATGGAAGATTGATTTCATGGGCATTTACCTAGCAACCAGATGTCATGTATGTGTATCTAAAATGCCTAAAATTGTGGTCATATTGAATTATGTGAGCAGTCTTTCATCAGACAAATAGACGTTATTAAAAGATTAAAGAAAGTTGTGTTTCCAGAATTGGCACTGCAATTACATTTTTTTTTTTTTTTGCTTAAACAAGAAACTATTATTTTTCCGAATAGAATGGGGAAATGTTTTTGTAGTTTGTTATTAATTTTAAAATACAAGCAAGTACATAATATATCCATATATATTTTCACTTAGCATGTTGTTTGGATGTCTTAGGGCTGTCATTGAAAGGCATTTCTCCATCACCCACTACATATTTCCAGGCATCCTAAGGACCACCTCTGTCATCTTATCTCGATGCTTTAAGAGATATTTACTAATATTACTCCCAAGAGTGTCTGGAAGACCCTCCAGATAATCTCTTTCAATAGCATCATTCTGGAGATGGGTGAGCAGGAAAAAGAAGCTCCAGACCATTAAGCAAGAAAATAACTTCCAGAAGGTAATAGATATCTTGCATTCCAAACATTTTGAATACCATCTCTGAATATAACTAGCTCTTTTGTCTCTTTCTGTTCCTAGCCTCTCACCTCACTGTTTGCCAGGGTTTCCATAAGATTATACTGGAGCATTCTCCAGCAAAGGAATATAAAATTATGTTCATATTCTGTTTTAAACTTACAGATATCATCTCACTTGATCTTAAACATAGTCCTGTGCCTGAGGTGTTATTATCTGCATTTTATAAGGGCAGCATGGAGAATTCTTTGATTGATACTTCAATTTGTTTGTTGTACTATTTATTTTTCTATGGAACTGAGAAACTTTGGGTGGACTAGCTTTCCTGAAAAGCAGTGTCATCTGCAAACACTACTGGAGAGGGGAACTAATCAATTATACCTGTAGTAGAAATTAGCAGCTATACATGGCAGAATTAGTGCACTAACGGGCTAAGATGAAAGCTAAAGTTTCCTCTCTGCTATGAAAATAGTCCAGAAGATTTTTGTATGTAGGACATCATTAACATTTGATTAAAACCTGTGATAAGTAACCTGTAATAGGTAAACCTGTAGTAAGTATTATTGATGCCTCACATTACATAAAAACGTAATATGTTTTCCTGTTTGTTTTATATTTTAGTATTAATAACTAAGAAGAATCTTATATATGTTTCATAAGTAAAATGCAGCCTTAACTAGAAACTTTAATATGGCTAGTACTATTTATGATAATATTTACTAAGAAACAAATGTGAGATGATAAAATGAAAACATCAAAAACTTTGTGATAGTTCTAGACTGGTGTACAGGCTCTAGATGCCTGTAATCCCAGCACTTTGGGAGGCTGAGGCAGGTGTACCATGTGAAGTCAGGAGTTTGAGACCAGCCTGGCCAACATAGTGAAATTCCGTCTCTACAAAACATACAAAAATTAGCCGGGGGTGGTGGTTCGTGCTTGTAATTCCCAGCTATAAGGCAGGCTGAGGCAGCAGAATCACTAGAATCCAGGAGGCGGAGGCTGCAGTGAACAGAGATCATGCCACTGCACTCCAGCCTGGATGACAAAGTGAGACTCAATCTCAAAAACAAAACCAAACCAAACAAAACAAAACGGAACAAAAACAAACTTCTGTGATAGTTCAGCTCTCACTGCTTAATATAGGACAACATAGGAATCTATTTTCTACTTTAAAGTAAGTTGTCTTAATATATCTTAAAATTACCTAATTGGTAAGAAAAATTAATAGAAAAAGGTATCTCTAATGCATGTTGTTAAATGTCCCTTCATAAAAAAATACACGTCAAAATTTTGCTGGAGTTATCTATATTTTTCTCATATCAATAAATTCATATTAATTTATCAGGCGCTTACTACTTGAGTGTTATGTGATATAAATCAAGTCATTTTATGCTAAACAATGTAAAATTGATATACTACACACTATAAAACAATAACCTTGCTTTTAGGGACATAAGACTTAGATTATTGGTGTTAATATTATCTTAATAGTTAAATTCACTTCATACTTGTTGAATGACAAATGCTTAGACAAACAACACTATAAACTGTCTAAAACTATAAACTATAAAAGTATAAACTGAAAACCATACATTAAGCAAAGCTTAGCAGATATAAACAGAATTCTTACAATACATCTTTTCTGTCCTCAGATGATCTCACTGCACTGGGATTAGGTCAACATTGATTTATGTCACTGCGTGCAAGGTCAAACTTTTTCTCATTTGTCATAAAACCACTAATTCATTGCTTTTGTGTGTTTATTTGTATTTTGTTTTATAAATAAAGGCTACCCTAGGAAACTTTATGGTTCTCCATGCCTTTCTTTTAATATTGAGTCTATCTTCTAATTAACATCCCTTATTAGCTAAGTGAACTGAATTAAAAAAAAAACTCCAGTAAGAGCAAACATAAACCATATATATATATTTATGACAATATTTATTTATGACAATAGTTATATATATTATATATAACATAATGTATTATTTGGACAGAAACTATATTATATATTATAATTAACTATTTCTTTAGATTTAATAAAATGAGTGAAGTAAAGCTGATAAGGCGACCTATAGAATGAAAAAAATTTGCAAATCATATATCTGATAAACAACCAATATACAGAGAACTCCTAAAAGTCAGCAACAAAATACCAAACAACCAAAGTCATAAATGGGCAAAGAACTTAGATGTTTCTTCAGAGAAGATATATACAAATGGCCAACAGCACATAAAAAGATGTTTTATATCACTAATCATTAGACAAATGCAAATCAAAACTACAATGACATATCACCTCACACCCATTAGCGTGGATACTGTCAAAAATCGAGAAAACAGCAAGTGTTGTTAAGGGTGTGGAATAATTAAGAGCCTTCTACATTGTTGGTGGGAATGTAAAATAATATAGCCACTATGCAAGACAGTAGGGCAGATCCTCAAAAAATTAAAAATAAAATTTTCATATAATCCGGCAATTCAATTTTTGGGTAAATACACACACACACAAATGAAAGTGGTCTCTTAAAGAGTTAGTTGTACACCTATGTTCATAGCAGCAGCATAAGTAGCTAAAACATGGACACAACCCAAAAGTCCATCAACAGATGAATGGATGAGCAAAATGTGGGCTGTGTGTGTGTAATGTGTACAGATATACAAATGAGAATATTATTCAACCTCAAAAAGGAAGGAAGTTTCAACATAGATGAACCTTGAAAACGTTATGCTAAGTGAAATAAGCCATTCATGAAAAGAGAAATACTATATTATTTCACCTATATGAGGTACTGAGAGTAGTCAAAATCATAGAGACAAAAAGTAGAACGGTTCCCCCGAGCTGGGGGAAGAAATAATGGGGAGTTATTTTTTAATGAGTAGGACGTTTCAGTTTTACAACAATAAAAAGTGTACTGGGTCAGGTGGGGTGGCTCACACCTGTAATCCCAGCACTTTGGGAGGCCGAGGCAGGTGGATCACCTGAGGTCAGGAGTTCAAGACTAGCCTGGCCAACATGGCTAAACCCCGTCTCTACCAAAAATACAAAAAAAATTAGCCAAGGGTGGTGGTGCATGCCTGTAATCCCAGCTACTCGGGAGGCTGAGGCAAGAGAGTTCCTCGAACCCAGGAGGTGGAGGTTTCAGTGAGCCGAGATGGTGCCACTGTACTCCAGCCTGGCTGACAGAGAGGAACTCCATCTCAAAAAAGAAAGAGTTCTGAAAATGAATGATGGTGATGGCTCTCCAACGTTATTAATGCATTTAATAACACTGGATGGTATACTTAAAAATAGACATGGTAAATTTCATGTTATGTGTATTTTCTCACAATAAAAACCAACTTCACGGCTGGGGCAACATGTTGAAACCCCTCACTACCAAAACAAACAAACAAACAAACATTGTCAGTCATGGTGGCCTGCTCCTGTAGTCTTAGTTACTTGGGGAGCTCAGGTGGGAAGAGGTGGAGGCTGCAGTTAAGCTGTGATCATGCCACTACACTCCAGCTAGGGCAACAGAGTGACACCCCATCTCACACACACACACACACACACACACACACACACAAAACCTTGGGAAAAGATATAGACATTTAAATGTCTCTTCATTTTTTTCTCACATGCACAAATTAAAAAACGAATGTAACTTATATAAAAAGAAGAATGCAATCGAAGATTATAGTTCAATGATACAATCTAGATGAAATATAAGATTCACCATCTATTCCTGTTCATTCTGTTTTAACGATACACACAATACAGGTGTCAGCAATAACTATTTAAATAAGTGAATTATGTTTGTGCCACTGAATTATTAGCTCACTAAAAGGGATCATGACTATACTGTGGCTAAAGGTGGATTACAGCACTGGGGTGGTTGCAGTGCATTTATGTCAAGCTGTAACAGGCAATCAGAAAGGTCGCCCTTGAAGAAGACTGGTGCACAGACAGATTAGTAATGACATTTCAAATGGGCTTCATTCAAATAGCTCCCATTTCTAAGTTCAATGTTCTTATGAATTTGCACAAGCAACCTAGGAAAATAAGCAGAATTTGCAATAATGCAACTATAAGTCCTAATAACTCTCATTTCATGGTATGCATTTTATTGTATTTCACAGGAAAGTGTATATCTCAGATTTAACGAAGCCAAAATTAGCTCTATAAATATTAAAATAAATTTACATTCATTCAGAAATATTGGGATTTTTTTAAAACAGAAAGTAAAAAATAATAAATTGAATCATGACTATAGAATATCATCATCTCCCAAATGCAAATAACTTTCATTAAACTAATATACATAAGTATATATTACTAGCATCAGACATTTGTATTAGAATGTATAGAATTAGTGAGTGTGTAGTATGTGGATACATACGTGTGTGTGTATGTATGTATTTATTTACATGGAGAGTAGACATAAGGAACTTATTTTGTGAATAAGGGAGATTATATTTTTATTCAATTATATTCAAAATTGAATTATATTTCATACTTTGGGAAGACAAAACTTTACTTGCTGAAGTTGCTTTAAAATATTTCATTTAAGGTTTCCCAGGCAAGATGGCCGAATAGGAGCAGCTCTGGTCTGCATCTCCCAGCGAGACTAACACAGAAGGTGGGTGATTACTGCATTTCCAACTGAGGTACATGGTTCATCTCATCGGGACTGGTTAGACGGTGGGTACAGCCCACAGCGGGCAAGCAGAAGCAGGGTGGGGTGTCACCTCACCTGAGAAGTGCAAGGGGTCAGGGAACTCCCTCCCCTAGCCAAGGGAAGCCATGAGGGACTGTGCTGTGTGGGACGTTTCTATCCGGTCCAGAAAACTACGCTTTTACCATGGTCTTTGCAACCCACGGAACAGGAGATTCCCTTGGGTGCCTAGATCACCAGGGCCCTGAGTTTAAAGCAAAAACTGGGTGGCCTTTTGGGCAGACACTGAACTAGCTGTAGGAGGTTTTTCTTGTTGTTGTTTTTTGTTTTTTGTTTTTTTACCCCAGTGGCAACTGGAACACTGCTGAGACAGAACCATTCACTCCCCTGGAAAGGAGGCTGAAGCCAGGGAGCCAAGTGGTCTAGCTCAGAGGATCCCACCACCGTGGAGCCCAGCAAGCTAAGATCCACTGGCTTGAAATTCTTGCTGCCAGCACAGCAGACTGAAGTTGAACTGGGATGCTCTAGCTTGGTGGGGGGAGGGGCATCGGCCATTACTGAGGCTTGAGTAGGTGGTTTTCCCCTGACAGTATAAACAAAGCCACTAGGATGTTCGAACTGGGTAGAGTCCACTGCAGCTTGGCAAAGCTGCTGTAGCTAGACTACCTCTCTAGATTCCTCCTCTCTGGGCAAGGCATCTCTAAAAGGAAGGCAACAGCCCAAGTCAGGGGCTTATAGATCAAACTCCCATCTTCCAGGGACAGAGTGCCTGGGGGAAGGAGCGGCCATGGGCACAGTTTCAGCAGACTTAAACTTTCCTGCCTGCCGGCTCTAAAGAGAGCAGCAGATCTCCCAGCACAGCGCTTGAGCTCTGCTAAGGGACAGACTGTCTCCTTAAGGGACCCCCGTGCCTCCTGACGGGGAGACACCTCCCAGCAGGAGTCGAGAGACACATCATACAGGAGAGCTCCAGCTGGCATCTGGCAGGTGCCCCTCTGGGATGAAGCTTCCAGAGAAAGGAACAGGTAACAATCTTTGCTGTTCTACAGCCTTCGCTGGTGATACCCAGGTAAAGAGGGCCTGGAGTCGACCTCCAGCAGACTCCAACAGACCTGCAGCAGAGGGGACTGACTGTTAGAAGGAAAACTAACAAACAGAAAGGAATAGCATCAACATAAACAAAAAGGACGTCCAAAAAGAAACCCTATCCGAAGGTCACCAACATCAAAGACCAAAGGTGGATAAATCCATGAAGATGAGGAAAAAACAGCACAAAAAGGCTGAAAACTCCAAAAACCAGAATGCCTCTTCTCCTCCAAAGGATCACAACTCCTCACCAGCAAGGGAACAAAACTGGATGGAGAATGAGTTTGAAGAATCGACAGAAGTAGGCTTCAGAAGATGAGTAATAACAAGCTCCTCCAAGCTAAAGGAGCATGTTCTAACCCAATGCAAGGAAACAACCTTGAAAAAAGGTTAGAGGAATTACTAACTAGAATAACCAGTTCAGAGAAGAGCATAAATGACCTGATGGAGCTGAAAAACACAGCACGAGAACTTCGTGAAGCATACACAAGTATCAATAGCCAAATCAATCAAGCAGGAGAAGAAAGGATATCAGAAATTGAAGATCAATTTAATGAAATAAAGTGTGAAGACAAGATTAGAGAAAAAAGAATGAAAAGGAATGAACAAAGCCTCCAAGAAATATGGGACTATTTGAAAAGACACATTTGATTGGTGTACCTGAAAGTGATGGGCAGAATGGAACCAAGTTGGAAAACACACTTCAGGATATTATCCAGGAGAACTTCCCCAACCTAGCAAGACAGGCCAACATTCAAATTCAGGAAATACAGGAACACCACAAAGATACTTCTCAAGAAGAGCAACCCGAAGACACATAATCATCAGATTCACCAAGGTTGAAATGAACAAAAAAATGTTAAGGGCAGCCAGAGAGAAAGGTCGGGTTACCCACAAAGGGAAGCCCATCAGACTAACAGTAGATCTCTAACAGCAGAAAACCTACAAGCCAGAAGAGAGTGGGGGGCCAATAATCAACATTCTTAAAGAAAAGAATTTTCAACCCAGAATTTCATCGAGCCAAACTAAGCTTCATAAGTGAAGGAGAAATAAAATCCTTTACAGACAATCAAATGCTGAGGGATTTTATCACCACCAGACCTGCCCTACAGGAGCTCCAGAAGTGCTAAATATGGAAAGGAAAAACCGATACAGATCACTGCAAAAACATATCAAAATGCAAAGGACATCAACACTATGAAGAAACTGCATCAACTAATGGACAAAATAACCAGCTAGCATCATAATGACAGGATCAAATTCACACATAACAACATTAACCTTAAATGTAAACAGGCTAAATGCCCCAATTAAAAGACACAGACTGCAAATTGGATAAAGAGTCAAGACCCATCAGTGTGCTGAATTCAGGAGACCCAGCTCATGTGCAAAGGCACATATAGGCTCAAAATAAAGGGACGGAGGAATATTTACCAAGCAAATGGAAAGGAAAAAAAGCAGGGGTTGCAATCATAGTCTCTGATAAAACAGACTTTAAACCAACAGAGATCAAAAAAGACAAAGAAGGGCATTACATAGTGGTAAAGGGATCAATGCCACAAGAAGAGCTAACTCTCCTAAATATATATGCACCCAATACAGGAATACCCAGATTCATAAAGTAAGTTCTTAGAGATCTACAAAGAGAGACTCTCACACAATAATAGTGGGAGACTTTAACACCCCACTATCAATATTAGACAGATCAATGAGACAGAATATTAACAAGGATATTCAGGATTTGAACTCAGCTCTGGACCAAGCAGACCTAGTAGACATCTACAGAACTCTCCACCCCAAATCAACAGAATATGCATTCTTCTCAGCACCACAGAGCACTTATTCTAAAATTGACCACATAATTGGAAGCAAAATACTCCTCAGCAAATGCAAAAGAACAGAAATAATAACAAACATTCTGTCAGACCACAGTGCAATCAAATTAGAACTCATGATTAAGAAACTCACTCAAAACTACACAATTACGTGGAAACTGAACAACCTGATCCTGAATGACTACTGGGTAAATAACAAAATTAAGGCATAAATAAATAAGTTCTTTGAAACCAGTGAGAACAATGACACAGCATACCAGAATCTCTGGGAAACAGCAAAAGCAGTGTTCAGAGGGAAATTCATAACTGCTAAATGCCCACATGAGAAAGCAGGAATGATCTAAAATTGATACCCTATTATCACAACTAAAAGAACCAGAGAAGCAAGGGCAAACAAATTCAAAAGCTAGCAGAAGACAAGAAATAACTGAGATCAGAGCAGAACTGAGGGATATAGAAACATGAAAAACCCTTCAAAAAAATCAGTGAATCCAGGAGCTGGTTTTTGAAGAGATTAACAAAATAGATAGACCACTAGCCAGACTAATAAAGAAGAAAAGAGAAAATAATCAAATAGACACAATAAAAAATGATAAAGGGAATATCACCACTGATCCTGCAGAAATAAAAAACCACCATCAGAGAATACTATAAATACCTCTATGCAAATAAACTAGAAAATCTAGAAGAAATGGATAAATTCCTGGACACATACACCCTCTCAAGACTAAACCAGGAAGAAGTTGAATACCTGAATGGACCAATAACCAGTTCTGAAATTGAAGCAGTAATTAGTAGCCTAACAACCAAAAATAGCCCAGGACCAGGTGGATTCATAGCTTAATTCTACTAGAGGTACAAAGAGGAGCTGTAACCATTCCTTCTAAAACTATTCCAAACAACAGGAAAAGAGGGACTCCTCCCTAACTCATTTGATCAGGCCAGCATCATCCTGATACCAAAACCTGTAAGAGACCCAACAAAAAAGAAAATTTCAGGCCAATATCCCTGATGAACATTGATGCAAAAATCCTCAAAAAAAAAAAAAACACTGGCAACCCAAATCCAGCAGCACACTAAAAAGCTTATCCACCACAATCAAGTCAGCTTCATCCCTGGGATACTAGGCGGGCTAAACTTAGGCAAATTAATAAATGTAATCCATCACATAAACAGAACCAATGACAAAAACCAAATGATTATCTCAATAGATGCGAAAAAGGCCTTTGATAAAATTCTACACCCCATCATGCTAAAAACACTCAATAAACTAGGTATTGATGGAACGTATCTTAAAATACCAAGAGCTATTTATGACAAACTCACAGGCAATATCATACTGAATGGGAAAAAGTGGAAAGCATTCCTTTTGAAAACCAGCAAAAGACAAGGATGCCCTCTCTTACCTCTTCCGTTCAACATACTATGGAAAGTTCTGGCCAGGGCAATCAGACAAGAGAAAGAAATAAAGCGCCTTCAAATAGGAAGAGACGAAGTCAAATTATCTGTTTGCAGATGACATGATTGTATATTTAGAAAACCCCATTGTCTCAGCCCCAAAACTCCTTAAGCTGATAAGCAGCTTCAGCAAAATATCAGGATACAAAATCAAAGTGAACAAATCACAAGCTTTCCTATACACCAATAATAGACAAACAGAGAGCCAAATCATGAGTGAACTCCCATTCACAATTGCTATGAAGAGAATAAAACACCTAGGAATACAACTTACAAGGGATGAGATGAACCTCTTCAAGGACTACAAACCACTGCTGAAGCAAATGAAAAAGGACACAAACAAACGGAAAGTCATTCCATGCTCATGGATAGGAAGAATTAAAATTGTGAAAATGGCCATACTTCCCTAAGTAATTTGTAGAGTCAATTCTATTCCCATCAAGCTACCATTGACTTTCTTCACAGAATTAGAAAAAACTACTTTAAATTAGATATGGAACCAAAAAAGAGCCTGTATAGCCAAGGCAATCCTAAGCAAAAAGAACAAAGTTGGAGGCATCATGCTACCTGACGTAAAACTATATTACAAGCCTGCAGTAACCAAAACAGCATGGTACTGGTACCAAAACAAATATATAGACCAATGGAACAGAATAGAGGCCTTAGAAATGACACCACACATTTACAACCATCTGAGCTTTGACAAAACTGACAAAAACAAGCAATGGGGAAGGGATTCTCTGTTTAATAAATGGTGTCGGGAAAACTGGCTAGCCATGTGCAGAAAACTGAAACTGGACCCCTTCCTTACACCTTATACAAAAATTAACTCAAGATGGATTAAAGACTTAAATGTAATACCTAAAACCATAAAAACCCTAGAAGAAAACCTAGGCAATACCATTCAGGACATAGGCATGGGCAAAGGCTTCATGACTAAAACACCAAAAGCAAACACAACAAAAGCCAAAATAGACAAATGAGATCTAATTAAACTACAGAGCTTCTGCAGAGCAAAAGAAACTATCATCAGAGTGAACAGGCAACCTACAGAATGGGAGAAAAGTTTTGCAATCTATCCATCTGACAAAGGGCTAATATCCACAATCTACAAAGAACTCAAACAAATTTAAAAGAAAAAAAAAGTACTCCATCAAAAAGTGGGCAAAGGAGATGAACAGACACTTCTCAAAAGAAGACATTTATGCAGCCAATAAACATATGAAAAAAGTTTAAGTTCGTTGTAGATAAATGCCAATCAAAACCACAATGAAATACCATCTCACGCCAGTTAGAATGGTGATCATTAAAAAGACAGGAAACAACAGATGCTGGAAAGAATGTGGAGAAATAGAAATGCTTTTACACTGTTGGTGGGAGTGTAAATTAGTTCAATCATTGTGGAAGACAGTTTGGCGATTCCTCAAGGACGTAGAACTAGAAATACCATTTCTCCCAGCAATCCTATTACTGGATATATACCCAAAGGACTATAAATCATTCTACTGTAAAGACACATGGATACGTATGTTTATTGCAGCACTATTCACAATAGCAAAGGCATGGAACCAACCCAAATGCCCATCAATGATAGATTGGATAAAGAAAATGTGGCACATATACACCATAGAATACTATGCAGCCATAAAAAAATGAGTTCATGTCCTTTGCAGGGACATGGATGAAGCTGGAAACCATCATTCTCAGCAAAGTAACACAGGAACAGAAAACCAAACACTGCATGTTCTCACTCATAAGTGGGAGTCGAACGATGAGAACACATGGGCACAGGAAGGGGAACATCACAAACCGGGGCCTGTCAGGGCATGGAGGAAAAGGGGAGGGATAACATTAAGAGAAATACCTAACTTAGATGATGGGTTGATAGGTGCAGCAAACCACCATAGCACTTGTATACCTAGGTAACAAACCTGCACGTTCTGCACATGTATCCCAGAACTTAAAGTATAATTTTAAAAAATTTAAAATGTATATGTATTTCAATATTTCATTTAAAATTTATTTCATATTGGTAAGCATTTGATAAAAATGAAGAGTTATTTACATGGGAAACTTTTTTTTTTTTTTTTTTTAGATGGAGTCTCTCTCTGTTGCCAGGGTGGAGCATAGTGGTGCAATATTGGCACACTGCAACCTCCGCATCCCAAGTTCAAGCAACTCTCCTGCCTCGACCTCTAGAGTAGCTGGGACTACATGTACAGGCCACCACACCCAGCTAATTTTTGTATTTTTAGTAGAGACGGGGTTTCATCATGTTGGCCAGGATGGTCTCGATTTCCTGACCTCGTGATCCACCCACCTCAGCCTCCCAAAGTGCTGGGATTATAGGCGTGAGCCAGCACACCCAGCCTACATGGGAAACTTAAATATATTTTTATTTATAAAAAACTTTAAATCACTGTAACTTGCCTAAAATAGTTTATTTTCAAAAAAGGAAAATAATTTAGAAACATTATTTTTACTTTAAAATATTTGTATAATTAATTTTTATTATAACAAAACAAAATATCCTGAAGAGTATAGTAAAATCAAAGAAATTGATATATTATTAGTTAGTTAATTAATTAATTTATCATTTTATTTTGTTTTGTTTTGAGACAGTGTCTGGCTCTGTCACCCAGGCTGGAGTGCAGTGGTATGATCTTGGCTCACTGCAACCTCCGTCCCCACAGGCTCAAGTGATCCTCCCACCTCAGCCTCCCAAGTAGTTGAGACCACAGGCACTTGCCACCACTCTCGGCTAATATTTTTTGTCTGTTTTTGTACTTTTGGTAGAGATGGGGTTCACCATGTTTCCCAGGCTGGTCTCCAACTCCTAAGATCAAATGATCCAACCTCCTCAGTCTGCCAAAGTGTTGGAATCACAGACATGAGCCACTGTGTCCAGCCCAGGTTTATTATTTAATAGGAAACTTTCTTGCATCAAGTTCTATGTTTATTATTTTAATTGATTAGTACTTTACATGATTTAAATTACAATTTTGTTTAATCATACATGCTCCCTCTCTAGTTGTTTGACAATGTAGAGGTAATTTAAAATAAAGTTAACACACTTTCTTTTTATTTCAACTAAATTACAGACGTTCCTTCCAATTATAGAATTTAACATTTCCAATATAGAATATTCACAGGAAACTTGAAGGATAATTACATGTAGTATTGTGTATTGTGTATGATAATAACTGTACCAAAATTGTTCTTATTTAAATAGCATATTACATACAATATGCTGGACTTCAGTCTGAATAATTGTAACAAGGCACCCCTGCCTTAGCTACCCAGAGATGCTTTTTGCCCATATGCCATGCACTACTGCTTTCTCCAGCCATAAACTTAGTACTCTAGAGATTGAACCATGAGATTATTTGCTTTATCATGTGAGGGGTTGGGGGGAGACAAAGTATGAACTGTTCATTAATATTCATATATTCTTCTATTTTGTGATACTGTTATTACTCGCCCACCTCATAGTTGGCCAAATGAAAAAAGAGAAACATTAATCATACTGGATGTGATCTGATGAAAAAATTATCAACCAGTTTGTATGCATGAGAATTAAACTCACTGATTCTCTTCTGTTCGCTCCTCCTAAGCAGACGAATAGTAGTGATGCTAAGGTCTTCAATTCTGTGTATACTCTAGAAACAATTTAATAAATGAGCCCCATTAGCAAATGACCGTATAAAAGGAAGGTGTTAGCCAACTATATATCTTCATCAAAAATTAAATGTGGTAGAAAAATATTACTTTTTGATATTTGTTTTGGATTTGAGAAATTGTGTGCTTTTTATTAAATGCCTAAGCAGAAAGTTTCAATTAATTTGGAGCCTTCAATGAAAGGAACATACTTCTAACCTTTGTTAAAAATTACCCTATCTTTTGTCAGGAACTATAACAAACCTCATATTTTAGTATACTTGAAAGGAAGCAAACAAGTAATTTTCCCTTTCATTCAATTTACTTATAATTTATTTTATTTGACAAATGTATACGGATTTTTGTTGGCATTCAGAGTAAACATTTAACCAGTTAATTCAAAATAATAAATTTCACCAAGAGTTTCATATGTAGGATACAGTAGTAAATATTCTGTTAGTCACTTAATCATTATTCATTTTTATGCAAGATTTATTAGGCAACTTACATATTTTAAAGTAAATTCTGAAATATAGATATTGGTATTTTTTCCACCATTTAAAATTATTCCATCCATTAACCTCCAGCAAAATTTATACACATTAGCATTATAATATCTGAGACAGTAGGTAGATGGCTTTACAAAATACTAATGCCTAAAGTGTGACTTGGACATGAGGATTTAAAAATCTTCCCAAGTGGTTCTAATTTGCCACTAAGGTTTAGAACAAATGTTAACAAAAATATAGAAATCTCTCTGAAGAACCCAGAATACACAGTGACCGATTTTTCTCTTTAGAATCACTTTTCTAATTATTTTTGCATTCAAATAGAGATTTTGAGTTTAATACAAATATAAGTGCATACCAAATTAGTGTCTGGGTAGCTCCATTTTACTGAATAAATACATTACATGGAGCTTAGACCATATTTGGGGGAAATGGAGTGGTCAATGACAAATGAAGTTAGTCTGCAATGATTTTTTGAACTATAGTAAAGCAACTTTTTCAATGGAGAAATAGAGTTTGCTTTGACAAAGAGAAAGTGAGGAGCAGGATGATAAAGAAGGCATGCTGACATATGTAACAACTTGGTAGTTTCAGTAACAGTTTGTCAAGATGTCAGATCTCCCCACTATTACAGTTCACAACTAAAGGTTCCTGATACTCCAAAAAAGTCGCATTTCTGTGTGCAGGGTATCTCATTGTGTGATGTCTACCAATTTTACAATTTCAAGAAAATAAACAAGTGTGTGTACAATAAAATAAAATAACTCCTTTTTCCTGTTTCTCAAACTAAGTACTACTATTTGTTTAATATATGTATGAATGTATGAATAGTTATATTTTAAATATTGTGCTATGGGCTCCTGTTAACAAGAACCTGCTAGGCTTCAAACAGAATATGTAACCAAATGACCGTCTTATCACCCAAGGAGGCCTTAGTTCAAAGTATTATTTAAAATAAGTATATCAGTACAATTGTTTTATGATACTTTTCTCAAATTGCTGTGGCAAATATCACAAAGATTTAGTTATAGGTCCCAATACTTACATACTTCACCTTACTGTCCTTTATTTCCCAGAACAAAGACTATAATTTCAATATGTAGTTTAAATATAGCAAAATAAGTAGTGGCCTCAGAAGGACACTATATGTTTCTTCTCATTTTTTCTTCTTAAAAAATATTAAGTTGTATTTTATAGTGTAGAATTTACATAATGTTCCAGAGAATCTTCACATTTAAATCAATGTTCATTTGAAAGCTGCTGCTCATAATTGTTCTTTATGTTTTAACAATAAGTATAAAATGTATATGCAAATTATGAGGAAACGATACAAAATTTACTTCTTTCTGAAGGACACCTTTTTACCTAGATGTACGTGAAAGCATATTTCCTTTAGTTCTTACATTTACTTTACATTTGTTGGGAATTTGTACATTTCTGTACATAACGTTACATTTATAAACAAATACATATAACTGTAATTTTGTTGTAGGTAATTCTACTTTGTGTAAACTTCTTCATTGCTGATTAATATTCTAAGAGTACATTGTTGTTTTCTGGTATACATTGCAATCGAATATGAGAAGAGTGCTGTGTTTGTATCTCTGTCTACAGAACATCCAGTCTTGGTATGAGAGTACATTGTCTCCATCACTGTCTTCTTTTTGCTCTCATCTTCCTTGAGGCTGCTAAGCGTATTCCCTATTCTCTGAGTTAGACTTATATGTTCAATTTCTTGGTGGTATTTATTCCATAAAGATTTTTCAGAGTGAGAATATTTCAGACAGAAAAGGCAAGAATGATAAATTTCTGGTTATAAATCTATAAATTTTACAGCTGACTATATGGGGAGGGATATTCAGAGGGCTGCTCCAGAAATAATCTCTTCAATGTCAGATCTATAAATAATTGTGAAGAGGTTGATACCATTACCTGAGACAGGAAAACATCAAAAACGGCATATTTGTGATCAAAGAACACATGTTCTTTCTGAAAATAACTATACATTTAGTCTAACCCCTTATTTTATAAGAAGCAAGCTGAAATATATAAGGATGTTTTTGTCCTTTGCTATGTAATAGAAAGTTATAAAACCTCTATTCCATAACTATTACATCATTGTGCAGGAACCCTGTTTATACAAAATATATTTCCTATAAAAATATTTACTTTGAAACGTTTCTGTCTTACCTTTCTGAATGCTGCAATTTTGTTATTTTTCAAATTCACTGTGACATGAATACTTTTTTTTTTTTTTTTTGAGACAGAGTTTCGCTCTTGTTGCCCAAGCTGGGGTGCAATTGCAGGGTCTTGACTCACTGCAACCGCCACCTCCCAGGTTCAAGTGATTCTGCTGCCTCAGACTCCTGGGTAGCTGGGATTACAGTCATGCACCACCACGCCCGGCTAACTTTGTATTTTTAGTAGAGAGGGGGTTTGTCCATGTTGGTCAGGCTGGTCTTGAACTCCCGACCTCAGGTGATCCACCCGCCTCGGCCTCCCAAAGTGCTGGGATTACAGGCGTGAGCCACCACGCCCAGCTGAATACTTTTAATTTTAAATTTTACATCATTTTATGTTATATTACATTAAATTATAACAGTCTTGAATAAGGAATATAAAACATAGAAAATGACTTATGTCTAGATACTGGGTCATAGGACCAGATGTGAATTACAGGTTTACATCTGACAATTGTTGTAGGATGTATTTTAAATAAAATTTGCCCTATGTCTGGTTTAACCTAAGCAGATGACTGAATTTTGATATGAAAACTTTCAAAATTTAATTTTAAGACCAAATTGCTTTTAGAACACAGTTATACATTTTCATCCCTCCTTCTTCCTATTTAATGGTATTTTATAACTTACTGCTTTGTGTTTGGGTGGGGCATCTGACTAGTTTAGGCCAATTAATTGTAAGAGGCAATAGCGTGAGTCAAAGCCATGCCAGATGAGCACTTAATTGCCACTAGAAAAGCTTACTGCGATTTCTTTTCCTCTGCCACAGTCACAGAAAAATTTCAATCTGTTAGTTGCTCTAGTAGCCTAGATCCCTGGAGTGAGGAGATATGGAGCACAATCCTTACTTTGTCTGAAATGAACATGCGACAACAAGAGTGAGAAATTAACCCTTGTTGTTAGGTATCTAAGAAAAGGTCAATTTGGTCCTGATATGACGTTTTGTATCTCACTGTAACCTAACCTAAATGACATATGAAATAGTTGAACAACTCTTTGTAGAGGACTTTCTATATGCCCAGTACTGTTCCACTCACAGTAAGTATATTGATGAACAAGACTGTAAAACTTCATGCCACAGTTGTTAAGGCTATAATCAATAATTTCTTAATTCAATGATATATAAATACTATGAAGTAATTAAGCAAGGTAATGGCAAGAAGCAAGTAAAGGAGGTACCTTGAAATAGTGATACTTGAACTGAGAAAATGATCATACAGAAATGATATTATGGAAATCTGGATCAAGTGCACTTTAGATATAGAAAAGCAATTTTCTGCAATAAAAACCATCATGGTAAATTGAGGAGAATGAACATCCTTTTTGGCTGAGGATGCCAGAAGCTAAGCATGAAATTAGATTGGAGAGAAAGAGATGGAACCAGTTTGTATAGGCACATGTATAGCATGAAAAGATGTTTGCAACGGAAATTTATTGGAATAGTACAATAAACAGGGAGATAATCTGATCTCACCTACCTTTTGAGGAGGTTGCTGCATTTTAGAAAAACAACTGTGGGCAGGGAAGAATGGAAGGAAGATCCCTAAGGCAGGTGCAAGGTACATTAGGCTATTGACTCAGAATAGCTATTTATAATGGAAAATAGTGAGAAATGGAGGAATTTGAGCTATATTTGAAGGTAACACAGAGAGCATATGCCATTGTTTGGGATGACTGGTGTTAGTGGATGGAATAGAAGAATAATCTGCCTCAAGGGTTTGGCCTAAACAAATGTATATATGGTAGTGTAATTATAGAGCATGAGATAAGCAGATTTGCTTTCATCATGTATTTACAGTAAAAAGGCATTTTCTTAAGCCTTACTTGTAAAAGAAATATAAATTTTCAGGACATTACAAATAATATAACTTTTCTAATTACATGCCAAAGGTATTATGTATAGCACTGTCCAAAAATGTTGACCACAAGAACAGCCCCATCCTATCAGAATATGTCTGCAATATAGTAAGGACTGATATAAAAGTAACATTTAAATATATCAGTATGACAAGTATAAATATATTCTAATATATACCATTAAACATTAATATTAAAATGTTAACAATACTAACATTCACATAATAATTATTAATAATTGTTAATTTAATATTCATTTTTGGCCTAATTCTTTTGAAATTATTTCTTACTTACTGTATTTTACTAGCTTTAAAAAGCCACTATAAGTCAGGGACAATTAACTTCATATGATAATCGAGAAGACACCATCAGAGAATTTTACTTGTTAATAAATAAATTTGGGCAGAAATTCAAAATGCTGACTATTAAACTACTAAGTTTGGTATCATAGCATGCTACTGGTGACTGAAATTTTCTTCATGCAATACCATGACACATTGGAAAAGGGAAGACAAAGTCAACAGAGAAAATAGATGGGTCCCATAGATCACAAAAGTGTCCTGTTTTGATTTCTTATTTGTAGTAAAAACTCTAGAGATACCATGGTTCCAGAAGATAAATAAATATCAAAATCTCAGAGGAGAAAGAAAATGACCAGAAACATATAATGACAGAAGACGTTTTTCAGAGGATATCCTACAATGTTACAATTCCTTTCATGTTTTTTTTTAGACAGAGTCTCGCTCTGTCGCCCAGGCTGGAGTGCAGTGGCGCGATCTCGTCTCACTGCAACCCTGCTTCACAGGTCCAAGCGATTCTCATGTCTCAGTCTCCTGAGTAGCTGGGATTACAGGTATGTGCCACCATACCCAGCTATTTTTTGTGTTTTTAGTAGTGTTGGGGTTTCACCACGTTGGCCAGGCTGGTCTCGAACTTCTGACCTGAAGTGATCTGCCTGCCTCAGCCTCCCAAAATGTTGGGATTACAGGTGTGAGCCACCACCTGTAATCAGACATAAGGAGTCCAAAAATAACTTTAGATTTTATTTTTTTTCTTTGTTTTAAGTGGAAATATTTTATCCAGCTGTGTGGACATAAAAGGCTGTCTCAATTTATTTATAGTTGGGTTGAGGAAGACGAACGTTTTGTATGAAAGAAAGCTAAAGGTTTCCCATCATTCCTAATTCTCCAAAACGAAGGAATTGGTGACTTCTAAATTTTATTATCTTTAAGATAACTTCTATGATTTGTTTTGTTGAATCATAGTTTGGTGTATCTGAAGTCTTTAAAGTACTATTCCCAGGGATAATAGGTGTATTTGCAAATGGTATAGATAATATTTGCAATCTTTGAGAAATCATAGTTATCAGAAGAAAGAAATATTGCATCACCAAAAATTCTGTTTGATATCTAATCTTTTCACTTTGTAAGGCAAGACAGTATTTTTTGTCAAACTTATTTAAAATCCAGTCTCTATCAGTTACTACCAGAGTTCTAGTTAAAGTGAAATTATATAAGACAAGAGTTTTTATTCTGACAGTTAAAAGTATGTTTTTAGGTGATATCATTAACCTCTAGGACTTAACATTAACTATATAATAATACATAAAGTTGCTTAAATAAAAGTAAGTTTGATTGTATGACCTAGGATCAGGAAAGCCAAAAAGTAATATATATAACTCTGTAATAGAACTTCAATAATTTTTGTGAATGAGATATTTGTGCATCAACATTATTATTGTTATTATTATTTAATTTTCGCTTTTATTTTAGATTCGGGAGTACATGTGCAGGTTTGTTACATGGGTATATTTTGTGATGCTGAGGTTTGGGGTTTGAATGATCTTGTCACCCAGGGAGTGAGCATAGCACACAATAGTTAGTTTTTCAACCCTCATCTCCCTTCCTCCCTCCACTGTCTAGTAGTCCTCAGTGTCTGCTGTTCTCATCTATACTATGCATACTCAATGTTTAGCTGCCATTTATAAGTAAGAACATATGGTATTTGGTTTTCTGTTCCAGCATTAATTCGCTTAGGGTAATAGCTTTCCGATGCATCCATGTTGCTGCAAAGGACAGGATTTCATTTTTTCCTATGGCTATGACATATTGCATGGTATATAGGTACCATGTTTTCTTTATCCAGTCCACAATTGATGGGCATCTAAGTTGATTTCTTTTCTTTTCTTTTCTTTTTTTTTTTTTTTTTTTTGCTATTGTGAATAATGCTGTTATAAATATTCAAGTCCAAGTGTCTGTGGTAGAACAATTTATTTTCCTTTGGGGTCTATTCCCACTAGTGGAATTGCTGGGTTAAAAAGTAGCTCTTTTTTAGGTTCTTTGAGAAATCTCCAACTGCTTTCTACAGTGGCTAAACTAAACTACATTCCAACCAAGAGTCTATAAGTGTTCCGTTTTCTCTGCAACCTCACCTACATCTGTTATTTTTTTTCTTTTTAATGCCATTATGACTGGTTTGAGATGGTATCTCACTGTGATTTTTTCATTTGCACTTTTGTAATTATCAGTGATGCTGAGCACGTTTTCAGGTTTGCTGGCCACCTGTATGTCTTCTCTTGAGAAGTGTTTATGTTCTTTGAGCACTTTGTAATGTGGCCATTCCTTTTCGATTGTTGAATCATTTATGTTCTTCATGGATTCTGGATATTTCATTAGACCTTTGTCAGATGTATAGTGTACAAATATTTTCTCCCATTCTGTAAGTTGTCTGTGTACTCCCTTGATTATTTCTCTTGCTCTGCAGAATCTATTCAGTTTAGTTAGGTCCCACTTGTCAACAGTTGGTTTTATCGTAATTCCTTTTGAGAACTTAATCATCAATTATTTACCAAGGCAGATATCCAGAATGGTATTTCCTAGGTTTTTGTCTAAGGTTTTTTAGTTTTAGGTCTTGCATTTAAGTCTTTCATTGATCTTGAGTTAATTTTTGTATATGGTGAAAGGTTGTGACCCAGTTTCATTCTTCAGCATATGACTAGCCAGTTATCCCAGCACCATTTATTAAATAGGAAGTCCTTTCCCCATTGCTTGTTTTTCTTGACTTTTGTTAAAGATCAGATGGCTGTATATGTGTGCAGCTTTATTTCTAGGTTCTCTACCCTTTCCACTGGTTTATGTGTCTGTACAAGTACCATGCTGTCTTGGTTGCTGTAGACCAGTAGTATAGTTTGAAGTTGAGTAATGTGATGGCTCTGGCTTTGTGGTTTTTGCTTAGCATTGCTTTGGCTATTGTAGCTCTTTTTTCAGTTTGATATGAATTTTAGAATAGTTTTTTCTAATTCTGTGAAAATTGATATTAGTAGTCTGATAGGAATAGTGTTGAATCTGTAGATTGAGGCACTGTGGTCATTTTAACAATATTGATTGTTCCAATCCATGAGCATGGTAAGTATTTCCATTTGTTTGTGTCACCTATAATTTCTTTCAGAAGTGTTTGGCAGTTACCCATGTAAATATCTCTCACTTCTTTGGTTATATGTATTCTCACGTACTTTTTTGGTGTATATGTGGCTATTGTAAATTAGATTGCATTATTGATTAGCCTCTTAGCTTGAACGCTTTTGGTGTATAGAAATGCTACTTGAATTTGTACATCAATTTTGTATCCTGAAACTACTGAAATGATTTATTAGGGCCATAAGCCTTTTAGCAGACTCTTTATGTTTTTCTAGGTATAAAATCATTAGTAAAGAGATAATTTTACTTCTTTTCGTATTTGGATGCCTGTTATTTCTTGCCTGATTGCTCTGGCTAGGACTTCTAGCACTATATTGAATAGGAGTGGTGAGAGTGAGCATCCTTGTCTTGTTCCAGTTCTTAAGGGGAATGCTTTGAGCTTTTTCCCATTCAGTATGATGTTGGCTGTGAGTTCATCATAGATGCTGTGAAAATACCCAATTGCTCCAGCAATCTTGATTGAGAAGATCAATCATTTTCTAACTAAATTGTAGTTGGAACAGTGCAATAAGTAAAGTGACAATGTATGTATCTATTTTAATTCTTTGGTCGATTTATCTGTCTTTGTAAATTTCACTTCCCTACAATGACATGAGTTTTACCAACGTTTTAAATCTGGTAGTAACTTGGTCCTTTATATTGCCATTTAAACTTTAAAATCAGACTGTAAAGCCCTTTAGGGGCAATAAAAGCCTTCTGATGATTTGCTTGAAATTTTATGGAATCTATAAAATGTTTGAAAATTAAGAAAGAAGCCTTCTAAATAACTATTTAGCCTTTCAACCCTTTAAATTGGCATATATGTTTATTCATGTAGCATTGTTATAATTTTTTTTCAAATATGCTTTAAATTTTTTTATTTGACATAAGGGTTACATAACATATCTTGCTAGTTTGCAAATATGTGATGATTTTCACTCATTTTTATTTTTACTTTTCTAGTTTGAGTTCACTATGGTCGGAGAATATGCTACATTATTTCAAAATGTTAAAGTTTGTTTTGTTTTGCTTTGTTTTTTCATAGTTCATCATATGATCTATTTCAACAAGAGAAGGAAGTTTTCTGCACATTTTAGATGTTCGTATTCTAAACATGTATAAAATGTAAATTGATTAATCATGCATTCAAAGTACAGATATCATGAATGTTTTTTCTGCATGCCTTATCTTTCACTAAAGGAATTTATTTCAATCTTCAGTTATGTTTGTTGATTTTTATATTACTCTTTTGAATTCCATTACTATTTTTGTTTTAAGTATTATAGACTTTAAAACTATGTTATAAGAAGCATAGGCCGGGCGCATTGGCTCACGCCTGGAATCCCAGCATTTTGGGAGACGGAAGCAGGCGGATCACAAGGTCAGGAGATTGAGAACATCCTGGCCATCATGGTGAAACCCCGTCTCTACTAAAAATACAAAAACTAGCAGGATGTGGTGGTGCATGCCTGTAATCCCAGCTACTCCGGAGGCTGAGGCAGGAGAATCACTTGAACCAGGGAGTTGGAGGTTGCAGTGAGCTGAGATCTCACCACTATACTCCCAGCCTGGTGACAGAGGGAGACTCCGTCTCAAAAAAAAAAAAAAAAAAAAAAAAGTTTTTAGAAATGCCCTGAGCTCCTATTGATTGAACCTTAAATCATTATCTCTTGTCCTTTAAATAATATATTTGGTCTTGGGACTTACGTGTTTTGTTATTAATAGAGGGATACAACCCTTCCATTCATTAGTGTTCACAATATAAAACTTTATGAAATATAACATTTTTCTTCCTTCTAGTTTTAATCTATGTTCTTACAGTGTCTCTCATGACCATGGCAATCACATGAATTTTCTTTGTCACATTTAGAAATCTTTGTCTTATAAAAAAGATGTCTATCTTTGGATAATTTTAGACATACAGAAGAGATAGACATTAACAGGGCTGCTGGGCTGGGTGCGGTGGCTCACTCCTGTAATCCCAGCACTTTGGGAGGCAGAGGTGGGTGGATCACCTGAGGTCAGGAGTTCAAGACCAGCCTGGCCAACATGAGGAAACCCCATCTCTACTAAAAATACAAAAAATTAGCTCGGCGTGGTGGCAGGCGTCTGTAATCCCAAATACTTGGGAGGCTGAGCCAGGAGAATCACTTGAACCCGGGAGGTGGAGGTTGCGGTGATCCGAAATCAGGCCATTGCACGCCAGCCTGGGCAACAAGAGTGAAACTCCGTCTCAAAAAAAAAAAAAAAGAGGGTTGTTGTTTACCTTCATCCATTTTCGCCATATATTTACATTGTACACTAATCCAAGAAAATGGCTGTAGATCCAGCTCTCTAAGAAAACTCTCTTCCTTATCTAGAACTTTAGTTTATTTACACCTTGTTTTTTGCACACTCCTCAAATGTTTTAAAGAGTATGACCACATTTCAATATTTCCATTTATTTCTCATTATTGAAGTAAAAACACTAGCCTGGTGCTACCTACAACACTCTATCAGGAAACAAAGTTTATTCAAATTTAAATTGTATGACATTCAGTACTTTCTATATATTGTCTGATAACTATTTCTATATTATCTGTTAATCTGATAACAGTGTATGTGAAGACATCTTAGATTCTTGTGATATATTTTACAAGATAACACATAAAAATTCAAAGTTAAGTAGAATATTTTAAAGGATTACTATCAGTTTTCAGAAAGACACCTACTAACATTTCATTTTTGTATGTTGAATCATTATTACTATTATTATTCAGAAAGACACCTATTAACATTTCACTTTTGTGTATCGAAGGATTATTTGTAGTGTGCTAGTAGATTTGCACATGCTTTTCTCAGTCCTTTATTAAATTTCCCTAGAAATCAATGCTTAGATAAGAGTGAGAATGACAGAGATAGAAGTACTTTTGTAACCAGTAAACCAACCATCTTCAAATGGTTTGATAGCAATCATAAGTAGGAACAGATTATTCTTAATTTAATAAGATTCCTGGGACATTAGGAATATCCTACATATGCCCAATCTCTCCCATGTGTTTTTCACTTTCTGCAAGATATGTGAAATTTTGTAGGAAAAGCCTGCCCATTTAGAATCCATATTTTATGGTTTTGAAATGTATAGACAACATAAAATAGAAAATTATTAAATGGTTACTAAAGTAATTTAGTTTGTGGGGACAAGATGAAAGGTAAATAATTGTGTGCTGGAAAGGGGAAGGAGGGAAAGTTTGAAAACAAGGGAAAAGGACAATTAATAAAAGAGGCTGCAGATCCTAAAGAAGACCCTCTTTGTTGTCCAAAGTGATATCAACCTGAGTTGTCTTAGCAAATTCATCTCTCACTAGCTAAATTTCCAAACAGTTGTACAATAAATTTCCTGAGATGATAGATACAAAATACTAACAATAAATCTAAATAATGGAGATAGACTTTTCTGCCAATGATCTTAGAATAAAGTGAAAAAATTAGAAAAAGAACAAAAAATTTCTCGCAAAACTAATGAAGTGTTGTGCTGGAATAAGTGAATTCATTGAAATGAAGTAGCATTAAACACAAACAAGGAAGGAGGAGTAAGAAGAAATTAATAGAGAAAAATATTCCTGACCTTGAAATTTTAGATAATTCTTTTTATCTTGAGATCATCCTTTATAATTCTACTTATTTTTCTAAAGTGGTATGCTGCTATCATTATTAATTATTCTAATAAAATTTTTTAAAAGTTTATAATTTTTATTTTATTTGTAAGGATTTTTGCATGGGGACAAGATTTTACTTTACTTTTTATAATTTTTTAATGGAACATATGTTCCTATGAACAGATTTAGTAGCTAAATCATTGTCACTTTAAAATTACAAAAGATGACTTTTGATACTTTTAAATGCCAATTACTAAGTCATTTGCTTTCTCAGCAGGCTTTCTTTTCCTTTTTTGTTAAATCTCAACTAATTATGACACACTGTGATCTTCTCACTAACACTTTAGAGACATATCATTAGCACATTATTTATTGCTTTTTATCTAATTGCCTCTTGGAAAAGATGAACACTCTACTATATATTCTGCTGTAGCAACCAAAGATTGTTAAGCATGCATCTTTTGACTTATTTTAGGATATTAATTTATCTGGGGGGCAAACACTATATCAAATTTGTTATGTATCTATATGAAACTTATGACTTGAGGCATTCTGGGATATACTTTTAAAATGTATACATATACACAAAAATGTATATAATGTAATATATATTTTACATATTCTCCTTTAATGAATTATCTTTATATATATACACACACATAAACAAACACATATACTTTATAATGAATCATTTTAATAAATAAATGTATATGGCTTCGTTTTACAAAAAATATTCCTAAGAAAATGGAAAGTTTCGGGAAAATTTGAATGACTTTTATAAACACTTGTCTGTCTTCGTTATAAATACAGCATGCCTTTAATTTTATAGAAAATAAGATGCCATAAAGTCCAATTTTACTTAAATTTAAGGGCATATATAGAACTAACTTTTAACTTAATATTGTATAATAAAGCATGAAGACAGTAGAATTTTTTTTTTTTTTTTTTTTTTTTTTTTTTTTTTTTTTTTTAGACAAGATCTGGCTTTGTTGCCCAGGCTGTAGTGCAGTGGTGCAGTCTCAGCTCACTGCAGCCTGAACCTACCAGGCTCGAGCAATCTTCCCACCTCAGCCTCCCGAGTAGCTGGCACCACAGGCGTCTGTCGCCACACCCAGCTATTTTTTTCATTTTTTGTAGAGATGAGGTCTCCCTATGTTACCCTGGCTGATCTGGAACTCTTGGGCTCAAGTGATCTTCTCACCCTCGCCTTGCAAAGTGCTGGGATTAGAGGCGTGAGCCACCACATCTGGCCTGACAATATAATTGTTTTATGTATCTAGCATTAATACTGAAGACATTTTCCTTACTGTTATGCACACTTTCACAGTAGCATTTTTTGTTAACAAAATAACAATAATAATTTGCTAATTTTCATTAGAAAAACACATTTAAACTTGCCTTTGATAAGTTTTGCAATGAACATTTACGTCAACGTTAGAATACAAGAAGAAATAACTGAAAGATGATTGGTGTTTTCATTTAAAGGATTTTTGTTTGTTTGTCTGTTTGTTTTGAGACGGAGTCTCGCACTGTCGCCCAGGCTGGATGGAGTGCAATGGCGTGATCTCAGCTCATTGCAACCTCCGCATCCCAGGTTCACGTGATTCTCCTGCCTCAGCCTCCCGAGCAGCTGGGATAACAGGCACATACCACCACACCTGGTTAATTTTTTGTACTTTTAGTAGAGATGGGGTTTCAATATGTTGGCCAGACTGGTCTCAAACTCCTGACCTTGTGATCTGCCTGCCTTGGCCTCCCAAAGTGCTGTGATTACAGGTGTGAGCCACCACACCCGGCCCATTTAAAGAATGTTTTAAAAGAGTGGACTTCATATAGAATACATTTGGTTTATATAAAGGGGGTATTTTTTATTATTCTTTCTTGTAAAATATTAAAAAATCTGTTAAAATAGATTGACTTCTGTTCATTTTCTTGATATCAACAATTTACATGGAATAGAAAGAGATAAGAAAGAACAAAAATTAAAAGTGAGGTCATTTAAAAATGTCAAAAATTAAGAAAAATGTTAAAAAATAAAAATTTTACTGAATATTGTTTTTAAGTAGCAAATATTTTCTAAGAAAAAAAACTTTGTTCTGGAAGAACTACAATTTCCCCTAAAGCTTTATAAGTTCAAAGTTGGGACAGACTTTTTAAGGAAAAGAAAGATTAACAAGAGAAAAAGAGGGAAATGTATTAATATGTGTAGAGTACATCGTAAGAGAGAAGATGCAATAAAAGGCAACAGAGTAGTGGCTTATAATGCTGCTTTATATATCATTTTTCATAAAGTGCAATAGAATTTAGAGAAGTGATAAGACAAAGGAAAGCAATTTTGGGCTTCTTGAGGTGGAAAATTATGGAAAGGTAAATACAGGGGAGTAAACTAACAGAATAAGATTTGTTTGAAGATTCCTCTAGTGCTGTCTGTGAGCTGCTAAGACTTGTTTCCAGTACAGTAAATAATTTATTTCTGTTGGTGAAAAAGGCAGGAAAGACAAAAAGAGCTCTTCCTGTCTTTGCTTCAGTGTTTCTAAATTGCTTTGTGCTAAAACAAAATGTATGTGAAAGAGGTATATTTTGGGGTCACATGTTTTGGTTTTCTTCACCTTCAACTAAGTGAAATAGGGGACTTCATTTCTGTTACATAATATTATTTCCATCATTTCTATTACATAATAGCTCCTTGGGATCATACAAATTATTCATCTTTGTTTTCTTGCAGCAATTACATTACTGTCCTATTCAAGCTTAAATTTTCATATGACATTACTTAGATAAAAATGATGTGTATGTGTGTGAGAGAAGAGAAAAAAATAAAGAGGATACATTTTGGGGTAAAACCTTATATTTCTCTATTTGTGACTCAAGGAAAAAAATAACTGAGTAGGAGGGATTTTAAGAATTACCTAATTAAATATATATTAGATTATTTCATCTTTAAAATGCTTTTTGTGATTTTCTAAGTTGGATAATATAAGAAAAACAAAGAGAGATGACAGAGATATTTCAATGCCAAATATCATCTTCCTCACCTTAGAAAATTTAGGCTATTTTTATTTGAGGATTTGGTCACTAAAATATTTTGAATTGAAATTTTATAAGAGATTTCAGAAAAGTATGTTATTAAGACATGGCGAGAAAAATATTGTTTCCCAAATCTGTACATTATGAGAAAATTTAGGTCTGTGGAAGATAAAAAATTTTACTTTCATAACCTTGAAGAATATTATACAGTGAGGGGTTAACTCTCTGGTAATGACAGAGGAAAGAGTTAGAGGCTGGCTAGGCAGATAGAGAGGGATGGCCTCGGGAGACCAATAACGCCTGTGGGAACACACTCGCACTGCCCCTGTTATGCAACTGGCAGATAGAAATGTGGTTAAGAACTTCCTCTTATACCAGGATATTTGCTCAGAAGGGACTGTCCTGACTTAGGTGCAAGTGCAATAAATCAACTAAATGTCCTTAACCTGACCCAAGCTCATTATAATATCATTAACATGACATCTGCATTGCTGTTTGCCCCCACCTCTCTGACTGGGCTTTTCTGTGGTGCTTATGGGTAATAATTAAGATGAAGTAACTATGGACAAGAATGCACCTGTGCAGACCAGGAAGTAACTAGGAAGTAGAGGGTTGTGTAAGATGCAAATGAGAAAGATGCCCCTAGAAAGGAGGTATAAAAACCACTGGGGACAAGTTTGTTGTTGGCAACCCATTTTAGGGTCCCTTCTCTTTACTGAGAACTTTCTGCTGCTTAATAAAACTCTGTTCTGCCTTACCAACCCTCTTGTGTCCAAGTACCCCATTCCTCAAGGTCGTGAGACAAGAACTCAGACCTTGCTGAACTAAGGAGTAAGGAAACGGCAACAGTAAGAAGTAACCTAATAATAAAGTTCAGCTCCCCACAAAATATTGAAGGTGGTTATTTGACACCTTGCTTGTTTAAGTGTTGAGATCCTAATATACACTTCTTGTTCCCATATAGAACAAGCAAACCAAACAGAATAAGAAGACAAAAATAACCAATACTTGCTGGAAATGAGACTATGCTCCCAGAGAAAGAATGTTCAGATAGTGAGATCTCTCTTTGGAATTTTAGAGTTAGAAGATTGGGTGATGGAAACAATTTTAGCATGATTGCCTTCAAAAAATGGGTATTTAAAAATTTTATTCATCTTTATTTTATATTGTGTGGGGTTAATGACCGCTTTATCTGGTTGAATCATTTTGGTAGACAAAAAAATTTATAATTTTTTTGTGAATAAATTAATATAGCTCATAAAAATTTTAAAAAATGCATTTGTAAATATCCCATCTCAAAAGAGCCGATAAATATCTACTGTCAACTGTGCTTGGTAGGGGTATGATTAAGAATTATCATCTTGTTTTTTCAGTTTTTTAATTAACTAATATCTGTTAGAAAATAGAAAACCATATTTCAGCAGTCATATAACTATATGAATCTCCTTTTTCGTTATCTTTCTCTATCTCTCTATAACATAACAAATAATGTTATTTTCCCAATCACAACTAAAGGAGATTTCTATAAATCTTTTAACCAAGTCTTTTATAACAAAATAGCCGCTTGCATTCTGCCCTTCATTAAAGAGAGGCATTTATGGAGGGATTTTGTCTATATCTTTCCTTTTTAAACCTTAAATCATTAAAACAGACACAATTTTTGTGCCGAGTGATGTTATTAAACAGAAATATAGCTAGAATGGACCACAGACTAGCCAAAGAGGCTTTGAACAATACTCTCAAAGCTTTTCCTGTAAGTGGTCCTTGCATTGTTTCTTCATCTCAAACACTAAGAGAGCACATGAGCAAAACGCATTCGCATTTTGATTCTATAAATTCAAATCAACAATGCAAATCTTTAGTTATTATATTTGCATTAGATCAAAGAGATGATCATGCCTCAACGTACCATGGCATACTATCTTCTACAGTAGTGTATTTTTCAAAAACACTGAGATTGATAGTGTAGATTTTACTTTGACTCAGGTGCGTGTGTGTGTGTGAGAGAGAGAGAGGGAGAGAAAGCAGGAAGGGGCAAAAGAGCAAATGAGGAGAGGGACAGTTTTCATAAGAAGTGATATGAATCTCACTCATTGACATTACTATTCTCTCTGTACCTCTCTCTGGCTGAGGATTGTAGTATCCTTAAACTTTCACACTGTATCTGGCATATTGAAATGTTATTGATTTAGTATATTTTTAAACATGCTATCTTCTGGCCGCGAGTGGTGGCTGACGCCTGGAATCCCAGCACTTTGGGAGGCTGAGGCAGGTAGATCACGAGGTCAGGAGTCCAAGACCAGCCTGGCCAAATGGTGAAACCTCGTCCTACTAAAAACACAAAAATGAGCTGGGTGCGGTGGCAGGCGCCTGTAATCGTAGCTACTTGGGAGGCTGAAGCAGGAGGATCGCTTGAACCTGGGTGATGGAGGTTGCAGTGAGCCAAGATAGTGGTACCACACTCTAGCTGGGTTGCAGAGTGAGACTGTCTCAAAAAAAAAAACAAAACTGTCTTCCTTCCATCACTTTATATATACTATTTTTCAATTGATTCTATAAATTCAGGTCAACAATTATAATTTTAGCTATGTGTAGTTTTATTTATTCTGCAAACAATTATATTTTATATAGGTTAATTGACCACTATAATTCAATATGAAAGATAAATTATGTGTTCTTTTTTGAAATAAAAACAAACAAGGAGTTTACCTTATCTACTTTCTTCACCAAATCTTAAACTGACTTATTGTAACATCTGCGTTTAAACAACTTGTCAACTCACGGGCATCTGTAAAAAGATTGACAATATCAGTAGTGACAGGTTCTGAGGAATCCATATAATATTCTAATAGCCATGTAACACAGAAGTCTAGTGAGCAGCTGGCAAGACGCAACTGTTAAATGTGCATCATCTTGAGGTAGGAAATACAAGATAACAAATCACAGTTGCTAAACAGAAATAAAAACAAAGCCATCACCTGTGTCTCTTCTCAAAGGACAAAACTATTCTTTAATTGCATTATAGAAAAAATTTATTATGCTCAACCTAGGAGATCATGTTGTTAAATAACTTTAACTGTATTCATTGTAAAATAAGTTAATAGAATCTAATTCATTTTACTATTAAAATACATTGATACAAAAGATAATTGCAAATGGTCATTAGTTTTAGATGTGAATAGCTGTGGCTTTTACAATTCATTTATCCAAAAACTATAATCAGTCAATTTTCCATTTTATTTTAACTCAATAGAACAACTATTAAAACAATTTTGGCATCAATTACCTGTATAACCCAGATAAGCCGTATAATAGCGTTGTCGTGTGTTTAAAACCAAGTCACTGAAATTTTTCATATGATAATTTTTGCACACAATAATCATAATTATCATCAAGCATAATGCTGAAATTTGTTTAGGGTAAATCTAGCTAAGGAATAAGTAATTTCAAATTTCTTTAACACAGTTCCTTCAAATAAGGGTACTAATAGAATTTGTTGGAAAAATAAAAGCCTATTTTAAAAATAAAGCATTAATGCTTAAGAAGTCAAATAATCATATTTGTCATAAATAAAAATTACTATATATGAAAAATTACTAGATATACAATTATATATATGCTATATATACAAAAATATACTATATATGAAAAAAGATAAAAATTGGAACTATTACCTGCTAATAAAATTATTTGGTTCAAGCGATTCTCCTGCCTCAGCCTCCTGAGTACCTGGGATTATAGGCATGCACCACCATGCCCAGCTAATTTATTTTTGTATTTTTAGTAGAGATGGGGTTTCACCATATTGGTCAGGCTGGTCACAAACTCCTCACCTCGTGATCCGCCCGCCTCGGCCTCCCAAAGCGCTGGGATTACAGGTGTAAGTTATCCTTTTCTTTCCCTTGTTGGAGGAGGACTCAATTCCACAGCTTCATCTTAGATTTGGCGTATGATAAGGAGTCCATGCAACCCCCCTCACGACACATTTTTGTTCCAAACTCAACTCCAAGCTTTAGGTCAAAGCCCTAAGAAAGAAAACTGGGTCAAAGAAATCCAGAGGCAGATGATGACTGAAGTTAAAAGGCACAGTTAAAAGGTGAGCATGGCTAATTCCCACTGATTAAGCCAAGCCTCCCATTTCATGAATAAATGTCATGCTAATATCCATGGCATAAATGAGGTCTAGGGAACTCCAAGGCTACTGGCAGTAAGGGAGAGAGAGATATAGGTGAGAGCAGATAATTCCTATTTTGTAGCCCCTCTCTGCTTCTTGGGTGCAAGCAGCTTTGGGACCCATGGGTGGCACCTGCCAAGGTCACAGGGACTTGAGGACGCAAGGATGAAAGAGGGAAAGAGGATACTCTTCTTTCTCTCCCTCATGTACCCCGGGTATTTTCTAGAAAGAAAAGGGAACCAGGGATGCCTACTCCCCTCTTTCTAGTTGAGTAGCTATTCATCTTCAGTCTGTACCCCTTTCAAATGCATCCTGAACCCCTGGGTCTCCTTTGAAAAAATGTCTTCTTTTTTCCTTCCTCCTCCTTTGTCCTCTCTTCACTGATAGGTAATTGTGTCTCTGTACTATGGGACACTCCCCTTAGTTGCATTCTCCAAACTGGAAAGAGTTAATTTCCCAAACCTTAAGCTGGTTGGTTTAGGATTGGACTCAGGGAAGGGAGCCCAGAAACCCAACATGCTGGCAAAAGGGTAAAGTTGTTGTTGTTGATTTTTTTTTTTAACGTGTCGGGCTGTTGGCCTCCTTCTCTCTGTGCAAGCTGGTAAAAGGCCTCAGGATGTTTAAACTCCCTTTTTCTCATTTTGATACATGTTTTATAATAACCCGGTTTGTCTCTTCTTGCCTTCAGGCCCTCAAACTCCAAACAGTCAAGCAACCAGAGCCTCTGATGATAGTGCCTTCTGCTGGGAACCCTTAAACAGGCTTCTGAGAGAGGTCTGACTGCTGTTTTCCCAAAGCAGTGCCACCTGTCAGCAGGAAGCAGTTAAGATCGGTCTTCGTCCTTATCCTTATTCTAACAGCAGTTAGACGTACTTCTTTAGAAGGGGAAATGAGACAACCAAGAATAAAGAGGTCCACAGCGAACCTCTGACCAGCCTGCATGCAGGGAGGAGTGTGCACTGGGATGTAGCCTTGGGAAGCTGGCGTTGTGTGCGGGGGTGGGGGCGGGGGAGCCTGGCCTCTCCTGTTCCAGGGTGGCACCTGGGATTCAGTCTGTGAGGTGGGAAATGGGCTAGCAGGACTCTCACTTTGCTGAGAGTCCCTGTTTCTTTTTTTTTCCTCTTTGCCCAATAAATTCCATTTTTCGCACCCTTCAAAATGTCTGTGAGCTTAATCTTTCATGGTCATGTGACAAGGACCCTGTTTTTGGATGAACTAAGGAGAAAGTCCTACAACAAAATGGCAGTAGTAACACTAAGAAAGAGAGCTCTAGTGCTTTGAGGAAGAGTGTCCTTGAATATTTGGCTGACTTAGAACACATAAGTTATTTGAGAAAACAAGACATCCGTAAAAGAATTAATAGAAGCAAGCAGGTGCAACAGAACAATCTATGTCACCCAAACGGAGCCAAGAATAGTTGACTTCTTATCAGCCAGAGCTGAAACCTTTCAAAATGGACAGTAAATTTTGGTTTTTGCTTTTAGTTTTGCCCTCACTGGGCTTTAAAATCAACCCTCAAGTAGGTAAAATTGATTTTAATTGATTTAACTGTACTCCAAAGTCCCAAAATGTCAAAAAATTCAAGTATGCGACAATCTAAAACTTACCATAATTGAATCAAGAACTAACAGGTATGCAGGAAAAAACAATAGCTTATGACTCAAAATTAGGATGAGAAATGTTTTTAAAAGGCATCATAAGTAGAGAGTGACAAAGATACAAATACAGAATATATGTCATCACACAATGCAAGCCAGGAAGCAATGGGAGGGCATTGTTAAAAGGTAGAAAGAAAAATGAAGCTGACAACATAGAATTCTAAACTCAGAAATACATATTTTTTGTTAAAACAAAAAGAAGACAAAATAAAGGCTATTCACATATACTGCAGCTGAAAGAATGTATTGTCACCATATCAGTTCTACAAAAAATATTGATGATTTCTTGTTACAGAGAATAATATATGAAAGGAAAATGTAGAACTATACAAATCAATGAAAAGCATAAGAATTATTAAATGCATGGGTACACATAAATGAGCTTTTTGCTTTTGCCTTCAATTTTTTAAAAATAATTACTGAATATTTAGAAGAAAACATTGAAAATGAATTGCTATGTTTATAATATGGAGGTAAATGTGAAGCTATACTAAAAGGCCAGAATAGAGAATACTGATAATACCATGGTAGTTTGATATTTTGCATTAGGTAATTATCTAGGGAAATATAAAATATTATTTGAGCTAGACCCCAATAAGTTAATGATGTATATTGTAAATTCTAGATGAACCTAAAAAATAGTACAACTAAAAATCAATAAAAGAAATAAAAGTAATAGAAAATAATTTCTCTAGAAAAAAAGTAGAAAATAAATGAATATATCAAAATTCAGAATAAGAATAAAATACATGAAAAATGGTAGTTAAAATGTTAAATATAGTTTAAAGCTTAACATCAGTAATCATCAGATAAATGCAAATTAAAACTACTATGAGATAGGCCAGGCACAGTGGCTCACGCCTGTAGTCCCAGCACTTTGGGAGGCCGAGGCAGGCAGATCATGAGGTCAAGAGTTTGAGACCAGCCTGGCCAATATGGTGAAACCCCGTCTCTACTAAAAATACAAAAATTAGCCAGATGTGGTGGTGCACGCCTGTAGTCCTAGCTACTTGGGAGGCTGAGGCAGAATTGCTTGAAACTGGGATGCAGAGGTTGTAGTGAGCCAAAATCATGCCACTACACGCCATCCAGCCTGGGTGACAGAGTGAGACTTCGTCTCAAAAACAAAAACAAAAACAAAAAACTACAATGAGCTATTGTCTTACACCAGTCAGGGTTGCTATTATTAAAAAAAAAATAACAGATGTTGGCAAGAATAAAGACAAAAGGGAACACTTATACACTGTTGGTAAAAATGTGAATTAATTCAACATCTGAGAAAGAGAATAAGCAGATTTCTCAAAAAATTAAAAATAAAACTACCTTTTGACCCAGCAATAACACTCCCAGGTATCTACCCAATGGAGAATAAATTGTTGTATCAAAAAGACCACTACACTTGAATGTTTATCAAAGCACTATTCACAATAAAAAGATATGGAATCAACCTAAGTGTCCATCAATGGGTGACTGGATAAGGAAAATGTGGTATACATACAGAATGAAATACTACCCAGCCAACAAAAAGAATGTCTTTTGCAGCAACATTGATAGAACTGGAGGCCATTATCGTAAGTGAAATAAGCGTAGAAAGCCAAATACTGCATATTCTCACTTATAAGTGAGTGCTAAATAATATATACACATGGACATAGAGTGTGGACAATCGAGACTTGGAAGGGTGAAGGAGTTGGAGGAAGGTGAATAATGAGAAATTACTTAATGAGCAAAATGTACATTATTCAGGTGGTGTCTGAAAAGCCCAGAGTTCACCACCATGTAATATATCCATGTAACAAAATTATACTTGTATCCCTCAAATTTTAAAAATAAAAAATATAAATTAAAAATAAATAAAATAGTTTACAATGTTAACTAAAAGGCAAAGATTGTAAAATTGGAGGAAAAAACAATGTATATTCTATCTACATATAATTCAAACTATAAAGGTATAAACATTAAAAACTAATTAACGAAAAATGATGCATTGTGGTCACACTAATCAAAATAAACCAAGAATGGTATATCAATATTAGACAAACTACATTCAGAACAAGAAACACACGGAACTACCTAAAGCTATAAAACCAGCAACTATAATTACACATAGTAAATATTGGATTTAATTGTAAATTTTAAAAAAATCTTTCTTCTATAATCAGGAATAAGTCAAGAATATTTGCTTACACCATGTCTGTTAACATTTGTAAGCAAGAATATTTGCTTACAACATGTCTGTTAACATTCCTGTACTTCCTTATTTGTTGGCCAATTGTTTCATTGCATTATCAAATTTGTAAAATAGTTTGTGGTCTTCTCACTGGAAGATAAGAAAGCGACAAAACTACACTCTTTGGTATCTTTGTAAGAATTGAATTACAATTGCATAGTTAAAGTAGTGTTTATAGGGATACTTGTGGAATATGACACATATTTGGAAGGAAGAACAGTCTGACATCAATGATTGAGGCTTCCCTATAATAAGCTAGAGAAAAAATGAAGAGAGAAGAACAAATTTAACAAATTGTGAGGAATAAAATAGAGGCCTGGACTCTCTACTCAGTGCAATAATACAAGAAAAATAAACAAAAGTTACACCTAATGAAAAAGAAAATGCAATTTTTGGATACATAATCAAAACATTAAGAATTATCTTACTGTAGATTATAAAGGTATAGGAAACAAAAAAATGTAGAACTCATTTAAAACTTCTCATTTATTTGTAAGAAACTTATCAGTACTCTGTAAATTGTGCTGGTCTTCTTATTCTTGTGATATACATTACAATATAGACCAAGTATGTTTTCTATATTGAGGCAACATACATCGTTTTAAGTTTGGATCAGCCTTCAACAATTTATTCATTGTATTTTTATGAAAATTTGTTCATTTGATATCTGAGAATGTTTAATTGGAAGTTTTTTTTGCTAGCGTCATTTTCTTTGGGACTTCTTTATCCTTTTGGTAACAACCATTTTTTTTCAATTATGTTGACAATTTCATCTTCAGTATGTTCCTTTAAATGCATATCTAGAATCTCTCAAATGGTGACAGTCTCAACATTCCCATGAGCACCAATTTTCTACCTGCATTCAATTTTTTTCTTTTATTATTGTTTTTATTTTTCATTTCCTGTACTTCCTTATTTGTTGGCCAATTGTTTCATTGCATTATCAAATTTGTAAAATAGTTTGTGGTCTTCTCACTGGAAGATAAGAAAGCGACAATACTACACTCTTTGGTATCTTTGTAAGAATTGAATTACAATTGCATAGTTAAAGTAGTGTTTATAGGGATACTTGTGGAATATGACACATATTTGGAAGGAAGAACAGTCTGACATCAATGATTGGGGCTTCCCTATAATAAGCTAGAGAAAAAATGAAGAGAGAAGAACAAATTTAACAAATTGTGAGGAATAAAATAAGAGGCCATCACCTAACACAGGGGTCTCCAACCCTTGGGCCATAGACTAGTCCCAGTCCATGGCTTGTTAGTAACCGCGCCGTGTAGCAGGAGGTAAGCAGCAGGCCAGGAACAAAGCTGAGTTCCCTCTCCTGACAGATCAGCAGTGGCATTAGATTCTCATAAGAGCCCAAACCCTATTGTGAGCTGCACATGCAAGGGATCTAGGTTGTGCGCTCCTTATGAGAATCTAATGATAAATGTAATGTGCTTGAGTCATGCCAAGACCACCCCTGCATTAATGGAAAAGTTGTCTTCCACTAAAGCGGCCCCTGATGAGGAAAGGCGAGGACCACTAACCAACAGACACTAAAATTATTTTTCAAATAATTTAAGAAAGACTTTCCATGCATAAATTTGGCATGATAGAAAATTAAGTTAACTTGAAAACATAACTAAGCAAAGTACACTCATGAGAAGATAACACAAAAATGTTCACCTATAAAAGGACTGAAAATGTATTAATAAAAAAAAAAACTTGCTACAAAGATAATATAAACTATATTCAAATAACCCTCAGGGAGATAGATGCAAATTCCTACTCAAATCTTGGCAAATTAAATACAGTAATATTTTTAAATTATCATTAATAAACATAAGTGGAGTTTATCCCTTTTTATATGATTGGCCAGTTCAATTTAATGTATTAATAGACTAAAAAAGACAAAAGTGTTTGGTTATTTTATAATTTAACAAAATTTTACCTGTAAAATCCATCAATATTTAAAAATTAAACAACAGTCTTCTAGATAACATATTGGTCAAAGAAAAAGCTACAAGGGATATTTACAAAATACTTAGAATACAATATACCAAATTTGAGTGCAGATAAAGCAATGGTTTGAGGAAAATGTATAACATTAGCACACATACTATTACTACTAAAAAAAATTAATCAACAAATTAATTTTTCTAACTGAAGAAAATAGAAAAAGAGTAAGTAAATTCAAAGCTATAAGAATAAATAATAAAAAAAGAAAAGGTAATTATGATTCAATTCAAAACAAAATAAAATATAGACCAAAATTAATGCAGGTAAGTATTCATTTCTGAGATTTTAAAATTGACAAGTCTTTTTCCATATTGATGAAGACAAAAAGGGAATAGATACAAATAATATCATGAATGATATAAGGGATATCAACTCAGATTACTGAGCCTGTAAAATTATAGTAAGGAAAGTTTTGTCAATAAATTTAACAAATTCAAAAATGTACAAATTTTTTAAATGTCATATACTATTGTAGTAAATCAGATAGAAGTCACCTTACTATTCAAGTTTCTATTAAAATAATCATTAAATTTTTATGAGAGTGAAAATGCAGTATCAGAGTACTTTACTGATTAGTTTCATCCTACATTTAAAGAATAAAAGAATACACAAATTTTATATAAGCTCTTCCAGGAAACAGAGGAGGAAAACATATTTGTCAGCTTATTATATGATGCTCTCAATATATTAATACTAGAAAAAGGCAAACCATGGCAAGAAAACAAATGCAAAAATGCTTAATAAATATTAGCAAATCAAATTTAGCAATATAAATAACATGTCATTATTTGGGTGAGGTGGAGATAATCCCAAGCATGCAACATTGATTCAACATTCAAAAATTAACTTATTTTATTTGTAGCATCAATTTAGTAAACAAAATATATAAACATATAAATAGATATAGAAAATTAACTTTATAAAATTTAACATTTATTATCTGAAAAATAAGAAATTAAAGGAACTTTCTTATATTTTTCTTTTCAGGATAGGGTATTCTTGGTTGGCATTTTTGTTTTTCCTTCAGCATTTTGTATATGTCATCCCACTCCCTCAGGGCCTGGAAGAATTTAGATGAGAAATATGCTTCCAGGTATATCAGAGCTTTTTCATATGTTATTTGCTTACTTGTGCCTCTTCTCTTCCTCCTTTCAGGATCCCTTTTTTCTCTTGACCATTGAGGTGACCTTTGATCTACAACAACTAATGAATCAGAAGACATATATGTATTTTATAAATAATGCTTTCAGGCGTTGGGAAGAGAATTTCTTTCAGTCATCCCTAAAATGTGACTGTCTAGGAATTATGCTGATTACAATGGGATATTTTTAAGAAGCTTTCTTTTCCATCATGTCCACCTCTACATTTTGAAATCACAGTAAATAAGTTAGTGACACCCTCTGAGGCACAGGAAAATTGATAAATTGAGGAATAATAGAAAAAAGAATAATAATATTAATAATATATTAATAATATAGGTTTATCCTAAAATGTTTTTGTGTAAACATGGTATAATCTTTTTTAAAAAATAAAATTTATCCAAAAACAGTTCATAACTTGCTTCTAGAAGATAAGGTCAACAATTACATATAAGGTCTTTTAATGTCCACTCCTCAGTTTAATGCAATTGTGTTTACTATCATTATTTTTAACATGACTTTTAAATGAAATTATGTTTATTATAATAAATATAAGAAATTTATAAAAATAAAAGAGTGAAATACACTGTCACATAATATTACACTATCAAAAATAACTTTTAAACAAAGTAACTTTTTTTTATTATCCTTTAAGTTCTAGGGTACATGTACACAACGTGCAGGTTTGTTACATATGTATACGTGTGCCATGTTGGTGTGCTGCACCCATTAACTCATCATTTACATTAGGTATATCTCCTAATGCTATCCCTCCCCACTTCCCCCACCCCATGACAGGCCCCAGTGTGTGACGTTCCCCTTCCTGTGTCCAAGTGTTCTCATTGTTCGTTTCCCACCTATGAGTGAGAACATGTGGTGTTTGGTTTTCTGTCCTTGTAATAGTTTGCTCAGAATGATGGTTTCCAGCTTCATCCATGTCACTGCAAAGGACATGAACTCACCCTTTTTATGGCTGCATAGTATTCCATGGTGTATAGTGTCACATTTTCTTAATCCAATCTGTCATTGATGGACAATTGGGTTGGTTCCAAGTTTTTGCTATTGTGAATAGTGCCCCAATAAACATACGTGTGCATGTGTCTTTATAGCAGCATGATTTGTAATCCTTTGGGTATATACCCAGTAATGGGATGGCTGGGTCAAATGGTATTTCTAGTTCTAGATCCCTGAGGAATCTCCACACTGTCTTCCACAATGGTTGAACTAGTTTACGGTCCCACCAACAGTGTAAAAGTATTCCTATTTCTCCACATCCTCTCCAGCACCTGTTGTTTCCTGACTTTTTAATGATGGCCATTCTAACTGGTGTGAGATGGTATCTCATCATGGTTTTGATTTGCATTTCTCTGATGGCCAGTGATGATGGACATTTTTCATGTGTCTGTTGGCTGCATAAATGTCTTCTTTTGAGAAGTGTCTGTTCATATCCTTTGCCCACTTTTTGATGGGCTTGTTTGATTTTTTCTTGTACATTTGTTTAAGTTCTTCGTAGATTCTGGATATTAGCCCTTTGTCAGATGGGTAGATTGCAAAAATTTTCTCCCATTCTGTAGGTTGCCTGTTCACTCTGATGGTAGTTTCTTTTGCTCTGCAGAAGCTCTTTAATTAGATCCCATTTGTCAATTTTGGCTTTTGTTGCCATTGCTTTTGGTGTTTTAGTCATGAAGTCCTTGCCCATGCCTATGTCCTGAATGGTATTGCCTAGGTTTTCTTCTAGGGTTTTTATGGTTTTAGGTCTAACATGTAAGTCTTTAATCCATCCTGAATTAATTTTTGTATAAGTGTAAGGAAGGGATCCAGTTTCAGCTTTCTACATATGGCTAGCCAGTTTTCCCAGCACCATTTATTAAATAGGGAATCCTTTCCCAATTTCTTGTTTTTGTCAGGTTTGTCAAAGATCTGATGGTTGTATATGTGTGGTATTATTTCTGAGGGCTCTGTTATGTTCCATTGGTCTATATCTCTGTTTTGGTACCAGTATCATGCTGTTTTGGTTACTGTAGCCTTGTAGTATAGTTTGAAGTCAGGTAGCGTGATGCCTCCGGCTTTGTTCTTTTGGCTTAGGATTGTCTTGGAAATGTTTGCTCTTTTTTGGTTCCACATTAACTTTAAAGCGGTTTTTTCCAATTCTGTGAAGAAAGTCATTGGTAGCTTGATGGGGATGGCATTGAATCTATAAATTACCTTGGGCAGTATGGCCATTTCCACGATATTGATTCTTCCTATCCATGAGCATGGAATGTTCTTCTATTTGTTTGTGTCTTCTTTTATTTTGTTGAGCAGTGGTTTGTAGCTCTCCTTGAAGAGGTCCTTCACATCCCTTGTAAGTTGGATTCCAAGGTATTTTATTCTCTTTGAAGCAATTGTGAATGGGAGTTCACTCATGATTTGGCTCTCTGTTTGTCTGTTATTGGTGTATAGGAATGCTTGTGATTTTTGCACATTGATTTTATATCCTGAGACTTTGCTGAAGTTGCTTATCAGCTTAAGGAGATTTTGGGCTGAGACGATGGGGTTTTCTAAATATACAATCATGTCATCTGCAAACAGGCACCTCTCTCACCACTCCTATTCAACATAGTGTTGGAAGTTCTGGCCAGGGCTATCAGGCGGGAGAAAGAAAGAAAGGGTATTCAATTAGGAAAAGAGGAAGTCAAATTGTCCCTGTTTACAAAGTAACTATTTTAAATATGCCAGCAAATATCTGTACAGATAATAGATTGTCCAGAGGAGCTATTGCTCAAAACTCTCTGGAATTTTAGTCTTTTTCCCAAATAATGGGGTTAATGAAAACTTTAACTCATTCCCATGAAGGAATAAAATGGATACATGAACACCATGAACAATATAAGATGACTGCTGCATAATCAACCCCAGTTGTTTAGTGCACCCCTTTGCAACACTAATGGAAGCTACCATAGGCCCCAAAGTATTTTAGCTATTGTCTAAATAGTAGACTTAAGGAATTTTTTTTAAAAAGAGATCTGAAGTTGAAATACAGTAAATTTTATTAAAGTACCTAAGAATGTCTGAAAGCCTCCTAAAAGAAAATATGTGTTCAAAGATTAACCAAATGGAAGAGATTACTCTCTATGTGATAGTAGTTCCAGTCAATATGCAGTCTTATTGATTTAAACAAAGGCAAAGAAAAACACAAATTTATTTTAATGTCTAAAAATTCTTCTCTGAATATCACTGAATATTAAATCATAGAATGTTAGGCTTGGCTGGGTGCAGTGGCTCACGCCTGTAATCCTAGCACTTTCAGAGGCAGCGGTGGGCAGATCACTAGGTCAGGAGTTCGAGACCAGCCTAACCAAAATGGTGAAACCTTGTCTCTACTAAAAATATAAAAATTAGCTGGGCATGGTGGTGCGTGCCTGTAATCCCAGCTTCTCGGGAGGCTGAGGCAGGAGAATTGCTTGAACTTGGGAGGCGGAGGTTGCAGTGAGCCAAGATTGCACCACTGCACCACTCCAGCCTGGGTGACAGAGTGAGACTCTGTCTCAAAATAAAAATAAAATTAAAAAAAAAGAATGTTAGGCTGGGAATTACATGTGAAAGAATATAATCTTACTGAACTTTAACTCTTAGCAAGGACTAAATTATTTCTCTCAATTTAGAGAAATAGAATTATAACCTATATTTCCTAACTCCAAGTTAGTGCTCTTCTAAAAACAATTGAGTAAACGGTTTTATCTTTCCGTTTCTGCCTGAGTTAAACTGACTTACAAATTATATGATTAACATATGTGAAACACATATAATAAATCTACATTTATGTAAAGACAACATTCTTCTTTACCAATTCCATTCTTAGAGAACACTGGAAAACTTCGATGAAGAATGACTTTCCCTTTAGCCTTTAAGTCATTTAAATTTAGTGAATGCATTCACTATTATATTCCCAACATAAACGGCATAATCTTTCTCATCTCTGTTTTATTCCTCGTTGCCCATATGTAATTGACTAAACTGAAATTAGTACAGCAAATTTTTCTTCAGTTTGTTGAAGTTGCAAACATTGATTCTTGAACTAACAGCATTTTTTATAATAATGATATAGGTAAAGATCAGCATCATTAGACTATGGAGCAGAGTTGCCTGAACATTCGTGGAAAAAAATAAATTGAAAGTGGTTATTACAACTATCCTCACTACACTTCCTTGAAAATACACAGGATATCTATTGCAAACTTGGATACAAACCATTACTCTGCTATTAAACAATATTAGTCTAAATATCTATAGTTTAACACAGTTATTGCCTCATTATACAGGATGTTGATCTTATATAGTGTAGAGTTCAACTGTTTTTCTATTGCAAAAATGAAACATACCTTACAACTTCAAAAGGCAAAATATACTGTATTAAAAGGAATTAAATCTTTGAAAAAATGAAAGCTGATATGATAAATGATGCTGTCTACTAAAATCATCAGAATAACTAAAATAATTAGTCTCATCACAGAAGCAAGAGTCATTTCAAAAAGAATAACTATTACTCAAACACTTTAAAATATTGATAATTGTTATAATTACCAATGAATCATTCAAAATATACATTGTTCCTAAGATAAAATTCTTGTTAATTTATTTGAGGCACTAATTCATAAATATACTGAACAAAAATGTAAAGATTATAATATGGTTTGGAGGTTTGCCTCATCGAAATCTCATGTTGAGATGTGATTCCCAGTTTTGGAGGTGGGGCCTGGTGGGAGGTGTTGAATCATAGGAGTGGATTCTCCATGAAATGCCTAACATCATTCTCTTGGTGATAAATGAGTTCTCATTCTGAGTTCACACAAGATACGGTTGTGTATAAAGAGGTCTCTCTTGCTCCCTCTCTCACTATGGGATGTGCCCGGGGCCCTTTTACCTTTGGCCATGATTATAAGCTTCTTGAAGCCTTCACCAGAAGCACATGCTGGCTTCACACTTCCTGTACAGCCTGCAGAACCATAAGCCAATTTAATTTTTTTCTCTATAAGTTATCCAGCCTCAAGTATTCCTTTATAGCAATGCAAATGGACTAAAACAGATTGTGTTGTGATTTTTTTACACTCATAAACATTGCTGAAATTTGTGGCATAATTTAAATGATTTTAATGATATTACAAGTGGTCATTAAGCCATTTTAATTTTCCATCTATAATGAAAGATAAAAAGATCTGTAGCAGATATATCATGAAAGTATCAAAAGAGTCTTAAAAACTGAAGTATTTCTTGTATATATGGGGTTCATGAATATTAATACAAAAATGAAAATATTTCTTCCCATACCTGTTTATTAAATTTAAAAAACTGTATATATTTCAAATATGAATGGTATTATGGATTGAACTGTGTCACCCAAGGAAAGATACTTTGAAATCCTAAGCTCCAGCATTTCAGAATGTGGACTTATTGGAAATATAATTATCGCAGATGTGATTAGTTAAGATGAGGTTATACAGAAGTAGTGTGGACCCTAATCCAATATGATTGTTATCCTTATAAGAAAACTGCAGTAAAAACAGACACGCTGAGGCAGAACGCTATGTGATGTTGAAGGCAGAGACTGAAGGCAGCTGCAAGCGAAGGAACATCCAAGATTGCCTGAAAACCACCAGAAGCTAGAAAAAGGCAGGGAAAGATTTTCCTACAGGTTTCAGAGGGGAGTATGTCTCACCCATCCCCTTGATTTTGGACTTCTAGCCTCCAGAAAAGGAAACAATATTTTTTATTTTATTTTTTGTTTGTTTGTTTGTTTTTGAGACAGAGTCTAGCTCTGTCACCCAGGCTGGAGTGCAATGGCACCATCTCTGCTTACTGCAACCTTCACCTCCCAGGTTCAAGCAATTCTCTGCCTTAGCCTCCTGAGTACCTGGGACTACAGGTGCCCGCAACCACACCTGGCTATTTTTTTTTGTATTTTTAGTAGAGACGGGGTTTCACCATCTTGGCCAGGCTGGTCTTGAACTCCTGACCTTGTGATCTGCTTGCCTCGGCCTCCCAAAGTGCTGGGATTACAGGCGTGAGCCATTTTTTATTGTTTTATGACACCCACATTGTTATAGCAGCACCTGGAAATTAATTCAAATTGTATTTTCGTATTTTCAGCTTTCAAGGAGACTATGAAATTGGAAGAAAGAAAAGTGATCCCAAATTACAATCACTGATAGATATATAATGTACAAATAATATTAAAATATTTATCTGATGCTTATATATGTGTGTTTGTCAACAATAAATACATTTATTTGCTGTTTTTTTTAGACAGGCATTCAAGCTAGGCATCTACTCTGATAAGAATACCATATTTCTAGTACTTTCAGTAGCATGTGACTACATTGTCAGGTTGAAAGTGAAGGAATTGCTATGGAAGTGATTGGTAGATCTTCTAAAGAGATGCCCATCTCTTTACTTTGTAATCAGACTGACATTGACTTTGTATAATGTGGCCATTCTTGTCCTTCAGAGCTACCTTTGTGCATGTGCTTTTGAAATATCACCTACAGCTTCAATAGTCCCCAGTTTCTATCTCTACCTCAGATCTCTCTCCTAATGACAAGACATGAAAATTGATTGTCTAACTGATATCTTCTCTTTTTTGTCTCAAACACCTCTCAAAATCAACAAGATCAAAGTCAAACTCTAGATTACAATACCGCCCTTTTTCTTCTTCAATGTATCTGCCTTTTCTATTTCTCAGGTCATGAACCAATAAATGAGTTCTCTATTTCTTCTACTTCAAACTTTCCATCTGAAATCTATTAAGAGATACTATTGGCCTAATCTGAAAATACATCCAAAATCTACCTACTTCTACAACTAGTACCATCCACCATTATTTTTCTTCTGAAAAATTACAGTATTCTCTGAATAAGTATTTCTACTTCTTCCTTTGCCCCTTGTGTATTCTCAACATAGTCATCAGAATGAGCCTTTAAAATACAAGGGAGAGGTCTTTCAGTCTGGGAAAGATGGCATATATTCATCTCTCTCTGTCTCCACTACATAAAATGACAAATCCTGGAACCAATGCAAAAGAGAAGCAAAGGAAAACTCCAAACATTGGAAAGAAAAAGGCAGAATAGTTAGGGACCCCAAACATGAAGGAGGGGTATCTTACATTTGCTGGTCTAATATTTTATATTAAAGACTGTCAACAGAAAGTAGTCCATGTATGCTCATTCCTCCCTGAATTGAAGGGGAGTCAAGCCCATGACATGAGGAAAGTACAGCAGTATTGACAAGGGAGAGCAATTGTATGCCCCACTAAAAATAAATGGACAGCCATAAGATCTTTCCTTAGCCAGGCTTAAAGTTCCCTCCCCAGTCTAGGGGACCCAAGGCTGGGTGTCATCCTCACCACAAGTGCCTGGCCTTCAGCCTTTTTTTCTCTCTGCATTCTGGAGACTCTGTTCCTCAATGTAGACACAACAGGCTTTCAGGCCTGGGGAGGTGATATCTGTCTTCCTGAGCAGCACCAGCAAGAGCTAGGAGACCAACAGGAGCCCAAAAGCATAAGATAACACAAGCACATCAAAATAGTATTACACTGCATCTGAAACTAAGGTTGCTGTTGGAAACACAGCTCCCCAAAATAGGCTAGGACCTGTATAATAAGCCTAAGAAAAATGATTTTTCACAAACAAGAGTTAAATAAACAGTAATCAGAATCTCCTGACTCAATAGCCAAAATATCAAGATCACAGTCAACGATCATCTATTGGAAGAGCCAAGATGGCCAAGATGGAAGAGCCTCTCATACTCAGAGACCAGACCACTAAGAAGACCTGCACAGTCCAAGATCTTCAGAAGGAAGGCACTGAGAATATACAGCCCAGGGAAGATGCAGACCCTGGGCTAAGGGAGAGAAAGCTGGGAACGCTTCACAGGGTTATCTAGCACTACAACTGATTCCTGGCTAACAGCAGCTGTGAGAAAAGGGGTGAGTTACACAGGCATGTAGTTGCCACTCTAGCCAAGAACCTCCACAATCTTAGACGCAGGAGATCCCATGCACCCCATGGACATTTGGGCTGGCCGAGAGAGCTGCTTGGAGAGTTGGCTGGGACAGGACTCTATCCTGTGCAGGACCCAGAGGGTTTGACAAACAAACAGCTGCAGTGGAACATGTCCAGGGATATCCATTTCCTAGGCTCACAATGCTCCTGTAGGTGGCTTTGACCTTTGTTGACTATCTGGACAGAACAGGGCTACCTTTCCAGTGAGATGGGGCCAGTCTGATCTGGGTGTCCCCCTGTCTGCTTTTCTAAGGGTCATGCCTGGTCACACCTGCTTACAGCGCAGCCTCTGATGTCCAAGCAGGGCACTTCCCAGGGACCACCACAATAGCGCCTTTGGTGGTAAACCTTGTGTAACTGTCAGAGAGCTTCTGCAGTCAGGCCTGTGCTGGCAAACACTGACCATAGCATCCCCCAAATGTTTTGTCAGAACAAGGGTGTGGACCTCACTGCAGCTGCCCTGCTGCTACCACTGCATGTGTGTGAGCATGAACCCCACTGCCATTGCTCCAACAAAGTTGTTTTGCTGGCACCCCCTATTGGAATGTTGTTGGCAGCAGATCGAGAACATCTTGACCCCTCCAGTGCAGCAGATTCTTAATGTCACAGGGCCAGGGAACAAAGCTTTGGGCCTGGTTCCAACTCCCCAGGGTCAGAACAGGCCATCCATGGGTGCTGAGCTGAGCCTTGGCTCCCTAGTATTGGCCAGAAGTGAAGCCAGTCAACACAATCCAACTTATACTGTAGTCAAAACCTCAAGGGTATCCATGAATATATACATATAAAAAAGCCCCATTCAAAGAACATCAACTACAAACACTAAAAGAACACTATTCCACAAAGATGAGAAAGAACCAGTGTAAGACCTCTGGCAACTCTAAAAGCTAGAATTTCTTCTTACTTCCAAATAACCACATTAACTCCACAGAACTCTTTCCTTACCAGAATGAAATGTCTGGAAAGACAGACATAGAATTCAGAATCTGGATGACAACAAAGATCATCGAAATTCAGGAGAAGGTTGAAACCCAATCCAAGATATGTAAGAAATTCCATAAAATGATACAAGAGCTAAAAGATGAAATAGCCATTTGATGAAAGAAAGGAAAAAAAAATAGACCTGAGAGCTGAAAAACCCACTATAAGAATTTTATAATACAATCAGAAGTATTAGCAGCAGAATAGACAGACCAAGCTGAGGAAAGATTCTCAGAATTCAAAGACCTGTTCTTTGAATCAACTAAGTCAGACAAAAAGAAAGAAAAAAGAATGAACAAAACATCTGAGAAATATATGATTATGCAAAGAAACTAAACCTATGACTCATTGGAGTCAAAGGAACTCACTGGAGTCAAAGGATCTAAACCTATGACTCATTGAAAGAGGGAGAGAGAGAACAAGCAACTTAGAAAACATATATTAAGATATCCTCTGTGAAAATTTCCCCAACCTTGCTAAAGAGATCCCCAGTGTGATACTACACAAGTCAAACCTTTTACAAGACTATGACTCAGCAGATTATCCAAGGTCAACATGTTAAAAAAATATATTAAAGACAGTTGGAGAGTAGGGGCAGGTTATTTACAAATGGAACCCCATTAGGTTAACTACAGACCTTTCAGCAGAAACCCCAAAAGTCAACATCTTTAAATTAAAAAAAAAAAATTACCAAGAATTCCATATCTAGCCAAAGTAAGCTCTATAAGTGAATGAGAAATAAAATTGTTTTCAGACAAACAAATGCTAAGGACGTTCATTACATTGGATTTTCTTTGTAAGAAGTTTTTAGGGGCATGCTAAAGTTGAAAACTAAAGACCCTTACTGCCCACCACAAAACGCACTTAAGTACATAGACAATTGACATTATGAAGCCACTATGCAAACAAGTCTGCAAAACAACCAACTACCAGTGTGATGACAGGATCAAATACCCACATATAAACTGTAACCTTGAACATAGTAATAAATGGGCTAAACATACACTTTTAAAAGCAGAGAGGGTAAAGTTGGATAAAGAAGCAAAACCCAACCATATGCTGTCTTCATGATACCCATATCATACGCAAGAACGCACATCAGCTAAAAGTAAAGGGATAGAGAAAATTCTATCAAGCAAATGAAAAAAAAAACAGCAAAAAAAGGAGGGGCTGCCATTTTTATTTCAAACAAAATAGACTTTAAACCAACAATTATCAAAAAAGACAAAGAAGAACATTACATAATGATAAAGCATTTAATTCCATAAGACTTAACTATACTAAATATAAGTGCACCCAACACTAGGACACCTAGATTCATTAAACAAGTTCTTAGAAATCTAGGAAGAGATCTAGATATCTAGGGAATTTAGATAACTACGCAGTAATAGTGGGAGACTTAAAACACACCACTGACAGTATTAGACAGATCACCAAGGCAGAAAATAAAAAAAAAGGATATTTGGTACCTAAACTAAACACTTGACCAAATGAACCTAATAGATAAATACAGAACACTGCACCCAACAACAAGATAATATAAATTTTTCTCACCTGTACATGGCACATATGCTAAAATCAACCACACATTCAGCCACAAAGAAATTCTCAACAATTTTTTTAAACCTGGAAATCATAACAACCATACTCTCAGACCACAACTAAATTAAAAACAAAAATCAATACTAAGAAGATCTCACAAAACCATACAATTACATGAAAATAAAACTTATCTGATTCTCAATGACATTTGGGTAAAGAATGAAATTAAAGCAGAAATCAAGAAATTCTTTGAAACTAAAGAAAATGAAGGTACAACATATCAGAATCTCTGGGACTCAACTCAGGCAGTGCTAAATGCCCACATCAAAAGTTAGAAAGATCTCAAATAACCAGCCTAACATCACACCTAAAGGAATGAGAAAACAAGAGCAAACCAACCTCAAGGCTAGCAGAACAAAATAACCAAAATCAGAATTGAGCTGAACAAAATTGACATTTGAAAAATCCAACAAGATATCAACTAAACCAAAAGTTGGTCATTTGAAATAATAAAATTAACAGACCCTCAGCTAGACTAATAAAGAAAAAAAAAGAGAGAGAAATACAAATATTTTAGAAATGACAAAGGAGACATTTCCACAGACCCCACAGAAATACAGGAAAAAAAAAAAACCTCTTTATGCACACAACCTAGAAAACCTAGAAGAAATGGATACATTTCTGCAACACTTCCCAGATTGAACCAGGAAGAAATTGAAACATGGAATTGACCAATAATGAGTTCCAAAATTGAATTAAAAATAAAAACCCTACAAACCAGAAAAAACCCTTGAACAGACAGATTCATAGCCAAATTCTACTGGACATATAAAGAACAGTTGGTGACAACACTATTGAAACTATTTCAAAAAATTTGAGGATGGACTCCTCCCTGACTTATTATCTGAGTCCAGTGTCATTCTCATACCACCAACTGGCAGAGACCCAACAAAAAAATTAAAACTTCAGGTCAATATTCCTGATATTTCCCAACAATATAGTAGTCAATCAAATCAGTTGCACATCAAAGAGCCAATAGATTACAATCAAGTAGGTTTATTTCTGGGAGGTAGAGTTGGTTCAACATATGCAAATCAGTACATATGATTCATTACATAAACAGAACTAAAAAAATGATCATTTCAATAGATGCACAGAAGACTTTTGATAAAATTCAACATCCCTTCATGTTAAAAACTGTCAAAGCTAGGCATTGAAATAAAATGCCACAAAATAAGAAGAGCCATCTATAACAAACCAATAGCTAATGTCATACTGAATGAACAAAAGCAGAAAACATTCCCCTTGAGAACCAGAACAAGACAAGGATGCCCAATCTCTCTACTTCCATTCAACATAGTACTGGAAACCCAGCACAGTAAAGCAAGAGAAATATGTAGCACTCATCCAAATAGTAAGAGAGAAAGGCAGACAATCTCTTTTCACAGACAATAAAATTCTAAACATAGAAAACCATATAGACTTTACCAAAAAGTCTCCTAGACTTGATAAACATCTTCAGCAAAGTTTCAGGATACGAAAACAGTGTACAAAAATCAGTACCATTCCTATACACCAACAACATCCAAGCTGAAATCCTAATCAGGAACACAATTCCATTCACGATTCCTGCAAAAAGAATAAAATATCTAGGAATACAGCTAACCAGGGAGGTCATCTTAAAATTCTTTACAAGGAGAATTACAAAACACTGCTAACAGAATTTAGAGATGACACAAACAAATGGAGAAACATTCCATGCTTGTGGATAGGAAAAATCAATATTGTTAAAATGGACATACTTCCCAAAGCAATCTACAGATTAAATGATGTTTCTATCAAACTATCAATAACGATTTTCACAGAATCAGCAGCAAACTATTCTAAAATGCATATGGAACAAAACAGGAACCTGAATAGCCAAAACAATGTTAAGCAAAAAGACAAAGCCAGAAGCATCACACTACCTCACTTCAAACTACACTACAAAGCTATGGTAACCAAAACTGCATGGTACTGGTACATAATCAGATACATGGACGAATGGAACAGAAAACAGAGCCCAGAAATTAAGCTGCACACCTACTACACCCATCTAATCTTCAACAAGGTTGACAAAAAAAGCAATGAGGAAAGAACTCCCTATTTAAAAAACGGTGCAGGGATAATTGGCTAGTTATATGCAGAAGATTGAAACTGGACTCCTTGCTTTTGCCACATACAAAATCAACTCAAGAAGAATTAAAGACTTAAATGTAAAACACAAATCTATAAAAATCCTAGAAGAAAATGTAGGAAATACTCTTCTGGATATGGGCACTAGCAAATATTTCATGACAAAGACACCAAAACCAAGAGTAATCAAAACAAAAATTGACAAATGGACCTAATTAATTTTTTTTTTTTTTTGAGATGGAGTCTCGCTCTGTCACCCAGACTGGAGTGCAGTGGCACGATCTCGGCTCACTGCAAGCTCTGCCTCCTGGGTTCATGCCATTCTCTTGCCTCAGCCTCCTGAGTAGCTGGGACTACAGGCGCCTGCCATCATGCCTGGCTAATTTTTTGTATTTTTAGTAGAGACGGGGTTTCACTGTGTTAGCCAGGATGGCCTCAATCTCCTGACCTCATGATCTGCCCTCCTCAGCCTCCCAAAGTTCTGGGATTACAGGCGTGAGTCACCACTCCCGGCCAACAAATGGACCTAATTAATTAAAGAGCTTCTGCGCATCAAAAGACATAACAGAGTAAAGAGAAAATCTACAGAATGGAAGAAAACGTTTGCAAATTATGCATATGAGAAAGGTCTAATATCCAGAGTCTATAAGAAACTTAAATTAACATACAAAAACCAAACAACCCATTTAAAAATGGGCAAGAACATGAACAGGCACTTCTGAAAAAAAGACATACATGAAGCCAACAAGAATATGAAAGAATTTTCAACATCACTAATCATTAGAGAAATGCAAATCAAAACCACGATGAGATATCATTTCACACTAGTCAGAATGGCTATTATTAAAGAGTAAAATCAACAGATACTGGTGAGGTTGCAGAGATAAGGGAATGCTTATAGACAGCTGGTGGGAATGTAAATTAGTTCAGCCACTTGAAAAGCAGTTTGGAGACTTATCAAAGGATTTAAAACAGAACAAACATTCGACCCAGCAATCTCACTACTGTATATATACTCTATGCAATATAAATCATTCTCCCATAAAGACACATGCAAGTGTATGTCCATTGCTGTACTTTTCAAAATAGCAAAGACATGGAATCAATCTAGATGTCGAGCAGTGGTGGACTGGATAATAAAACTGAGGTTCATATTCACTATAGAATACTATGTAGCAATAAAAACCAAAATCATATCTTTTGCAACAATACAGATGGAGCTGGAGGCCATTAGTCTAAGCAAATTAACACAGGAACAGAATGCCAAATACCACTTCTTCTCTCTTGTAAGTGGGAGCTAAACATTGAGTGCACATGGGGAAAAAAAAAGGGGAACAATAGATATTGGGGTCTACATGAGGGTGGAGGGCGAGGAGAAGGTGAGGAACAAAACACTATCTATCAGGCACTATGCTCATTACCTGGGCGATGAAATAATCTGCACACCAAACCCTCACACCATGCAATTTATATGTGCAATAAACCTACACATGTACAACCTCAACCTAAATTACAGCTGGAAGACAAGAGAGATCATCTCTCATATCAAGGACCAGGAAAATCACAACTTGAATGGGAAAGAAACAATTAGATAACAGTGACACGAAAGGAAATCATCTACTAGAATTATATGCCAAACATTTTAAAGTAAATATCATGAAAATAATTCAACTAGCAATTATAAGTTATCTTGAAACAAATTAAGAAATGGAAAAAAGCAAAAATTACAATTTATAAAAGAGAGTCAATAGAAATTATAGAATGAAAAATAAAGTAACAAATGAAAAGCTCATCAAAATAGATAATATTTGTAATCATAGGACAGTCCTCAACAAATATAAAATAATTAAAAATTTTACAGAGATTGCATTCTCTGGCCATAATGAAATCATATTAGAAATCAATAACGAAAGGACAACAAAAAATCTTTATGCACTTGGAAATTAAACTACAAAAACACATATAAATAATCCACGCATCAAAAGAAAAGTATCAAAGGAAATTCAAACAAACAAAAAACATAAATATGTAAAATTTAGTGGAAATGATAATACAACATCTCAAAATAAGTTGGATATAATTAAAGCATTGCTGAGATCATTGCACACACTAACAAAGAAGAAAGGTGTAAAGTCGTTAACCTAAGTTCTGACATCAGGAAAATGAAAAGAAAGAAGTAAGTACTTTATGGTGAAAGACTAAATGCCTTTCCACTAAGACCAAGAAGAAAGAAAGGTTCTCTCCTTTTCTGATTCTTGTTTAATGAGAAAACGCACACGCAAAAAGAAGTAAAAGGCAAACAGATGGGAAATAAAAATAAAAATAAAACTTTCTTTGAAAATGACATAATTCTCTGTGTAGGGAGAATTTACAAATAATCTCCTAGAACTAATAGGGACATTCAGCAATGTTGCAAGACATATGATCAACAAATATGTCATTCACATTTTAATATAAATAGTTTACCCTTAAACAGCACAGGTTTAAACTGTGTGGGTCCACTTATATGCAGATTTTCTTCAACCTCTGTCATCCCTGAGCTGGCAAGTTTAACCCCACCTCTTCCACCGTCTTCTCAGTTTATTCAATGTGAAGACTCAATGTGTAGATGAATATCTGTGAAGATCCACTTCCACTAAATGAATAGTAAATATATTTTATTTTCCTTATGGCTTCCTTAATAACATTTTATTTTTGCTAGTCATTTTATTGTAAGAATACATTATATAATACATATACAAAATATGTAAGAACGGACTATGTTATTGGTAAGGCTGCTGGTCAACAGTAGGTTATTAATAGTTAAGTTTTAGGGGAGTCAAAAGTTGTTGCATATAGATTTTGGACCGTGCAGGGGACAGTTCTCTTAACTCCTGCCTCATTTAAGGGTCGACTATACTAACAATGAATATGTGAAGAACAAAAATTAAAAACTACAATGCCATTTTCAATTGCTCCAATGACAATGAAATCCTTGAGTAGACACTTAAAGTATGTATAAGATCTATATTCTGTAAACTAAAAAATTCTAACAAAAGAAATCAAAGAAGATGTAAATACGTGGAGACATACCATACTAAGATTCAACAAAGTGAAGATGTCAATTCTCTTGAAATTCATCTCTAAGTTTAATGAATTTCAAGAAAAAATTCCAGTTTGGCTCATTTTAGATATAGCCAATCTCACTCAAAGATATCATATGAAAAGATCCAATCTCTTTTAGCTAAAACACTGTTGAGGAAAAGGGGAAGGAATCACCTTACCTGACATTATGGCCTGCTGTATAGCTACAGTGGTCAAGACAATGTTGCATTGGTAAGGGGACAGACCAATAGATCAGGAATATGGCACAGAATACAGGATTCAATTCCCACTACCCCACATCTGCAGAATTCCAGCCTGAGAAGCCATTGGTGTGTAACACAGACAAAGGACCACCTTGGAAGTGAAGCCACTGCAGAGAATTCCTTCGGGAAAGGGGCCCAGGCAGAGAGCTTCTTTGAGGATGGAGTTTCCCAAAGCCATAACGTCAAGACCCCCCATCCCAGAATCCGAGGAAGGCAGAACCTCTGCCCCAGTGTTTCCTAAAGGCAAGACCCCCGCCACAGTGGGTCCAGAAGGTGGGACTGCAGACCCATGGCGTCTAGAGGGCAGAACATTAAGCCAACGAAGACCATTCTCAAGCCTTTAGTTTAATATTACTTGCTCTGTTGGCTTTGGGACTTACTTCTTACGTTTTACTTCTGTTTTTTCGTTTTTTAATTTTTGTTTGTTTGTTTGTATTCCTCACATTTGGAATGGAATGTTTGTCCTTCAACCATTCTATCACTATGTTTTCAAAACACATAACCTGTTTGATTACATGGTCTCACACTGTAGGAAAACATGCTCAGGATGAATGTACCTTGAGTCTCATCCATGTATGATTTAGAAAGTATTTAGATGAGGCTTTAGACTAGATTTCTGAATTAATGCTGGATAAGTTAAGACTATTGTGGATATTGGGATGGCTTGAATGCATTTTGCAGTGAGAAGGATATAAATTTGAGAACACATAATCATGTTTACTCAAAGGGCATGATTTCTTTCTGTCTGACACTCCAGCTAATGTCACAACACTTTCCAGTTTACTTTTTGGGCACGAAGTACATTAATTTTCTTTTAGTCTCTTTAGTCTTTCTTGAGCAGAGATTTCTAACTCGTCATAACCCATTGCATCTTACCGGGCACTCTAGAGGTCTACATTTCCTCTTTCTTTTGCAGTTAGTTTGGGCCGTGTTACTCTTATTTGGGGTTTTACTTCCAGGCTGTGTTTAAAGCTACTTAGATGATTTCTTCCACCATCTTTGCTCCTTTTCTCTGTTGACCCACACATGCAGAATTTCCAGAAAATGAATCTCAGAGACCCGACTTAAGAGTTACTCAGAATAGAATGAGAAATAAATGTCCTGGGTTGATACTCTTAGTCTTCATTACCCTCCGTAATACAAAAACATCGCTCATCCCAGGACCACTGCGTTTGTCACACCATTTGTCTGAGATTCTCCTCCACTTAGTTCTCACTTGTCTACTGTTCTTCCTTCATTTTGGGTTTTGGCTCAAAATTACTTTGTCAAAAAGGCCCTGTTTTATTGACTGTTAGGTAACAATGGTTATTTAGTCTTTTCACACACACTATTTCCCTTTATTGCACCTACCAAATATACAACGAATGTTTATTTGTGCAGTCATTTTTAAAAATATGTGTTTTCTTACAAGACTGCACATTTCATAAAATATGATTTATTCAAAAGTCACTCCCCTGTTCCAGCAGAAATATATAGATGATAAGGAAAATTATCACCCCTGTAATCCCAGCACTTTGGAAGGTGGAGGCAGCTGGATTGCTTGAGCCCAGGAGTTTGATGCTAGCCTGGGTAACATGGCAAAACACTGTTTCTACCAACAACAACAACAAAAATAGCCAGCAGGGGTGGCTCGTGTCTGTAGTCCCAGGTACTCAGCTGAGGTGGGAGGATTGACTGATCCCAGGAGGTCAAGGCTGCAGCAGTGAGCTGTGATCTTGCCACTGCCCTCCTGCCTGGGTGACAGAGTGAGACCCTGTCTCAAAAAAAAAAAAAAGCCACCATTTTATGTAGCATGTAATAAACGAGCACAATGAGGAACTTGAGTGTAAAAATTTTAAAAAGAAAAGTATGATGATGATAAAATGAACCACTAAAACTAAGAACAATAAGTGAAAAAAAATCACTTTTTTCTGAGTGGGAGAAACAAAGGTATAGAGACGGTCTTGCTAAAGGAAAATTGTAAATTTAAGTAGCAATAAAGAACGTGGCATAATTTTCTCCAGCAGTATTCAGTGGCAGAGGAAAAATATATGCATGCAAGTAGTTTGGTTGATTGAATCTGTGGACAGAAAAAAATAAAAAAGAAAACCAATTGATGAATTGTGGGAAACTATTTCAAGCAATGGCCCGGGTCTTCTGGAGGTATTAGGGAATATTACAGCATGAAATGACATATCTTAATAAAGAAGTTTAGAGAGAATAAGAAAACAGTATAGTCGAATATTGTTATAGTAACTACAATAATTAACTACAACAATTCATCATTATATTCAAAGACAGAGACCAAAAGATCATATTGAAACCAACCCAATAGTCTCATGGACAGTTGTTTTTGGATAAACATAGAAATTGCCCCTTTCTGGTCTTAAAACTTGAAGCCGGCCAGGCGCGGTGGCTCACGCCTGTAATCCCAGCACTTTGGGAGGCCGAGTCAGGTGGATCACAAGGTCAGGAGATCGAGACCATCCTGGTTAACACAGTGAAACCCTGTCTCTACTAAAAATACGAAAAATTAGCAGGGCGTGGTGGCGGGTGCCTGTAGTCCCAGCTACTCGGGAGGTTGAGGCAGGAGAATGGCGTGAACCCGGGAGGTGGAGCTTGCAGTGAGCCGAGATGGAGCCACTGCACTCCAGCCTGGGCAACAGAGCGAGACTCCGTCTAAAAAAACAAAATTTGAAGCCTATATTTGTTTTATCTGAGTTCCTTCCTCAGGAAAGTATCCCCCAGGCATCTCAAAAAGTGTTAAAGAACTGAAACTCACCAGATCACCACTTACTGACAATGAGATGTAGGACCCGTCATTCATCATGCTTGTTTCCTTGCCCCTCCCTAGCTCCTGTTTTCATACACATTGTTACATTTATTCTCTGCTATATAAATTTCCTAGTTTGAGTTGGTCAGGGAGATGGATTTGAGACTGTATTCCTATCCCCTCAGCTGCGGCAGCAGATGGAAACCTTCTTCCTTGGCAATATTTGTCATCTCAGTGATTGGCTTTCTGTGCAGCAAGCAGCAGGACATAGACTAAACCTCTGGTATTTTGGTAACAACATGTAGTACACCAGACTTGATTACAGAAAGAAGAAAGAAACTACAGGGCAAAAATAAAAGACTGAGGGGAAGAGGCCCAATGAATTTTCATTGTTTTGTTTTGTTTTGTTTTGTTTTGAGACAGAGTCTCACTCTGTAGCCTAGGCTGGAATGCAGTGGCACGATCTTGGCTCACTGCAACTTCCACCTCCTGGGTTCAAGCGATTCTCCCACCTCAGCCTCCTGAGTAGCTGGGATTACAGGCGCCTACCACCACACCCAGCCAATTTTTTTTTTTTTTTTTGGTATTTTTGTAGAGATGGGGTTTCACCATGTTGGCAAGACTGGTCTTGAACTCCTGAACTCAAGTGATCCGCCCACCTCAGCCTTCCAAATTCTGGGATTACAGGCATGAGCCACTGCGTCTGGCCTAGCCAAATAAGTTTTCAAAGTAGGTGTTTTCCCAAGAAATATGAGAGAATTTGGGAAAAAAATTAATGTTACTGGCAATACTTTTCAAATAAATGTATATTGATAAGATTGTATATATTAAATATTCATACGGCATAACAATTTATTCTACTGTGATAATGAAAAAGCAGGAGCTTCTTATTCATAGAAACCAAATTGTTACATTATTAAAGCTCTAAGGGTTTTTATAGATTTTGTAGGCCTCCCTTCCTATTATGGATGGTTTGGAAAGGAGAGCTCAATAAAATTATGAACTTTCTAGATTGCAAAACATTTCTGCATGGCCTTGTCTTTTTCCATTTCATTTTGTTTTTCATTATTACACAAATAAACTAAATAATTGAGTAATTACTTCTGAATTATCTTCAAAAAAGCATTCTACTTAAGGAACAAGTGTAAGATTTAAGCATATATTTAATTTTTAAAGAATTCAATATTTATATATGCACATATTAAAAACTCAGATGAATAAGTTTGATATAGAATATATTTAGTAGTAACAAAGGAAATTAAATGTTGTAAGTAATTCAAGTAGGAGATTATAACCATAAAATACATGATAGGAATTTGAAATGAATGCTTTTCTTGACCAGAAGAATGGATATAGGAAATTCCATTTGAAGATAATGATGATGTGGATCTAATTTTAAAAAAAATGAAATACCAGGTTCACTAAAGCCTCCTTCTGCTTGCAGAAATTAAAATAGAGTTTAAATCTGTAATCAGTATATGTTGTTCCCTTTCTAACATTTCTTAAAGCCATAAATAATTTTAATGACATGATCTTTCTATCTGTTCGTTTTTATGTTAGTATATACTCAGACACTTAAATAAATATAACACAGGAAAGAGATGAGCCATTAGTAATAAACAAAGGGATTTAAATTTGAGAAAGAACAATTAACACTTCTATATTCATTTTTAATCATTCACTTATCAGAATGCATTAAATCATCAGAATTGTGCTGACTTACATAAATTTCCAACTTTAGTTGTAGCACTTCATCGATGGAGTCATGATGAATATCTTAGAAAATCCCATTTGTTAACAAATATGTGACCTTATTAATACAGAAAATGTCAATTAGAAATATTATTATAACTAGAAATGTACTGTAAATCAGATATTTGGTATTCTCTGCAAAAAAAAATCATTAACAGTACAGGCTTAATGGAATTTGTGAAGAAACTTTGCAACTTTGGTAATTATTAATTAACACTGAATACAATAAAACCTATATGGGAACTATTGGCTAGTTTTGCACATATAATCAATGAACTGCGTCAGTCAAATTTATATTCAGTTGTAGACAAAAGTGCTGTGTAAGAATCATTATAAATTAATTAGTACTTAACATTTAATTGAAATGAGCACAATGAAACATTTTGTTTTCGGAAAGTAAGCTTATAAGCTATGAACAATTTTATTTGCTTTTCACTCTCCATTTCACTCCTCAAACACTGTTTAAAATTAGGTCTACAAACAAAAACAAAACTGTCACTCATTTTTTTTCAACTTAACACTCACCACTACCAACCGCAGAATTCTTATTACTGTAGCGAAAATTTAGTGTATGAAAAGTATGAGATCAAAAAGTAAACTCAATGAATGATGAGCTCTAAGATCCAGTCACCCACGCTTTACAATTTTATTGTTTAAGCCTTGTCATTGGCTCTTGGTTTCCTTGAGTACAATCTCTCCTTCTCATTCAGCATGTCTACAGATGCTCCTCTTAAGTTTTCCTAACCACTGTTCACAGATACATTTGGGGAGAATCTTCTATAGGATGCTTAACTAATACAGTTTGTTGATGGACTCTTGTTAGTCTTCCTCTTATTTCTAAAACGATAGAAAAAATTTCATCAATTAGCAACATATTGACCCTCTATTCCATAGTGGTTTCAATGGTCTACAACAATAAAGGTCAAATAAATTTAACTCATTGTAATAATAGGCATAATGGACACTATAGTTCCAGTATTATAGAACTCTCTAGTTCAACATTGTTACCCTCATGTTCTAACAAAATTTTGTCTCTACCAAGCTGAAAATTTTCAGCTGTGATCAAACCACAGCAAATTCAGAACCTCTAGGGCTACTAGATTTTGGCATGGTATAGTTCCATCGTATTAAGCAGTGTTTATTTATATGAATGGTATAGATTTATGCCTGAATAAGTCATGTTTAATCCAACTGTAGCTTAATGATGGCAGTATAATTTGGAAGTCATCACCACAAAGCATGAGAGTATAAGGAAAACACAGGAAATCAAGAGAGCCAGATTTCAGCATGGATATAGAAACAAACAATATGAATCCTGCTCCGGTTGCTTAGGTTTTCAAGGCCTTAGATTTTCCATCTTAACAGTAAACATATGTTCTTGAATGTCTCTAATATCCATTTAAATGACAATCATACATTCCATTTTGGTAGTGACTTTAAGACCCATTATTTATTATGCCACATAGTGGTGTTTATCCGCTATAAGGATACTGCCTACCAGTTGACATTTTCCAATTTTAACCAACAGCTCTATTTGATAGAAGTATATGGCAGCATATAAACTAGAGTATTTTTACATTTTAAAAATATTTATTTTAGGGTTGCTAATTCATTTTGAGTTTTAATATTTATAATATTCATATCCAACATTTTCAGGACAGGTTTAAACACATGTACATGTGCAGTATTTTACCATTTTATACAATCAAGTGGTGTTTTTTGCATAGTGATCCATCTTATTTTTATTTCTCATTGGGCTGCAAATCAAGTAACACTTTGCAAACAGCAATGTGATCATTGAAACAGTTTTTAGCTTGGTAATTGTAGCTCATGCCTTCACTGTCATCTGAAACTGAGACTAACGGTCTTCCTTATAAAGATATCTGCTTATTGATTTTGCAAAGGTTGAACAGAAGAAGCTTTACTCTTTTTGGTAACTGTAACAAGCACTACCTGCCTATATTGATTACTTACTCTCAATGTTATAGCAAATTACTATTGTGAAAACATAATGATGCTGAACATTTGTGCTCAGATGATAGGGTAATGTTTAAACACTGTGTGTCCTGTTCTTTGCAGATTTACTAATAACCTCTTTAATCATTTCTGTTCAAAATACCATGGACTCTAAAGCAGAAGCTAGCCTAATGGCACAACTAATATAGGAAGCATAACATTTAATAACTTCAAAAGAAATAGCATCAATTGCTTTCCATCCTTTAGATAGCATGTCAGATTTTTACAAATAGTATTTATAATAAACCGAAAATAAATTTATAGAAACTTTAATTCTATTTCTACTCTTTTCTTCTTAAGCCAGCATTGGCGAATGTGATGGTTTATGTTTTCTGACATGAATTATATGCTTAAAGAATATATTTTAATGAAAACACATAAATATTTCTAAAATAAGCACATTTTAATTTAAAGGCTTATGGAATCATATGTGTTGGAATAAGACGTCACTTGAAAAAAGCTCAATGTGGGGAATTTATGAAGATTATCATGAAAGACATTGTATCTCATCATAAAAATTATATTTAAAAATTTTTTCCTTTTAAAAACAACAATTCATCTATTATATGGATTGAATTAGTTTAAATAAAAATAATTATTTGGGATAAAATTATCATCTTATTATAATATCATTATTATAGATAGGAAATACTACTTAAACGGATTTGAATAAAACAATAAGACTATTTAATAAGAAAAATATCTAAAACTATTATAAGCAAATGTGAAAAATAAAAGTTATATATGATAAAAGTTACAATTCTTAGAAAATACATTATGCTGTATTGTAATACAATATAAACACTAGCTCACTTAAGAGTATTAGCCAGTAGATTTATGTAATATTTTGTGTTGTTGCTCTTTGTTAATTTTATTTCCATTTTTCTCAGTCTTACTTTTACTTTCTATTGATTGCATCCATTTAGAAACAAAATAATGACTATAGTCTTATTATCATTATTTATTTGGACCTAAAATAACCAGGCCTAATTATATCAACCTGGACCCAAAACAATAACCACTTCTGAATTGGACTTTTTGTAATCAGTTGTGTATTCAATATTTTAAAACATTTATTAATTATCTAATATAGTTCATGTGTTAGAAAATTGGTTGACTATATGATGATACTAATAACACACAATATATTTGTTTTAAGAGAACATAAATTCTGTAACAGTAATATAAAAATAAAAGAATCAATATAAAAGAATCTGTAAGGATGCATTTAAGTTTGCCTGCAAAATTCAGAACAGGTTTCTAAGATGAGGATTATTTAAGCTGAGCCTCACTATGCTTTTTCATTGATTAATAATTGATTTACAAAATCAAGTGTTTGATGTGTCCAAAGTCATGTAAGTTTAAACTGATGCTTTTGTGCATCAATTTCATAAATCATCATTAAAAAGAGTTGATCATATATAACTTTTTAATTTTTAATTTTTAAATTAATTAATTAATTAATTTATTTATTTTTGAGACAGATTCTCACTGTGTCGCCCAGGCTGGAGTGTAATGGAACGATTTCGGCTCGCTGCAATCTCCGCCTCCTGGGTTCACCGCCATTCTCCAGCCTCAGCCTCCCGAATAGCTGGGACTACAGGCACATGCCACCACACCCAGCTGATTTTTGTATTTTTAGTAGAGACGGGGGTTTCACCATGTTGGCCAGGATGGTCTCGATCTCTTGACCTCATGATCCGCCCGCCTCGGCCTCTCAAAGTGCTGGGATTACAGGTGTGAGCCACCGTGCCCGGCCTAAAAAGAGTTGTACATACATAATTTATTTAATGTATTTCTTAAGATGTTTGATATTTTTAAAAATTAGTTTTGTTATTAAATGAGAGGTGAGAAATTGCTTAATGGGTACAATGTACGTTATTCGGGTGATGGGTACCCTAAAGCCCAGACTTCACCACTACATGATGTCCATGTAACAAAATTGTACCCCTGAAATCTATTTTTCAAAAGTTAACACATTCAATTTTTAGAGCAGTTTTAGGTTCACAGTAAAACTGAATAAAAAGTTCAGAGTTCCCATACACTCCCTGCCCTACCCACATACAACCTCCCACACTATTCATTGACTTTTCTCATACTCTTTTATAGTATGTTTAATTCCTTAGTTATTACTCTTTGAAAACTAGATTTTTCCTCAATGATTTCAGAGAAATATGTATGTAATAGGAATTCTAACATTAAATATTGCCCATTATACTATTAATATATATGAATGAGGTTTGCAAACCTGGATAATTATTTCAGCCAAGATAAATGTACTTAAAACACAAATTAATAGCTTTACCAGAATAAAATATTAAAATGATGTGCACTATTTATTATAATCTTTATTAAAGGCTACACATGTGCATGCATCTCCATAGTTTAATGCCTTCTCTGTTCTTTTTACCGTATGTATGTTTTCACACTCATTGTTTGTGTACTTCTAAATAAATCAACCATCTGTAATATTTAAGACTCTTTATTTTTACTGAGGACCAAATATAAAATTCATCTCTCAGAGGCTTCCATTCAGGGTAAAGTGCTAGATAAATTAGCCAGCAGACAACAAAAAGCCAGCAGATTTTTTTAAGTCTGTTTCTTTGCTCAACACCTATGAAATGTCCTAAAGATAATTTTGAAATTCAGTAAACATGCTTGGTACAATTCTTATTTTTCTCTTATATTTATATATTTAAAATTAAAGTTTTAAATATTTAAATATTAAATATTAATAATTTTAGATATTATTTAAATATTTGTATTTAAATATTTAAATAAATATTATTTAAATATAAATATATAATATTTACATATTATATATTTATAGTGAAATTTCAAATTCAGCATTTAAGAAATTATTTTAGTAAACATAATTTTAGGTTTACTTTGGTTAGAGTTAATTTCTGGAGACTGGAGAGCATCAGTGAGGTGAGGAGGGTCTTTTAGAAATGAAGATTTTCATGCAGTGGGACTAGTAGAAAATGATTCATGGAAGTATGGAATCACTTGAAATCTTCAGGAAATTGTTATGCACCTGGGTTATATCAAGGGATGGGTTTTTGTGGGGTTTTTTTTTTGTTGTTTGTTTGTTTGTTTTTTGAGATGGAGTCTTGCTCTGTTGCCCAGGCTGGAGCGCAATGTCACGATCTTGGCTCACTGCAACCTCCGTCACCCAGGGTCAATCAATTCTCCTGCCTCAGCCTCCCAAGTAGCTTGGATTACAGGTGCATACCACTATGCCCAGCTAATTTTTGTATTTTTAGTAGATATGGGATTTCACCATGTTGGTCAGGCTGGTCTCGAACTCATGACCTTGTGATCTGCCCACCTTGGCCTCCCAAAGTGCTGGGATTACAGGTGTGAGCCACCACACCCGGCCAAGATGTGTTTTAAAAGTGAGGAATGGGTCAGATTATGGAAGGATATGTTTGATTTTTTTCTAAGAGTTATTAGAAAAAAAACATAATTTTTATTAATGGTAAATTGTACTTGCCTAATTTAATCAATTTATTTCAATATTTAGGGGTAACAAGTTTCCACTGATGTAGTGAAATGATTAGGGGAGTATGGACTATCATCAGCACAAAAGTCAAAGGGCCACTACAATAATCCAGGTAAGAAGTTTTGATGATTTAAAGAAAGGGCATGCCACTGGGAAATAGAGACACACACAAGATAGATATTCAGAAGATGGGCTCTGTTAATTGATGATGTATTTCAATGTAACAGGGTAATAAAGAGAGAAAACCATGTGGACGTTTATTCTTCCTTAACCCTAAATTTAATGTACATCTAATAGTGAAGAGATTGTATTAAAATCTGATTTTACAGGTATGGAATTGGGCTTGATATTCTACATTTCTCGCAAGCTCCCAGGTTAGGCTTATGCTGGCAGCACTCAAAATACATTTTGAGTAACACAGTACTAAGTTTCTTAAGGTTTCATGATTAAAAATGGCAGGAAAGATTAAGACAAAACATGTAGTACACACACACACACACACATACACACTCATACACACACTAATATGAAGGGAAGGGTACAAGTAAAGTTGATGAAAATATAGACAGAATATACCACCATCACAAAAAGGAAAGTTGACAGTGATAAAGTTATAGTTATTTGTATCTGGAGAGGAAGAATTTTCAGAGGGTCCTAATAATCAAAGAATAATTTCTGAGCTAATTTAATAATATACAGTCTATTTTAGTATTTCCTGGACCTTTGATTCAAGAAAATTAAGTGCTTAGTGATCTCTATGACAGAAAAGGAACAGGTTGATATTAGGAGATATATTAAAAGGAGAGAAAAAAATTATATGGCAAATGGCATTCACATTTTAACACTTTTCTACCTTACTTCCTCATTTCATATAAAGTAGAATTCAAATAAAAGTACAAACATCATGGTAAAATTGAGATGTTTATGAGGAATTACTTAAACTTTTATTCTTTGAGGAGAATGGAAAAAAAAAAACATTGACTAAGATCTCTATAAATGTTACTAGAAAGCATTGACAAGTATGGCTGAGTCGTACTCAACATGTAGTAGTTCGAATATGGATAGCTGTTTAAGTTTTCTCCCATTTTATCTTTTATCTATCTTTCTTTTATTTACTGTACATTTTATCTTTTATCTATCTTTCTTTTATTTACTCTACTTTCATTTATTTACTCTTCCTTTAGAAGAGTACTTTTCTATGTGCTAATTAAACTTTTCCATGTTTCAAATATGTTTTCTATATGATCTGCTAATTTCTGATATAACTCCCTGTTTATTAGGTATAATTACAGAAAGGAATGTCTTTTCCTGGAAACCATTAAACTGAAGCCAAGATTGCCTGTTATTCTCTGCTGGAATTTCTAATATGTCAGTTAAGAAAGCTGGTTGGAAGTAAGAGAGAATGGAGCCAGCATGCAGAGAAAAGTAGGCAGATGAGATAAAGAAACAAACCGTTGAAATTGGAGTCTCTAGTTCTAAATGATTTTGCCACTCATTGGCTTTTCAGATGTCCAAGAGTTTTGATCATCCAATACTCCACACATACTTTGGGCATATAATCACTGCCTCTTAGAGTCTAAAGCAGGGCTGGAAAGAATTTCCTTCGTCATAAAAAAGTATGACAAATTCATTCTCAAAATAATGTTATTAAGAGTAAAATATAAAAAAAGGAAGAAACATTTTCCATTTCTTTCCTATTCTGAATTTTGTAATAGCTACTACTCTGTAGGGTTCAATAAAGTTCATTTTCATGTCATACAAACTTTATTGATTCAGTTCAGCTTCGCGAGTTTGCACTGAAGTATTGCTCACCCTAAAATAATGCTAATCAAGTAATTCTACGACATCTATATAACCTTGCAGTAAAAGGCGCACCAGTGTAAAGGTGGGTGAATTACAGTCTATTTGATGCTTGATTTACTCTTCAACTGTCTCCAGTAATGAAATATAGCAGCCAGGAACTAAAGCTTGGGTGAGTTTCTAACAGATTAGAGTTATTTGGTGAAGAGGGTAGATCTCTGGGGAAATACTAGGAATAAATATGGTTATTTAAAAATTCTCTCGCTTTTTTTTTTTTTTTTTTTTTTTTTAGGATCTGGTCTATATTTGCGTTTGCTTCAGACCAAAGTAAGTTGGAAGTTGACACAATTACATATATTTATCTTTCTTTCCTAATCGATTTAGGATATCAGAATCATTTCATTGATGCTAATATAGGAGAGGTTAATACTCAAAAATCTTTACTGAAGTAAAAGTAAAAGGAATGGCTGAAAATCAGCTGACAGCCAGTTTCTACATGTTTCACCTCGACTTAACATTCAGACATTGTTCAGATCCCCTGAAGTTACTTATGTTCTGAATATTTACTAAAGTGCTGGACTGGATATTATGTTTTTAAAGAAGAAAAATGATGTAGATTATTATAAAAGAAGGAAGCTTCTTTCTCTAAAGATCAAGTTTTAAAAATTTAGGAGTGGTGGAAGTTTCTAACATATTTCCGTAGTGATATACCACTAGGATAAAACCATTATTATAATATTCAACCAGCACCTTTAGATATATCATTTTACTTATGAACCTTAGTGAATCAATACTTGTTTTTCACAAAAGAGGTACTTAAACCTTAATCAATACAAAATCTGATATTTATATTTGTTTATCCAGCAAAGTATTGTGGTAGAATATTTTCCTTAAAATGGAACATGGAATCCAATACTCCAATCATATGTGGAAAAATGAGGCTATGTGTATGTGTATATATATATATATATATATATATGTATATATATATGTATATATAAACAAGCATATGTATATATACACACATATATGTATATATAATTTTGTTATGCAAAGAAAAAAGAATAATTCTTTTTATGAATATTTATGTAATGTAAAACCCAAAGACTACCTTTTCTCTTGTCAAATATATAAATTTAGGTCTGGTTTTTATACTATATCTATAAAGTTCATCATCATATACATGGTGTAATTTGGAATTTATTAATATTTTGATGAATAATATACCAATCAAAAGACAAGACATAATTTAAACATGTATTAAAAGTTTAAAAATTGAAGGAATTTCAACTTTTAATAAATTTGTGGTTCTGTTAGGTATTAGACAACATAACATCATGTATCTACAATATATAGATATTGCTATAATCTATGATTCATCCTGCAACAAAAAAGTAACATAAATGAAAAAGATGAAATGTATTTAATATGAATTAGTTTTTTAAAAAACCTGGCAAAAATTTAAGAGATAAATAATAAGAAGATATTTAGGATCATAATTGCACTCTTAAGTAACAACTATAAGATATTGGACATATTATTTGGTCTGATATCCCATCTCCCTTCCTTTGATAATATTGCCCACGATTTTGCTAGAAATTCTGTCAAATTATTGCCACTATGCATTTTTCTTTTTATATTAACAAAAAAGCAGATGAAATATGTCTTTTTTAAAAAGTAGTTCACAAACATTTTATTAACTTGATATCTTCATTTCTGCTTCCTTAGATATCATTGAAATTATGGTTACATGTAATTAGTGATTCTACTTTTGAATTATTAAAGTTAATAATTTAAAGTTAATATTTTGCTACTAAATTAGCTTTGCCTTAATTTGGAATAGTTCTCAATTGTAAGATTTGTTTCCATTCAAAGTCCAGATTTCACAATCCCTATTGGCCAATTTGGTCATGTAAATAAATATTTTATTAATAGTGATCTTGATTTAAAAAAGCACATATAAATACTTTGTAACTAAAATATAATCTGAATAAATTAAAAATCCTTAACAAAAATTATTCTTTTTACTTACCCAAGTAACAGATCTATGGCAATACTGATTTGTCTAAACATTTCAGAATCAACCTGTTTATGTGAATTTTTGGTTCATTCAATCAAATATCTACATTGACAATTTGTTATTTGATTAATTGTTTTGATAAATAAGACAATGAAACAGATTATGGATACTCATATAGAAACAATTGTACATCTAGCTAAATTATTTAACTTTACAATTTATCTCAAAAATTCTTCCATAAACAAATTCAACAGGATATTCATCAAAAATAAAAACTACTGAAATATGAATACAAACAAAAACATGAATCACGAAATAATTATGCTGAGTGAAAAAAATCTGTGTAAAAAGGAATACATATTGTATGAAAATTCAAACTGATCTTTGGTAGCCAAAATTATACCAGTAGTTATATAAAGTACAAGGCACCATGAGATAACTTTTGTATGTGATAGCCATATGTTTATTTATTATGTTTACTTCTTCATTCTGGTGATGGGTTTATAGGTGTATAGATACTTGTTTCTATTTCTTAACTTTTTTTAAGTTCAGGGGTATATGTGCAGATTTGTTACATAGATAAACGCATGTCACAGGTGTTAGTTATACAGATTATTTTGCCATGCAGTTATTAAGCCTAATACCCATTAGTTATTTTTCTTGATCCCCTCCCTCCTCCCAACTCTTCACTTTCAGATAGAACCCAGTGTCTGTTGTTCCCCTGTAAGTGTCCATGTGTTCTTATCATTTAGCACTCACTTATACGTTCTCACTTGTTTTTCTGTTGCTGTGTTAGTTTGCTAATGTAGAAATAATGGATGATGGCCTCCAGCTTCACCTACGCTCCTGCAAAGGACATGGTCTCATTCTTTTTTATGAACATATGGTTGTATAGTATTCCATCGCACATGTGCAGCACATTTTTAAAATCTAGTCTACCACTGATGGGCATTTAGATGGATTCCATGTCTTTTCTATTGTGAATAGTGCTGCAATAAACACGCGTGCATGTGTCTTTATGATAGAGTGATATATATTCCTTTGGGTATATACCCTGTAATGGGATTGCTGGGTCAAATAGCATTTCTGTTTTCAGCTCTTTGAAAAATGGCCACACTGCTTTCCACAATGGTGGAACTAATTTACACTCCTACAAACAGTGTATAAATGTTCTCTTTCTCTGCAACCTTGCCAGCACGTTATTTTTTGGCTTTTTAGTAATAACCATTCTGACTGGTGTGAGATAGTATTTCATAGTGGTTTTGATTTGCATTTCTCTATTGATCAGTGATAGCAAGCATTTTTTTATGCTTGTTGGTCTCATGTATGTCTTATTTTATTTCTTTTCTTTTTTTTTTTTTTTTTTTTTTGAGACAGAGCCTTGCTCTTTTGCCCAGGCTGGAGTGAAGTGGTGCAATCTCGGCTCACTGCAGCCCTCTGCCTCCCAGGTTCCAGAGATTCTCCTGCCTCAGGCTCCTGGCTAGCTGAAATTACAGGTACATGCCACCACGTCTGGCTAATGTTTGTATTTTTAGTAGAGATGGGGTTTCACCATGTTGGCCAGGCTGGTCTCGAACTCCTGACCTCAGGTGATCGGCCCACCTTGGTCTCCCAAAGTGCTGGGATTAAAGGCGTGAGCCACCGCACCTGGCTGTATGTCTTATTTTCAAAAGTGTCTGTTAATGTCTTTTGCCCACTTTTCAATGGGATTGTTTGGCTTTTGCTTATAAATTTGTTTAAGCTCCTTATAGATGCTAGATATTAGATCTTTGTCAGATATAGTTTGCAAAAATGTTCTCCTATTCTGTAGGTTGTCTGTTTACTATCTATTCTCTTTCATTGGTATATATGTCAGGTTTTGTACAATATCATGCTATTTTGGTGACTGTAGCCCCGTAGTATAGTTTGAAATTTGGTAGCAAATTGTTCTTTTTGTTAGGTTGCTTTTTTCTTTTTGCTTAGGTTTGCCTTGGCTATTTTGGCTCTTTTTTGGTTCCATATAAATTTTGAAATAGAATTTTCTAGTTATGTGAAGAATGTCACTGGTAGTTTGATAGGATAGTATTGAATCTGTAAATTGCTCCGGGGGCAGTATGGCCATTTTAATAATATTTATTCTTACTATTCATGATCATGGAATGTTTTTCCATTTGTTTGCATTATCTCTGTTTGTTTGTACAGTGTTTTGTAGTTGTCACTGTAGAGACCTTTAATCTCCCTGGTTATCTGTATTCCTAGGTATTTTATTCTTTTTGTGGCAACTGTGAGTGGGATTGCCTTCCTGATTTGGCTCTCGGCTTGACTGTTGTTGGTGTATGGGAATTCTAGTGAGTTTTGTACATTGATTTTATTTCTTGAAACTTTGCTGAAGTTGTTTATCAGCTCAAAGAACTTTTGTGACAAGACTATGGGGTTTCCTAGATTTAGAGTCATGTCATCTGCAAACCGAGATAGTTTGGCTTCCTATCCTTTTTTTTTTTTTTTTTTTTTTTTTTTTTGAGACAGAGTCTTGCTCTGTCGCCCAGGCTGGAGTGCAGTGGTATGATCTCGGCTTACTGCAAGCTCCGCCTCCTGGGTTCACGCCATTCTCCTGCCTCAGCCTCCTGAGTAGCTGGGACTACAGGCACCCGCCACCACGCCCAGCTAATTTTTTGTATTTTTAGTAGAGACAGGGTTTCACTGTGTTAGCCAGGATGGTCTCAATCTCCTGACCTCGTGATCCGCCTGCCTCAACCTCCCAAAGTGCTGGGATTACAGGCGTGAGCCACCACACCCGGCCTGGCTTCCTATCTTCTTTTGGATGTACTTTTTTCTTTCTCTTGCCTGTTTGCTGTGGTTACGATGTCCAATACTATTTTGAATATGTGTGGTGAGAGAGGGCATCCTTGTCTTGTGTTGGTTATCAAGGGGAAAGCTTCCGGATTTTTCCCTTTCAGTATAATGTTGGCTATGGGTTTGTCACAGATGGTTCTTATTATTTTGAGGTGTTTCTTCAATATCCAGTTTACTGAGAGTTTTTTTTAACATAAAGGGGTATTGAATTTTATTGAAAGACTTTTCTGCATCTACTGATATAATCATGGGTTTTTTAAATTTATTTCTCTTTAAGTGATGAATCACATTTATTTATTTGCATATTTAAATCAACTTTGCATCCCAGGGATGAAGCCTACTTATCTACAAATGACTCATTTGGAGATATTTTTTATTGACTTATATTTTTTTCCAAAATATTTTACTTCCATGGTTTCTCAATGTCCAGTAGTATGTGTTAAAACTTGGGAAGAGTGTACAATTAGTTGGAGTCATTCTAGATTTTATTTTGTTCTTCTAATGGTTCTTTCATTTATTTTTAGATGTTTCATATTAAGAAGTCATTAACTTGACTGCAGTTACTCTTTCTCCTGCATGGTGAGCAATCATTGATTTATCTGCTCAGCTTCTCTGTCTGTTTGCATATATGTATATACCTATCTTCGATTGTTAATCTATCTGCCTGAGTCCCTAGAGGTTGTATCTGGGCTTTTAGAGTTTCACTATTATTCCATGATTATGTACAAGCACCTCAAACTATTTTGGCTACAGCACTCTGTCTCTCCAACTGTGAATGAGTTGAGAAACATATTCAAAGTGTCAACAACTTCACAAGTATCCCCAAGCCTTATTATTTCCCTCCTCTTTCTGGACTCTCCCATGAACATGAAACATGTATAAGTACGTCAGAGATTACTCAAACCATTGTTTAACGCTCTCTCAACTTCCAAAATCTACTTTTTAAATTTCTACCTGCTCTGCTATTACTTGAACCTGGCTAGTAAAATTTTCACCACTCTATCTGGGGAAGGAAATTAGAATAACCCTAGGGAAGAAGGCAACAAATTTGCCATACTTACCAGGGACAGTGAAAGTTTTTCATGAATAAATGTCTTCTGTTACCTAGTGCAACGAAATGATTGTTTCATATGTACTCCAATTTTGTATGGATTTTCTGTATAAATTGTCTGACCTCTTCATGCCACCATTCCCAGAAATAAAGCTTCAAGAAACATTACTTTTACAAACATATTAGTAGAAATAGTGTATGTGATAGCAGCAGGAGGCAGGCAAATCCTAGGCAGACAGGGGTGGGTGCCCAGTGAAACCGACCTTCAAGCCGAAGACAGTTTAAAGCTTGAAAACCAAGCTACAAGTCTCAGATAAATCTGTTGACCAGATTGAGAACCTCTCTTCCTGTTTGGTGTGCTTTCCTCTCATTGATGCCCACCCTTCACCTATTTTACATATACCTAGGCTTCCCAATTGGTTTTTGCCCTGTTGTGCCCATCTTTTGAGTGGTGCTTTTTTCTAACCTTTTTTGCATATTTGCAGCACACAATTCCCCATTCTAAGCCCATAAACCCCAAATCAGACACACTGGGAGATTACCTGACTTCCCATAGGGGGCTGCCCTCTTTAAGTCCCCTCTCTGCTGAGAACTGTCACTCAATAAAACTCTTCGCCTTGCTCACCCTTCAGCTGTCAGTGTAACCTCATTCTTCTTAGACGCAGGACAAGAACCCAGGACCTGCGGAACACGAGTACAAAAAATGCTGAAACACTGTAGTCCTCCACCCTCTGGAAGCACCAGGCAGCTGCCCCAGAAGACAGGCAATGGCAGGGCTGGGCCAGCCCAAAAGCCATGGGCTAGAGGGGGGTGGTGGGAAGGAGAGAAGAGTTATGACCCTTCTGGGGTCCTAGACCTCGGGGATCCCTGAGCGAGAGCTGTAACACTCTGTAACACACCCCTTGGGGCTCCAGGGCCACTGGCATCTCCAAATTTGGGGGGCGCCACCATGTTCCTCTCATCTAGACACGAACACCCAAGGCAGAAGCAACTTGTAGTATGCCTGGTCCAGCCGCAGCCTCACGCAGCGCCGGCACCTGTGTGGCCACCTGGAGCTCCCCGCCCTGCAGCAGCAGCCAGTGCTGACACATCCCTCGCCACTCCGCACCTGGCTCGCCTTTGGTGGGTGTGAGATCCAGGCCGGGGCGCAAGCCATGCTCAGCGGACTGGGCTGAGTGGGCAGGATATCTCCAGAGGCAATCCCGGAGCCAACAGAGGCCTTGGGCAGGGGCATTTCCAGCCGCAGAGGTCTCCGGCTGGAGAAGAACTGAAAAATTCCTGCATTATATGTATACTGGAAATTTGGTAAGAGAGTAGATCTTAAGTGTTCTCACCATGCACACACACACACACACAAACACACACACACACACGATAGAAAGTCATCCATGTGAAGTGATGAATGTGTTACCTACCTAGATTGCGGTAATAATTTCACAATGTATACATACATCAAATCATCACATTATATACCTTAAACATATACAGCTTTATTTGGCAATTATACCTCACTAAAGCTTTGAAAATATTTTGCAGTTTATTCTCAAGGTTTGAAATATAGGAAAAATTATCAAAATTATACTTGCTCCTTTCAAAGGATCTAACTATTCAAGTATCTATAACTTTCTCTACTATATATATATATATAATGTATAATATGTATATATATATATATATATATATATTTTTTTTTTTTTTTTTTTTTTTTTTTGAGAGGGAGTCTCACTCTGTCACCCAGACTGGAGTGCAGTGGTGTGGTCTCGGCTCACTGCAGCCTCTGCCTCCTGGGTTCAAGCGATTCTCCTGCTGCAGCCTCCCGAGTAGCTGGGACTACAGGTGCCCACCACCACCTCTGGCTAATTTTTTTTTTCCTTGTATTTTTAGTAGAGACGGGGTTTCACCATGTTAACCAGGATGGTCTCCATCTCCTGACCTCGCGATCCACGCCCCTCGGCCTCCCAAAGTGCTGGGATTACAGGTGTGAGCCATCGCGCCCGGCCTAAAATTTTTACGTTCATCTGCATCTGGCCTCTGTTGTGGAGGAAGTATAATACTCTTTGGAAGAACTAAAAAAGCATCAGAAACATTCAGGACCTTCCTGACGGTTGCATAACAGCAGGATTTTGAAGACTGGATTCCATCCCAAATCCTATTTTGAACATCCTCAAAAGGATTGCCTTGCTACCACTAAAGCCATGACAATTTAGAACAGACAGTGACAAATCATTAACTGTCTTGTAATGATTACTCCAAAAGCCTTAGCATGGCCGGCAAAGTTCTACTCACTAAAACATTTCCACGGATATAAAAACGTCTGAAGGTTTTTTATAAAAGATAACAGAAATGTATATATTTTAACAGGAAATTAATGATTATGTTGTGAGGGAATATATCCTAAAAAGAAAGATAAGAAAGGATAATCAATCTAAGGAAAATTCGTACATCTGAGTAGTGACAGTGACTTGGTAATTGAAAAATAAAGGGTTAGGGCAATGCCACAGAATTTTTTTTTTTTTTTTTTTGAGATGGAGTCTCACTCTGTCGCCCAGGCTGGAGTGCAGTGGCGTGATCTCGGCTCACTGCAAGGTCCACCTCCTGGGTTCATGCCGTTCACCAGAGAAAAACTTTATGTTAAGTTTCTGTGAATCTACTTTTACACTTAAGCTAACTGAAAATAGTTTCTTTAAAATTTATTTGTAGTGATTATGACTTCATTAATAATTTCAGCTGTATCTAAGTTTCTTATTGTGTTTTGGTTTACTTCTTAGGAAAACAGCTACAGATTTCTACTCTCATCCAAAAGTCAGTCATTCACAGTATGTATGGTATTTCAAACTGGGCTTATCAAAATGCAAATTAATGCAAGCCACACCCACAATCCTTTGCAGTTAAATGTTTCCTAAGAATGTCTACTTAATTATAATATTTTAGAAAGAAGTACTCATTTCTAATGTTAGAAACCTAGAAGAAATGTACAGATATCTAGACACTTGGCTCAAATAATTCTCCAAATCCAAATAATTCTTAGGAGATATTCTATTCATATTCTTTAAAAAATATGTTACCATTTTATTATAATTTTTTTTTGTTTGTTTTGTTTTGAGACTGAGTCTTGCTCTGTCACCAGGCTGGAGTGCAGTGGCATCATCTCGGCTCACTGCAACCTCCGCCTCCCGGGTTCAAGTGATTCTCCTACCTCAGCCTCTGAGTAGCTGGAATTACAGGCACACGCCACCATGCCCAGCTAATTTTTGTATTTTTAGTAGAGACAAGTTTTCACCATGTTGGCCAGGATGGTCTCGATCTCTTGACCTCATGATTCACCCACCTCAGCTTCCCAAAGTGCTGGGATTACAGGTGTGAGCCACCACGCCCGGCCAAAAGTGTTTTTTCTATGATTTTCTCTATTATGTCTAATTTAAATAACTGTTTAGAGAACCATGAATCAATCTATCTTCCCTCTTGTGTTCTCCTTTTCTCTCGCTCTTTCCACCTTTTCATCTGTATTCCTCACACTCTCCCTTTCTAACAGCTGTAAAAAGTTTCCTTAAGTCTGGTCCATGAAAAAAATGAATAATATCTCAAACTTTAGAAACAGTCACAATAATAGAACAATTCAAAAAATAGAAGGATGCTAATTAAAAGTAGCTTGTTAGACACTTGAGGAAAAGGACAAAAAGTAAATGGCTGATTTCCAAACAGTTTGTTTGACAAAGGAAAAAAAAAAGAGAGAAGAAGAAAAGGATTACATCTGTCCAACAAACCCTATTGTCTTCACTTTTACTAGTAGCGTTCAGCGTTATTGATTTTGACAAAAGGCTTTCCAAACTGAGTGAAATTGTTCAGTTTTCCTTTTAACCTTTGGAATTCAGTGTTTTCCCTTTATAGGTGTTCAGAATAGTTCTATCACAGACCTGTTGGCATGTAAAATTATTTCCAAGTGAACATCAACTAGACTTATGTGGAATGTTCATATTCAGGCATATGCCCCATATCATTCCCCAAATCTAAAACATTTTTGTCAGATATTCTGGTCAGCTTATTAATCCTTTAATATTTATATTCCAAAAAACTTGTCTAATAATATTTTCTTGTATTTAATAATCACAACAATCAAAAAGTTCTTATCCATGTCTATTTTCTGTTTAAAATGAAGTTCCTTTGGTCTTTTTCTCTGGCATATGTGCTCTATGATTCTAGTAGTTTCTCTAACATACGAGGAGTCACTCTTTAGGTTATTTTCTTTTAAACAGATTCACAATCTTTACCTTTTTATATACACACATATGCATTACAGAAATATTTACTTTTCTATAGAAATGTTGCAGAAAATCAAGAGGCAAACATTTTGCCTACCATTTCCAGATAGTTTAGTTGGTTCCTGACATTACAATATATGGTAAGATTGTATTGGAAGAAAAAAATCTACATAATGTTTTACAATAATTTTATGAGAAATTACTAATGAGAGCAGTGAGGAAGGAAAAATCCAAAAGTAGTTGGAAGAAAAAAATGTAAAAATAATCACAAGCATTTATCAGAAAAAAGTTCCTATTCAGTCTGGAGAGTGCTGTATGGAAAAATAATTAACATTAACTTACTCTTTTCCCATTGCCTATAATAGGTCATCACAAGGCAGAAAATTTTGTCAAAAACAAATTGTGAAATTGCTGACATTTTGGAATGCAAATGTTATGGTTTGAATGTCTCCTCCAAAACTCCTGTTGCAATTTAATTGCTATTGTAACAATATTAACAAATGGGACCTTTAAGAAGTCATTAGGTCGTGAGGGTTCTGTGCACTCACTTGCTCTTCTGTCATTTTATGATGCAGTGAGAAGGTCCTCACCATATGTGGCCACTGAATGTTAAACTTTCAGCCTCCAGAACCATGAATCAAATACACTTCTATTGTTTATAAGTTACCCAGTTTGTGGTATTCTGCCAGAGCAGTAGAAAATTAAACAAGACAACAAACAAGTGAAGAATTCAATCCTTTGTTCATGAAAATGTTTAAATGTGGAAAATAAATGTTTATTACAAGGAAAAAATGTGTACATAGAGTGAAATATATAGAATGATATTTCTGTTCTTCTATTCTTCTTTGCTTCAAAACTGATTATACTAAATAAGAACAGCTTTGGTTTTACATTTTTCTTCCAATTTCTTTTTTTTTTCTAGTTTAAGTTAAAAATCAATAGTGTCAAGGAAAAGGTGAGAGAAAAATAAGCTAATCAACACTTAGAAGGTGACAAGTAGGTAATTTAACCCATGATATCTTACTGGAATCCCAATAAAGAAGGAGTTGTCACAAATTGCATCTTTATCTCTTACAACTACACAGCCAGGTAATTTTTTTTTCAAAGTGGTAAATTTTTTATTATCTTAACTAGAATGTCACCACATATTTTCTCTCTCACTTTTTTTTTTTTTTTTTTGAGTCTTACTCTGTTGCCCAGGCTGGAGTGCAGTGAGTCAATCTCAGCTCACTGCAAACTCCGCCTCCCGGGTTCAAATGATTCTCCTGCCTCAGCCTGCTGAGTAGCTGGGACTACAGGCGCCCGCCATCACACCCAGCTAATTTTTGTATTTTTAGTAGAGATGGTTTCACCATGTTTGTCAGGCTGGTCTTGAACACCTGACCTCGTGATCCATCCACCTAGGACTCCTCCCAAAGTGTTGGGATTACAGGCATGAGCCACCACGCCCGACCCACATATTTTCTAAGATTAAAAGTGGCATCCAATTTGCCGGCAATTATTAAATGAATAATTAATTGATTTTTTTTTAATTTCAATACATATCTTTCTGTTTAGAAAGTATACTTCAAATTTTTTAGTGATCAATTTCATTGCTTTATTCATGTCACGGAATTGGGGGAAAAAAGATAAATCTGTTTTCATGTCCAAATGGTAACAGAAAATTTATTCACTTTAAAGATTAAAATGTTTCTTTAAAAAAACAAAGTGAACTATGCATTTCTCAATGAAATTATTTAAATGTAAATGTGGTAAAATACACTTGACTACCATTTGTTTACTTTGTATTATTTTTATAAAGAAAATAAGTGTGTCTATTTAATAACTAATGTACTCCTCAAGAAGCCTTTTAAACTTTTACCACAGTAATTGTTAACATTCTTAATCTCTTTGACAATCTGAATACTAGCCCTAACCTCAAAATTAGGTGTAAAGCATTGGTTCTTTGTTGTTGCTTACAAATATATATAGGACTTCTGTGATCAAAACATAACTAATGTCATAAATTTACAACAAATCAAAGAGCCAATCCCATGTCATATAGCGTAGGTCAAATATTAAAGAGGTTGTCAGATCAATTCTTCAAGAGAGTTTTAAAATGTACTAGTTTTTAAGTACTATTGCAGGAGAGGCAAGGGAAAATAGGACTCAACCTCCTGCCAGGAAAGAATATTTATTTTTTTCTTAGTAGTGGATATTCTCAGTATTATTGATATTTCATATGTTTTAGGCCATCAAAAATATAAGTAGTCTTCCACATAAGAAAAATTGATGGGATAAACAAAACTGGCTGTCTCAATTGGTGCTGTGTCTTTAGGATAGTGAAAATTTTTAAAAATATGGAGAAGAATAGACATAGCTACTAAAATGGCCAATTAGCGATTTTTAAAATTTTTTATCTTAATTTTAATTTGATTTTTAAAAATTTTAAACAATTCCAACAATCTTTAAATTTAGTTACCTGAAAAATGATTAATGTAAATAACTAAATGCTAAAAAGTAATTATTTAAAAGGTTTTTTTTTTTTTTTTTTGAGATGGAGTCTGGCTGTGTCGCCCAGGCTGGAGTGCAGTGTCGCAATCTCTGCTCACTGCAAGCCCCACCTCCTGGGTTCACACCATTCTCCTGCCTCAGCCTCCCGAGTAGTTGGGACTACAGGCGCCCGCCACCACGCCCGGCTAATTTTTGGTATATTTAGTAGAGACGGGGTTACATCGTGTTAGCCAGGATGGTCTCGATCTCCTGACCTCGTGATCCGCCTGCCTCGGCCTCCCAAAGTGCTGGGAATACAGGTGTGAGCCACCACTTCCGGCCTAAAGGTTTTTTTTAAAAGCATGCACAACACTGAAAGAAAGCATAAGATCTTTAAATACCAACTATGAAATGTCACCATAAATTTAAAGTGGCTGCTGAAGCCAGGGACTACCATAAGCCAACTACCAGTCACTGTATCATACTGTATCATAATGGGAAGAGTTTTCATGGTTGTGCTGGTAGGAAGAGATTGGGCATAAGGCCAAATTATCAAAAAATAGAAAGTCTATGCCAACAAAACCCTCAATGAAAGACGGTCTACCAGGTGAAACAAAAAACAAAGGAAACAACTTATATACGAAAGGAAAGAAAGTGACACTTGCCACTAGTTTCTGAGTGACTGACAAGAAGGTTTTCTTTGGGAATTCTTAAACGGTAGTTGGCATCCATATGAGTTTGAGGTCAGTGTTCACACTATGTGACACATGCGAAGAATGTCAATATGATAACTTTTGTTTAAAATGTCCCATATTGCCCACAATCCTATTCAGAGAATGCATTAAAACTTTCTCTGTAGGAATAAATCCTAAAACAGATTAGTTAAAATTTTGCCAGATAAAGTTCAAATAAGCATGTTTTAAACAAACAAAAAATCATACTGTAAACCAACTCTATTCAACACTATTTCAACAAATATTATTTGAGTACTTGATACTAGGTACTGTTCTAGATTCTAGGCATGCTATAGTAAGCAACAAAGAAAAAAAAATCCCTGCATGCATGGATTGTAGATTCCAGTGAAGAAGATAAACAGAAAATTCAATTTATAATTGTGTGGTATTATATGTTTAAATATAATAGCTTTTGTGTGAGGGTTCTCCAGAGAAACAGAAGCAATGGTATATATATACATTTAAGAGAGAATGTTTCATGGGAATTGGCTCAAGTGATTACAGAGGATGAGCAGTTCTACAATATGTTGTCTTCAAGCTGGAGAACCAGAACACCTGGGGGTGTCATTCAGTTTGAGTCTAAGGGATGGAGAAGCCGGGAGCCAATGCTGTCACTCAACCTGAGGGCAGAGGCTTGAGAATCAGAAGCTTCCATGTATGAGGGCAGGAGAAGATGGATGTCTTAGCTCAAGAACAAAGAACAAATTTGCTCTTCTTGTGGACAATTTGTTATACTGATCCCTCAATAGATTAGATGATGCCCAACCAAATTTATGAGGGCATATCTTCTTTTTCAGTTTCCTAATCAAATGCTAATCTCTTCCAGAAACACCCTCACAGTCACACCCAGAATAAACAATGGTTTACAAGCTTCTGGATATCCCTTAACCCAGTCAAATTGATATAGAAGAGGCTGGGCGCGGTGGCTCACGCCTGTAATCCCAACACTTTGGGAGGCCGAGGAGGGCGGATCACGAGGTCAGGAGATCGAGACCATCCTGGCTAACACGGTGAAACCCCGTCTCTACTAAAAATACAAAAAAATTAGCCGGGCGTGGTGGCAGGCGCCTGTAGCCCCAGCTACTCGGGAGGCTGAGGCAGGAGAATGGCGTGAACCCGGGAGGCAGAGCTTGCAGTGAGCTGACATCCCGCCACTGCACTCCAGCCTGGGCGACAGAGCGAGACTCTGTCTCAAAAAAAAAAAAATGATATAGGAGAGTAACCATCACAAGTCCATCCTGTGTCAAATTGGCACCCATGTGTATTTTATTATGCCATATTTAATCTCCCAATAAAGACAATAACAAAATCATAATTTCATCTAATATGATACAACTATCCTTCGTACAACCAAAAACACACTACTGTTTTTTGCAGAAAAGGAAACAAAATTGTAAGTATGTTTACACTTCAATAGTGGAGTATTGCTGCACATGCCCATCTATATGGCTTGTGGGTCAGATAACACCCATAAACCATGTTTTATCAATTATCTGGGTATTCCTTAACCCAGCAAGTTGACACATGAAATTAACCATTCCAGCATCTATGGGAAATTATGGGTGTTAAATGTAATGCACTGGGCTAGAGGGACAACACAATGAATAAAAATCAATAGAAACAAACAAATAGTTCTCCAAGGACTTCTGCTATTGAGAATATCAAATAGCAATATTAAACAGCAAATTAAACAGACAAGACCGAAAACAGAATGAGAGACAGAGAGAGAGACAGACAGAGGACAGACAGAGGAAGATAGAGGGAGAAAAACGTGAAAAAATTAAAGAGATTTCACCACATATTACAGAGGAAAAGGGCTATGGAATACTGAAACAAAAGATGTTTTAAAATATGCTTTTCATATAAATTAATGAAGGAGATGATTTCAGGATAACATAAGAGAAACAATTTTGCGTGTGTGTGTGTGTGTATACACTATTTGAGAATTTTCTAGTACCGAATAAATCCATGATGCAGGACGCACAGTATCTGTTCATTAGCACTAACAGAAATACCTTAGTAACTAGATAAACAATAGTATCACTAGAGAGCAATTTATGAAGCAAGATCTGTTGAATTATCTTCAAAAATGATAACAAGGCTGACAAGCAATTTCTCAACAATGAAAAAAGAAGCCAAAAGTCAATTAGAGAATGTCTTCCAGATGCTGAAAGAAAATGTTCATCCAGTAGAACTGTGTACTTATGGCAGGACAAATAAACAATTTCAAGGATTCATTAAAATATGTTCTATTTGATAGAAAATGATTTAGTGATTATAGAAAAAAAAATCATGGCTTGTCTGGGGTTACCATGAAAGTTTGTTTTATCAGTTTCAGCAAGTTTCCCAATGCATGTTCCCCAGAGTTACTGGAGGCAGGATATACTTTGAAAGTCGCTTCCAGACATTCGTTAACCAGTGAACATGTGCACAGGAACATAAATCTGACATTTAAAGAATGGCAGTGTCAGGTCCACGTGTTCTGGGTCATTATATATTATGTTACTATTGCACAGTTCCACTCTAATAATTGCAGTTGATTAAGGCCTTTCTACTGTTTATAGGGTTTATTAATTGTCACACTTACTACACTACAGTAACCAATTTAATTAAAATTTTTGAATTAGGGCAAAACAGAAACATTTTCAGAAGAAAAAAATATAAAGAAGCCATTTAGAACTATAAGAGGTTCACGAAAATTCAATGAATAACTTTCAAAATGAAAACAAGAAGGTTTCTCAAAATGAATATGTAAGATTCAATACAGAATGTTTAACAAAGGAATAAATTAACCTCTAAATAAATCAAAACATTAGTTGTTAGTATAAAAACACACACAAAAAAGGTCTAAATTATGATGATACTCAGCAGGACCAGATTAAGTTACTGGGCAATACAAGCAAATAAACCGGTACAAGGGGAGAATGGGTGGGTGAGAAAGTCCTTTATTTTCCTTGTGTTGTTTGGAAAGGTAGTAAATATATATGTTAAATGAGTAGTAGGTTAAGTCTACATGTTCTATTATTAAACGTGTTACTAAAGAATAAAAATGGACTTTAGGATTACAAATCTTAAAAATGGAATCAATTTAGCAGAAGGCAGAATAATAAAAAGCACACATTTAAGCGGTAGAAATGTACACATATATAAGTAATCACAATTAATGTAATTGGGCTAAATGTATTTCTTATAATAACGATTGTAACTGGATAGAAAACATTACACTTCATTCTTCTTTAGAAGAGACATTCTAAAGTAGATCAACAGATAAAGGTAAAAAGTAAAAAGAAGGAAAGCAAAATTGATGAATAAAAAGGGCAAACATTAAAAACATTTAAGCTAGTTAGGAAAAACAAAATAGGCTCTAACCATAAAGTGGTAATAAAAATAAAAATTAAAAAATGACTGCAGGCCAGGCACGGTGGCTCACACCTGTAATCCCAGCACTTTGGGAGGCAGAGTCGGGCGGATCACAAAGGCAAGAGATAGAGACCATCACGCCCAACATGGTGAAACTTTGTCTCTACTAAAAATATAAAAATTAGCTTGGCATGATGACATGTGCCTGTAGTCTCAGCTACTTGGGAGGCTGAGAAAGGAGAATCTCTTGAACTTGGGAGGCGAAGGTTGCAGTGAGCTGAGATCATGCCACTGCACTCCAGCCTGGTGACACAGGAAGACTCCCTCTCAAAAAAAAAAAAAAAAAAAAAAAAAAAAGACAGCAAACTCTAAGACTCAGAAGCAGAGAAAATAAAAGATAATTTAAAATAATGAATGGGGAAAAACTTTGAAGAAAGGTAAAAAGGCCGGGGGAGACAGCCATAAATACATAAGAGTCAAAGCAAGAATGGGAGACAGAGGGTCGGGGGTTGACTTGTGAAAAATAGTTTCGGTAGAGAATCACAAGGTAACAAGGAGGCACTGTGAACAATGTCACACTCATACATTTTAATTCTTAGTTGTAATAGAAAATACACTAATTTTTTCAAAGTAATTTTAGCAAACAGAAAACTCAACTTGTATATAAACATTAAAAACATTTAGTCAGTGATTTCATTTATATACCCAGCTCACAAGGTTATAAATGTTAATTCCTCCATGGCATGATCCCAGCTCACTGCAACCTCTGCCTCCCAGGTTCAGGCGATTTTCCTGCCTCAGCCTCCCGAGTAGCTGGGATTACAGGTGCCCACCACCACACCTGGCTAATTTTTTTGTATTTTTTGTAGAGACGGGGTTTCACCATGTTGGCCAGGCTGCTTTTGAACTCCTGACCTCGAGTGATCTGCCTGCCTTGGCCTCCCAAAGTGCTACAATTACAGGTGTGAGCCACTATGCCCAGCCAAGAAAGAAACTATTCTAACCTAAACCTGTCCTGATTATTTTTAAAAAGGAGAAAATCTGTTAATTTTATTTTATGATTAAAGAATGTAGCAAAAATCTATAGCAAGTATCATAGTTACTGTTGAAACATAAAAGACATTTCCTTTGACTTAAGAAAAGTTTAAAAAAGTAGCTATTATTCTATTTAACATTGTACTGAAAATCTTGGAGCATACAATTATACATTAAATTATAGCACAGAATAAAATTACAAATTATTACAAGGAGAAATCAGTATTTTATAACATTTAGGAACAGTTTAAAAAGTAGATCAAACATCAAAAATTCCATTAACTTGGTGATTTTTTTCAAATATTAGTCATTCGTTTGAATTTTATAAATTCTGATAAAATTTCTATTTGTCAATATAAATTATTTTATTTTAACACTAATTTCTTAGCTGTGATAGTTGTATAATTTACTGACACAAATTTAATATTCATTCAGGAAATAGGTTTTCTTATGAGGAGTCAATATTTTTATCTGAAAGTATTAATCTATGCAGTAATAATCATGGAAAATAAATTTTAAAACTCAGTAGCATTTTATAACAATTTGTAAGAATCTCAATTTTTTACGAAAAGTCAAAGTAGATATTTAGCAGAAGAGATTATATGTATGGTTGGGTGTGGGTGTGAAGTACATACTGGGACATTCAAACGTGCGTCTCTTAAAATTACTATGTTTATAATTGACAGGGAAATTATATAATATTGACCTCATTACAATAATCAAATAATATTCATGATTATCCCATTTTGAATATTGTGCTTTCTTATGAAACAATATTACCAAGCATGATTCTATATGCAATGCTATGTATTTAAGGTTTTGTTTTGTTTTTGTTTTTTGGGGGGACAAGGTCTCACTCTGTTGCCCAGGCTGGAGTGTTGTGGCACAATTACAGCTCACTACAGTCCAGACTTCCCCAGGCTCAGGTTATCCTCCCACCTCAGTCTCCTGAGAAGCTGAAACTACAAGCACATGCCACCATGCCTAGCTAATTTTTGTGTTTTCTGTAGAGACAGGGTTCCATCATGTTGTCCAAGCTAATCTCCATCACCTGGCCTCATGCAATCCTCCTACTCTGCCTCCCAAAGTGCTGGCATTACAGGCATGAGCCGCCTTGCCTAGTCAGCATTATTCAAGATTTCATAAGGTAATTATTACTCATTTGTATTACTTAAGCCATATTTTACATCATTTTAAAACATTTATCATTTTACTAAGTTAATTGTAATCTGAGTATGTTATTTTACATTTTTTATTCTCTTAATCACATTATTCTTTTCTGTCACTCTCTCTAGATCTTGCTGATTTCCACAATCAAGAAATACAGCAGCATATTGCTCCAAGCAACTAAGTTCAAATGCACAGAAATTCTGAGTAATGTCTATCTGAATTTTTTCTTTGAGGAAAGTTATGTTGGAATCCATTTAAGATGAAAACTTTAAAAGGTACATGGTAAACTTTGCATTAAGTATGTGTCTGAATTTTATCTTTTCAATTTCCCTCTTGGCTCCAGAAGTTTGAAGCAATTAATCTTGAACATTAAAATACATTTGTGTTTGAAAAATCTTAATATGTTTAAACAGATAATGATTCTTATGTATTCTAGTTCCACATCTAAAAGATAACTCCACAACTTTAATTTTCTGTGAAGTTTATATTCTCCCAGATGTTTACATTAATCTTAAAAGAACCTTTTACTATTTTCATTTATAATTAGGTCCAACAACAATAAGCATTTTGATAGGATATCAAAGTAATTTTTATTCACTATACCAACTCCAGAAACATTAAAAAAAAAAAGCTAAAAGGCAAAAATGACCACAAATGTTAATCTGTTTCTGCAATCTAATATAAAATGTGAAACAATGGGAGAATTTAAAAGACACAAAAATAATGGGGAGGGGGTGCTATTATTTTGTGTTGGATAATCAAATAAATATTAACACAATGTTCTCAAAGTTCTTTTTTAGTTTTTTTTTTAATTTTTAAAATTTGTGTGGGTACATAGTAGGTGTATATGTTTATGGGGTGCATGAGATGTTTTGTTACAGGCATGTGATGTGAAATAAGCATTATGGGAAATGGGGTATCCATCCCCTCGAGCATTTATCCTTTGAATTCTAAATGAGGTAAGTAATCAGTTGAGGGGTGTATGGAGGAGTGGGAAGAACTTCCAAAAAAAGAGAAAAGCATGTGAAAGCATGGTAGAGAAAACTCCCTGCGTATATAGAATAAACTACATCTATTTCATTTGCCTTCCCAGACCCTTTCTCCCCTGACAGTTTGGAGCCCCCGGACGCTATACCTGAAACTATACTTACAAACTTTAGGGGGAGCTCTAACAAAGGCTCACCCAGGAGGAGCTGCGTGTCTTCCTAGTTCTAAATCACACAGGCATAGTCATTAATCCTGTCAGATGTTATTTTGTTTACAGGAAAAGACCGGGGCTCATTGAACTAATCTTTTCTAAAAAATATAGTGATTCAGGCAAAAGACATGGGCACCTGTGCTCTGAGCTGCTTATTGTCTCCATGGCATTCTTCTGAAGGGCTGTGCTTAGTCACTGAGGCGGGGGCTTTCTGAAATTCTGCTGGCAAAGGATTTTGTGACATCCTGCTGGCAAGCAGAATGGGGAAACATGGTCTCTCATGTTTGCAACTTGTTCTCACCTCATCTCACCCTTGTTCTTTCAAGCCCAGGGGTAGGAATTCTCTGCCTCCTTCCATGGTTGTTAGCTGCAGCAGTTTTCTGTATCCCTGTTAAATATATATATATATTTTTTTTTTTTTCTCTATCTGAACCAAAAGTAAATAAAAGACCACGTGTAATCCCATCCTAACCAAAAGGGATTGTTGTATGTAGAATATGATTTTTTAAAAAATAATTTATAAAAATATTTATGAATGGAATACTTTCTACTTAATAACTAAGTTGTTTAGTTGGGGGACTTCTTCCAAGTAAGTGGAGAATTTATTCATGTATCTATGTAGTGAGAAGCCGCTAATGTCTTAGCAGAAAAGAAAAGAAAAGAAAAATCCTTAGATAATTATGGTGGACGTAAACATTCAGCACTCCCTCCACCCCAGATATATTTATGTTTGAATCCCCGGAATCTGTGAGTATGTTCTTTACATGGCAAAAGAAATTTTGTAGGTGTGATTATGTTTAAGAACCTGGAGACAGGAAGACTTGCCTGGATTATCCAGGTGTGCCCAATCTAACATGAGTCTTTAAAAGCAGAGAACCTTTCACAATCATGGTCAGAGAGTGAGAGATGACTAAGGAAGAAATAATCGGGGAATTCGACTTTGCTGGCTTAGAAGATGGAGGGAAGGGCCGGGAGCCAAGGAATACTGGTGAGCTCTAGAAGCTGAAAAAGGCAAGGAAATGAATTCTCTAAAGTTTCCAGGAATGATTTTAACTTGAGACCCATTTTACACTTCTGTTATACAGAAGATGTGTTTACTGGTTTAATGCACTCAATTTGTGCTAATTTGTTATAACAGCAATAACGAATAAAACAATGGTAGCGATGATGCTTATGCTGATTATCAGAAGGGACATCGATATATGTAATATATTACAATACACTGAAGCCAGAGAAAACTGTGATGCTCTTCAGTGACTTCAGATAATTTTTTTACACCATGACTCTTCTTTTGTCTGACATTTTATAAAAAGTGTGCGAAAACATAATATTTTTAAATATTACTTCATCTACTTTGCATCCACCAGAATATCCTCAAATATTTTTGTTGTGTAAATGAGGCCTTGCTACAATTTTAGTGGTGATGAAGTAATTTTCTTACTGTTTATATAAAAGATTTTCTAGGAAGGGAGAACTAAATGACAATCGATTACAGATATTAAGGTTACTAATGCTTTATAATTTAAAATAAAATTTTCTGAATTGCAATCCAGGTAATCCAAAACAATTTACATTTCCACAAGTAGTGCATGAGTGCCAACTGTCTCATGCTTTTGCACTAATTAACATGATTGCTTTTCAAACTTTGCAAATTTGGTGATTTAAAATAAAATGTCAAGTAGAATTACTTAATTCTGATTGATATCATTCATTTATAATCTTTCTTATTGAATATTTGAAGTTATTATTTCAAAATTTTTTGTAAATAGGTAATTTCAGCCTACTGAAAAGATTGTAAACACAGTATTCAATGTAACTCATGTTTGAAACATGTAAAACTTTCATAGAAGTAGGGAAAAGGCAAACAGAAAACGGTGGTTTTTAATAACTGTTCAAATTGCTGGATTAATGAGATGACATATTAAATTTGAGAGAAAGTGAAACAGAGAAAGATGTTCCATGCAAGCTGCATGTGTAAACAATACCATTTTGGATGAATGGTCTACTTCATTTTATGTACCTAGGGAAGATTCTTTGTGTGGGTGAAAGAATATTCAAACACTTATAGGAAACATTGACCGTCAATATATTGAAAGACCTGGGAAAAATATTCACCTATTATCCTTATAAATTTAACTCAAGCTATTAATTGTTAATCTATCAGTAATTATCATATCAATAATTTATAAATATATAAATTTTAAATTTTCAAAAATATACAAATGTTTTTAAATATGCAATATAATGCACTAAAATAAATATTACTGAATTCATAGAAGAAACTCATTATTTACTTAAAAAGAGTTTGCTGTTGTATTTACATGAATCAATTGCAGATATCTATTTCAACCTGGATTCTCTAAAACCACAATACAGTAGTTCCCCACTTCCTTAACCATGGCAGATACATTCCAAGATCACCAGTGGATGCCTGAAACCATGCATAGTACTAAACCTTATATATGCTATGTTTTTTTTCTTCTATATATACATACCTATTATAAAGTTTAATTTATAAATTAGGCTACCATAGGAGATTAACAATATAAAACAGAACAATGATAAAAATATACCATAATAAAAGTTACATGAGCATGGTCTCTTTCTTCCTTTCTCTTTCTTTTTCTCTTCTCTCCATATGATTGACCATGGGTATGGTAAATGAAGCTATGGAAAACAGAAACATGGATAAGGGAAGACTAGCCAAGTCTAAGAAGAAAAAATGAATAGTTGATTTAAATAGTTTAAAAACATTTATGGCAGTTCTGTATAATGAAGCGATCCACATAAACTATAGTAACTTACTATATGTATTTTACTAAACTTTTCAGTAGTCCATGGTGTTTTCTTGATCATATACTTTTCCCAAAACATGAATATGGTTAATACAAACATATAAATATTACAGTAGGTAGTCAGGCAGACATGAGCAGGGCAGGAGAGCCCCCCCACACACAACCACTCCCGCCCCCCGCCAACCAGGAGTGTCAGGCGACCATCACGTGATGGTCAGACAGTTGTTAACTGTATCTTTAAAATAATAATTGGTCACAGGCAGCACTTGGAAAAGGCAGTCTCCCAGCCGGGCGCGGTGGCTCATGCTTGTAATCCCAGCACTTTGGGAGGCTGAGGTGGGCGGATCATGAGGTCAGGAGTTCAAGACCATCTTGGCTAAGATGGTTAAACCCTGTCTCTACTAAAAATATAAAAATTAGCCCGGCGTGGTAGCGGGTGCCTGTAATTCCAGCTAATCAGGAGGCTGAGGCAGGGAATTGCTTGAACCCAGGAGGCGGAGGTTGCAGTGAGCCGAGATCGCGCCACTGCACTCCAACCTTGGCGACAGAGTGAGACTCCGTCTCAGTAAAAAAAAAATAAAAGAAAAGGCAGTCTCCCTATAGATAGAAAAAACCTGAAACTGGTGATCAGCAGCTTCCAGATAAGATCTCAGGAACTGGGCAAGTGGGTTCACATATGCACACGAAGAGGCAAAATGGCGATGTTTAACCGGTATATGACTTTCCAGCGAGTTTCCCTTTCCACCAGTAAAGGGAAGAACGCCTCAAGTGAGCATGTGTACAACTCCGGTGAACACACTGTGCATACTCCCCTCCCAAGTGCTAGCAGGCCGTCATGCGTGCAGACAACCCACCCCGAGGGAAGAACCAGGGGAGAAGGCAGGCAAGACCCTGGAAGCAGGCCAACATATAAAAACCCCAAGTCAAAAGGACAAACCCCGCGCTTGCCGTTTAAGTCGCCTGCTTGGTCCTCTCCCAAGTGTACTTTACTTCCTTTCATTTCTGCTGTAAAGCAATTTTTTTTTCTTTTTTTTCTTTTTCTTTTTTTTTTGAGACGAGTCTCGCCCTATAGTCAGGTTGGAGTGCAGTGGCGCGATCTCGGCTCACTGCAACCTCCGCCTCCCGGATTCAAGCTATTCTCCTGCCTCAGCCTCCCGAGTAGCTGGGGCTACAGGTGCGTGCTACCATGCCCAGATAATTTTTGTATTTTTAGTAGAGACGGGGTTTCACCATATTGGCCAGGATGGTCTCAATCTCTCGACCTTGTGATCCGCCCAACTCGGCCTCCCAAAGTGCCGGGATTACAGGCGTGAGCCACCGTGCCTGGCCCTATTTCTGCTCTAAAGCTTTTTAATAAATGTTCACTCCTACTCTAAAACGTGCCTTAGCCTCTCCTTCTTCCTTATGCCCCTCAGTCTAATTCTTTCTTCTGAGGGGCAAGAATTGAGGTTCTTGCAGACCTGTATGGATTCACTGCCAATAACTCAGATACCCACCACTGATAACAGAAACATTTGTTATGTTTCATATTTTGTTTATGAATATGCTCTGAAAATCACAATTATAGAAGCTCTTTTCACAGGTCATAAAAGACCCATAGGAAAATATAAACAAACAAAAAATAAGTCACATAGAGATACAGTCACTAACACAGAAATGATAAACTCTGTAATTCTCTTAACCTGCAGATTTGTTTCACATTGTGGATGACAAATGACATACAATGATTATAGTTATCCACTGTCATACTTGGAGAGATTATTTAATTATGCTATATGCTACATTTTCACATGAATGAATTAAGAAAGATGTTATGGCCAAATGCACAGCATTTCCCACAGCTGCTTAGATAAGTAAATAAATCAAACAGTTATTTCCTAATCACACTAGCAACCATGGATAGCTCACAAGAAGGCAAGCAGTAGTAATCACCTCCTTAGGCTAGCTGTTTAATTTATCATGGTGGCAGTATGAAATGCAAGTCTCTGCAAAGAATCTCAGTGAAATAGCCTCTAAAGCATGGCCAGTTACAGTCTACTATTAGTATAATCATGCAATAAGAAAAAATGTAAAAGGTGTAATTGAAATATTTAAGAAAAACTACTAGTGATTAAATGTGCTTGATGCAGTGGTACAGTAAATTTCTGAAGTTTTGTTTATTTATTTTTGAGACAGAGTCTTGGCTCTGTCACCCAGGGTGGAGTGCAGTGGTGCAATCTTTGCTCACTGCAAACCTCCGCCTCCCAGGTTCAAGCGATTCTTTTGCCTAAGCCTCTTGAGTAGCTGGGATTAAAGGCACCCGCCACCATGCCTGGCTAATTTTTGTATTTTTAGTAGAGACAGGGTTTCCCCATGTTGGTCAGGCTGGTCTCAAACTCCTGACCTTAAGCGATCCACCCGCCTCAGCCTCCCAAAGTGCAAGAATTACATGTGTGAGCCACCGCATTCAGCCTATTTCTTAAGTTTTAAATGTAAATATCTGCGGTTCACAATATAGACAGCCAATAAATAGGCTCAATAGAAAAATAAAATTTGATTAAAACTAACTCTATCCCCAGGGAACTGGCTTTCTTCAGGACGTTTCTAGTAAGACTAGGACAGAATATAGCTGAACAAGCTAACAGATATCTGGCATACTCTCCCAATCACATGTCCTTCTTAAAATTAAAAATTGAATATGAAAATCTAGAAATAGATTTTCTAGAAACATGCTGAAAAATGTTACATGCTGAAGCATTCTACAAGATTTAGTAACAATTCTACGTATGAAGAATTCAAAGAAATCTTTATGATTAACAATGAGGGAGAATCATATTTAAGTACCATGCACAAGTTCACTATCCAATGGAAAAAGATAGAATTTGAGTTAAATCTGTATCATGTATTTTTGAGGATTTCCATGTAAGACAGGCTACAAGGGTCTGGAAGAACTAAACTATCTCATACCTCTAACAAAATTTAAATTCGCTAGTGAGATTGTGAAGTGAAAGTAAGTAGCTTGTCGTAATATTTAAATTAAGCAGAAGAAAAACATTATACATTACAGGTGATAAATATCTATGATTTAAATAACATCTTATCTTATAAAGTTATACTATAAAAACTTCCTCCTCTACTCCCCAACCATTGAACTCTGAAATGTAAAGTAAAAGTATTGTGTATGAAAATAAGACTCTTTAGGCCAGGCATGGTGGCTCACACCTGTAATCCCAGCACTTTGGGAGGCCAAGGTGGGTGGATCACGAGGTCAAGAGTTCAAGACCAGCCTGGCCAAAATGGTGAAACGCTATCTCTACTAAAAATTAAAAAATTTGCCGGGCGTGGTGGCGGGTGCCTATAATTCCAGCTACTGGGGAGGCTGAGGCAGAGAATTGCTTGAACCCAGGAGGCAAAGGTCGCAGTGAGCCAATAGCACACCACTGCACTCCAGCCTGGGCGACAGAGCAAGACACCATCTCAAAAAAAAAAAAGAGACCTTTTTTTTTTTTAAGTAGGATGCATACGGAAACTTTAATATTTTCAAGTAGAGTCCATACTGAATTATTTCTGACTCCATATCTAGAAAGGAATTCAGATGACAATTGTAAATTTATGGACTGCTTCAAATATAGTGAGGCAATTAGGAAATGTAAAAATAGGTGTCAAATATAGTGAGGCAATTAGGAAATGTAAAAATAGGTGTCAAATATATTTCATTAAAAATGAATGACAATTCACTGTGCCATTAATTTAATGGTAACAAAGATAACTTTTGAAAATTTTTGAGTCGTACCTCCAATAGAATTTAAGAAGCTATTGTACATGTGAAATAAGAACAAAGGTTTATGAAAAAAATCAAATTAGAAAAACCATACCCAAGAATGAGAAAAAAATAACTTACAACTTCTGATTTCAAGTTATGGTGCAGGTAGTGAAAAAAAAGTTGTAATCTCAAGCCTTAAACCAGTAATGATACTCTCTAGGGTATGAGTAAATTGATCCCTGGTAATCAAAGAGTGGTTCTCAACCAGCAAAATCGGTTTCTTCTAGGAACTACTTAAAAAGCAAAATCTTGAGCCCCACCCTCCACTGAATCAAAGCTCCTCTTATTTCCTCCTTTTTACAAGATTTACTACTGAGTTACATGCAAATTAATACAGCCAAATACTATCCTAAGGCCAGATTCCAGAGGGATTTACTAGGCTACTTTCCAAATTCTCTGCAACCAGCAAGGCCAGTGAATAGTAGCCGTAAAATAATGTGGGTGTGAAATAATTTGTTTACTGGCACAATTACTGATCAAATATATACACACAAAAAAAACTAATATGTTGTTCTTAGAAATTATTTTACATATCACCTAAAGTGTTTCTCATATTTTTTAATTTGCACAATCCTTTCTTACAGTCTTCCCTACATTTTTGCAACCTGTGGCTAAACAGACCATATTTTGTACTGTCCTATTAATTGTTTATTTTGAATTGCTTTTTGTAAATATGTGTTTTTACATTAAGGGGACCTCCAAGTTATTCTTTAAACGCTCCATTTTCTTTTAAGCGAACATTTTATTTGTTGACAGAATACAAGATTCTGAAGTTGGTTTTTAATGTCTCCAATTTGTTGTTTCTGTTATTTTTTGTTGCTTTTCCCCAATGTCTTGGTAATCTGAGCACAGGTCCCTGGCTTCAGTCACCATACTGACTTTAACTATAGTTTAAAAACCTGAAACTCCATCTTTCTGAGTAAAATATAGTATCCTCTGAACAATCATCCCACTGAATAATGAGGTAGAAGATATTTTAGAGGTGGAACAAAGTTACATGCAGGAAAAAAACAGTAGATCCAATCTATGAATAATAAGAATGTTTTAAAAAGGATATAACAAAATAAATAAAATCGTAAAATTTTACTGTTGTAAATTTAAAATAGAATGCTTTCAATATGTTACAGACAAAGGTGATATAATGCGAAAATACCTCAAAACACTCCTTATAGTCAAGAACACAGAGAGTAGAATCTTTAATGGACAGAAAAGAATGCTGTAACATCTCTAAAATCTCAAAAAGCGGTTTAGGTTCTATATATGAAAATATATATGACTCAAAAAGCAAATAAACTTTCCAAATTATTATCATGAAGGCTTATGTCCAAAATATAAACTATATCAGCAGAAAAGTTTTGAAAAATATATTTTAAAGAATCATATTAAAAAATAGACAATAACTAGTAAATGCAATTGAATGCACAATTTCCTAAATAATTGTTTAGAATATGGTTGGCAGATAATGGAAATAACGGGGCAGTTGATGGATTGACAAAAAGTTTGTGCTATTTATTTAATATACATACAATTGGGAAAGTTGAAAATTAAAACTTCTATTTACAACCAAAAAGAAACTAATAAATTAGGAAAATTACATGAAGTAGATTTTTAGGAATATAAACTAGGATATTCAGATGAAAATAAAACATTTTATTAGTCAACAAAAAGCACATTTAAACAATGTAATATCAGGTTACATCCAAAATAAAATAAACATAGAAAATGTACATATTAGCAAGAAATGGTGAAGTGAAAAGTTTAGGTGTTAATGCTAACAGCATGAAATGATCCAGCCATTTAGAGAGCAGTTTGTCACTATTTGGTGAAACTTAACTCCACAATTTCTTTCCTGGGAATATACTTCATAAAACTCTAGCATAATCATAGAAATGGACATGCGTGAGAATATTCATTAGAGTATTTTATGTGATAGCAAAGTCTTTCAAGAACGTAAATGTTCATCAGTTCTTAAAAGGATAGATAAAATGTGGCATACGTGCACCATGTAACAGTGTAACTTTCAAAATACATTTAAATTGATTAGTTTTTCATGGAGCAATGTTGATTTATTTATATTTATTTTTTGAAGACATGGTCTTTTTTTTTTTTTTCTGAGACGGAGTCTCACTCTGTCGCCCAGGCTCAGTGGCACAAACTCCACACACTGCAAGCTCCGCCTCCCGGGTTCATGCCATTCTCTTGCCTCAGCCTCCCAAGTAGCTGGGACTGCAGGCGCCCACCACCATGCCTGGCTAATTTTTTGTATTTTTAGTAGAGACGGGGTTTCACTGTGTTAGCCAGGATGGTCTCAATCTCCTGACCTCATGATCTGCCCACCTCGACCTCCCAAAGTGCTGGGATTACAGGCGTGAGCCACCGGGCCCGGCCGATATGGTCTATTTTTTTCAACCAGGCTTGAGTGCAGTGGCGATCATGACTTATGGCTCACTGCATCACTGTAGCTTTGACCTCCTAGGCTCAAGTGATCCTCCCACCTCACCCTCCCAAGTAGCTGGGACCACAGGCATGTACCAGGATGCCTAGTTAATTTTTTGGTATTTTTTGTAGAGATGGGGTTTTGCCTGTGTTGCCCAGCTGTTCTCAAACCCCTGAACTCAAGTAATCCGCCCGCCCCGGCCTCCCGAAGGGCTGGGATTACAGGAATGTGCCACCGTGTTTGGCTAGAAATGTTGACAGTTCTAAAGAAATGTTGAATAAAATAAGTGACAAAGAGAACAAACTTTTTAGCACAATTCATAAATGTATATTACAGCCAGTACACACACACAAAATTAACAGTACATAATGTTTATAGATTTATAATTATGTAAATAGATTTATGATTATTGTCAAAGCACAAAATAATTACATATAGTTCATTTCTGTTGGGAAAAGGCCATGTATAAGTCATAATATGTGCATATTGGCAGCCATTGATTACAGTGGTAAGAATTACTTTGAATTTTGGGTAATCATTTTCTCTAATGGCATTATATTTTCCCCTCATTGAAGAATTTTGCTTCATCCTGCTTATTTGGGAAAATATATTTTGGGGAGGGAGGGAATTTTTAAGAGGCAAAGCAAAAAAATTATAATGTCTGATTATAGCATTATATTGCTGACACCTTGGGTGAAGTGAAAGTGGATCTCAAATCTTAAAGGAATGTGAACGAAATGAGTACTTGAACCCCTGTGGATAGATGTAGAAAAATTAAAGGTATTTGAAAATTTTAGTAGCTATGAAAAGTGATTGCCATTGTGAAGCCTGCTGTTTTCTTTTAAAACATGGCAATAATGTATAAATTAAATTGCAACAGGAAGTTCATATTCTAGAATACTCAGTTGTTCTGCATGCAGAGTTGGATAAATGGAAAATATATGATAATTATACAGCATAAGGGGTAAAGAATTTCTAATCAGCTTAAATGTTTTAAAATTAGCCACTTACAGAAAAAAAGAGCAGTTAATTTTAAAAAATCAAGCTAAAAGGAGTTAATTTCAAGAAAACAGGATTCAGATAAGATATAATGGCCTAGATTATAATTTAATAAAAGTAAAGAGTATGCTTTTTTATTAATAAATATGTTTTTATAAGTTAAAAAGAAAATGATTACAGTAGCCACTTTGGTACTTTAAGCTGAAGGCATTATGTGACCATATAGTGAAGTAGTTTTAAAACCAACCCAATTTTCCCATAGAACTGAACGGTTTCTTTTGAATACACCTAGAAATGGACTCTGTCAGTCTTGAAATATGAGAAAGTTACATTTGTCTTATCTGAGTTTCTTTCTCAGGAGACCAACTAGCAGGCCTCCCAAATAGTATCAAGGAACTGAAACTTATCATTGCATCTGGACAATGAGATGTCAGACTTCTCCCCTAGCATGATTGCCTAACCGACCACCTGTTTCCTGTTGACCAACTCTTCCTCATTACCCCTCCCTAATTCCTGTTCCTTCAGGTAGTTACATTTCCGCTATATAAATTCCTAATTTTAGTTGGTTAGGTAAATGGATTTGAGACTGATCGCCCATCTCCTCAGCTGCAACTCCTAATTAAAGCCTCTTCCCTGGCAATACTCATTGTCTTAGTGATTGGCTTTCTGTGCATGAGTAGCAGCATTTAAACAGAACCCCTGGATTTTTGGTTAGTTTCTCCTTACAAAGTGAACATTACAGATATGTATTATTAGTGTGGAATATGTTAAGATGAAGATCACTTCCTCTCTAAAATATATTAACATTTGATAACAGTTATAAATATTTCCAAAATGTTGCTCCTTGATGTGAAACTTCGATTACGTAAATTAATAGCCTTTAATACTGACACTCGTCTAGAGTAACAGTTTGACAGTGATATTGTCCTAAATTTTAGGTAGCAGGTTGAAGATTAAAATGATTAAGCAAGTCGTTCAATATCCTTGAAAAAGTCTAAAGAACGGATAAAAGATTGCATCAGAGATTAAAATATAATGATAAAGGCAAATTGCCCAGGAAAAATGTAGGATGCCCCAGATGTTTATTGTCAGAAATGAAAAATACATCATCTTTGATTAACACGTACTTAAAGCACTTGTGAACTAACTCACAGCAGCTGATCCCTAGAATACTTTGTTACCTGTTACTATAGGTGCTTACTCAGCTTTTCCTTTTATTGTATTCGAGGATGTTTTTGAACACAGTCCCCAGAGAATAAAGCGACAGAACCCTTCTCTCTGCTTCATGGTTAGGACTCTCCTGTTAACTTTACCTAAAGAACTTCAGCTTAGCTGGGCAGGTTCCCTTTGTCCCAGTTAAGTTGGGAACCAGATTGAGCATTTAATAACTGCTTTGGGATATTTTTTATAAGGGAAGGTCTTTCAAATAAACATCAAGATTTGATGAAGTACAGGTTGTGTGACTACAGCCAAGCAGATCATAGGGATTGAAGAAGGAAAAAAAATCAGTTACTATTATCCTTAGATATCAGCAGAAGTCTGTTAAGTCAAAACTATTTCATATTAAGATTAACATGGTATTTTTATTATTTGTCTTTATGTTGACATTTAGTTTGATGATGCAAACCAGATGTGAGACAAAACTGCTGGTGCCTTAGCCCAAATTAAGGTAATGACAATTGACCTAGTAGCCATGTTTTTCAATGTTACATACTCAGATAAAAAAAAAAAAAGAAAATTATAAGGTCAGTTTCAGTAAGAAATACCCATTATAAAATAGGGAATATATATGAATATATGTATACATATATATAATATATATCCATACATATGTATGCATATATATAATCTCAATACATTTTAATATGCCATGTGATGAAATGAGATATACATATAAAGAACTTATGCTTCACACCAATAGATGTTTTGAGAAAAAGCACTTTGGAAAGTATCAAAACAGACAAACTGATTATTCAGAAGTGGACATTTGACAGATATTCTCTTGAAAATGAATGAAGTGAGCCTATCACTTTAAAAAATAAACAGAATTTTTGCCAATGATAAAATTAGAGCTTTCAAGTACAAAACCTAGTATTGCAGAAAACTTGTATCTGCCTTCTTAAAATTGACATGTTCTCGATGCTTAAGGAATTTTCTGATGACATTGGCCATGATATTAACAATGAACATGATCTTGATGTTGTTTAACCGAAGATGTCAACATTTGGAAGATCTGCAGAATTATTGAACCAAGATTATTCAAATGACAATATAAAAATCATGCATAGATAAAATTCGAAGAGCAACACAGATCAGTAGTTTTTGTTTTCTGTTTTTTTTTTTTTTTGAGACAAGGTCTCGCTCTGTCTCAAAAGCTGCAGTGCAGTGGCACGATCTCAGCTAACTGCAACCTCTGCCTCCTGGGTTCAAGCGATTCTCCTGCCTCAGCCTCCCGAGTAGCTGGGATTACAGGCGTGAGCCACCGCGCCGAGCTAATTTTTGTATTTTTAGTAAAGATGAGGTTTTACCAAGCTGGCCAGGGTGGTCTCGAACTCCTGACCTCAAGTGATCTGCCCGCCTTGGCCTCCCAAAGTGTAATTCCGAAGTGTTGGGATTACAGGAATGAGCCACCACACCTGGCCTCAGATCAGTAGATTTTAAGGAAACAATACAGAAAACGTTCTCTGATATGGTTTTGGATTCCACATTGTAACTAACCCTTAAGAAACTACAAATAGTCAAGTTTTGGTATAGTATTAAAGTTGAATAGTCACAATTATCTTTAAAATTTGTTTAAATACTTCTTTCTTCTTCAATGTTATACTTATGGGAGGCAAGGTTTTTTGTGTTATGTTTTTCTGCATATACTTCAAACAAATAGCATATTGAAACATTTTAAATAGAGAAGATATGAAAATTCAGCTGCTTTCTATTGTCCAATATTTGACAGATGTTTAAAAATGTGTAACAATGCTACTCTTCACACTAAATTTTTGTTATAGGAAATAGATTTTTTAAAAATTCTTCTTAATAAATAATAGTGTTATTTTTAAAAGAATAAATACATTCATGTTTCTCAGTTTTAAGCTTTAATATGGCATGTATTGATAGATACACCTCACATAAATAAAATAACTTTATGGTTTTCAATAATTTTTAAGAGATTATGTGGTTGTCAATTCAAAAATTTGAGAACTCACCTAGTACTACTAGATTGGTTTCATTCCTTTCATAAAACTTTTTAATAGGAGATACTTACTCACTTTTCAAATGCTTTGTATGTTAACTTACCTCCAACTTTTTTATTTGGACATTTTCATTTGAATACATTCATTCCTGTTGAGCCAAAAACAATTTGAAATTTTGTTAATTATTTTTATTATTCTACCATTTTCTTACTATAATTTAATTGCTAGTTATTTGGTTTCTATAGGTCGGTTTTTTTTTTTAGTATACATTTTATCACTATGCCATTACTCTCCTTAGATTCTTCAATGATAGTTTTCTAAAATTCTACCCTGCATAATTAAAAAACATACATCTTCTGGCCAGATGGGGTAGCTCATGCCTGTACTCCCAACACTTTGGGAGGTTGAGTCAGGCAGATCACGAGGTCAGGAGTTCAAGACCAGCCTGGCTAACATATTAAAACCCCATCTCTACTAAAAATACAAAAATTAGCTGGGTGTGGTGGTGCACACCTATAATTCTAGCTACTCAGGAGGCTGAGCCAGGAGAATCAGTTGCACCTGGGAGGCGGAGGTTGCAGTGAGCTGAGATCACGCCATTGTACTCCAGCCTGGGCAATAGAGTGAGACTTCGTCTCAAAAATAAATCAAAAACAAAACCAAAAAACCTTCATCTTCTCTACTTTTTTGTCTTATTTTTTGATTAACTTAATATTTTTTGCCTTTTTTTTTACCAATTTGTTTTAAATCTGTAGTTTACATGCATAATAATAAACTTGATGTGTTTCTTAATTCACTTTAACAACTCCATATTTTTAGATTTTAATTAGAGAGCATTTAGTGTAATGATGAATATGTTTTAATTTCTCCATTAATCAATTAAAATGTATAAAGAGTAACTGGGCAAGTAAAATAGAAGAAGAGGCACTGCAGATATTCAATAGATTTTCTGAACAATTTTATCAAGAAGAATACAAGTATCGGAATGAAAAGGTCTAGTGTGTAATTTTTCTGGGTGATGAGGATAATATGGAGAAAATATCACTGTACAAGAGAACTCAACCAACTGAGGATTCAAGATGATGGTTTATCTATCTACATAGATATTAAAGTCTTTCATGGATGGTAAAATGGCAAGTACAGAAACAGAAACTCCGAAAAAGAGAGAGAATCCAGGTGAGGGATCTTGAGCAGTTGAACACAGCAGACCTGACTGATTCAACTGAAAAGATTCATTTCGGTTTTGGCTATATTTTGATTAATATCATTAACCAAAATCTTCAATTCTGTTTTTCACATCTATTAAATTAGTTGTGCTCAATTTATAGTTTCCGAAAATAGTTGCACATTGAATAAAAAGGTTATTTTACTTATACTAACAATTTTTCATAGTTTATCTTAGTTTGACCTGAAAATTGTTATTTTTTAAATCCCTATTATGACACACAGGAGAAGCTACCACAAGATCTAGCCTACGTGAGAATGTGGGACATTTGTTCAAAATTATTAAGAATGTTGTCAGTGACAGTAGAGCATTAAACCAAATGCGGGTTTCTTTCTTATCATGAGGCCTGTGCAGCTACACAAATGGCATGCCTATAAGGGCAGCCCTGATGCCGAGGTAAATATTTACAAATCATTATAATACAAATTATAATGAATTGTATTATCTTGATGCTTCAGTGAGTTTCTTTTTTGATACTCAGGCTTGTCTCTACCCCATGCATCTAACACTTGTCACTTCTGCTTAGAGAGAAATCTACCATTGAAGAACGAGAGAAATAAAGAAATAATGGGGTAAATATCAAAATTCTACTGCTAAACACTGCCATGTCTTGAGCTATCACTTCCTTCAGTTGTCTAAATCTGATAAACATTCCATTATAGAACGGGTAAGACAGAACCGGAGTGGAAAGGAAGCAAGAAAACTGATACTGGTGAGAATTTCTATGCAGAAGACCTTGCCCTGAACACAATCAAAGGTAGCTTCCAGGAGAAGACACAGGGACACCAGATAAATTTGAAGAAATAAGCATCGAAGAGAACAAAGTCATGGTTTCTTAGAGGCCACATTGAGACACAAGGTCTCTAAGTCACAAAAGTGACAAAGTTGTAGAGTTGGCTCTTTGTGATAAAAAAGGGGGAATAATTCTCAAACTCTTCCATAAAACCAAGGAAAAACATGGAGGGTGAGTGAAACTTTCCGTGCCCATTAAGTGGCCTGAGATGTTGCTGAGTGAGTGCATGGCCTGGAGAACTCTTTTAGTAGATGGGGAGCTCAGTTGCCATAGGTCCTTTAACAGTTGCCAACATGGAGGTTTGATATTACCTGACAAAGAGTGAAACATATTATCTGTATTGTTCCTTTCTAACGCTGATATTAAAGACATACCCGAGACTGGGTAATTCATAAAGAAAAGAGGTTTAATTGACTCACAGTTCTGCAGGGCTGGGGAGGCCTTGGGAAACTTACAATCATGACAAAAGGGGAAGAAAACACATCCTTCTTCATATGGTGGCAACAAGGAGAAGTGCAGAGCAAAGTGGGAGAAAAGGCCCTTATAAAACCATCGGATCTCATGAAGACTCACTCACTATCATTAGAACAACATGGTGGTAACTGCCTCCATGATTCTGTTACCTCCCACCAAGTCCGTCTTGTGGCACATGGAGATCTTGGGAACTACAGTTTAAGATGAGACTTGAGTGGAGACATAGCCAAACCATATCATTATTTCACCAGCAGCCACTTCAGGCATATGAAGACATGGTTATGGTGAATAGAAGTAGGCATCTCCTTTTCCATGATGTTACAGGGCTTGGTAAACCTTCAGTTATTTAGAATTAACCCTAAGGAAAAGTGCTTAAAATGACATGTTTTCCAGAGATATTATAAATATATTTTCTTCTTTTGATATAATGAGGACAAACATATTCCTTAATTTGAAATCTAGAAAAATGACTCCGTCATATGAACATTGGAGGTTTTATTTTAAAAATTGTATACTCATTCCACTGACATTTGTCTTTTTGTCCATAAAACACATGCTTTAAAAGTAAATGGTTATTCATGTCAGTATGAATTGGGGGAATACTAATATCATAAAAAGATTTTAAGCATCACCTATGAATAAATACTGCCATAACCTTTTATAATTACCTAAATATTGTTACCATTATATAATAAATTGATGAATGTAAAGTTTATCATATTATGGCAGATTCATAGAATAATTTTATCAAAGATATAAACCTATTCTTAATGATTCTACATGATATATTAGACAAATTTTTTTAACCTCAGGACAACACGTATTTATATTACTTTTTCTGTGTTTCACTCAATTTTTATTCTGCTATGCCAACAGCAAATAATGTTATTTGCTACTTGTATTTATGTTTTCACTTTTATTATGCCTATTTCAAAATAATTCAAAGGTTAATGCATTGAATTATTATGTACTAAAATGAATCTAAACTACTAGACTGCTGTGAATGAAAAATAATTCTGTGTAATATATATTTAAATCATCAAGGCAGACTGATTTTAGGCTTATTTGTCATATAAATTTAATGGGGAATGCATATGTGTGTCACAGAATCTTTCTATAATTTTTTTAAGCAAGGGCATAAAGCATATTTAGTATAATTTGATAATGTACAGATTCTAATACCTAAAAATTTAATATCTATTTCATACAAATAAAATAATTCTCACATTATTTTTAAACAGAGAATTAAAAGTACATTGTCATAGAAACAAAGGTCTAGGAAATGTAAGCTAAGTTTTTAATTACTGTCTTAATAACCATATAGCCTTGCATAATTTTATCTATTATTTCCATAGGATTTGGGGAACAGGTGGTATTTGGTTCCATGAGTAAGTTTTTTTAGTGGTGATTTGTGAGATTTTGATGCACCCATCACCCAAGACGTATACACAGAACCCAGTTTATATTATTTTATCCCTCACCTCACCCCACCCTTACCCCCGAATCCCCATTGTGTCATTCTTATGTCTTTACATCCTCATACCTTAGCTCCCACTTATAAGTGAGAACACATGATGTTTGGTTTTCCATTCCTGAGTTACTTCACTTAGAATAGCAGTCTCCAGTTCTATCCAGGTTGCTGTGAATGCCATTCATTCATTCCTTTTTATGGCTGAGTACAATTCTATCGTATATGTATACCACAGTTTCTTTCTTTTTTTTTTTGAGACAGAGTCTCACTCTGCCACCCAGGCTGGAATGCAGTGGTGCAATCTCAGCTCACTGCAACCTCCGCCTTCCGGTTTCAAGCAATTTTCCTGCCTCAGCCTCCCGAGTAGCTGGGATTGCAGGTGCACACCACTACGCTCTGCTAATTTTTTGTAGTAGAGACAGGGTTTCACCACGTTGGCCAGGCTGGTCTCAAACTCCTGACCTCAAGTGATCTGCCTGCCTCAGCCTCCTAAAATGCTGAGATTACAGGGGGGAGCCACCGCACCTGGCTTATACCACAGTTTATTTTTCCATTTGTTGATTGATAGGCATTTGGCCTGGTTCCATATTTTTGCAATTGCAAATTGTGCTAATATGAACGTGTGTGCAAGTATCTTTTTCATTTAATTACTTATTTTCTTCTGGGTAGATACCAAGTAGTGAGATTGCTAGATCAAATGGCAGTTCTACTTTAGTTGTTTAAGGAATTGTCACACCGTTTTCCTTAATGGTTGTACTAGTTTACATTCCTACCAGCAGTGGAGAAGTGTTCCCTTTTCACCACATCCATACCGACAGCTATTTTTTTTTTTTTTTAGTATGGTCATTCTTGCAGGAGTAAGATGGTATTGCATTGTGGTTTTGATTTGCATAACCCTGATCGCTACTGATGTTTGAAAAAGCATACAAAAACATAAAGTGCAGAAAGGACACCTTATCAACAAATGGTGCTGGGATAATTGGCAAGCCACATGTAGAAGAATAAAACTGGATCCTCATCTTTTACCTTATTCAAAAATCAACTCAAGGTGGATCTAGGACTTAAATCTAAGATGTAAAACTGTAAAAAATCTAGAAGATAACATCAGAAAAACCTTCTAGACATTGGCTTAGGCAAAGACTTCATGACCAAGAACCCAAAAGCAAATGCAACACAAACAAAGATAAATAGCTGGGATTCAATTAAACTGAAGAGCTTCTACACAGCAAAAAGAACAGTTGGCAGAGTAAACAGACAACCCACAGTGTGGGAGAAAATCTTCACATTTACACATCTGACAAAGGACTAATATCCAGAATCTATAAGGAACTCCAACAAATTAGCAAGAAAAAAACAAACCATCCCATCGAAAAGTGGGCTAAAGACATGAATAGACAATTCTCAAAAAAAAAAAAAAAAAAGACATACATATTAGTCCATTTTTATGCTGCTGATAAAAGACCTACCCAAGACTCCACATGGCTGGGGAGGCCTCACAATCATGGTGGAAGGTGAAAGGCACATCTCACATGGCAGCAGGCAAGAGAAAAAAATGAGAGCCAAGTGAAAAGGACAACCCCTTATAAAACCATCAGATCTCATGAGACATATTCACTACCAGGAAAACAGTATGGGGGAAATCGTGCCCATTATTCAATTATATCTCCCTGAGTCTCTCTCACAACGTGTGGGAATTATGCTAGAAGAGTCAAACATATTTTTGATAAGCTATTAACCATTAATAGGCAAACTTATTAACTAAAACTAGAAATAATTTCTGTATTAGTTTGCTAGGGTTACCATTTAAAAAAAATTATAAACTGGGTGGCTTAAACAACAGACATTATTATTTCATAGGTCTGGTGGTTAGTAGTTTGAAATTAAGGCAACAGCAAAGTTGGTTCCTTCTATAGGCTGTGAGGGAGAATCTGTTCCGTGCCTCTCTTGTAGCTTCTAGTGGTTTACCAGCAATTTTTGTCATTTCTTGGTTTATAGTAGCATAACTTCAATCTTTATAAGTCATTCTCCCCTGTCTATCTATGTCCATTTTGCCCCTTTTTATGAGGATACTAGTTCTACTGATTTATGAGGACACCAGTCATTCTCCCCTATTTGCCTGTGTCCATTTTGCCCCTTTTTATGAGGACACTAGTTATATTGGTTTAGGGTTTACTCTAATAACCTCATCTTAACAGATTTAGATGCAAAAACCCCATTTACAAATAAAGTCAGTAGTGATTAGAGCTTCAATTTCTTTTGGGAGACGCAATTAAACCCACAACAGTTCATTTTTCAAATATAGTATATCTCAGCTATTTAGTTAATGTCAGACCTTCAAAAGTTGAACTACTGTAACTTTTCCAAATTCACGTCATTTGCTATATGATGTGATTGGAGGTGAAAAAAGAGTTTTCTTGGTTTCTCAACCTAACCTGTTGTCCAAACCTAGTTTCCCTGAAAGTATTGCTTTGAGAATTTCAGCATGAGTCCAGTAGTTGTTAGTCTTTCCCATTTACTATTTTGGGATTTTGGGAGTGTCCTATAGGGAAGAGGTGTGATTAATAGGAACTTCTTTCTGTGGTCCTAGAAAAATATGATCCAGGGATATGTGATTCTTTATCATGTCCTTAGCAAGAGATTATGCTTTGAAGTGACTAATTACTTTACAATTTTTCAAAATGCCTTGAAAAGAATTGCTGGTTAACTGCAGAATTATTTCCATCTCCAACAACAAGAAATTATATAAGAAAACAAGTATTCAGGCAAAGGGCATTGCAAAGGATATCATTGTCTTCTTAAGAGACATAAAAAACAGTGTAATGGACCTGGTTAAAGTCAACCACACAATATTAATAGTTAAAAAGGTACATGACATTTCATCAAAGGATCCACAAGCCTTTGCAATTGCAGTAATAAGCCTTGAACACTCTTTTACACTGTGGAGTGATGAGTGAGAAAAGAGGGAATAAGGGAGTTAAATCATGTTATCTCTTATCTCTACCTCCTCCTGAATAAATTGACTTTTATTTTAAAAGCCCAGGTGTCAAGAATAGCTAATTAGCACAGACCATATGCTGAAATTAGGAGAACTGGAATAAACAATCCATAATTATGGAGCGGTTTTTACTTTCTTTTTTTCTCCTTTGAATTTCATTTTAATATCTTATTTGATTTTATGGGCAGGGCCAAACAATTTAAAATAAGAGCTCAATGGAAAAGAAATTTCAGCTGGGGAAGCCTAGTTCACTTAATGATTTCAGCATTACTTTATACCTGATTCTTGGGCAGAGAAAGTAATATGAAGAGAACCTCGTGTCTGGCAGCTATTTTCCATGAAATAGTCTACATGACCTTAACCTTGACTAAGCATGTGTTTTCTAGATCAAGGATGCTGCTGCTGACAGAATTTGTGAAGAAATTGGCACCTTACAAAACTTTCTTAGGTCAAAAGAAAAAATCTTTTGAAAATATGTGATGTTGAAACTACAATATAAATGATGAGACAGTGTCATCCAGTTGAAGATGGAGAAGTGGTATTTCAGGAATTGAAATCGAGCCAAGGGAAGACTTGATGTGTTTAGGGAACTAAGAGCACTTGGATAACATACAGGAAGAGGAGAGTTTTGGGAGATTGAGGCTGGAGAGGAAATAATAAAAATGCAATAGCATCAGTCTTGCTGACATCTAATGTAAATATAAATAGTCAGTTACAGGCTACACAAGAAAATCCTGATCATACAAGATTATGCTATTCAAAATGCTTTCCCCTGCCAGGATACCCTAAGTTGAAAAGAATCCCAAAACATAGTTATTAATATACAGATAAATGTGTCCATAGAAAGGAAATAAAGAAGAATCCTCTATTATACCATTCTTTGGAGACACAAAGAGAATGGGGACAAAGGTAAAAAAAACACACTGATCGTCACTGCAAGTCTACACTGCATTAGACATTTTGTTTTGTTTGCTTGCATGAATTAGCTCATGTAATATCACAACAATCTTATAAAGTAAATGCTATCATTATTTTCATTAAACTGTCCAAAGTTACAAAACTGGCTTATTTTATATCTGAAGTAAGAACGAAAAAACTGTGGTTCCAAAAACTGACTAATAATCATATGCTCTTCCAAGAAGCAATGGTAAATTAGGAGTCTCCGTGAAAGGCAGATATATCCTGTTATTTAATACAACCCCTAATTTTAAAGGACTAACAATAACATCAGTAATTTCTGAGTGGTGAATGCTTTATTTTTTTCTTGTGATTGTCATACACTTCCCCTACATTAGAGACAATAAATGTAGTCTTGTTTGGTAAGTGAGACAAACAGAAATAGATTTACGTATGTTCCCACAGTTACTTAGTGGAAAAACTAGACAACTAATGTTTTAATTGTTAATCTAGTGTAATTCCGATTGAACCACATTAATTCAAAAAATTCCCACCAGTTGTTGTTTGGCCTAAAACACAATAATGCTGCTGACCAAAGAACACAAAATACAAAACTTTTAAACCTTGTCTTATCCATAATTTTTATACATCTCCATAGCTCTACAACCAAAATCATCTGTCATATTGTGCTGATTTCATTCATACAAAAACAGAACTCAATGTATTTTAAGGTTATACCTTCATTATTACGTTTGGTTAAAACCTCAGCTCAATGATGATGAACTATAGTTACAGAAAATTGTCAGTTAATCTTGGTTTTAAAATTACCAGCATCTAGTCAGACGTGGTGGCTCATGCCTGTAATCACAGCACTCTGGGATACCAAAGCAGGTGGATCACTTAAGGTTAGGAGTCCATAGACCAGTCTGGCCAACATGAAAAAACTCCGCCCCTACTAAAAAATACAAAAATTAGCCAGGCCTGGTGGCATGTGCCTGAAATTCCAGCTACTCAGGAGGCTGAGGCAGGACAATCACTTGAACCTGGGAGGCAGAGGTTGCATTCAGCTGAGATCGTGTCACTGTACTCCAGCCTGGGTGACCGAGCAAGACTTCATCTAAAAATATAGTAACAGTAATAAAAAAATAAAAAAAGAAAAGAAAGACAATTACCAGCATCAGAGTTTGAAATCTTTTTTTTTTTATTTTTATTTTTTGAGACACAGTCCCACTCTGTCACCCTGGCTGGAGTGCAGTGGTGAAATCTCGGCTCACTGCAACTGCGAGGTGGCAACGTGCTAGCAGCCTTTGCTCACTCTCGGCACCTCCTCCGCCTCAGCATCCACTCTGGCTGCGTTTAAAAAGCACTTCAGTCCGCCGCTGCATGATGGGAGCCCCTCGCTCGCTGTGGCTGGAGCCTGCTCCCTCTGCTTGCAAGGAGGTGTGGAGGGAGAGGCGCAGGCAGGAACTGGTGCTGCGCACGGTGCTCCTGGGCCAGTGTGAGTTCCAAGTGGGCACGGGCTCAGCGGGCCCTGCACTCCGAGTGGCCGGCCAGGGCTGCTAGCCCCGGGAAGGGAGGGGCTTAGCACCCGGGCCAGCAGCTGCAGAGGGTGCCGGGTCCCCCAGCACTGCCGGCCCGCCTGCCTGCGTTTGAATTCTCCTCAGGCCTCAGCCGCCTCCCCAAGGGCAGGGCTCGGGACCTGCAGCCCACCATGCCCGAGCCCACCCCACCATGGGCTCCCACGTGGCCCGAGCCTCCCTGGATGGGCACTGCCCCCTGCTCTGTTGCACCCGGTCACACTGACTGCCCAAGGGGTGAGGAGTGCAGGCATGCAGCGTGGGTCTGACGGGCAGCTCCGCCTGCGGCCCCAGCGCAGGATCCACTAGGCAAAGCCAGGGGGACTCCTGAATTGGGTGGGGACTTGGAGAACTTTTATGTCTAGCTGGAGGATGGTATATGCACCAATCAGCACTCTGTGTCTAGCTCGGGGTTTGCCTATGCACCAGTCAGCACTCTGTACCTAGCTAATCTGGTGGGGACTCAGGGGAACTTTTATGTCTAGCTAGAGGATTGTAAATGCACCAGTCAGCACTCTGTGTCTAGCTCAGGGATTGTAAACGCACCAATCAGCACTCTGTAAAACGGACCAATCAGATCTCTGTAAAATGGACCAATCAGATCTCTGTAAAATGGACCAATCAGCAGGATATGGGTGGGGCCAGATAAGGGAATAAAAGCAGGCTGCCTGAGCCAGTAGCGGCAATTCCTTGGGTCTTCTTCCCTCCTGTGGAAGATTTGTTCTTTTGCTCTTCTCAATAAATTTCGCTGCTGCTCACTGTGGGTTTGCACTGCCTGTAGCAGTCACTGTAAAGGTCTGCAGCTTCACTTCTGAAGCCAGCAGGACCATGAACCCACTGGGGGGATCGGAACAACTTCTTGCCTTTGAGAGCTGTAACAGTCACTGCAAAGGTCTGCAGCTTCACTCCTGAAGTCAGCTAAACCAGGAACCCACCAGAGGAAAGAAACTCCAGACACATCTGAACATCTGAAAGAACAAACTCAGGACACTGTCTTTAAGAACTGTAACACTCACCGTGAAGGTCTGCAGCTTCACTTCTGAAGTCAGTGAGACGATGAACGCATCAGAAGGAAGAAACTCCGGACACGTCTGAACATCTGAAGGAACAAACACAGGACACACCATGTTTAAGAACTGTAACACTCAACTGCGAAGGTCTGCAACTTCATTCTTGAAGTCAGCGAGACCAAGAACCCACCAATTCCAGACACACAACCTCCGCCTCCCAGGTTCAGGCGATTCTCTTGCCTCAGCCTCCCAGTTAGCTGGGATTACAGGCGCTTGCCACCACACCCAGTTTGTGTTTTTTTTGTATTTTTAGTAGAGACGGGGTTTCACCATGTTGGCCAGGATGGTCTTGATCTCCTGCCCTCGTGATCCACCCACCTTGGCTTCCCAAAATGCTGGGATTACAAGTGTGAACCACTGCACCCGGCCTGCAAGCATCTTTGATCTTTGCAGCAGTTTGCTAATGAAATCAATAAACTTAACCTGGACTTTTATCTTCAGAATTATTTCCAATAGTTTTAATTAAACATTTTGCTAGCATTAATAATTCACTTTTTTTTTAGTGGATAAATTAACACATGTTAACTGCTTATGGCTAACAGATGTAGTGTTAACAAAACTCTAGTTTCCAAAGTAATTTTGTCTTTTGTCGCTGATTTCAGAAAGTATCAACTCTTGAAATGAAGACAGATGAAACCATTTTAGGAAAAAATAAATAGGAAAAAAGAGGCATTAATCATCAAAACAAAAAGATCTGAGCATAAGAACAAATATTGTGGTAAGAAAAGTTTGATAGAAGAGCAAATATTTGGCAAGAAAAATTTACCATTGTTTCCTGGAAGGGCATAGTGATTAAAATCTCATCTTTGGGGACCAGACTTTTTAAATTTTTTGTGTCTCCTAAAAAGAAGGTTTGTTTTCATTATGCATTTTATTTTTCTATTTTCAAGTCATTCTAAATAAAATTAGGAACAAAATATAAGTTTTATGGTTCCTATGCTTCGTCTATATTTAAAAATATATTTTAAAAAACTTATATTTTCTAAAAATTAAAAGGAGGCATACTGTAACTACCTGATGGATTCTTCTTGCCCACTGTACAGACAAAATCAATCTAATAAGAACATGGCATTCAATGAAAGAAAGATTTTAGTTGATGCAAAGCTGGCCAAAACATGCAGGAGATGGAGTTTTTACTTATATCAATCTCCTTGAAGGCTGGAAGGTTAGGGGTTTTTCAAACATAGGTTAGTGGGCAGAGGGTATGGGGAGTGCTGAATTCTAAGTTTGGAGATGAAATCATAGGGAGTTGGAGCTGTTCTCATGCACTGAGTCGGTTCCAGGGTGAGGGCCACAGGACGAGTTGATAAGTCTGGGTTGGTCCATTTGGTTGGCAGAAATGCGAAAACCTAAGAAGACATCTCAAAAGGCCAATCCTAGGTTCTACAATAGTCATGTCATCTGCAGGAGTAATTAGGGAAGTTGCAAATCTTGGGACCTCCAGTCCATGGCTGGTTAATTATTTAACTACACCTACATCTTAGTAGAATTCATGTCCTTCTCATTCTCCTAACTTGGTGGCCTTTCATTGGTTTCACAAGGGCAGTTTAGTTCTTGGGAAGGGCTATTATCATTCAAACTATAAAATAAATTTCTCCCAAAGATAGCTTGGACCATGCCCAGCAATGAGCAAATATAACCAACCTGTGAGACTACAAGCAAGATGGAGTCAGCTGTTCAGAATTCTCTTACTGTCATAATTTTGCAAAGGCATTTTTTCAATACCTTTTAATAAATTGATAAGCTGTATTTTTTTGTAGATGTTTCAGTTTTCTAGTTATAAAATTATTTGAGCAACATATTAAGTACTCAGACACAGTTAAAGTAAAAATACTAATATTTATTAATGTCTACTTTTTTCTTAACTCGTTAAAGTAAAAATACTAATATTTATTAATAAATGTCTACTTTTTTCTTAACTAGGTTGCTTATCTGAAAGAAGGAAACCGCCTTTGCAGAAGTGAAAGAAACCTAACTTAACTGACTCCATCTTGCTTCTACCTTCCAAGCTGTCCTTGTTCATTCCGGGCATAGGCTGAACAAACTTTGGGAGAAACCTAGTTTATAGTTTATAGTTTAAACAAAGATGGTAACAGCCCTTTTCCAAAGCGGACCTCCTTCTTGTCTGGGAACTAGAGTGCCTTTGTAGGACTAATATTAGCCACAATATTAGAGATTATGGTTTAGGAGTCATGCAGCTGGAGGCTACAAGATTCTGACCCTCTCTAAACTGCTCCTAAGAACACTGAGATATTTTTCAGACCCTGCACTTGATGGATCAGCTGGCACCACCCAGATCAATAAACTGGCTCATCTGATCTTGTGGCCCAAACCCAGGAACTGACTCAGCAGAAGACAGCTTCAACTCACTTATTATTTCATCCCTGATCAATCAGCACTCCTGGCTCACTGCTTCTCCCCACCCAACTTCTAAGTTATCCTTAGAAACTCTGCTCTCCAAATGCTTGGAGAGACTGATATGAGTAATAATAAAACTTCGGTCTCCCGCACAGCTGGCTCTGCATCAATTACTCTTTTTTTATTGCAATTCCCCTATACTGATGAATTAGCTCTGTCTAGGCAGCAGGCAAGGTGAACCCCTTGGGCGGTTACAACAACATATTGTGCAGATCACTATGATGCAGGATTTTTGCTTCTCAGTTCAGCTAAATCCATGTTCTTGTCTCACAACCAGGAAAAATTAGGCACAAGGACACATTGAAGAGTGAGCGGGTGGAATATATTAAGTGAAAGGAAAGCTCTCAACAAAGAGAGAGGTCCTGCACTTAGGTTTCCACCTCACAAAATTGAATGCCAGGTTACCACACACTAGTTGAAGAGGCAAGGCTCCTCCCCAGCATAAGGTGTGAATTTCTGGTGGCTATACTCTATTCACCCCGTGCATGTGGGGAATGCCCAAACAAGACAAGCCCCCTATGCAGGTTCCCCTATCTGCAAAAACCTGGTGGAAAGACTTGTGGGATGGGTTGGAAATTCTCCAGGGACCTTTCTCTATTTGCCTGAGCATTTGGCTGTCTCTTGCCCCTATCAACTATTCACTACATAAAATTAGTTCCTTGCAAGTATTTTCATGCTTATCCCAAAGCTTGTGTAGATGACACTTCATTTCAGTTAATGGGTTCTGTGAAAAGTTTTCCTTAAATAAGCAAGAAGAAAAAAATGCTGTCTTTTCGATCTAGAACGCTCACACCAATCATAAAAAGAAAAATCAACTTGTATTAAATTGGTTCTACAAAAGATATGTTAACTGGAACAGAGTTCAATATCTATAGAAAATGTTAGATGGAAACCAAAACTTGAACATTGTTTTTAATTAAAAAAGGCTCATTAGTTTTGAGTTTGTCAGCACAATAACCTAAATATGTCTGCAAAATAACAGAGTCATTATCATTGAACTATATGTAGATCTGAAAATAAGTATCAGTACAACAGGCTTCCCCCCTCTACTTTTTTCCTTCCTGCCCTACCCACGAATAGAGAACAACTTCTCTTTCACCTGTGCCAAGGATTAGGAGAAATGGTAAATTATTAGTTTATATATATATATATATATATATATATATATATATATATATATCCAGGAATTAAAAAATTGCATGCAAATTTAAAACAATGTTCTACAGCAGTAATTTAACTAGCATTAGAAGGTTGAAGACATTAGTATATAAAAGTTCATTTGATTTAATTCATTATTTTAAGCTAGAAATTTACTCCCGTGCAATTCACTTTTTTCCTTTCTTTTTTTCAGGTGTAAGTACAAACTGGAAAAGGATATTTAATTATTAATTTAGAAGAGAAAAAGTTGTGCAGAGGGTGAGCTAACATAGATGGAAGAACGGAACGTAAATATATCAATTCTGCCGTTTAAATAAGAATCAAACTGGCCTCAAACCACAGCAGCGTAATTTCCATAGAGAAAAAAGTAAAACTCGAATAAAAGAATTAACTAAATAAAATACACCCAAAAAAAGACAAAATCAATTTTTATTTCAAGTGTTCATGGAGGAGATAAGTATAGATCTCAGGTAGTCTCATTAAGCACAGTTTTCAGAAATTATAAAAAGTTGAAATATTGCAGACAAGACTATGTGATTATATTACACTAAAATAAAATGTCAAAAACATAAGCACATATAAAAACTGTTACTAAAAATAACAATTATATGATAGCTTTGAAAACCATATTAATTATTTGTGGATCTAATACATTTAAGTCTATCTAGAGTAAACATGCACACACACATATGTATAATTAAAACATTACATAGCCATCCTGGTGGGAAATAGCTAAAGCTGAGCACAGAATAAGAGTAACAGTATTAAATATTTTTGTTAATTTAATTTTGTTTAAATAAACTCATGAATTTCAACATTTAGCAAAGAAAGACAACAAAGACTATTACAACCTAAGAAAGCAAAGGGGGCATAAAGCAAAGGGAGGCAATTAAACATAAAGGTAGAAAATAGCCAATTAAAGGCAATAATGTGATAGAAACCATATAAAAATTGAAATGCGGTTATCTGATAATCAAAATATTAGCTAACAGCCAACAAATACATAAAAATGCAACACTCAAAATAAGAGATGGTTATTAGGAAACCACAACATATACAAATAATTAAATAATCGAAAGATTCCTTTGCCCAATGCTATTTAATAAATTTAAGGATCAGAATTAAATGGATAAAACTGTAGAAAAATAGAACATAGGAAACTTGGTAAAGGAACTCAAATATAAAACGGTGTAGTTAAAGTGACGGGTCATAACTAAATAAATTCATTTTAACCACAATGCAAAATTTATCTTAAGCAGAAAAGGTTTTCAATATTTCACCTTTTTAATACCCTTGATGCAATTTAAATATTCAATTTCAATTTATTATTTCAAAAATTATCGTTCCATGCAAAAATGTGAGTGTTTTATTACCCTATATTTTTTCAGAAACTGATAGTTATGAACTGAATTGTGCCCCTCCCTCAAATTCATATGTTGAAACCCTAATCCGTAATGTGACTATATTTGGCCATAAAACCTCCAAAGAGGTAATTAAGGTCAAATGAGGTCACAAAGTTGAGGCTCTAATTCAATATGACTAATGTCCTCATAGAAAGAGGGAGAGACACTAGACATGTGACATGTGAGAATATAGTCAGAAGGTGGCCATCTGTAAGCCAAGGAGAGAGGCCTCAGGATAAACCAAATGTCTAGACACTTTGATCGTAGACTTTCAGCCTTGGGAACTTTGAGAAAAAAATATATATCTGTTTTATAAACCATACAACTGGTGATAATTTGTTATGGCAGCTCTTGCAGACTAATATGCTGATAATAGAATTCAATACAAATCGCATGCCTTTTGAAATGTTTAAAGTTCAGCCAGTCATATTCAATTATGATTGATATTATTTTCCTAGGTGGAAATATAATACTCTTACATTGGAATATATAATATTTAGCACTAAGTGTGAATGCATATTTTAAGAGAGGGTTACAATATTGAGGTACCTATTTAAGATAATAATACTGGACACTTTCTACAGTTGTTTAATATTATTTTCTCTAAGTTCAATTATTTTTATTTAGGGCAAACTGGAACTGCAGTACTATTCTAGATTACCGGGATTTGTTGTTTCAATAAAAGCAAAAGAGCTGCGTTTGATCTAACAATGTTTAGTGAGTGCCTTCTATATATCAGACTTCGTTCTAGGCACTAAAGACATAGCAGTTATTGAAACTGAGTCAGTCTCTGCTTCAGTATAACTTGTATGTAATGGGGAGACATAATGATAATTACATGATGTATCAGCTGGTGCATAAGCACTGTGAAAAAAAATCAAACAGGATAAAGGGAACATTTGGAGTGCCACTTTTTGGTTTATAAGGGACTCCTTAGAGAAAGTGGCATCTGAGCAGAAAAATACATTATTCCCTTTATATTTTATCATCACTTGAGTTGTATTATTTGTTAGTGGGAATAATTGTGCCAGAGACTGTTTCAATATGACATGACCAATCAGAATATCCAACCTTCCTAGAGTGTTTTCCCAAACTGTGACATGGAGTGAACAAGAGTTGCCAGATTCTTCAGTTGCTTCCCAATTTGCCAATACGATTTGGGGAAAAAATTTAGATCATGTGTTTTAGGGCCTTAGTTATCCAGAACAGAAAACAAATATCTTGAGGCTAGAGATTGTGCTTTCATGTCCAGTTTTAGTTCTCATATCTTCCTTCTGAATAGATAAGAGGATATGAAAAATAAATTAAATTAACTGGTAATAAAAAAAATGATAGAAATTTCTGCATCAAGTTTATTAACAAAAAATATTTTTGAATCTTATGATAGTGTGTTTCAGAGGGAAGACTTAGAAAACGGGAAAAATAAAAAAGAACAATGGGTTTGGTGAAAGGAAAATTTCTGCACTGAGAATGAGTTTAGATTACATGCTTGCTAAGACAGCTTCTTCCTTTAAGAGTCGCAGAGGTAGATAATGGAGAGGTAGAGAAAAGAGACGGGGAGGGATGAGAGGGTAGGTGGGAGGAAGGACAAAGAGAAGTGGCTTAAAGGGTACAGACATACAGTTGGATGGAAGAAAAAAATTCAATGTTTGATAGATGTTTAGGGTGACTAGAGTCAAACAAAAATATATTGCACTTGGAAGGCGGACACCCTAAATACTATGACCCGATCACTGTGCATTATATACATGCAATAAAATCTCACATGTACCCAATTTACTTGTAAACACTTTTTTAAAAAAATAATTAAATAAATGCTTGCTGCTTAAAAAAGGAAAAAAATTGAAAACGTTATTTTGAAGACTTGTAGCCAAGAAAAATTAGAATTTAGCTGAAACTGTAGAAAATAATAAAAAGCGAAAACAAAATTAGGCAAACTAGAATCTAATAACAAATGTACTCTAGTTTTGAAACAATGTTTTCTCTCTCCAGTCTCCCATTTCTACTAAAGAAAAATCATGGTAGGACTGGTTTGCATTATCATACTTGGTCTAATTATTAGTATACAGTGCAGCAAGAATAATTATTTTTTACATAGGCTTTTAAATTGGCTTTGATGGAACTTTGTTCCATAGGAGGAATCTCAGATAAGACATTTTTAAAGCCGGGCCCAGTCATGGATTTGCGCCATCAAATATCCATGAGTGGGGTGAATTTCCTCTCCTCTTAAGGTTCCAAGATCAACGTGTAGCTTCTGTGCCTGTCAGAAAGTGACATTCTTTACTTACCACGGGTCAGAAACCCTGTACAGGGACTGTGTACACAAAATATGAGGCAAATTTTTCCAAAGGCTTTATTGTCTCCATAAGTCAGGTTTGATTCCTTAAAGGAAAGCACACCAGGCCAGGCGCAGTGGCTCACACCTGTAATCTCAGCACTTTGGGAGGCCAAGGCCAGCAGATCATGAGGTCAGGAGATCGAGACCATCCTGGCCAACATGGTGAAACCCCATCTCTACTAAAAATACAAAAATTAGCTGGGTGTGGCTGTGTGTGGTGGCATGTGCCTGTAATCCCAGCTACTAGGGAGGCTGAGGCACGAGAATCACTGAAACCCAAGAGGCGGACTTTGCAGTGAGCCGAGATTGTACCACTGCACTCTAGCCTGGCGACAGAGTGAGACTCTGTCTCAAAAATAAAAACAAAAACCAAAAAAGGAAAGCACACCATTCCAGTCAAAGCCTACAAATGAAAACAGATTCTTATTGCACTTATGCAAATAACTGTATTGCCATAAGTTAAGAATACTCAGAGTTTCCAAATTCTGGAGAAATCAGGTAGAGAGAAACAAATATGCTCCAAATTTTGTTCATGGGAGTATACTAAATTATTAAAAGCTGTCATTAGCTCGAAAGAAAAGTTTCAAGATGCTGAAATACAAAACAAAAGATCAGCAATGTTTTAAACAAAAAGTCAAAAGGATTAGTCTATGTAGTTATTCCATGTTCTGCTTGATACTCATGAACATTTTAGCTCTCCATGAGTCCTGAAAGTTTTTCCTCTATTCTGATGTCATAATCTCCAAAGTTATCAGAAACCTGCATTCAAGAACACCTGTTGAAGTTTTATAGCTGATTATAAAACCACCTTCTAAGGAGAACTAAAGCAAGACAACAATTATCCACGAATGAAAAAAAAATGGTTTTAAGGCAGCCATAGTCAAAAGACACAATTGACAAAGAAACCTATTACCTCTGTGGCACACAACAATTTTAACATAACAATTATGATAATTACTGATAATTTACACTAAGTTTTATCAGAATTAGGAGTTTCCCATAATTTTGGAACATATACCAATAAAATATTTATACAACTACAGCACCCCCCCACAAAAAACACCATTTCATATTAGATAATGCTTCCTGTATAATTTTTATACCAAATAAGCCAAATCATGTCATTTTTGGATTTTAGGGAACCTAATATTTTAAAGGATTAATTAGATTAGAAAAAGACATAATTTATAACTTGATTTTGGAAAGTCTGAAATGTAAATGGTTTAAAATACTTGATATTACAAAATAGGATTACAGATCATTGTAAAGTCATTTATTTAACCAAAGTGATAATGCAAGCATTTCAAAAAAGAAAAAAAATTTTATTCTTTGAGAGAGGAGACTTAATTTTCTAAATAAAAAGCCGTGTTAAAAAAGCAACATGAGGCCGGGTGTGATGGCTCACACCTGTAATCCTAGCACTTTGGGAGGCCGAGGCGGGCGGATCGCCGCCTGAGGTCAGGAGTTCAAGACCAGCCTGGCCAACATGGTGAAACCCCGTCTCTACTAAAAAATACAAAAATTAGCCAGGTGTGGTGGTGCGTGCCTGTAATCCCAGCTACTCGGGAGGCTGAGACAGGAGAGTTGCTTGAACCCAGGAGATGGAGGCTGCAGTGAGCTCAGATCATACCATTGCACTACTCCAGCCTAGGTGACAAGATCGAGACTTCATCTCAAAAAAAGAAGCATGAAGACAATTATATTTGTTTTTCAAAATTTTGCAAACAATCTATAAAGTTTAATCCTGATTATCAAATGTAACTTCTGTAAGCCTTTTATAACCTTTATAACCTTTATTAAGTAGTTGGTTAATGCTTAAAGAAAAACTTGTTAATCTGACACAGGAGTCCATATTCTAATTTTTCATCAGTCAGCCTTTGATACTAATGATTAATTTATAGAGGAACTAAACTTATTTTATCTTCCTAAAATGGCCCTTACAATTTTACATGCCCACTACTTCCACGATAGTCTCTGGGCCTTGAGGAGTTAAGTAGCTTTAACTTCTTGTCCTGTGTCTCAGGAATGCAGTTCATTTAGATTGGCATCTTCTATGGGACCTGAAGATGAGGCTTTAATTGCTGGCCATGTTGAAGAATTAGCCGGACTTGGTGTCCTTTTTAGACCCAGGAGTTAAAGCTCTGTAACTCAATGTTACAAGGACTTTGAAAGCATACACAGGGAGATACATGTATGTAATAACCTTAATTTAAAAAAAAAATTATCTCGGTTGTTATTTTTTCCTAAGCAAACCAAAACTTAATAACATGATAACTTGATTATATAAAAGCATATTTTTTCTATATAAATTATCTTATTCTGACTTACACTGAGCCTTCATGATATGATTGGATTTTAGGGTTTGCTCTGAACATCCCTCCTTTATAAAAAAACAGTTGTTTTAGAACTAAATTTACTACACAAGATTTTTTTACATATAAAATTATTTCTCTTTTAGCTTTTTACCTCAAAAAAATACTTCTATATTTTTATAACTTCCTTTACATCTTTTTTTATTTCTTGGTTCCTTTTACCTTGTTTTATATATAACCTTTAAGTAAGTTTTGAATTAGACAAAACTTGTTCACCTTGTTTTTTAGCAAGAATGTTTTTTCCTACAATATCTATTTATTAGAAAATACCCAGAAAATGAAATAGCTATTATTTAATTTAATATTACTTTATATTCTAAATTATGTCCAGTTTGTCTATAGGTATTTATCCCATTACATTTACCTAATTTTTTAATATTAATTGTTTACCTAGATTATTTATGAAAACTGTGATAGTCGTGATTTAAAGTTATGAGATCACCATTGCCAAATTATAACTGAAACAGTGAAAAAAGATTTGACCTAACTGACTCCATTTTGCTCTTAACTTCCAAGCTGTCGTTGTTTATTCCTGGGCAGAGGTCAAACTAACTTTGGGAGGAACTTAGTTTATAGTTCACACTTTAGCATTGAAACAAGGCTATGAAACAGTCCTTTCCCAACACAAACCTCCTTATTGTCTGTGGACTAAACTGCCTAAAGCCACAGGATTAGAAGTTATAGTAATCTTACTAAATTCAAGATGCAGCTATTTGTATTAAACCTATATCAATGTCTTATTTATTAAAAATTACAAAAGCAAAGATCATCCTGTTTTGGGATGGGTTTATAGTTTTGTAACCCCTACGCCAAATTTTGACATCTTATAGTATTGAATAGGAATAATTATGAAATTGTTTGATTAATAAATGTAAACACAAACATATGCTGCCAATTCTTAAGACATTTCTCATATTATTTTACCAATAATTTTAAAGCTAGCTTATTTATTAAATATTTTACTTGTTACATAAAATTGAAAAAGCATTTGACTAGTCTTTTCTTTTTCAGTATCTGATTTAAGCACTTTTATTTTTCTTTAAGCCAATTATTTAGAGCTCTTTTATATATTTTTAGCAGTGAAACATTCTGTACACAACACATGAAAGCATATAAAGACATATTACGCGTGCCAATGAAAACACATTTTATAGATTTATAAATACCCCCTCTTTTATTTATTTATTTATTTTTTTGCTATCATAGACTTTCAGATTCTTGATAACCTGTTTGACAATGCTAAGCACCTGTCAGCTAAGTAGCCTTACATTTGCACAATAAAGGAAACAGCTCAGGTGAAAATCAGAGAGAAAAAGTCTGGTGGTGCTAGAGGGAGACGCTTTTACAGAGTTCCTTTTTTTTTTGAAACAAAGACATTTCTGAGTGTCTAAACTACATTCTTCCTTAAAAACCCAGGAGTAGCTTCTGTTGCAATAACTGTTTTAGTCAAAAAATGAGGTGAAAAGTTAAGCTGACTTTTAACCATTGAGCTCCTTAAAACAATTTTTTTTTAAATCTTATTACAGTATTTCAGCTAGGACAAAATGCTGCTAAACGAACAATGATCACACAAATTATACGATTTCTGAGCGCTCTAAGGGTAAGCAGAAATTAACACCAGCTGGTTGTTAATGCTAACTTTAGGCATTTAAAAAGAATTTGCAAGACAGAATCCCAAACCAGTTTCTTACCTATTGATGGTTCTCAGGTTGTACACTGCTCTCTACCATGCTAGAGCAGGAAAAAGAAACTCGTTTTTCCTGTTGGAAGTAAGCTCTGCCTCCATAAAGGAGTTACCTGCCTTCCATCATCATGGAAGAAAGAAAACCTTACCTTCCTTGTTGGAAGCAAGTAAAACTCCAAAAAAGGAGGAGTTGTACAGCAAAATAAACTTTAGATCTCGACCAAATTTTGGGACATCAGAACAAGCACTAATAGGAGATTTGTCAAAGATCAGGGGCATCTCCATTCAGAATCCCTCCGTGGTTACCAAAATGTGAACCCAGAAAATCTGAGACAGATCTCAGTTAATTCAGAAAGTTTGTTTTGCCAAGGTTGAGGACACATCTGTGACACAGCCTCAGGAAGTCCTGATGACATGTTCCCAAGGTTGGGGCGCAGCTTAGTTTTATACATTTTAGGGAGACATGAGACATCAATCAATATATGTGTACATTGGTTTTTGTCTGGAAAGGTGGGACAACTTGAAGCAAAGGCAGGAAGACTTGAAGCAGGGAGAAAGTCACAGATAGGTGAGGCACAAATGGTTGCATTCTTTTGAGTTTCTGATTAGTCTTTCCAAAGGAGCCAATCATATATGCATCTATGTCAGTAAGCAGAGGGGTGACTTTGAACATAATGGGAGGCAGGTTGGCCCTAAGCAGTTCCCGGCTTGACTCTTCCCTTTAGCTTGTGATTTGAGGGCCCCAAGATTTATTTTCCTTTCACACCCATTTACTTGTACAAATTAAAAAATAACTTAAATGTTTGCTGTTTTCAACTAGAAAAGAGGTTATATAATCTCTTCCTCTAAATTTCAAACTCTGTCATGGAACTCACAGGCAGAAAGGTCAGCAGATACAAGGGGCCCTGCTCACTCAGCCTCCTGTGAATGGGAGACCTACGTAGGCTCTATGCACTGCTGGTCATGGTATGGGTCTGTGGTCCAGCAGACCCTTCCCTACCATAGTTCTACCTTCTTGAAATTCAAGGGCATGAGTCACCTTGTCATTGGGTGCCCATCAATGACATTCATTACCAAAGTGTCCGCACTTATCTGTCATCTGTTTAGAGACTGTTGGAAATATCTGGAGACCTTGAAGAGAAGTGAGATTGAGCTGTAGCCCAATGTTGATCATCACACATCTGTGTTAAATACAAGTACACTCTTGGTGTGTAGCCCTTAAAATTATATTTATGCAAATATGTTTCTGTATGTTTATGGAACTCATGCCTTTAAATATTGGAAGCTGAACATAATTTCTAAAAGCCATGTATGTAAAAATGTAATATTTCAACGTGTCTACAAATTAAGACATAATTTTACTATAAAAATTGCAAGTTGAGACTGTCCTATTCTCAAAGTAATTTGAAAATAGTAACTTTGGCTGGGCCAAGTTTGGGAGGCCAAGGTGGGTGGATCATGAAGTCAGGAGATTGAGACCATCCTGGCCAACATGGTGAAACCCCGTTTCTACTAAAAATACAAAAATTAGCTGGGCACGGTGGCATGTGCCTGTAGTCCCCCCTACTTGGGAGGCTGAGGCAGGAGGATCGCTTGAACCCAGGAGGCAGAGGTTACAATGAACCGAGATTGCAACACTGCACTCCAGCCAAGGTACAGAGAGAGACTTCGTCTCAAAAAAAAAAAAAAAAAAGTAACTTTAAGAAAATATAAAATGTATATATAACCATGAATAGTATTGTTAACTATTACAGAAAAATATTGTACCAAGAATTGCAGCTACATTTAAAGTTAATAATGTTCTTTTATATTTAGAACCATTTGCTGGGATTTAATCATGAATAAAACTCACAGAAATAAAAGTTTTGTTACAAAGTAATAATGTTCTTTGAAGGTCCAATTATTTCTTACATAGGATCCTTCCATGTCACATATTATGACTGAGAAATATCACTCTAGTCCTCTTATGAAAACTTATTTTAGATAACAGCCTTTGAAAGAAAAACACAGAAAAGCAACTGAAACTAGCTTAGTAACATGGAATGTTAGAGGTAGAGCCAGTGGAATCAAAGAATGGGATGAGCAGGAAAGAGCTAATCCTCAAAGTACTGGCTTCAAGGCAGTTGATGTCCATCTGTCATCTATGCTGTATGCATCTGACTTAGTTCTTTCTGGCTGCATATTTGCTTCCTAAATACCTTGGGAATGTGAGCACCAACAAGTGCAATTTAGCACTCGTGGGTGCCAAGTGACTTAATTTAAAACCATTTAATTCTTACTATCACAGAAGGACTCTTGATATTGTTATTCACAGTGAAAGTATTCCAGTGGAGGGAAAAATATCTATTGGCTTGTTAAGGTTAAAACTCACCAAAGATCACTGAATGAATTGTGGTTGGCTCTGTAAGCAAATACTAGGAAAGATTAGGTTCATTGTTTACTCCAGGGGTAAGTCAACTATAGCTAGAGTTGTGTAGTTAGGGAAGGATTAGATCCCATTTTCACCAAGTATTTGGAAAAAAATGAAAGGTGGTCATGATAAGAGAAGGGCTCTGGTCAAAAGGGAATATGATAGTTCTCCATAACGGCTAGACAATAATATGGAAGCCAACTCATTTTTTTTAACATTGTAATAAAAAAATTCATATTAATTTTAAGCAAAAAGAAAAAATAAACCATATCAGTTTGTCTTATCTCTGAACTCTCGAGCTATGCCAGGCAATACATTCCATTACATGTAATGTGCCTTGTAGCATTTGAAAATGTACTCCACGTTACACACCATGTTTTTTCAGCATTGCATTTACACCTCAACATTCTGCTTCTTTTCCTCCTCGGTGAACTCTGGCTTGATATTACATCCATTAAAATCGATGCCAAGGATCGAGCAAAATCCTCTAGCTATGGAAAATAAACACGAATTAGATTGGAAGAATGGATCAATCACTTCTGTACTAACTGTATTTATGTTTTCATACTTTGAATTTTCACTTATCTTTGTGGCCACATCAGTTTTCATTTTTAAATTTTAGGTAAGTTATTTTATATACCATTTGTTTATATACTAAATTATTTTCTTTATTTTTATTACATAAAATATTATCAAGCCAGATCTAGAGTTAATTGGATATATTTTTAACAGAAAAATTTTGTACCAATGTAATTGTTTTAATCTATTACTCTCATCTTTTGAGTTTTTATATGTTCATTTACTTTCAATTTTATTCTTTTACCATTTAGTCTTTTCCTATAATTTTATTTTCAAGTTTTATGAGTAAGACTTGTAAATTTAAATTTCAAAACTTGGCTGAGATCAATACTTTAAGTTTATCACCTTCTACATAATATGTAAGTGTTATAAGCTTTATTTCAATGAACCAAATCCATGTTTAACCCAATTTTATTTATTTTAGCATATTAAACATTTTGAAGTATTGTACTGCATGTTCTCACTTATAAGTGGGAGCTAAATGATAAGAGCACATGGACACATAGGCAGAACAACACACACTGGGGCCTACTGGAGAAGTGGGGAGGAAGAGGATCAGGAAAAATAACTAATGGATACCAGGCTTAATAACTGGGTGACAAAATAATCTGTATAACAAACCCCCACGACAAACATTTCCCTATGTAACAAACTTGCACATGTACCCCTGAACTCAAAATGAACATCTAAAAAGATATATATTTACATACACACACACACATATATAATTTCATGAATGTTATCAGTTTATAGCAGTATATGGTAAATCTACGTATATATTTTAATCTATGCTGGATTCTAGTGACCACTTCTTTTTCTAAGTATTTAAATTATATATAAGATATACCAATATCATATATTTCATCATATAAGTTTCATCACATTGAGCTATAATTCAAAGAATTTGCTGTGTTCTATTACCTGTGAATAAATTTCCTGTTTATATTTTGGCTAGCTACGCACTACTCCTCAATTACTAATACAATTGGCTCTTGCACAATGCGGAAGTTAGGGAAACTGACCTCTGCACAGTTGAAAATCCACATATAACATTTGACTTCCCCAACTGAACTAATGAACTACTAATAGCCTATTATTGACCCAAAGTCTTGCATATATACAGTTGATTAATACATAATTTGCATATGTATTATATATGGTAGTCTTACAATAGAGTAAGACAGAACAAAATAAAATATTGAGAAAATATTAAGAGATTCCTAAGAAAGATAAAATATATTTACTGTTTATTAAGTGGAAGTGGGTCATCATAAAGGTCTTCATTGTCATTGTGTTTGTGTTGAGTAGACTGAGGAAGAGGAGGAAGAAGAGGGATTGGTCTTGTCTCAGAGGTGGCAGGGGCAGAAGAAAATCCGTGTGTAAGTGAACCCACACCTTTCAAACTCGTGTTGTTGAAGGGTCAACTGTATAATACAAAGAGGCATTCTGCAATCACATGTGTAAGCTATTTAAAATACTGGAAGTGAAAAAAAAAAGAAAAAAGAAACAAAGGCCAGGCGTGGTGGCTCCCGCCTGTAATCCCAGCACTTTGGGAGGCCGAGGCGGGTGGATCATGAGGTCAGGAGATCGAGACCATCCTGGCTAACATGGTGAAACCCCGTCTCTACTAAAAATACAAAAAATTAGCTGGGTGTGGTGGCGGGCACTGTAGTCTTAGCTGCTGGGGAGGCTAAGGCAGGAGAATGGGGTGAACCAGGGAGGCAGAGCTTGCAGTGAGCCGAAATCACACCACCGCACTCCAGCCTGGGCGACAGAGCGAGACTCCGTCTCAAAAAAAAAAAAAAAAAAAAAAAAATACTGGAAATGAAGTAATTTTTTTTTGAGCGAACAAAGTTTATATCAAGAAAAGGGGTAAATATTTAAAAACTGAGTTTCTCAAGTAGTGTCTCCCTTTCATTCTCCTTGCAGATAAACTTTCAAACCATAGAATATTTCTCCACGACCTGAAGAATCAGGATCAAGCTCTCAAAATTCCTCAGTGAGTCTTTCTGACAGGTCGTAGGGATGACCTCTTGAACATGGCCAAGATGTTTTGGTTGCTCATCCTATCATGATGTCCTGTCCATCTTTCAGAAATGGAACCCATATTGATGGATTCAATGTAGGCAAAATTCCACTATCTACCAGATAGCTGTGCGTTCTTCATTTTTCAGGGAGAAACAGGGTTGTAGATTAGAATATGGTACAGCAAATATTCACCTCCTCTCCCACTCCCAGTTTCCTGGAAAGAATATGCTTCCTGTCTCTTTGATGCTGAGCTTAGTTCTGTGACTTGTTTTGGCCTCATAGTAAGTAGAGCATGCTGTCCTGTCTCTTGACCTGGGCTTGGCGAAACATTTAAGTTGCTTTGGCCAATGGGGTGTTAGCAGACATGATGCAAGACTTGAAACAAGGTTGCATTAGTTTCACTATAGCAAGAACAAGCCTTGAGTAAGCTCTTGTTTAAGGAGGAGGACACAGGCAGAGAGTACATGCTAGATCTGGCTTGTAGCCAAGGCAACTGAGTCCTAAACGACCCACAGATATGGGACAAATAAATGGAAAAAAAAAAAAAGTTTGCTTTTCTTCATTTGTTTTTTAATCATTGCTTCTCCAGACAAGATTTTTGTTCAGCCTTTGCTAAGTACATTCCTCCTGACTATAACAAGGTTATTATCTTTTTTTAATATATGCTTTAAGTTCTGGGGTACATGTGCACAACACGAAGGTTTGTTACATAGGTATACATGTGCCATGTTGTGAAATAAATTTTAATTTGGAAACATGACTTAAAATAGTGAAATCATCTGTTCTAAATTACTGCTTTAATGTGTCTTGAATTATGAGTTATAATGTTTATTTTATTCAGCTTTCAGGTACTTTTCATTTGTAGAGTAAATGGCATTAATTAACAGTAGTTGAGAGTTTAGTAGCATATCTCTCGGTTTTCTAAAATTATGCTACCATTTATTACTTACAAAAAATAATTCATATGTATCCAGTAATGCCTATTTTAAACTTTATTTATTATATAATATTATATATTATATATTTTATATATTATATATTTTTATATATAAAATGTATATTTATATATTGTATATTTTATATATAATATATAATATTATATATAATATAATATTATATATTTATTTATTTAATAAATTATTATATATTATTAATTATATATTTAATAATTATATAATTATTAAATATAAATATAAATTATTTAATTATATTTAATAATTATATAATTATTAAATTAAATATAAATATAATTAAATTATTATATATTTAATATAATATATATTTATTATATAATATTATATATTATATTTAAACTTAATTTATTATAAAATTACAAATTTTAAAGTGGCTCATTAGCCACTTTCTTTTGATGTGAGAAACTTCAAAGTTTCTGAACATTTAAAAGATTTAAGGCATCCTCAATTTTACCTTTAGCTAGATGGTCAGATTTCTCTGAAGAATCATGTCTCATATTTTCATTACTGTCACTGATCACTGATCCTAATGTGGTCCTATATGAAATTATCAACATATGCTTATTAGATGATAGAAAAGCCAAAGAAAAACATGGATCAGCAAAATATAATTGCTACAAAGACACACATTCAGGCATACAGAAAGATGATCAAAAAGGTCTAAAGAAGTAATCATATTATTTTAAGAAAAAGTATTATCAGCATCTATACAGAAAAAGTTCAGTAATTTCCTGGCTGTTCACGAAATGTAATGAAACCTGTAGAACACTGAAAGGGAGACATAATAGTATGAATTTACTTTCCTCTATGTAGTGTTTCTTCTTTCTTTTCTTCCAAGTCTTTTTTCAAACCTTTTCAAGTTCTTTTAAACCCTAGTGATGTACAGACAGTACTGAAGTGCATTTTTACTTGCCAAATTGATTCAGCTTCTAAGCAATCTTTAGAATTCAAATAAAATTCACTATTCTGCTGACTCTAGCTAAATGCTTTTCTCATAAATGCATTTTAAATCATGTAAAAGAAAGAATCTGCAATTTATACAGTTGCTAAAAATTCATGATTAGTGATCATTTATGATCTCATTTTAGATTACTTATCTTATTAAGAAGAGTTTTTTGCTGTCATATTTTAAAAATCCCAGGTTGGTATTTAAACTTTTTTGAGGACAAGTGAGTACTGTTTGAGTAAAATTCACTAATTGAGGGAAAAATGTGTCTCTATCATGATGCTATAGATGTTATAAAAAGCAATTGTCACCCACATGTTCAGTGCATTAAGAACTTATAACCAGGTGTGAACTAGTATCCCAGCTCCTCAAGAGGGTGAGGCAGGAAGATCACTTGAGCCCAAGGAGTTCAAGGCTGCAGCATGCTATGATTTTACCTGTGAATAGCCACTGCACACCAACCTACATGACATAGAGATTTTGTTTCTAAATAAATAAATACACGTACACATACACACAATATATACATCTATATATATGTATATGAAGAGAGACTAGACTCAGTATAGCACAGCTTTTCAGTATGACAAATGTGTGTCTAAATCTTCTCTCTCTCTCATCTATTAGCTCTATGATATAGCTGTCAACTTACTCAATTGTAAATTGAAACTGCATCTTGCTCACTAGATTATGAGAATTAAATGAGATGCACCTTAAAGCTTGGTATTTAAAATGCTTTAAACTAATGTCACTTTATTTTATATTTTCTAGATACATACGGACAAACTCTTCTCTCTGTGACTCATAAACAAGTAAAAATTCATTTTTCTTTCTCATTAGTTTGCTAGGATTGACATAACAGAGTAGCACAAATTGGGTGGATTAAATCAATAGAAACATATTCTTTAACAGTTCCAGAGGCGAGATGTCTGAAAGGGAGATATTGGTAGGTCAATGCATCCTCTAAAGCTCACAGGGGACATTCTGTTTAATGCATTTCTCTTAACTTTTGGGGCTGGTAGAACTCCTGGAAGTTCTTTGGCTTGCAGCTACATGAATCTCATCTTTGCCTGGATCTTCACATGGTGGTTTTCCCTCTGTGCCCGTGTCTCTGTGTTTTCACATTGCCGTCTCCTCTTTACAAAGGGCACCAGTTATATTGGAGTAGGGCCCACACAAATGATGTAATCTTAACTCGATTATGTCTGCATAACTCGATTACATCAGATAAAGTCACATCCACGGATAATAAGGATTAGGATTTCAACCTATTTTATTTTCAGGGATGGTGGGGACACAATTCAACCCACAGCACTTTTTATTTTAAGGCGCATATTCCAATTTCAGCCAACACTGCAATATTTCTCTCCTCAACTCATACACTCTCTGCCCTTGGACATAAAAATCAGATAAGCCTCCAGACAATTATAGAAATACTACATTTACCATTGTATTATCATGTAGAATGTTTTTCTGCTTTATTCATTTTTATAGCACACAATGTAATTTTTACAGGTAACAAGTTATTAAAAACATGATTCTAACATGTCATTTATTAAACAAAATATACAAAACACATTATATTAAATATTATAAAAACTAAAACTCTGGCCCTTTTCCTCAATTTTTGTTGGAAAAAATAAGACATCCTCCCTGCTTTGACATATTGTGTCCTTTGAAGCAACAGTGAAGTGAACCATTAAAAACTAAAACACTCCATTGAACTGAAAAACAAACTCTGATTGGGAAAGCTAATGCCTTAGGAAAAAGCAGGTTTTATAATTTCTGATTTCATGTCTTCTTGTGTCTTTGATGGATGATGAGAAAAGCTAAATTCTAAATGAAAATGCCACAGTGACTGCAATACTATTACTTCTTGTTTTGCATACCAACAGAAGTTTTAAAAATGTCCAAAAATGCACACCAAATAGAAGGTGACAGGACAGCAAGAAATACAACCACATTGGATGTGCCATTTCATAGTTCATTTCCTAATGGTAAATGAGACTTACATATTTCACAGGCCTTCAATTTACTTGAAAAAACAGAAACAAATATGCTCTTGAATTGCTCATGAGTTTTTTTCCATGTTTTCAAATATAAAACTAATTCATAATAATTCATAATTAATACGCTTCTCAATTTTGGCTATTTATGTCATGTTAACAGCAGAAATTGATATGAGTTTCACAAATAAATGACTACCTGAGGCAGGTAGTTTATTGCCAAAGTAAAAGAGTCCTTTTACCACATTGGCTGGGGACAATAGAGTCATAGCCATTCTTCATTCGAAAGGAAGATATTGTCTTAGAATATATATTCATGACCCAAAACATGTACCTTATTCATGAAATCAATAAAAGAATAAAAGCAAGGTAATAGGGAATTCTAAGTGCCCAAGAAGATAGCAGAATATGTGAACATTAAGTAGGGTAAATAGGGCAGACTTAACAGTGAAGATAAAATTTGAGCAAAGGTATGAAGAAGGTTAGGCAGTTGGCCCAATTGACATTCAAGGCAAGAACTTCCCAGGCGAAGGAACTAGCTAGAGTAAATATCCTACAGCAGGAGTTCCTGGTGCATATGCAGGAGAACAAACAAGCTAAAAATGAAAAGACAAGGGGAGAGAAGTAGAAAAAAGTATCAGAAGGATAACAGGGCACCAGAGTTTGTAGAGTTTCATTAATTCATAGCTATCACCTTGGAAAGCCACAGCGGTGTGCTGGGGAGTGGGTGTAGTAACATGCCCGGTCTTTTGCTTAAAAAGTATAATTTTAGTTACCTAGATAAGAATAGATTGCAGGGGCAATGGAAAAAGCACAGAAACCTGTTGGATGGTATTGAAATGATCCTACAAAGTAATGATGCTTGATTGCACTACTGAAGTAGATGGTGAGAAGCAGTAGGATTCTGGTTATATCTTGAAAATAGGCTTGGCATGATTTTCTGATTGATTAGATGTAGAGTGAGAAAGAAAATTGTGTGTTTATGTGTGCATGTGTATGAGTACCTGTGTATGTTTGTCAGTGAGAAAGACAGACACAGACAGAAAGTCAAGGATACTTCTAATTCTAGAATTTGAGCTTCAGCACTGGAAACTATCATCAACTACAAGGGGAAATTGTGAGCAGATCAAATGTGAGCGCATGTGTGTGATTTTGGAGTGAGGCTCTCAAGAGCTCAGCTTTGGATCTCTTAAGTTGGAGAAATGTATTTGTTATTCATTTTACGGAAGTTAGTGATGTCAGAATTTTGTACCTTGTGCTTATACTCTGTCCCTATATCCTGACCATGGAAGAATCAAATGAAAAGACATATGGAAGTGCAAGATGGTAGATTAGAAGATAGAATCACATCCTACTGCAGGTTGTGAGCCAAGCCATTAGCCCAACCTAAGTTTGAGCAGAGAAATACATTTTAAATTGGATAAGAGATGAGAGATTTAAATTGAACCAGATTAGATTTTGTAATATCTGAATGTAACTGGAGCTTTTGCTTCAGATATAATTAACTGTAGAGATAAGGATTACAGAATATGCATGAAATAAATATTAAAATAAAACACAATATTTTCCAGTTTATACCCCACTCAGATCAAATCACTTAAATGTGTTTCTGATACATTTATTATAGTCAAATATATATGCAACAGGCAATAAATCTATAGGAACATGAGCCTATCAAGTATGTATTTGCCATCTAGAGTGATAGAAAGATGAATATTTAATAATTGGCCACGTGTAAATCAAGACAAAATTGAGATACATTAAAGTATGTTTAAGAAGAGGTGTTGGCCATGCACGTTGGCTCACGCCTGTAATCCCAACACTTTGGGAGGCTGAGGTGGGTGGATCACAAGGTCAGGAGTTCAAGACCAGCCTGACCAACATTGGGAAAAGAAACCCCTCCACCACAAAAAAAAAAAAAAAAATTAGCTAGGTGTGGTGGTGTGCACCTGTAATCCCAGTTATTCAGGAGACTGAGGCAAGAGAATTGCTTGAACCCAGGAGGTGGAGGTTGCAGTGAGCTGAGAACGTGCCACTGTACTCCAGCCTGGGTGACAGAGTAAGACTCCATCTCAAAAAAAACAAAACAAAACAAAACAAAAAAACAGGTGCAGTTAATTATGATTAGAACATTAGCAGAATGAAATTAAATATTAAAAATAAGACTGAAAGTATGGGTTATAGGAATATTTTATCAGGTGAGATGATAAAATGAGTTTCTGAATGCAATAAGGAATAAGGATGCTATTTTCCAGTTATTGAGAATCTATTATTTTTAACGTAGGAAGATACTTGTTATTCCATTAACAGGAGATTTTTAAATGCATTTTTTAATGTTTTCACAACTATGAGAAATTTAACCTGTTTTTAGTAATAGATGAGATTTACAGAGAAACATCTCCTAGTAAAGTTTACATAAAAATACAGGATTCAATGGTAAAAGAGAACATATTTTAAGCTTGGGTAAGGCTTATGATAAAATAAAAGTGCTGATCAGATATTAGACAAATAGGAAGCAAAGTGGAAAAAAAACCCCATAATTCCTGGGGATTTGGGAGGACACCGATCAGGGCAAGTTAGAAGGCAGAATCAGGGAATTTTGCATGAAGAAAAAAAAGTACCTCTGCAGGAAAATATCAATGGACAACTAGAAAAATGACAGACAAAAACACAAAAGCAAACAAACAACAAAATCATCAACAGAAATGACTTGTTTTCATTGAATAGAAAAAAGCAAACAAAAAGACACTCCTTATAAATAAACCCTATTTTAAATTCCAATTCTTGACTTGGAGTAACATTCAGATGGAAGCTTGCATTCACAGACCTGTGTGGTGTCAAAAAATTTAATTATTTTGATATGAAGATCTGGCATTGATTATGACCCCAGATCCTGGAAGAGTCATGTGCAAATACACATTCAAAAAATTAATTGGCCGGGCGCGGTGGCTCACGCCTGTAATCCGAGCACTTTGGGAGGTGGAGGCGGGTGGATCATCAGGTCATGAGTTCGAGACGAGCCTGACCAACATGGTGAAACCCCATCTCTACTAAAAATACAAAAAAAATTTAGCCAGGCATGGTGGCATGTGCCTGTAATCCTAGCTACTCAGGAGGCCAAGGCATGAGAATCACTTGAACCCGGGAGGCAGAGGTTGGAGTGAGCCAAGATTGTGCCACTGTACTCCAGCCTGGGCAACAGAGCAAGACTTCATCAAAAAAAAAGAAAAAAAGAAAAAATTAATTATAAAATTCCCCTCAAATAAAAATTTTTCATAGGTAAACATCTAAAAAATATGAACTCACACATACATATCACTAAAAATAGAAAACAAGCCCACATGGCTGAAATAAAAACACATAGATTTGATAGAGAATTTTAATAAAAAAGAAGGTATTTAAATATAAAGGCGAAAAAGAGGTGAATGAAAAGACCAGAAAGATCTGAAACAAACAAAAATAACTTCTAGAATTGACTAGATACACACACACACACACACACACACACACACAAAATAGAATGTAGTTCCGTTTCTGGTTTTGATATATAAAAAGATAAAAAAAAAACTTCCACTATTGTTAAAATACAAAGAAACAAAAGAAATAAAATAAGCCAAAATATTACATTAATATATTATTTAAAGCCATCAAGTTGCTATGGACACAAATTGATGAAATAACTAATCTCCAAGATTCAAGCTATGAAGTTTCTAAATAAACAAGTTATGGAGGATATTTCACTACCTCCTGATAGTTGCTGAGGTCAGGCAAGGCAGGCAGGGAAATAAACCTACCGGAGAAGGAAGGTCTTTATTCAACTGAAAAGAAGCCAGTAAAACTTAAGGCAAAACCATGTGCTACAGCATTCTAGTTGTCTTAAAGGAAACATTTTGAAAAATAAAATAATTTTCTACAAGTAATGTTTTACAGAGAAATACCATTGAGAAAGCAGATGAAGGTGGGGTAGAAATAGAGGGCATCATTAGAACTCACAATCTCATAGTCTTGAAGTGATGGGCTCTTACAGTCCTGTGGCTTAATCATTTCTCAGTTTGATAATTTCAAGCTCACAATCTGCCAAAGAAAAGTTTCATCATCTCATGCTTCAGGTTGTCTCAAAGTGACAGTCATGAAATTAAAGAACTCAAAATACTGCTATCCTGAGTTTTAGTAATCTCTTGATTTAACAGTCTCATGCTTTCAGAGAGTGAAGCAATAACACCATAAAATATTTATGGGTTTAAAGTCTAGTCAGTTCAAGTGACTGGTCCTAGATGCTCCTAGAAGAGTATCTGATCACATCTTCAAAATTGTAGGAGTCTGAGGGGAAGTGAGGCTAAATATAGATGCAAACACATTTCCATACAATTTAACCACTGATAAAATTAAAACTATGAGCTCAATGACAGTAGTAAAAGTTGGGACCTCATTTGAAAAGCAAACAAACATCTCCCTATATTCCTGATGTTTGAACCCCAAGTCCTTAATTAAGATGATTAAGCAGAACCCAGCTGCCATGTATTGGTCCTCTTCATGAGTTCTCCCTGGCTTCCCATCAGAGGAAAAGGCATACTCCTCATTCCTGGAACTGAGTGAAGTGGTGACATATACTTGCTTCAATTTCAGAATTGCTATGGACCCAATACTGCGATATGCCTCCCATTTCTCTCTTTCCCTTTTCAAATGATAGTGTCTACTTTTATTATTCTGTCCTTTGCTCACAGTTGTATGTTGGATCTATTGTGTGAGAGGGCAGGGACTTAGGGTTACATATCCTGGTTATTTTACAGCTGTTTGTATCTGAAATTGCCCACCTGAGAGCCACCCCAAGAGTCTCCGCCTCATGTAGATTTAATTTTGATAATGAGCTCTTAGATTTCAACCCAGAGTTGATGTTACAATAAGATGAAATTTTGGGATATTGTGAAAGTATGAGTTTGTATGTCAGGGCACACTCTGTACTGTAGAGGTAAATTATTGGGAAATTAAAGTTGCCATAAAATATTTGCCACTTCTACCATAAGGAAATTCATTTCCCTCTCCTGTGAATTTTGGCTGACCTTGTTATGAGTTTGCCTGGAAGAATGGAACAGAAACAATAATCTGCCCATTTTGGACCTAGATTTTAAGAGTCCTGGATGCTCCTTTAAAAAAAAAAAATCAAAGATGGTGTATTAGTCCATTCACACTGCTAATAAAGACATACCTGAGACTGGGTAATTTATCAAGGAAAGGGGTTTAATTGACTGACAGTTCACCATGGCTGGGGAGGCCTCAGGAAACTTACAATCATGGCAGAAAGGGAAGCAAACACATCCTTCTTCACACGGCAGCAGCAAAGACAGCAAAAGGGGAAAGCCCGTTATAACACCATCAGATCTTGTGAGAACTCATTAACTATCATTAGAAAAGTCTGGGGTAAACTGACCCCATGATCCAATTATCTCCACCTGGTCCCACTCTTGACTGATGGGAATTCTTACAATTCAAGATGAAATTTGGGTGGGGAGGCAGAGCCAAACCATATCAGATGGGATTTCTCTGAGAAGAGTATTCTGATGGAGAGACGATAAATAGATACACAGAGAGACAGAGAGAGAGAGAGAGAGAGAATATGAGAATATGAATGAATATAGTTTGACTTGGAAGCCTTCTAGTTACCTGAGGCAGCAGCTATGCTAATATGGTAACTTGGATTTCCAGTCCCAGTAAGCACATGGCGATTGAAGCCAAGAACAACAATATATCTCCATACCTGAACTCAGCTCATAATACAGAATTATAAGTAAATAAATGGTAGTTGTTTTAAACCACTAGGTGTAAGGTTGGTTTGACACACCTGGAGATAATTTAAATTCTATCTTTCCAAAGCCTTGGAAAGGCTTTAGGCCCCCTGCTTTCTGGGAGACCTTGTCCACCTCCATCTTGTACCTCTAAAGTTTCTATGTTATGTTTTTAGGTTTCAACATTTTGATTTTCTAAAGCCATGAATTTATTTCATAAATTTTCCCTTCATTATTTTAACAACCGATCCAATAGTTACTCACACTAACAAGGCATGGTAATTTTTGTGTTGCTAGCTGATAAAGATGGATGTTAATTGTTCTAGAATCTTATTCAGTAAATCAGATCCGAAGGCAGGTAGTATTGCTCCAGGATGAATCCCAGTGGCAATTATCGATGCTTGAGTGCTTGTCAAAGCCTTTATTTATTCTTAAATTCAATTCAAATAGTCAGCTGCTCTTTCTTGTTTGTCGTTGTTTTGATTGCTTTGCTATTTTGTTTCTTTAGGTTTACATATATTAACCTTAGATCCACAAGCGAGAGACTACATACAGCATCTTTCAAGAGGCTAAGGTAAGAGTAATGCTGTTATTAGGATTGTGACTACAATATTAGTCGTTCTCTTGGTCATTTTCCTGACTTTGGGGTATATATGTATGCTTAAGTCAATAGTGTCTGCAGAATATCTTTATTTGTCTAGCAATTTTTAGTTTAACTTTGAATTTTAGGGATCTTTAAAATTATACCTTTGTGCTATTTTGAGTTTCATGGAAAATTATTAGAAAGGTGTGCTATTCCTCCTAGCCAGAGTTTCCCTAACAGAGCCAATACAGATGGAATCCTGTTGACGGCATTAAAGGCAAGACTATTTAACGAAGAGAGCTAAACTAACATAGAAAAGTGCCAGGAATCTTTTAACTGAGCATAAGAGAAAATACTCCGGAGTTATAATGCTTGAGTTGCTGAGCAATGAGACTTGCTGAATAAGGCCAGTGGAAACTTATCAAACACATCACTATTATAATGCAGAAAGTCTATTCAAATGAGCATACACATATACACAATATATCCATGTGTGAATGTATATCCATATATACACATATACTGATATATATTCATGTGTGTATGTGTATATATGGATTACATTCTTATATAACATACATCCCAGATGAAATGTATATGCATATATACACATATATTGATATATATTCGTGTGTGGATGTGTATATACACATCCACACACGAATATATATGAATATGTGTGTGTGTGTAAATCAAGGAACAAACAAACACAGCGATGGTCTGTTTAGGAATTCTAAAGAGTCAAGAATAATTTAGCTTGAGTGAGATAGATATAGAGACAGATATAAATACAGATATTTTAATAGATATCAACACCTACACATACATATGTCTATATACACATACATATATAAGTATAGATACATGTGCTGTAGTAGTTCATATTCTGTTGATTATAACAGATACCAGAGGGCCGGGCGAGGTGGTTCACGCATGTAATCCCAGCACTTTGGGAAGCTGAGGCGGGTGGATTATGAAGTCAGGAGTTTGAGACCATCCTGAACAACATGGTGAAACCCTGGCTCTACTAGAAATACAAAAATTAGCCGGGTATGGTGGCGGGCGCCTGTAGTCCCAGCTACTCGGGAGGCTGAGGCAGGAGAATGGCGTGAACCCAGGAGGTGGAGCTTGCAGTGAGCCGAGGTCGCACCACTGCACTCCAGCCTGGGTAACAAGCGCGCAACTCTGTCTCAAAAAAATAAAATAAAATAAAGCAGGTACCAGAAACTGAGTAATTTGTAAATAAAAGAAATTTATTTCTTACAGTTATGGAGGCTGAGAAATGCGAAGTTGAGGAGCTGTGTCTGGTGAGAGGCTTCTTTCGGGTGGGGACTTTCTGAAGAGACCCAAGACAGCACAGGGCATCACATGGCGAAGGGGCTGAGCATGCCGACACGCCAGCTCAGGTTTCTCTTTCTCTTCTGATAAAGCCACCAGTTCCCCTCCCATGATAACCCATTAATCCATTGACTCAGTAATCCATACATAGATTTATCCATTCATGGGGGCAGAAACTTCATGATCCAATCACCTCTTAAAGGACCTACCTCTCAACACTTTCACATCGTGGGTTAAATTTCAGCATGAATTTTAAAGGGGACTAATATTCAAACCATAGCAAATATATAGTACTTCTTGATAAAATTCTTGATATTAATTCTCTTGGAGATACAAGGGGAGGAGGTAAGGGTTTGGGGGAAGAAAATTCTGGCAGCCTGATGCTTAATTGATTGAATGGTGTGGGGAAGGAAAGCACATAAGATCTGCACATAAATTTAAATGACAACGCTAAAGGGTACCAGAAGTTGGACTTGCTGTTTTATTCTTCTGGGACTCTTTAGGATTGACATTGTAATTTATGTGAAAGTTTCATGCCATCAACCCAAACCAATCAATTGGGTATCTCACTGATTGTGCTATAACTTATTACTTCTTTGCTTGAGCTTACTGATAAAATCCATGTGTACTTCAAAATTAAAAGCCACTATAATGGAAACTGTTAGAACTCTTTATACACATGTTATATGTCTTTTTCAGTCTCTCAAGAAATTTGTATATTTGGAGAGAATCATAGAAATATATCATATTTGCTAGTATCCATTTACATGAAGGAGATAAATTTTCACAGCATTTATATCAAATACCTCAATTAAAAATGGTTTCATCTGGGATGTATGTTATATAAAAATATAATCCACAGTAAAATAAATGATGTAGAATAAATAATTTTTATGATTTCATATATAAACAAGAGATCGCACAATGGCTTTCTTTTGGGGGCATACAGTTTCTTCACTATTGGTGGCTGCTGCTCATGCCTAATGATTTCTCCAGCTGCTCTGAGCATTTGACTATAAATAAATACTTTTCTCTGTTCCAAATTTATGCCAGTCTGTGCCATGAATATGTTAGCAGGGCTTCCTCCTGGGTTGTAACACACTAAGTACCAGCAATGCAATTAGCTTGACTCAGATACAGGAACCAGTTTACATATGACTCCTTCCCTTGTAAAACTCATGCTTTGCACAAGATAACAAGGAATGTGTGATTTGCTAGAATATGACTCTTGGTTTCTAACATCAGCACACACAGCTAATTCCTCCCTTTAGATATTTTTCATAATTTAAAAATATCTATATAGTACAGAGGAATTAAGATAGTTTCAGTGAAGTACAACTCAAGTTTGGACAGGGAGAGGAAAAGATATGTTGACAGTGGGCAGGCTGATTGTGAATTTGCATATTACCTTTCAGTATGTTGGTCATTACTCAAGGTCCAAAAGGAAAATATACTGTGAGAATCAGCCTGATTAACAACTCAACTTCTACAGAGCATTAAATCTGTCTATGATTTTATTCCCAAAAGAATGAATTTCCTTTGAGGAAAGCTGGCATGGCTGGCCCATGGGACTCTATCAGAAGACTTAGGAGACTCTATTGCAGCCCACAAATAATTTTACAAGTTCCCCGGGGAGGCATGATAACTCAACTGTCATATGCAACACACTCAAACTGAGTTTTTCTTGACTCACAAGAATCCCTAAACAGATTAAGCCTGTTTTTGTTTTTTTCTTTTCTTTTTACTGCTTAATTCATGCAAGGAAAAGTACTCATTCACTCTATCTAAGAGATTAATCTCTTTCTTCCAATTTTCTGATTATTTTTGACCCTTTTAACTTTTTTTTTATTCACTGTGCCCTTAGCTTTTACACTGTAGTGGGAAAAGTCAATCAAATAAAATCATGCTGGCAGACACAAGTAGCGCCATATCAAAAATCATGCTTAAAGAAAATAACATTTCTTATGTTAGTGCTGATGAAATTTATAGTTAGCAGTCCATGCACAATTTGTTTGCTGAGAAATATGTGGCAACACACCAACATATCAAATTGTAAAAAATTCTGATTTGTTTTTCACCTTCACTTTATTATCAGCAGGAAAAAGTAATGGAGATTAAAGAGTATATAACAAAATTGAGGTGGGGATATACAAGTTACACACAGAGAAATACTCTAGTTTATGTATATATATATACATATACACACACACACACTAGTTATGTGTATATATATACATATACACATATATATATATATATATATGGAGTTTTTCTCTTGTTGCCCAGGCTGGCATGCAATGGCACAATATCAGCTCACTGCAACCTCTGACTCCTGCGTCCAAGCGATTCTCCTGCCTCAGCCTCCTGAGTAGCTGAGATTACTGGCATACGCCACCATGCCCAGCTAACTTTTTGTATTTAGTAGAGACAGGGTTACGTCATGTTGGTCAGGCTGGTCTTGAACTCCTAACCTCAGGCAATCCACCCGCCTCAGCCTCCCAAAGTGCTGGGATTACAGGCTTGAGCCACCGCACCCAGCCATATATTTTTTTAAAGAGAGGGTCTCTCTGTGTCACATAGGCTGGAATGCAGTGGTGCAGTCATGGCTCACTGTAGTCTCGACTTCCCAAGCTCAAGTGATCCTACCACCTCAGTCTCCCAAGTATCTGGGACTATAGGCATGTGCCACCACACCCAGCTATTTTTATTTTATTTTTATAGAGACAAAGTCTCACCATACTGCCTTGGCTGTTCTTGAATTCCTAGGCTCCAGTCATTTTCCCGCCTCAGCCTCCCAAAGTGCTGGAATTATAGGTGTGATCCACTGCATCAGGCTCAGTTATGTAATTTTAAAAGGGAATGAGAAACTTTAGAAACTTAGATGTATGTGATAGAGAATAAACATGTATAAAGTAACATGCTTTCTGGCAATAATTGTGTGTTATTGTTTGTGTTATTCTTTAAAATGTATCTTATAAATGTTCACAGTTTATAGGTCAAATGTTTGCATTGCAAATAAGTAAACACTGGCTTCATACTTTTTAAAATATTATAGCAGAGTCAGATTTAAATTTTCCTCAGACCTTTGTTTCAGAATAATTTGGTAGCTAATAAAGTATGTGCATGTTTATTATTTGATTGTTTATAATTCATTTCCTTTTATGTCAATATGTCACAAATAATCCTCATCTTTCCATTTTTAAATAGGCACATAATTGCTTAGAATTTGAATACCTACATCACCTTTAGCCCAAACAGTATTGGAAAAGCTGCTTTAAGTTAATCATCACAGATCACAGTGGCCACCATCAAAACTTTGGAAGGAAAGATAAATAATGACAAGTGAAAATATGATTAAATCTTTTCTGGAATTTGAAGGAATAAAAATAGTTCAAACTATTATGGGTTGCATATAAATATATTTAATATTAATAATTGGCTATTAATTTAATTATAGCTTCTAGTAAAATTAGAAGTGTTACAAACACCTTTCAAACCAATGAAAAAGCTAGTCCTTTGACAAGATACAAAGCATGTAAAAAAGATTAAAATATGAAAAAAATGAAAGTATAGTCCAGTGAATCATATAGGTGAGAGGAATTAATTTACCTTTATAAATATAAAAATAAAATATATTCAACCGTTTCTCCTAATAAAATAAGTATACGTTCAATATGAGATGGGAAGTGGAAAACCCAGTTGCAAGCAGGACCTGTTTTGCACAGAACCATATTAACTGGAGCTTGAGCATATTGACAATGTATCCTCCAAATATGACCAACGTTTAATTCACATAGTATTGCATTGAATAAAGACTACCTGTGTTCACCAGATAAACAGAATTAAAAACAAAAAACACCTGATCTTCTCAATAGATGCAGAAAAGGCTTTTGATAAAATTGAACATCTCTTTATGTTAAAAACCCTCAACAAATGAGGTATTGAAAGAACATATCTCAAAATAATAAAAGCCGTCTATGACAAACCCACAGCCAACATCATATTGAATGAGCCAACGCTGAAAGTATTCTCCTGTTCTCCTTGAGAACTGGAACAAGACAAGGGTGCTAACTCTCATCATTGCTATTCAGTATAATACTAGTAAGTCCTAGCCAGAGCAATCAAGCAAGAGAAAAAAAAAAAGGAATCCAAATAGCAGGAGAGTAAATCATACTATCTGTCTTCACAAGTGATGTAATTCTGTACCAAGAAAACCCCACAGACTCTAGCAAAAGGCTCCTAGAACTGATAAATGACGTCAGTAAAGTTTCAGAATACAAAATCAATGTAAAAAATCAGTAGGATTTCTATTCACAAATAACATCCAAGCAGAGAGCCAAATCAAGAAAGTACTCCCATTTACAAATGGGAAAAGAATAAAATATCTAGAAATGCAGCTAATCCAGGAGGTGAAATATCTCTACCATAAGAATTACAAAACACTGCTGAAAGAAATCATAGATAACACAAACAAATGGAAAAGCATCCCAAGCTCATGGATAGAAGGAGTCAATATTGTTAAAATGGCATAAGACGCAGAATTTAAAGATTCAATGTTATTTCTAACAAACTAACAATGTCATTGTTCACAGAATTAGAAAAGAAAACTATTCTGAAATTTATATAGAATCAAAAAAGATCCTGAATAGCCGAAGCTACCTAACTTCAAACTATAGTATCAGGCTACAGTAAGTAAAACAGCATGTACTGGTACAACAACAGATATATAGACCAATGGAACAGGTGAGAGAACTACGACTATCTGATCTTCAACAAAGTTGATAATAACAAGCAATGGGAAATGACTCCCTATTCAATAAATTGTGCTGGGATAACTGGCTAGCCATGTGCCAAATATAGAAAAGGACTTCTTCCTTTCACCATATACAAAAATCAACCCAAGATTGATACAATACTTTAATGTAAAATAAAAAACTGTAAAACTCTAGAAGAAAATGTAGAAACACCATCTGGACATCAGCCTGGGCAGAGAATTTATGACTAAGTCCTCAAAAGTAATTTCAACAAAAATAAACATTGACAAGTACTACCTAATTAAAGAGCTTTTGCACAGCAAAATAAACTATCAACACAATAAACAGACAACTTATAGAATGAAAGAAAATATTTGCCAACTTTGCATCTGACAGAAGTCTAATATCCAGAACTTACAAGGAACTTAAACAATTTGACAAGCAAAAAAGAAATGACCCCATTGAAAAATGGGCAAAAGACATGAACACACACTTCTCTAAAGAAGATGTACATGAGACCAGCAAATACATGAAAAAATTCTCAACATCACTTCTCATTAGAGAAATGCAAATTAAAACCACAATGAGATAGCAACTCAAACCAGTCACAATGGCTATTACTTAAAACGTTTAAAAATACCAGATGTTGGCAAGCTTGCAGAGAAAAGGGGGGCACATTTACACACTGCTGGTGGGAATGCAAATTATTTCAGCCATTGTGGAAAACATTATGGGGATTTCTCATAGGACTTAATACAAAGCTGTTGTTCAACCCAGAAATCCCACTACTGGGTATATACCCAAATGAAAATAAATCATTCTCCCAAAAAGATACATGCAGTTTTATGTTTATCACAGCACTATTCACAACAGCCAAGACATGGAATCAACCTAGATGCCCGCCAGTGGTGGACTGGATAAAGAAAATGTGTTACATATACACCATGGAATATAATGCAGCCATAAGAAACCGTAAGATTGTGTCCTTTGCAGCAACATGGATGAAGCTGGAGGCCATTATCCTAGGTTAATTAATGTAGAAACAGAAAACCAAATACTGCATGTTCTTACTTTAAGATGGAGCTAAACTTTAAGTATACATGGACACAAAGATGGAAAAAATAGACACTGGATACTAATTGAGGTGGAAAAGTGTGAGGGGGTTAGGTTTCAAAAACCCCCTATGGGGTACTATGCTCACTACCTGAGTGAAGGGATCATTTGTTCACCAAATGTCAGTGACACACAATTTATCCTTGTAACAAACCTGCCCTTCTAGCCTCTGAACCTAAAATAAAAGTCAAGAAAAAAAAAAAAGACTATCTGCGTCCACCTTTTTTTTTTTATCAGCCTCTGGGTAAAAAGTACACATGAATTTTAAAACTAAATATTTAAAAATATACGCCTGGAAAATATTTACAAATAAAGAGAGGTAACAATATTAAGACCATCCAAAATAATATTAACCAAATGGTAAAAGTGGACTGTTTATACCCATCAGAATTTAGCCATAAGCACTTTGGTAAAAACACAGCTAAGTAAACAAACCCTGAGAGAAACAAGAAAGAATCAAGAGAAACACTGCCATTTGGTCTTTGTCAAACAATTTAAATAAAATAAATTGTACATGAATGAATCATGTTATAAGTAAGGTTGATTTAAGTGCTATCAGTAAACATATCCCATAAAGACAACATACATTCTTTCATTCAGTCAATAAGAATCGAAAGTCATTTGTCACACAAAATACTCTTGGTAATCTGTAAAATCAAGAAAATCAAACCATACTGGAAATGAATGATCAGACTCCAGTACTCCTAAATATTCTTTCCTATTTTTGAGATTTGAGGAACATTAGATATTTTCTACACTTTTTAGGTTTTAAATTTTTGTCATGTTCTATTTTCTGTTCTTTTAGTTGGAAAATGAACCGATTCCTGTTACCTCATCTCACCTCCTTGTTTCTTTCACTTTAGCTCAAAGTAGTCAGTAATGATCACTCCATATTTCTAATAATCTGTTTTCCAACCGCATTCCCAAGTGTAGAAACTCCATAAACCCCAAATTCAATATAAAATATGATAGTTTTATAAAATGTTTTTACATTGCATAACATGGATCTATTAAGATGATTTCTATATTCCTGTTTTGATAGGAGGAAACACAAGACCTCTGATTAGAGAACAGGCCACTTATTACTTACAGAGCATTATGTGTCCATTTATCAGGTACATTTCTTCACAGGATGATGTGGTGTGAGCCACATGTTCACCTGTGTTTGCAGTAGTTGCACAGCAGGAGAGGACCTCCAAAATTATGAAAAGCAGTGCTGATGTAGAATAAGTAGCACAACTTTCCATCCCCCTCGCTGGAAAAAAAAAAAAAAAGGTACTCCGTAAGATAATAACCAAGTCACTGTCATCCTCAGTGCCAGGATTCCAAGGTTGTAAGGAGAATCAAAACACAGCAGGGTGATGGAGAAATAGAAATAAATTTTCTGTGGCTGAGTTTATGAACCAGGCATAAAAAGAGTACACAAGATATCTATCTATCTATCTATCTATCTATCTATCTATCTATCTATCTATCTAGATAGATAGATATACATACAGTGAAGAGAAATAAGTCACATTGTCATAGTCAACTAAAGGACAACCTTAAAAATGTGGTCTTGCTGTGTTTTCACAGGGAAAAGGGAAGGGTTTGTCTAACATTCATCCAGTCTCTGCTCCCACATTTACCATATTCTATGTCTATTCTCAATATCAGTTTTGGAATGAAATACAAAATCAACCTTGTTAGCTGGTGATTTCTCAGTATTTCCTCCACCTACATTTGCTTTTTCAACTTTCAATTGAGCTAGTTTCATCAAATCGTAAAGCTTTTTACAGATGAGGATTTTTTTTACATTTTTAAACAATATTAAATATTCTAATGGCATTTTTCAATTTCTTAAATTGATTTCCTATTTTTTCTCAAAAATTAGGATACTTTATAAAATCTTTATGTTTGTCTATAAGATTAGAATTATCTTATATAGGAATACATTATCCTTTCTTTTTCTCAATAACCTTGTAAATTAACATTGATATAAAATGTTCAAATGCAAAAAAGAAGTACTTTGAAATTTAGGTACATATTATAAATATATTTTTAATAACTCAGAGAAACGTCCACAAATGCAAAGATGAAAATCATTTTCAGCTATTGGAGAACCTATGCTGAATACAGTTCAACAAATATTTATCATTTACGATTTTATAGTAGGGAAAAATAGCATTATGAAGATGATTGATCCTTAGAATGAATGAATAAATGAGTGACTGAATGAATGAAAGGCAGTCTGGTGGCTCAACAGGATGCTTATCTAAGTTGAGGGCATGCATAGACCCTGGGCTAAGGTGGAGGATCCAGAAAGGCTGTTCCAAGCAGGAAAGTTGTCCACACTAAATGTGCAATTTGGATAGACACAGTTAACTCCACAAGTCTGGCACCTGCTTTCCCTTTCTTCTTCTTTTTTTTTTTTTTTTTTTTTTTTTGACGGAGTCTCAGTTTGCAGTCTGCTGTTGCCTAGGCTGGAGTGCAATGGCACGATCTCGGCTCGCTGCAACCTCTGCCTCCCGGGTTCAACCTATTCTCCCTGCCTCAGCCTCCCAAGTAGCTGGGATTACAGGCACCCACCACCATACCCAACTAATTTTTGTATTTTTAGTAGAGACAGGGTTTCTCCATTTGGCCAGGCTGGTCTTGAACTCCTGACCCCAGGTGATCCACCCATCTTGGCTTCCCAAAGTGCTGGGATTACAGGCGTGAGCCACCGTGCCCGGCCTCCCTCTCTTCTTTCTAAGGGTCCAAAAAATGTAGTGGAAAATATGTTAAAAGCTGCTAAATATTTTTCTGAATAACCAAACAGTACTTTCGTTCTTTAGCAGAAATATACTAAGGTTACTTGAATTGTTAGAGAGTCAGGTACATAACACCCAAACACAATGTAACATTCTGGATAAGATTCAGGAAAAGGCAAAGGACATTGGATTAAAACAAAGAAAATCTGAATAAACTACAGACATTAGTTAATAATAGTGCATGAATATTGGTTCATTAATTGTAATAAACATGTTATACTAATGTAAGATATTAATAATAGGAGAAACTAAAAGTGAGGTGTATGGAGGGTTTCTATGCTATCTTTTTAATTTATCAGTAGATTTAAAACTGTTTTTAAAAATTAAAACTGTTCTAAGACATAAAGCTTTTCTAAAATTATGCAATTTGTGTAATTATGAACTATTACACATACTTGGCTGAAATGTTCCCATGAATCAAACTGCTGACCTAATGTAGCAGAGCAAAATTTTGAAATACTGTATAACCACAACCAAATATAAAAATGCTTACAACAATAATCACAGAAATCATCATTATCATTATTAAGGTCATAATAGAAGAAAGTAAAACTAGTGCTGGGTGACACCTGAGAATTCAAGTGAGAGTAAAAAAAAAAAGTTTGTTAATACTGAATGGACTGTGCTAACTTCTATAGTTTCTTACAAAAAGGCAAAACAAAACAAAACAAAACAAACCCACAAATATAACCCTGCTGCTTAAACTTACAATTATTTGCTATGTCAAATAGAATCCTATGTATTGAAGACAAAGAGATTGAACATATTTCAATCAATGGGAAAATCTGTCAACACTTTTTCTCAGCTTCAAGAATAACAACCGGTTTATAGGAGAAAAACACATCTTATATGTGGATACACAATCCTGAGGAAGAAATCCTGTCAATAACGTCTCCTAACACCTCTCCTACTGCCTAATTTAATTCAAATAAATAGGACGATACAAATTTATATAGCAGATAGGGCATAAGTGTGAGATGTCAGAGTAGGAGTATAGTATAAATATGGATCTTTTAAAATTGAAAATGTTCTTTGAAAGGAAATTATAAAATTTACCACGGAATGCCTAGTTTCTACCAGGGATTTTAAAATATTTATTACAACAAAAAATTGGAGTTATGGTGCTCATTTTGGAAACTATTCAGGTTTACAACTTGACTCACTGGCATCAAGCTTTGTAAATGTCTTATCCATGCCCCATTAGCATATCCTAGGGTTCACCTGCGGTTATGTAATGAGCTCCCATTTATGCCAAGAGCTTCCTGTTACAACTACCTCGTCCTTCTTCCTGAAAGCATCTCTGGTTCTGAGAAGTACAGAAGTTTAATAGAATTTCAGAAGTCATCTTCAAAAATGAAAGCGGCTGTAATTCCTTCTTTTTATATCTGATTTTATTTCTTTGAACCTTCTATCTTTTATTCTTAGGCTACAGGTTTGTTGATTTTGTTTATCTTTTCCAAAAAATTAATTCTTCTTAGATTTTGTATTGCTTATTTTTTCTCTACGTTGTTTATTTCTGCTCTGATCTTTATCATTTCTTTTCTTCTATTAATTTTGGTTTTAGTTTGCTCTTGTTTTTCTAATTCCTTTAGATGTGATATTTGGTTGTTTATTTGAGATTTTTCTCTTTAATTGATGTAGGCATTTGTTGATATGAAATTCCCTCTCAGAATGGCCCTTGCTGTACCCTATAGGTTTTGGTATGTTGTGTTTCTATTCCAATTTGTCTCAATAAATTTTTAAATTTCATTTTTAATTATTTCATTGACACATTGGTCCAAGAGCTTGTAGTTTAATTTCTATGTATTTCAAAATTTTACAAAATAGTGTTTTTGTTTTCTAGTTTTATATCATTGTGGTCAGAAAATACACTTGACATGACTTCAACCTTCTTAAATTTATTAAGACTTGCTTTGTGACCTGTAATTTGACTTTTCCTTAAGAAATTGTTCCATGTGCACTTCAGAGAAACGTGTATTCTGCTGCTATTGGATGAAATGTTCTGTAAATGTTTGTTAAGTCCATTTAATCTAGAGTGCAGTATGCATTCAATGTTTCTTTGTAGATTTTCTCTCTGGATAAATTACAACTGTCATTTTGTTGTTTTCTTGTGGTTTTGTGGATTCTTTCTTCTTTTTCTTTCTTTCTTCTTCCCTTACTCTCTTCCTTTGGAATTAAGTGGCTTTCTTCAGTGGTTTGTTTTGATTTATTGCCTTTTGTTTTCAGTGTATCTATTACAAGTTTTTGCTTTGTGGTTACCGCCATCTTAAAAAAAATCTTATAACATGTAATTTTAAGTGGATAATAGCTTAATTTTGATTGCAAAAAATAAAAGCCATTAGATTTTAACCCCAGTCCAGACCCCTCCCAAACTTTTGAATTTATGGTGTCACAATTTACATTTTTTTGCTGCCTATCCCTTCAAAAGTTACTGTCATTATATTATACTTAATAGTTTTGTCTTTGAAACTTTGCACTAAATATATAAGTGATTAACACATCATTACAGTTTTAAATTAATCTGAATTTGACCTACTTTTACCAGCCAGTATTATACTTTCAAATGTTTTTGTGTTACTCACTAGCATTCTTTTCTTTCAATTTAAATAACTTTCTAGGCACTTTTTTTTGTAAGACATGTTTGGTCATGATGAATTCTCCCAGCTGTTTTTGGGAAAACTGTTCTCACTTCTTCATGTGTGAAGGACAGATTTGCTGAATAAAGTGTTCTTAGTTGGTGGTGTTTTAGTTTCAGCACTTTGAAATATATTATTTCACTTTCTCCTGGCCTGTAAGCTTTCTCCTGAGAAATCTGTGATAGACATATTGGCATTTCCTTCTATGTGGTGTATCTTATATCTTGCTGCTTTTCAGATTTTTTCTTTGTCTTTGATTGTTGGTAGTTTGACTATTAGATACATTAATATACTCCACTTAGTGCTGAATTTGATTGGAAACTCTTTGCTTCTTACAACTGAGTGTTCGCATTTATCCTCAGATGAGGAAACATTTTAGCCATTATTTCTTTAAACATACTTTGTACCTCTTTTTACCTTTCTTCTAATTGTGGAACTCTCATTATGTAAGTTATCCTTTTCCTTTTTAAAATTTTTTTTTGCTCATCTGAATGGATAATTTCAAACATTTTGTCTTCTGGCCCACTCATTCTTTCTTCTACTTGACCAAGTCTGCTGCTGAAGGTTTCTGTTGGCTTTTTTAGTTCAGTCATTGTATCATTTATCTCTAGAATTTCTATCTGAAAAAGGAGACGTTTTATCTGTTGTTACATAAATACAAAAGCTAATAAGAGAAAATTTGAACATTTATATGCCAATAAATTAAATAATCTAGAAGAAATGGATAAGTTCCTGGAAACATACAACCTACCAATATCAAATCATGAAGAAATATTAAATCTGAATCTATCAATAATGAGTAGCAAGATTGAATTTGTAGTGAAAAGTCACCCATCAAAAAAATCCCAAACTTCAAATCTTCACTGATGAATTCTACTGAATATTTAAAGATTAATTAATATCAATTCTACTCAAACTTTTCCAAAAATTATATAGGAGGGAATACTTTCAAACTTAGTATTTGAGGCCAGTATTACTCTAATATTAAAAGCAGACAAGGGCACACACACACACACACACACACACACACACACACACACACAAATCCAGGCCAATATTCCTGGATCCTCAACCAATACTGGTAAACCAACTTAACACAGTAAAAAGATTATTGACTATAATCAAGTTGGCTTCATCCCACTTTATTCAAAATATGCAAATCAATCAACCAAACAGAATCAATAACAAAAACATTATATTATTTCAATAAATGCAGAAAAAGTGATTTTGTAAAAATCAGCATTTCTTTAAGATAAAAACCCTCAATGAATTAGGTATAGAGAGAAGGTATCTCAACACAATAAAGGCTCTATATAACAAGCCCACAGCTAATATTCTACCAAACAAAGTAAAGTTGAAAGCCTTTCTTCTAAGATCTGTAGCAAGACAAGTATCCCACTTCACCACTTCTATTCAACATTGTACTATAAGTCCTAACTAGAGCAACTAGAAAAGAGAAAGAAATAAATGGCATTCAAATTGGAGAGAGAGAAGTTAATTGTCTCTGTTTGCAAATGACATGATCTCATATAGAGAAAACTTTGAAGACTCCACTAAAAACTGTTAGAACTGGTAAACAAATTCAGTAAAGTCATATGATACATAATCCACATACACATATCAGTAGCATATCTGTATACTGACTGTTAATTGTCTAAAAATGAAATCAAGAAAACAATCTCATTTCGAATAGCTGCAAATAAATACTTAATAATAAATTTATCCAAGGAGGTGAAAAATTTATTCACTGAAAATTATAAAACATTTATGAAAGAAATGGAAAAGGAAACAATTATATAGAAAGATGTTCTGCATTCATGGATTAGAAGAATTAATATTTTTCAAATGTCTATGGTACCCAAAATAATTTATAGACTCAATGACATCTCTATTAAAATTCCAATGACATTATCCATGGAAATAAAAAAATGCCTAAAAATATGTTTGGAAATGCAAATTATCCCAAATAGCCAAAGCAATCTAGAGTTAAAAGAACAAAGATGAACATATTGCACTACTTGATATCAAAATATACTACAAAGTTAAAGTAGCCAAACATGGTACTGGCATAAAAACAGACTCCAGGCTCATAGTCCCATTGAACAGAATAGAGAGCCCACATATAAATTTAGGCATGTAAAGTGAACTGATTTTCAACATAGATGTCAAGAACGGGCAATGGAGAAAGGACAATATCTTAAATAAATGGTATTGGAAAAACTAGATATTCATATACAGAAGAAATTAGACCCTTATCTCTGGTCATACACAAAAATCAACTCAAAATGGATTAAATACTGAAATTTAAGACACGGAACAATAGACTTCTAGAAGAAACATAGAGGAAAATATTCATGACATATATTTGGACAAAGGCTTTTTGGATATATCCTCAAAAGCACAGATAACAAAAGTAAAAAGAGACAAATGGGATTATATCAAACTAAAAATCTTCTGTATAACAAAGGAAACAATCAGTAGAGTCAAGAAACAACCTAGAGAATGGGAGAATATATTTGCAAATCATACATCAAAGAAGGGCTAATATACAAAATGTACAAAGAAAAGCTGTACAACAAAGGAAATAAATAACCCTACTTAAAATGGGCAAAGGATACAAATAGGCATTTCTCAAAAGAAGGCATACAAATGACCTACAGATACATGAAAAACTGTTCAACATTTCTAATCATCAAAGCAATGCAAATTAAAACCATAAGATATGACCTCATACCTGTTAGACTGGCTATCATTAAAAAGATGAAAGATAACCAAGGTTGTCAAGGATGTGGAGAAAATGAAACCTTTGTAACCTGTTATTATTTTAAATTAATAAAGCAACTGTGTAAAATAGTTTGGAAAATTCTGAAAAAGATCTAGAAGTAGAATTACCATATAATCCAACAATAATACTACTGGGTATATATCCCCCAAATTGAAATGTTTCCCAAAAAATATATTTGCACTCCCATGTTTATTTAAGCATTATTCACAATAACCAAGATATAGAAACAACCTAAGGGTGAATGAATGAATGAAAAAAATTTTTAAGTGTGATGTGCGTGTGTATGTATATGTATTCGACTATTTTTAAAAGAACAGGAAATTCAGTCATTTGCAGCAACACAGACAAATCTAGAAAACATGTTAAGTGAAATAAGCCAGACATAGAAAGACGAATACTGTATGATCTCACTCATACGTGAAATCTTAAAAAGTTGAACTTATAGAAGCAAGGAATAGAATGGTGGTTATCACTGGCTGTTGGGGAAGGGTGAGAGGAGAAAGAGGAGAAGTTGATCAATTTGTTCAACCTTACAGTTAGATAGAAATAAGGTCTGAGATTCTATTGCACAGTAGAGTGGCTATAGTTAATATTCTATTATGTCTTTCAAGATGCCTGGCAGAGAAGATTTTTAATGTTTTTACCACAAAGGAATAATAAATGTTTGAGGTGATGAAGAATACGCTAATTACCCTGATTTGATCATTGCAAAATGCATACACTTATCAAAACCACATTGTAACCCATAAATGTGTAGAATTATTATTGGTCAAATAAAAATAAAGTAAAACTTTAAAAAAATGAAAGAGAAGTTGGTGGATCAATATTCCAGCAACACTGAGTCTAATTTGCCCATGGCAGTAACTTACTCCTTAAAGTTTGTTTTCTTCCTTTCTAGTCTCATTTCCCCCTATCTTAGTGCATCTTGGGATCACGACGACATAAATTAATTGAACCATAAGCCTTAACTTTGCAGTCTGTTTTTTTGGGGGGGACACAAATTGAGATATATTTGTATTCCCTGAAGGGGATAAAATGATTTAGACTTTCAAAAATTATTTCAATGTATGCTGTAATACTGAATGCAATGTATCTTATAAAGGATTTACATAAGAGTAACCTGTAGAAAAAATAACTCTGAAAATCTATGATGACATTGACAAAAAGTGACCTCAGTATAGTAAAGAAAGTAAACACTAAATCACTAAATCTAATTTCAAACTGATTTAAATTAGTCTGTTATTCTCCTGTACTACTTCTTCTTATTTATTCTCTCTTACTTTTTTTTTTTTTTTTTTTTTGCTTAACAATGAATTATTCAAAATATACGGAGACAAAAAAAGGCTTTAGTGATAAGGGAGTTTTAAGTTTTCCCTTCTTTAACAGAAGGATACGTTAACAGAAGGGACACATGAAATTCAAATAAAATTGTGGTTATATTTGTATACCTATAGGGAAATGTATTCTATGTATAGAATGTATATTCTATGTATAGAATGTATATTCTATGTATAGAATGTATTCTATGTTTGTTGTATTTTATTTGAAGAATTATTTTATAGTCCTCTCTATTTACTTTTTTGTTATTAATGATAACTTTTGCTCCCTTTGAAAATATTTTTATAGTGAACACCTGTGGCTTATATTTTATACGTAGTTTTGGTATTTGTTACAAGGGAAGAATAATCATAGGGAAACTAACTTTCTTGGAGGAACAGCAGAAAGCATCAAGTAAAGTTAGAAAGAAAAGGATTAAGTTTCAGCAAAAGAGACATTTTTGCATAATTTCTAGAAAATAATTCATTTAGAAAGAGGAAGATTTATTAAAAATATGCTGAAAGTCAGCATATGTTACCTTTCTGTATCCAAAGGAAAATAATAAAATCTACGAACACAAAGTGTGATGAAGCAGAACTGAGTCACAGACTTCACTACCTAGAGGCACTGACAAGAGCATGGCTCCTCAGACAAGTGACAACAGAGACAATGGTTTCCAATTATCAGTGGAGCAAGGGTTATTTTTGTTTTTGTTTTAATATCTCCTTTAATATCTCCTCTTGTGAGGTGTTCATGGGAAAAATTATGACAAAGAAAAACGGTAACTTCTTATATCATTTAATTTTCTAGTAATTCTGTATAAATACGAAAATATTTTAGCCAGTTTGCCACACCTGTTCTGACTGATAGAACTGAGAAAGTGGATACATCAATAAGTCAGCTCACTTACTACTTGTGGAGGGATGCCAAATATCAGACAAGCTCACCTGAAAATGAAAATACTGAAAAAAGTGTCCATGACATAGCATTAAAATTGCCAATGCTTGCATTTTCTCTATCATTATTCCTTTTTTGAGTTGTTGTCTCTTATACTTTGTAATATTATGAGTTCTGGGACATAAAAACTTAGCAAGACCTGTAACTCATTTCCTCTCACTTGCAGTGATGCCTGTAAAAAATGAACAACCTCAAACAAATCTTGTAGTAAAAATGTCAGAAAGCAGACCTTATAAACACACAAATGGAGTTTATGGCATGAAGTGGAGAGTTCTTATCTATAAGATGTTTGGGTGCTGAACAGATTTGGTCTTTCTAGTTTGCTTATTGCAATTACTCTTAAAGTTTTGTGATCTATGGGGTTGGGATTACTGGCTTGTTAGAGAAATGGGTCAGTCACATGTGTTCATTATTTAATGAGGTATAAAATAAAAATTTTATTTAACCAAGTGGCTTACGCTATGAAGCAATGCACCATTATACCTTACTCAATACCCATCCACATACTAAATCTGAGATTGAGAAGCATTCTAATGCTATTGAGCAAGGAGCTTCAAAGGACAGGTGCACAGGAGGGCCTCAGATTTCTCCAAGGGAAATGCCTCACCCGTTTGTTTCTTATAACATTAATAAAGTCGACATTGGTTTCAATCATAAGATCCATAATTCATGTGAGTCATATTTGACAATTCAATCTTACATGTTACCATGTTCTAATTTTAGGCAAGATATTTTGTTCTACCATAGAATGAGATACTTGGGACTTCGTAATTCTTGGTCAAAAATAGACAACTGTTAGTCATTTGCTGATGATAAGATTCTTGAGTGCTAAAAACTGCTAAGTACTCTTCTAGGAAAAGTTATAACTTCATGGTATTTAAAATTAAGTGACTAAGTTACATAATAAACATGCAAATGAAGTCGTGTTAAAGAGCAATGAGGGAGTACGAAGTGTTATCCAATCCAAGGAAGGGCTAGCTAGAAAGTAGATGTTCTGCTAAAGTTCTGAATAAATTAAAGAAGTAAACAGTGTTTCTTGTGGGCAACAGAATATTGGGAAAAAATGAAAAAAGAGTTCATCAACTTAGGTGGAAATTAGTTTGTTGTATGTGTTTGAGGAATGAAAAAGAATGCCAGCGTCTTAAACTGGATTCACTCAAAATCAAAACCTGAGATAAAGAAGTACATGCAGTAAGATTATTTTTGAAAATGAGCCATTTGTCAAGAGTGGGAGGCAGAAAAGAGTGAAATAGGCAAGTAGGAAATGCTAATCTAAGCTGTCAGCAAGCTGAACCCTTCTGTAGGAAAATGAGACTTAATCCTAGTGGGGACTCTGAGGGATCATGTAAAATTGATTTCAGAATCTGCCACTAAAGGAACAAAGAAGATGCAATTTAATCTATCAGTACATATAGATTATTGGTCAAGATTCACTAGGGTTAACACTCACATTTTTGGGTTTGTAAATACACAGAATAGCTAAGATTTTTTTACATGAAAGTAGAAGAGAAGTCCCTTGGGCAGATAGCAACAGACATGTGGTAAATCCTAGGCAGACGCTCTGTTTGTGTCTGGTTGCAGCTGTTCTTTGAGGTGATGGCAAGAGCATAAAGGTGAGCTGGAAGATTGGATAGCATGTAAAAAGTTCCTCCTACCCAGCGTCCAATACACTTCACCCTTTGCACTAATCACCTTCAGTCCTTCTGTGTTTAAATTCCAATACATTCTACAGCCTTCAAGATTGTGGCATGCCTCATTCTCTAGGAAATATTTAATAAACAAAGTTAATTGTAATGAGCTTAAGTAAGTGGTTTTTAAGACCGTACTTAATATTTTTCCACTTCAGAATTTTCTCATTTTTATCCAATTCTTCAAAATGTATAGATTTCTGGCAAAATGGGAGTGGAGGGGGGGTGGTTCTAACTCATTTAACTAAAGAGTAGGAGTCTTTAGTTGCCTTATTCTTGTTAAGATTTAGTTTTACAATTGTTCATTTACAGTTATCATTGGGCATGAAACATCCAGGAACACCCTAGGCAATACCTTGATGTACTCCATGCTTCCACCATTGTGTAGGAGCAATCTCAATATCATATGGATACAATTAAGTCCTTTTCTCAGTGGTAGAATTTTCTAGCTTTGGTCTGAAAAGGGGGTATAGATCTCAATTTTTAATATGGCAGCTAAGTTAGACATTTGCTCAGCAGCTTTCAATTTTTTTTCTGGTTAGGGAAATCAATTAACACCTTAATTAGCTCCCATCTGTCTTAACATTAAGCAATATTCTGATCTATTAGTCATTCTTGCAGGTCCTTGTGGGTAAAGGCACCTGGTTGACTTTCTAATCTTGATGCTCATTATGACAGTTACTTTGAAACTATTTCTGATGATAAGTGTTGATCTTCTGGCCTCTTCAATTACAGAATCCAAGCCCAGTGGTCCTAGGGAGCTCAGTTCCATGGCAGTGTCTTCTAATGTCAGCTCTGGCCTAGAGAAGGAGGCACACCTGGGCTTCTCAGAGATGTCAGCGTATATCTTAGCAGTTTATTTTTTACTGTTATTGAAAGAAATACAATAATCTTTGCTTATCTGAAGTTTCACTTTTCACAGTTGTAGTTACTTGTGATCAATCACAGTCTGAGAATATTAAATAGAAAATTCCAGAAATAATTCAGAAGTTTTAAATGGTGCACCATTTTGAGTAGCATGATGAAATCTCATGGTATTTCACTCTGTCCCACCGGGGATGTGAATCATGCCTTTGTCCAGTGTGTCCATGCTGTAGACACTACCCACTCATTAGTGATGAAGTATCCATCTTACTTATCAGATCAAAAAAGCCATAGTATACATAGGGTTCAGTACTATCCATGGTTTCAGGCATCCACTGGAAATCTTTGAACCTACATGAATAAAGGGGGATTACTATATCCTCTGATATTTCCCATGTAACATGCTTCACTGGTAGGGTTTCTAATCTCACATATTGGATTTCTTCCATTTTCCTCATCTACCTGCATCTTCTGAAATTGTTCTGAATATTCTATTTCATCCACCATAGATAATCATTGTTTTTAAAATTTAAAGAGCAATTCTAAGCATTGTCTACAGGTGTCCTTGCCAGGACATTAAACATTGAGTCACAGTGGCATGCCCCTGCGTCAATAATAAGCCATCTATTTTGTAGTCCTGGTCCAAATCTTCACTTCCAGATACATTCCAACATATGCTCCCTAATATTTTTCAATACTTATCAGTCATATCTTTTAGTTATTTGGATGTGCTTGTCTTTTTTCTCCTAGATAAATTACTATATTATCTTGCCTTTGCTCTGTTTCACTTGTCCCTACTTAGAGACTAGGAAACTATGAGAGGAGATAGGGTCAGAAATTGAATAATCTAAGCATCATCCTGCAAGACACCTGAACCAGATGAGGCCTTTACCAGAGCTCTATGTAAGAACAACATTTAATATGGGAAAGGAGCTATTTCTTCCAAACTAGCTATTGAATATGACTGTGGAAATTCAATATTCTCAGGGTTTTCCAGATAATTGCGCACATCCTGGGTCCTTAGGTCTTTCTTTCCGACAAATTCGGGCTCTTCTCTGGCACAGGAGACACATGGGAGTTAAACATTCAGTGTCCATTGTAACTCTGACATCTTTATATTTAAATACTGAGTCTTATTTTCATCAATATCTGCTCTGTTCTGCCAGGATGACTTTACAGTATGCCTTCAGTTGATAATTTAAGCCTGTAATTTTCTTTTCTTTTTTTTTTTTTTTGGCTTCTAAAACTGTAAACTAAGGACAATGAATTGCACAGTCCTTAATATTACTATTGCTCTTATATTGATAATGTGTGTTGTTACTATGCAAACCAACGCTTCATGTTCTCTTTGTACCAAATTCTAATTTATCTCCTGTAAATATCTTAACTATAATGCTACTACATGACAAGAATTACTGCTTCACTTACCACTGGCAATGGGAAGCTTATTGGAGTTTGGAGCAACATTATTCACCAAAACAATAAGGGCCACTGCTGTCACTAATTGTCTTCGTTTGGGTTACCTGGAAAGAAAAAAAAAGATGATAAAAGAATTTGTATGCATCTGGAGCAAGAGCAAGAGGACAGGAAAAGTGGAAGAGTGAGAGACAGAAGAAAGAAAAGTCAATCAAAGGCTGAGTGCCTTTATTCATTATTATAGTTGAGAGTTGAACAGTTAAGGCATAAACCTCTTAGTAATCTTTAAGGAGCAGTGTAAAATAGACCTCTTAGTTGTCTAATAGAATGAGCGTGGTTGAAAAAAAGTTGAACAAGCAGAAAATGAGGTTACAAAGGTAAGCATGGACAAGATCACATGATACCTTGGGCTTTGGATTTTATTTGGGTTTAATGGGAACTCACTGTTGGGGTGATGGCAGAAGAAAAATAACAAGATCTTATTTATATTTCTAAAAGATGCCTGTTGATGCTGTTTGGAGAAGAAAGCGTGGTGTTAGGGAGACTAATAGAAACCTGCATAAGTAGTCCAAACAAAAAAGTGGCTAGTGGTGGCATCAGAGCTAGTCAAGATCTTCTTTTGTTTATGAGACAGAGTCTCACTCTGTCGCCAAGGCCGGAGTGCAATGGCAGGATCTCAGTTCACTGCAACCTCCACCTCCCAGGTTCAAGCGATTCTCCTGCCTCAGTCTCCCTAGTAGCTGGGACTACTAGGGACGAACCACCATGCCTGGCTAATTTTTGTAATTTTTTTAGTAGAGATGGGGTTTCACCATGCTGGCCAGGCTGGTCTTGAACTCCTGACCTCGTGATCCACCTGCCTCGGCCTCCCAAAATGCTGGGATTACAGGTGTGAGCCACTGCACCTGGCCTTTGAAGATCTTCTTAACATGAAATGAATTTTAAAAGTAGGTTCAACATGTGATATGGAAATAAAGACCATGAGGATGACACTGAAGTTTTTGTTTTTGTTTATTTCCCCTTTGGTTAGGTGGGTTATTTTTGGAGTGATTTGCTGGTACAAAGAAGACTGGCAGGCATATGGAATTGCTGAAATTGATGCTTTGCCTTGGACATGTGAAAGATGCTTGTTTGATTGGCATCCAAGTACAAATGTTAGGTGGAAAGCTGGATACAAAAGTAAAGCTTAGGGCCAATTGGGGACTGGCTATATACATTCAGGAGTAATTAATCAATAGATGTTACTTAAAGCCATGGAAACTCACTACGAACATAGTGAGTCATAGGGAGAAAATAATTTCTAAGCATGTAGTGAATAATCCTAATGTTTACTGATTAGACAGAAATTCTAATACTTAGAGACTGAAGAGAATGACAGGAGAAGGAATAGTTAGTAAATTGTATGAAAAACGAGAAGACTCTTATGACCCAGAAAACAAGTGAAGAAACTGGTTAATGAGAGAGGCACCTATCACCTTTGTCAAATATTGTTGAAAGGTACCAAGTTTACTTTAGGAATTTAAAAATGGTGAGATTGAAAAGAATGGTTTCAGTGGTTTGACCTTGATGAATGTTTAATTGCAGAGGTATAGCAAGAATAAGATAATAGTCAATAATGGTGAATATATTTATATATGTATGTATGTGCATATATGTATGTGTCTACATGTATATACAGATAACTTTAAAAGTTTTCTTTAATACACAGGGACAAGTAAATAAGGAATTTGCATAATTTTAAATTTGATTACTATGCATCAAGTTAAATAGTGATAGAACTAATCTAATAAATTATTTAAATATGCCATGGCATGAGAGAACAAATAACTACCAAAGGGAATACACTGATTTGCTAAGTTAGAATGAGGTTCAGTGTAAAACAGAGGACGTGATCTTAGATATAAACACTGGCTATGTATTCACTGTGAGGAAAGGGAAAGAATGGTCGGGCCTATAGATTCCAGTGGATTGGTTCATTTGGTGATGTAGGTGAAGGAATTCACTTTTAAGTTGTACTATATTTTCGGTAAAATAATAATATTAGCTTAAAATAGGGAGTGAAGAAATTTTCTCACTGAACAGTTATGTGAATTGGCTAGGAAATGTAATAGCCTTGCCAAGAAGTCCTGAGCATACACTCCATGCTTGCGGTTATAAATTTAAAGTGAGACAAGTCCATACCATTGTGTGTGCATATGAGTGTGTGTGTGCAAGCAAAGTTAGTTGCTTTCAAATTCACTGATGTAGTTAGAAGGTTATATAGAAATAGATCTTTCTGGGTATGGTTAAACATGGAAGTAAAATTGAAGTTATCTGAGAAAAAGTAATTATATTAACATACCTTGAATTCTAAGTTGGGTAAGGAGGGGAGGATGAAGAGTGGTAAAGGTGATAGAGTTAATAGACTGGAGTTCAAGGTGAAGTCAAAGTTTTTCTTTTTGTTTCAAGTAGGAAGAGTAAGAGAAATAAGTTGAAAGATAGAAATTTTAAATCATAGCCGAGATCCATGAATCTAAATTTCTGAAGATGGTGGAGTAATTGGCAATGATAAACACTAAAGTATGAGAACACTAGACTATGAAGTATGGAAGAAGAAAATTGTATGATTGATGAAGAGCTTAAGGAATTAGAAGGCCCAAGAGGTGCATAAATGGCACATATATGAAGCAGACCTTACATGTCTCATTTTATATTTTCTGTCTGTTTAGTTTCACAGGGAAAAAATGAAATTATTACTTTTTTTTATTGAACCCCCATGATAAATAGCAAAAATGACTACAAATTATTTCATTTATCAAGAAGTGGTATCTATTTCTCCATCTTTTAAATTGGTATGGGTTATGTGAATTGCTTTGGCCAATGGGAAATAAGCAAATGTTAAAAGCAGAGACTTGGAAAGCATTTGAGCATTTGGGTTTACTCTATGTGTAGTGTTTTGACCTTTCAACTACCATGTGAAGATGCCCAGACTATCCTCCTGAATAACAAGAAGCAAGAAGCAGTCTCTTCCAAATTGCCAAGAGCCTGCTTGCTGTCAGTCACGTGAGCTAGTTCACCACAAATCATCCAGCTATTCATTGACAGCAGAAAACAGCTAGGCTGGCACAGTTAAGACTTTCCAACAAACCCACAGAATTAGGAACCACATACATAATTATTGTCTCAAGCCACTGACATTTAGGAAGTAGTGTGTTATACAGCAATAGATAATTGAGAAACATGTTGTGCTTGGAAGTGGTGTTTTCTTTGGAAATGGAGATAGTGATGACTGGAAACAGCAGAGAAGAAACTATTATGTGATGCTAGAAAAACGTGCATAATCTGTAAATGAAGGTGAGAAAATTATTCTGATAAGATGAAAAAAAGATAACCCTTATTATTTTGTAGTAAAACAGCTGCAAAACTATCAGCCCCTCTAACTCTGAAGGTTGTTACATGTATGTAATGAACATATCTAGCGCAACATTGGATGTCTTTGGGGGAAGGGGAAGGGCATGGGTAACTTGACTGTTTAGACCAGAGGAAGCATATCCAACTCTGCCTTCTAGACATGATTTTAGATTACTTTTTTTTTTCCTGAAACAGAGGCTTGCTCTTTTGCCCAGGCTGGAGTGGTGTGGCACCACCATAGGTCACTACGGCATTGACCTGGCCTCAAGCGATCCTCCCACATTAGCCTCCCGAGTAGCTGGGACTGTAGTTGTGCATTACGATGCTCGCTATTGTGTGTGTGTGTGTGTGTGTGTGTGTGTGTGTGTGTGTGTGTGTGTATAGACAGGGTCTCCCCAGGTTGCCCAGCCTGATCTCAAACTCTTGGTCTCAAGGGATCCTCCCACCTTGGCCTCCAACACTGTTGGAATTATAGGCGTGAACCACTACACCTAACTAGAATTTTGTATTTTGACCCTAAGGGGAAAATTATATGAAACATTTTGGATCCCTGGAGTAAGAGTGAGCACATTATTCATGTGACAGAAATGTAAACAAATAGCAGCCAGGGGAGAATTGTGATTGAATATCAAATGCTCACAAGTCTTCCCTTTCTATGAAGATGGGCATTTTCCACCTCTTGAACCTGAAACAGTCATGTGACTTTCTTTGGAAATGTGGCTTTATAATAAATGTAACACAAGCAAAGACTTGATAAGTGCTTGTATATTGGGGCTGGCTTCTCTTGCAGCTTTTGTAAATGTGCAATCAGTATTTGAAGAAATTCAGAGTAGCTTGCTGAATGACAAGAGAAATAAAACTCGGGTGTCTCTGTCACTCTAAACAGCCTGTAGGAGCCACACATGTGAATGAGGATATCCTTGATTGTCTGGATGCAAGATGACTCACCAGTTGATAGCAAATATATATATATATGTGTGTGTGTGTGTGTGTGTGTGTGTGTGTGTATATGTGTGTGTGTGTATATATATATATGTATATCTGGATATATATGTGTGTGTGTATATATATATATACACACACACACATATATATACATATATATACACACACACATATATCCAGACATACATATATATATACACAAATACACATATATATATATATATATTTGCTATCAACTGGTGGGTGCTATCAACTGGTGTGTGTGTGTATATATATATATCTACACACACACACACACACACACACACACACATACACACATATATATCTGGACAAGCCCCACAGCTATCAGCTGACCTGTCCCAGACCCAAGAATCAAGCGGACTCATATAACTGTATGATAATTAAATGGTTAATGTTGAAACACTAAATTTTGAGATGCTTCCTTAAGCAATGAAATAACTGGAAATCTTTTCTCTCTAGAGATCACTTTGCTGTCAGTGGGCTTTGAAGCCACCACTGTATTTTATCCAACCATAGTCACACAAGAACATTCTCATAATGTGGTAATGACATTGTCGTTTTAATTTACCTCAGTGATATACACTTAAAAAAACTAAACTGAAAATATAATTATGTCAATGTGCAGGAAGCTTTTGAGAAATATTTTTTAAAAATCCATTCTGGCACTATTCTGTATTATATGAGTTATATTTTTGTGGAAATTGTTTTAAGTATAAGCTTCTAAAATATGATTATACACATAGTAATTATACCATTATCTATCAGCTCCTTATTTCCACATGCTCAGTCTACTTTCTTGGTAGAGATATATCTTATCCAAAAAATATACATTAAGGATTTGTAGTATTATTGTATGTAGTAATTAAGAGTGGCTTAACCCTTTGAAGTGACTTAATTCATTATATTTATGCCTATAATTTTAACAATATGTATAAGAAAGAAGACCTCATGGTAGTTTATGTTCTAGATATTTTACAACAAATGATATGGCACATAATACAAATATGTGTTGCCTCATTATTCAAAGAATTAAAAACATTTATCAGACTTACTAGAATTTACTGATCCAAACTCCTCAAACAATTAGACTTTGAATAGTCAATGAGAATATATTTCTTCTCCTTTTTCAGCACTATTCACAGAATATGTTATCAATTTTCTGTCACTCTCTCTCCCTGAAGAAACCAATATTACTTCGATTCTATATAGAAAATAAAAGAGGTATCCTGAAAAATAAAAATGGATTTGACTTTTTTTTTTTCTGTGTAAGAATTCAGACATTAGCAGCACTGAATCTTATCAGATCAATTCCCCGCAGAAGGCTAAAGCCTGCAGTGGTCCAGGTTCTGTAAACTCTACAGACGTGAGACAAGAATGATAAAGGAAGACTACTAAATATTCCTTTGCTAAACCGTGCATGCAATGCATGTTGATTGCCCCTGGTTTTAACTATCTACACTGTAAATAAGAGGTCTATAAGCCAAGTAGTTAAAGGTGAAAGACTCTTCTATTATCCTTTTAATTCCAATAAAACTATTCAACCAATTTTATTCACTTACACTGTTAATAAAATAGACCCTATGCTTTAGAAACCTGGCTCAAATAGAAAACAGAAAAAAAGTTCTTACCTTTCGTATTTTTCTCTCCAACTTCTACATATTAATTAATCTTGTGCTCTGTATTTGGAACCATGAAAACAAATTTTATTTTTCTATTCGGTCAAGTAAAAATACTATGTATAGAAAAACTCTAGACAGATTGAGACTCCATCTCAAAAAAAAAAAAAAAAAAAAAAAGAAGAGAGGAGGAAAACTCTAAGAATGAGAAATTGCTATGGAGTTTAATGTTGATTCCAGAACATACCCACTGAATAGGAGGCGCAAGGTATCAATGTTAACTAGTTGAAATACAAATTGAATTTTTAAATTAAGTAAAGTCAGGGTAATCCAGATGTCACCTTGGAAAGGAGACTAAACGAGAAATTTAGGATGTGTTTGTCATAATTTATATTACTCTAATGAGAGGAATCAATGCAATCAAAAGCACCTTATCATTCAGACTAGTTGGAGAGAAATGCCCAAATCAAAGTTGTAGCACCACGTGTTTCCATTCATATTTCCGTGGTGATATGAACTTCAAATTACAGTGCTCGTATTGAATGCATGTGAGACTAAACACGAATTGGCCTGGCATGCTGACTCATGCCTGGAATCCTACCACTTTGGGAGGTCGAGGTGGGAGAATCACTTGAGGCCAAAAGTTCAAGGCCATTTTGCGCAACATGGGAAGACCCTCTCTACAGAAAAGAAAAAAAAATGGTGCACTTTTGTAGTCCTGGCTGCTCAAGAGGCTGAGGTGTGAGGATGGACTGATCCCAGGAGTTCAAGGTTATAGTCAGCTATGACCACACCACAGCGCTCTAGCATGGGTGGCAGAGTGAGACCCTGTCTCTAAAAGATGAATTGATCATTAAGTAATTAAAAGACATTAATTAAGACAAGAAACTCAAATCAGCGAGCAACAACTAGGAGAAAGGTGTGTGGAGGATTTTTGTAGCAGTTTGCCATAGATCAAGCATAAAGGCTGGAAGGGATGGATATGACAGGTACAAAGAGAGTGACTTAAGTCTAAATATTCAAGACAGGGATTTTCTGAATACAGAAAACTTTTCTCATCTCTGGCGAACTTGAACTAGAATCAGTATTAAGTGAAGATTATGTGATGAATATCTGGCATACATCATTGAATCTATTTCCAAATCTCTTGTGGATCAACTTCCAGAAACTAGGACTGAGAAAGGAGAGGTTCTCACACTTCAGGTACTTTCCATAAAGATTTTTTGAACCTAGAAATCTACGTCTGGGTTTATTTTCTGCTTTCACTATCATCCCAGAGGTCCAGGACCTGCTGCTCATCGTATTTGAAAGGGAGGCTAAGAGTCAATTGTTTCTAAATTCTGAGGCAATTTACAGTTGATGTGATCTTTTGTTCATGAGCCTTTGAGGCCAAAATTTCAAGTTAACCGATTTTAGTTTATTTGCTCCTGTATGCATGAAATAGATGAGACAAAGAACAACTGATATTTACTGAGCTTCATTTGAATTTTGATGGGAACCCTATTCTCAGCTCTTACCCTAAAGTGCAGTAACCTATCAGTGGTTTCCAAATCCCTGGGGCTTATCTGAATGCATCACTTAAGCTGGAGTAGGTTTCTGAGACTGGGTAATAAAACTTGCTGAAACAGGAATGGAATACTTAAAGAAAATACTGAGGACAATTTTTTTATTAATATTTCATTTCTGGTCTAAAAAAATGATATGTGTTTGATCCCTCCACTTCACTAGGCATTGTAATTTAGTGAACATTCTGATACTTAGATTTCAGAAACCTTCCCCAGAGTCTCTTTGCAAATTGTGACTCAACTGCATTCACAGATGGAGTGCAAAAACTGAGATCAGATGTTGATGTTGAAAGTACTGCAGAAGGCACAAGTAAATGACAATACAGAAAAAACAGGTCATTAACTGGTGTACGAATAAAGTAGCCAAAGGTTTTTCTGATTTTTGAATAGAAACCTTTTGCCTTCAGAGACTTTTCTCTTACCCATTTCAATTGGATTTTCTTTTACTTCAATTAGACAACAAGCAGACAACAACACAACTACCTTTATACTAGTGAAGAGTAATCATTTCTATATGAGTAATAATGCAACATGAAAAATCCCACAAAATATTGTTTAATAAACTAAGTCTTGTGGATGTGTGTGAAAAAGCTAGCCAGAAATATTCTTTTTTCTAATTCTGTAGTAGAAGAATTTAATGTGATGACTTTAGGTGTGTGTGCATGTGCCTACATGTGTGAACAAGTATACATGGGTGTACTGTGTGTGTGTATCACGTGGTGCAAAACTAATTGCGGTTTTTGGATTTACCTTTAATGGCAAGACCAGCAATTCTTTTTGCACCAACCTAATATTTAAGTTACATGTCCTATGAAAATTATAATGCCTTCTGCAATTAATTGTTAAATATGAAGTAAGAAAATCAACATTAATGTGTTTGATAAATCTTTGTCGCATATGCTTATCAGCTAAGTGTTTATTATACAGGACCTCACCTCACACACCTGAGAAAACACATCACACGTCTACCTTCATGAAAACATGAACTTGCTACTCCCACCATTATTAGTGTAGACAGAGAAGTATCACAGGTTATGTAGGGCATCCTAACTTATCTGAATCTTGTTTCACAGTGAAATTACCGTTTCTGTTTATATTTAGAAGGGGATATTGGAATGCACTCACCTTTTTTTTCTCTAAAGTCTCATATAAAAGTGAGTTAAAATAAGTTCCTTTTTGGTATTGTTCATAAGTATTAAAACATTAAATATGTTTATCATCACCTAAAAAACATAAGATTACAAAGCTGTGGTTTTAGCCAACTTTTTTAACTTTATGTGCCTAGAATGTAATATTTCCGGCAATCTGGCAAGAGTTCACACATCTGCACCTCTTCCAGTTTCCCGTGGCAGGTGAGTTTCTCCTTTGTTAAATTGTTTGGCAGGCAGCTGTGAATTTATAAATTTGCAACAGATGTCTCCAATCAGAATCATATACATTTTGTAGTCTAAGGCTGAGTCTGGGGAAGCTGAACAGGACAGGGAAGGATGTATAATTTTATTTTATCTAAAAATTTATAAATTTTAGTTTTTGTGTGAAAGTTGTGCTTTTTACACCTAGGTAAACAATCTGAGTAAAATAAATAAACAGAGGAGTATTCCATAAATGGATTCAACTGAGAAATTAATCTCAAAAACTTTGGTTTTAAAATATATATGCTTTCTAAAAAATATTTTTCTTGGTAGAATTAAGAATAATATATGTCCAAAAATCATTTTACATCCTTTCATGGAAATAGACCTCTAATATAATATGAGGTCATCACACTGAATAAAATGCTCATTATATCTTTATTCTTACTACAAGTAGGAAAATTCATGAAGCTATAGATTACTACTGGGGGGAAATGAACAATTGGAGTTATTAGTTAGTTTAATTATATTTTTAAATGGTGCTCCTGTCTAAATTATTATAATAACATTCTACTTTGATTTAGTGATTCAAACACAAATATCCACATGGAGGTAACTGAGACATAAGCTGAGTCGGGCATGGCCGTTGCTCAAGCATTACCAGTGGTATTATCTTCACATCACTTATCCCAATACACCCCAATGTTTGTCTTTTATGATTTACATAATATTAGATTGTCTCTCTGCTACCTCTGTCTTGGTCCCCATTAGAACAAACATACCTTTCTCTGTACTCAACAGATCCCACTTTCTGTCATCCTGCTTTTTTACACTTAGTCTATATTTTATTACTCAGTCTTTCTCTGCATGGCAATTCATTCGAATTCATATAAATACCTACCTCACACATACACACTTTTATGTACACACATAAAAATAATAAGCATACACAAAAATTCTCAAGATATTCACATATGCACAACTGGAATAATAGAATGCATATTAGTTTTAACAGATAATTAGCTTATGTTTTATTAGGGTTTTGTTTAATTCAGTTTTGCTCCAATCTTCACTCATCCAACTCTCAGACATATCCTCCAACACACATACATAAACACGTACACTTACACAGAGTACAAACATAGAAAGAAAACAAAACACCAGATTAACTGATTGTATTCTACGTTAATTTCTTGTTAATATCACAATTATATTATTGTATATAATGTTGTTTATAATATATAATATTACTGCATAGATATAAATACTTTATCAGGTATAAGTGGATTTTAGGATTTTTGATTTTCAAAAATAATATTGTATAATATCTATTTCTTCTGTATTTTGCCATTCTCACCTTCAAGACAATAATTACTTATAGTCTGCTAAATTCCATTCTAAGCACTGTGGACATAACATTGAACAAAAGAGATCCGAAAGAGCTTAAATCAATGAAAAGCTTTCTAAATAGTAAAACATTCTTTAGTTATAAATTTCTTTCTAAACTCTTCCTTTTATATTGGAAGGAAAAACATTATTTCTTTATATAGATTTGCTTCCAAGCTATTATATCCATTTTTACTTTTGCTTTTCTGATAGTATAATTTTCAGATGTTCACACATCTGTTTGGACACAAAATGAGCAGGTAGGGCCCACTAAATCCTAAAATATACAGTTATTTCAGCCAGTATTATCCTATCATTAGCATATCAATTGTGGGATAGTGGCAAGGAAAATTCAAATGATGTGGTTTGGCAAGAGTCCCAAAAGATCAGATGGTTTGTATTATTTCCTAAACTCTATGTTTTATTATTTTATAACTTTATTTTTGTCTCATTTCCTCAACTTCACTACCACAAAACTTTATCTAAATAAGGGTTTTATTTTGGTACCTCAACAAATAATATAACCTTTAATATTTAGAATTTAACTTTGGACCCAAATCCTTTCAATATTTACTCCCTTGTATACTTTGTTATTGCACATTCTAGTATACTATCCCAAGGTCTTCCTGTCAAGGTGCTGTTAAACACACATGAAGAGTACATCAAAAATTCATTGTTTTCTTAGAAATCAGAGCTTCTTTTGATAATCTACACATCTTCATTCATACCTTTTAACTATTAGAGGCCACCTCCATTACCTTGAGTAGTAACATAGAAATTCATAAAAGTGTCCTTCTATTTAAGTGTCCTTCATTCACTTTGTAATTTCTTTTTTTAATCTTTTTTTTTATTATACTTTAAGTTTTACGGTAGATGTGCACAACGTGCAGGTTAGTTACTTATGTATACATGTGCCATGTTGGTGTGCTGCACCCAGTAACTCGTCATTTAACATTAGGAATATCTCCAAATGCTATCCCTCCCCCCTCCCGCCACCCCACAACAGGCCCCGGTGTGTGATGTTCCCCTTCCTGTGTCCATGTGTTCTCATTGTTCAATTCTCACCTATGAGTGAGAACATGCGGTGTTTGGTTTTTTGTCCTTGCGATAGTTTGCTGAGAATGATGGTTTCCAGCTTCATCCATGTCCCTACAAAGGACATGAACTCATCATTTTTATGGCTGCGTAGTATTCCATGGTGTATATGTGCCACATTTTCTTAATCCAGTCTATCACTGTTGGACATTTGGCTTGGTTCCAAGTCTTTGCTATTGTGAATAGTGCCACAATAAACATACATGTGCATGGTGTCTTTATAGCAGCATGATTGAACAGACATTTCTCAAAAGAAGACATTTATGCAGCCAAAAGACACATGAAAAAATGCTCATCATCACTGGCCATCAGAGAAATGCAAATCAAAACCACAATGAGATACCATCTCACACCAGTTAGAATGGCCATCATTAAAAAGTCAGGAAACAACAGGTGCTGGAGAGGATGTGGAGAAATAGGAACACTTTTACACTGCTGGTGGGACTGTAAACTAGTTCAACCATTGTGGAAGTCAGTGTGGCGATTCCTCAGGGATCTAGAACTAGAAATACCATTTGACCCAGCAATCCCATTACTGGGTATATACCCAAAGGATTATATATCACTTTGTAATTTCTAAAGTGAAAGAAGAAAGTGTAACAGCAACTAGTTTAGAACGAAGAGTGTAGAGACTAATGTAGGGGACATAAAAGGAAATTGAAAAGACAAATGAGGCTTTGCAGGCAAACGAAAAGTTTCTTGAATCAGAGGTAAAATTTAAGGTTAGCCATCTGAGCCAAAGGAAAGTTATTACCATTTCTTGAATATTTGCCATATGACAAGTCTTGCAAGTAATTGTTTATGTGTAAAAGTGTGCCTCATTGCCATTAATATTACCACAAATCATAGGCTTCAGACATGAAGTGTTTTACGGAACAGAACACTGGACTTTGAAGTTATTCCGAATGCTTTAAATTGTCAAGAATAGTCACTTCATTATAATCTTTGTAAGTTTTATTTAATTACTGATTGGTTACTGGGAGAAACTAATGTGTTAGTCTTTTATCACCAAACACAGCTGCATGAATTTACTTAGTTGACTTGCCTTGGGAGGATAAATCCCCTGATAAAATGGGGCATATGGGGTGAACATTTAATTGGGATTGAGGTGATTTAAGGACAGTAGACCCAGGTAAAAATATATTAAAGAATTAGCCATGTTCATACACAAATACAAATGAAAACGTCCTCTTTGGCTGGCTTTATAGTGAGAGATAGCAACATGACATTTATATTAAAATGTATATTCCTCTTTTTGGAAATTATCATTTATCTGACAGTTAAGAAAACAATTGATGAAATCTGGGGCAAATAGAGAAACATGAGGAAATATAAACATTTCAAATAAAGGGGATTAAAGAGGATTAAGATACTAATTATACGTTTATGTATACAGCATATTTTCATTCATGTTCTCATGTAAAGACAATCACTTTTGACTTTCACAACTCTTTGAGAGAAACATGTTGATGTTTTGTTGTTTTAATTGTTAGCAACAACAACAAAAGTTGAGATTCATAAAATTTAAAATAAATTATGAAAAGCCAAGAATCAATAAACTGACTCAATTTGGAAAAACTAGGTCCAAGATGAGTTCAAAATTAATAGGGATTTTTAATTTAAAAGATATTACCTAATGTTTCCTAAGGATATATTTTTCCTCACTAAAGTATCTTTGGAGACATATAAAGAGCTGACCATTATAATAAAATTAAGTTATAATTCTAATTTTGACCCAACATTTAAGAAAATTCCACTGACAGAAAATCTAGTGTAGTAAATTAATAGACGCAATGAGAAACTGGAACATAATTTACCATTAAAAGAGAGGAAAACATACGAAACTCTGGAAGATTGAAAAAAAAACAGGGTGGTGATGCTATATAGTTATCTGAATGCTTACAACAATCATTCTGTCATGTTAAAAATTGTTTTTTCTTTTTTCCAAAAGGGTTACTTTTCCACAACTCCATTCATAGTTCCTCTTATAATACACTTCACATATAAAATAACAAGTATATAAAGCAAATCTAAGGGATCAATGGGTGTAAATTAGGATTTACATTGTATGAAGCAATTTACAATTAAAACAATTCTGCATACAACTATAAAGAATAGAGAAGTTCTGTTTAGTAGAGGAAACACTAACTGTAATTTTATAGAGCACTATTTTTAATAAGATTATCAGAGAAGACAGAAAAAAGTTTAGGGAATGTCCCATCTCAACCCATTAGAGACAGTGTGGTGAATTTCTGCTATATATTAGGGAAAAAATTATAAAAATTGATCTGATCTTCATCTACGGCCCTGAATGTAGTCCAATGATAAAGATTAAAACCACCCACTACAAATATGTCCATAACCACTTGACATGAATTATTGCAGTTAATCATTTAAAAACCTGTAAGAAAAGTATATTCTCAGCAACACATGAATATCTTGAGCCAAAGATGTTTTAAATAATATAACTAAGGTCTAATAGTAGTTTTCGGAGCCTGGAAACAAACCACCTAACAAATCAGCTAAAGACAACTGAAAGAAACTTATAATAAACTAAGTTACGTTTATTATTTGACAAGTAAAATACATACAAGAAAAAATAATATTGAAACTTAAAGGAAAACTGAAGATCAAGTATCCCCAAGAAACGTTAAGCAAGGTAAAGAAAGAAAGAGAGAGAGAGAAAGAGATAAAAAAAAATTAAGACATATAAAAATTAACAACAAGGAGAATTCCTTGACTTTTAAAATTATTTTTATTTACATAACGATTTATCTTGACTTTTATTTTTAGCTTTTGGGGTATTTCAGTTTTTTAGAATTATAAATATTGATGCTCATGAACATGTTTGCACACAAATGCTTTTATAGCTCTAATTATTTCCTTACAGTTGATTCTCAGAGTTGAAACAACTTGGATAAAAGGTGTAAGCATTTTTAAGGCTCTTTGTAACTGTTTCAAAATGAATATGGTGTATGATAGTGTCTTTTAAAAAAATGCTAAATAGGTATGTGCTTAGCAATGGAGCTTCAAAATGCAAGAAGCAATAATTGAGAAGGCTCAAAACAGAAGAGATACTTTAATTTTGAAATATTTGGATATTTTAATCTCTCAATTTATAGGGCAGACTAATCTCTCAATTTATAGGGCAGACACAGAAAATTAGTAATGTTAGAGAACTACTGGACAACACTATCAATACATTGATCTTATTGCCATTTATAGAACACTCTCTCACTCCAACAACAACAGAGTATTACTTTCTAATCACATGCACCATTTTTGTGATGCCATATTCTGGTTCCTAAAACAAAGTCCAATATTAAAAGAATTGAAATCATGCAAAACACATTTTCAGAGTGTAGCACCATTGCACTTAAAAGCAATTAATAGAAGATACTGGAAAGTTTGCAAATGTTAAGGAGTTGGGTACCATTTTAAGCCTTGTAAATCCCATCTTGAATTCTGGTGGAAACTGAAACTTACAGAATTCAGCAAATGTCAGGGACTTGTACAGGTGTAATTAGATGGGTAGACTGGAAAGTCCAAGAGCATGACTTAGGTATCTGCTTGGGTTATAGTGAGGGCCCCATGCTGCATCACATGATGCAGAAGCAGAAGGGGAAGTGGATGTGTGCAAAGACAGCAAACACAAAGGGAAACTTTGCTTTATCACAACTCACTCTTGTGGTAGCTAATCCAGTCACACAAGAACGAGAACTCACTACTGAAAGAATGTCATCAAGCCACTCACCAGGATGGAGCTCCCATGACACAAATGCCTCCTATTAGGCCCTACTCCCAAAAGTTTCCAGCTACTAACATTGCTGCACTGGGAATTAAGGTTCTAGCATGAGTTTTGGTGGGGACATGCAAACCACAGCAATATATATTAGGAAACAATATAAATATTGATCTACTGCAGTTGCAGTAATTAAACAAACATTGAGAGTGTTCATCTAAAATTATAACAGTAACTTTGAGAAGTTATGAAAAATTGTACCACTAGCAAAACTGAAGTCAGAAAAGATTAGGAAAAAATAATAATGTCAATAGACTTATTTATTAAATAATTTAAGTCTGTAAAAAATATAAAAAAACTTTTGAAAACATTCATGAACAAAACACTTATCAAGGCCAGATTAATGTTAAAGTACTATCAAACATTCAAGGAGTAATAATAACAATTTAATTTTACTTTTTATATATGTAACATATAAATGTAATAACAGGCTAATTTAGAAGTGTGACTATCACCATACCAACTTATAAATTGAACAGAACTTTCTTACAAAAACTAGACAAGAAAATTACAATCCAACACTTCATTAAGGCACATTAAATGATTCTAAATAAAATATCATAAAAATGAACTCAACAACTTATAAAGAGAATAACACATCAGAACAAATTGGTTTGTCCCTTGAATACAAAGTTGTTTTATAATATTAAAAATCTCACTCACATTAAGAGATTAAATATATAATTAAATATACAAATATGTAATTTTATTAAAAATGAAACATATAAGTAGAAATTCTAAATGTATTTCATATTGTCTAACATATATTATTGAAAAAGTCATTTGTATATTACAAATGAAGGGAAGCATCTTTTATCTGATAAAAGTTTTATAAAGACTGTTATAAATTATTCTTCATTGTGAAATATTTAAACATTTGTCATTGTCCACAAAAGAAAAAACACAGAGTATCCTTAATTATTCTACTTTATACTAAAAACCTAAGTACATGTATACTTGAAATGATTACTTTAAGATAATAATTGCCTGTATACAGTTTAATATCCTATCTACTAGTAAAGGAACAGAATTTATAAGATGATTAAGCCATGGATTGAATTAAACACATAAAATCACATATAGAAAACACATTCAATGTAAAAGTCAACAAATTTTCTTCACATTGGTAACAAGATGTTGAAAGATATAATTTAATAATATTAGAATTCAAGATAGCAATTTAAAAATATAGAATACATAAAAGAAGTCTACAATATATGAAGAAAATGAAAATATACTGTTTTGGATAAAATGAATCAATATTTTAAAAATTTCCAATGTATTCAAAATTGATCCATATTTGTCAATCAAAACATTTATAAAATATTAAGTTCACTTAAGTGAATTCTTCTTGAGATAACACAATAACAGATAGTATAAATGTTTCTGAAGAAACAAAGTAAGCATTAATCTTTTGCCTACCAGCTAACAAATGTAGTATCAGAAGGCTTAGATAAATAAAAACAAATCAATTGATTATAAAATGATGCCAGATATGAAACTGATCAATATATATGAAATGTGTGTGTGTGTTTCTGTGTATCCAGGTTGACATTGCAGATGAGAGGAAAACAGTGCTTTAATAGTTATACAGTTCCAAAAATATATGGATCCCTACCTCACTCCATACACAAAAACTAAATCTGGTTAATTACAAACTAACATGGTGACTAAATTAACTTAATTTTATTTAATATTATGTTTTGCAACTGATTAGTTCCATGTGATTTAATTTATTAGATTATTTTGATTGGGTTTGTATCTCTTTTGTTGATTTTTTCCCAAAAATAATTTCTTTCTGTTTGTAAGAATTGCTATATTCTCTTAACTTGAACTTTCAAAACTTCAGTTTAAAATTTCCTACTTTTTAAATACTGCATTGCCTTTTCTACAATTTAGTGAGTTCTTTTATGTTTAAGTTAGAGAGTAAATATCAAGGGTGAATTTCAATCATTGTGACTCTCTCTAGGATCCAGAAATATATTAGTACTTTACTCTCTTAGGTGCAAAAGTGGAGGAAAACTTTGACTTCTACCAGCTGAGCTCTTCCTTGGGGTTAGACTAATGTCTCTAGAGCTGAGATTTCAGAAGCAGGAGGAATTACACATGGCTGCCATAGAAAACAGGCAACCAGCTGTCGACAGCCTCACACTCCAATGTGGGCATATCTCAATGCCCATTGGAGAACATAACAGTCACAAGCCATATGGCTAGAACAACATTATCTCCCCCCAGGTTATTCTTTTCTCAACCATCTATGAAAAGTTCCTTATTTTTTCCATGTAAAACAATAATGCATTAATATGAAAATTTTTGTACTTGGTAAATTGCATATCTGAGAAAGCGAAAGATAATTTTATTTTGCTGAAATATAATTACTTCGTCTAAATTGTATACATTAGGACAAAAGATAATACGGGGAATCTAAAACAAATTGATCCATAGAAATAGTACGAGTGTGGCTACCAGAGGCAAGAGTAATGGGCTGGGATGTGAGACAGGGGAGGATGGGAGATGCAGGTCAAATGATTTAAAGTTGTAGTTACGTTGGGTGAATAAGTATTTAGATTTAGTGCACTGCATGAAACCTATAGCTAATAATGTTGTATTGTATAATGGAAATTTGCCAAGAGAATAGATTTTAGATATTCTTGCCATAAAAAAATAAGAAAGGTAACTACAGGAAATATTGACTATGTTAATTTGCTTGACTGTAGTAATTGCCTCATGGTGTATATGCATATCAAAATATCATGTTGTAAATCTTAAATGTATAGAGAAAAAAGATACACAAATCATGCTGTGTTGATCAAAACCTCACATATATAGTCTGGGTTTAGATTCTCTTGTGAATGTATATTTGAGCTATGGTGACATTAAAAATAATCATTAAAGATTGTGTTTTGCAAATTATTTCCTTTCCTTTAAGAAGTCAAACCAAATAATATTGTATGTGTGCTGGATGAGTAAAAAAATAGTGATGTATTATTTTGGAAGGTAAACCTTTATGTGCATTAAATATTAAGAATAGAAAAAAAATTTCTTTTGTCATAATTTATAGACTTTATTCTTGAATTTATGAATATCCAAAGATGTCTCTGGCATAACAAAAATTTGTATTTGCTAAATAATAATAAATAATGTCAGAATGAATATTAAATAATAAAACAAACCAAAATATATACAATTGCATTTGAGGAATTCAAATTAACAGAATCAAATTGTAACAAAGCATTTTTTTGATATCAAAAATTGTGAGTGAATTAATAATGAAGCAGTGACAAAACCACCAGCAAATAAACAAATGAAGGGGCATCATTTTATACAATATTCTTTGAACATTCAGATAAATAAATAAACAGGGAGTAGATGACTCAGAAAGGAGGAACACGGAAAAAAAGAGGTCTCACATCCAACTACTGTGTATCCCAGAAAGCAGGACTGGCAGATCAGCAAGATCCTGAGAATACTCGGTAATGACCACAGATTTCGTGACAATAAAACAGAGAGGGTATCTATTATTTCCTTTTTCAGATTAAGAAATAATGGAAATAGTTTCTAGGAAGAAACTAGTGAATTAAAAAATAAACAGCACATCAGATTCCAAAAAATATGTGTAAAGGATCAATAAACATTCAATGAATTCAAGAAAAATATCTGAATATCTGGCTATCACCTTACTAGTTTATTATAAAAACGTGATCATATTTCAGAAGGGAGCAAAGACTGATTTTTCCAACAAACAAAATTGTATAGTACTTTATTACAGGTTTTTGTGCTTCATTTATCAATATTTTAGATCAGTTTACCAAAAAAAAAATACATAGCAAAAACACTCAACTCTCAAATATTAACTAGAAGAGAAAACAAATCATTCTTAGATAAAACATCTGCAAATAACCATAATCTATGAAGGAAGTATAAAGGAAAAGGTGAAAAAGAATATTATAATGTTTAAAATATTATAATGCTGTAATCCCAGCACTTTGGGAGGCCCAGGCAGGTGGATCAGCTGAAGTCAGAAGTTTAAGACCAGCCTGGCCAACATGGCGAAACCCCGCCTCTACTAAAAATGCAGAAGGAAATTAGCCGAGCGTGGTGGCATGTGCCTGTAATCACAGCTACTAGGGATGTTGAGACAGGAGAATCACTTGAACCTGGGAGGCGGAGGTTGCAGTGAGCCGAGATCGTGCCTCTTCCCTCCAGGCAGGGCAACAGAGTGAGACTCTGTCTCAAAAAAATAAATAAATAAAAAGTTTTAAAAAAATTAAACTTTAAGGAAAAAGACTCAAAAGAAGGACATTTTTAATGTGGTCTTAATTTTTGAAAAATAATGAAATAACTGCAATATAGTAAAAAAGTTTTAAGGTGAAAATAATACACAGAATAATTAGATTAAAGGGAAACTGTAGAACTAAGGAAATAAATTTTAAAACCAAACACCATTTAGAGAAGTAATTAATGAATTTGAAGATAAATTTGATAAAGAGTGTAAACACTACTAAATATCAAAACAGAACTAGAGAAAAAGAATCGTGTTTATCACAATTAAAACAATAAGAAATTCAAAGAAATTTGAATTACAGTTAAATAAAATTACAGTTACAGTTAAATAAAAGCAATTACAGTTAAATAAAATTAAAAAATAAGTCAAAGATAATCCAACACAAAACAGACCATTAAAGTAATAGAAATAAATATGCTTTCAATTATCTACTATTACAGCATTTTCTTAAGATTGAGAAGAAAAAAATGTTCAAATCAAAGGACAAATTGTGTTTTAGATCCCTCCCCCGAAAAAAGCATTCAAGCATTCAATACCCTTCAGCTTTGCATTCTTTAGATATTTTAAAATATTATTTAAACACATTTGAAATGAGACAATCAAATTAAAGAGATTCTAAATTTAAAATTGCATCATAAAAGCAGTCATATTATGAGTAATTAACAACTCTAAATGTGTATACCTCTAATAACAGAGCTTTTTAATACAAGAAACAAAACCTGATAAAACTGCCCAGAGAAGTAGACAAAATCACAAACAAGTTGGAGATTTTAATGCATTCCTTCAATAATTGATAGTACGAGTAGACCAAAATCAGTCAGCGTATATAAAATGTGAGCAAAATTAATCAACCAGCTAGACCTTACTGAGAATCTTATAGCACATGCCACTAACAACAGTAGACTACAAATTTGTTTTAAGTGATTACAGAACATTTACCAAGCTAGGTTGTTCTGGGCCATAATAAGTCTCATAAATTTAAGATGAGTCAAGTCATTCAAATTATATTATCTGTCCATATAGAAATAAACCAGAAATCCGGCCTGGCACGGTGGCTCAACGCCTGTAATCCCAGCACTCTGGGAGGCCGAGGTGGGCGGATCACGAGGTCAGGAGATCGAGACCATCCTGGCTAACATGGTGAAACCCCGTCTCTACTAAAAGTACCAAAAAAATTAGCCAGGCGTGGTGGCGGGCACCTGTAGTCCCAGCTACTCAGGAGGCTGAGGCAGGAGAATGGCTTGAACCCAGGAGGCGGAGCTTGCAGTGGGCCGAGATCACGCCACTGCCCTCCAGCCTGGGTGAAAGTTGCAAGACTCCGTCTCAAAAAAAAAAAAAAAAAAAAAGATAGAAATAAACCAGAAATCCATACAAGAAATATCTCTGTTCAAAGAAGAAATCAGCTGAGCACGGTGGCTCATGCCTGTAATCCCAGCACTTTAGGAGCCCGAGGCAGGCGGATCATGAGGTCAGGAGATCGAGACCGTCTTGGCTAAGACGGTGAAACCTGCCTCTACCGCAAAAAAAAAAAAAAAAAAAAAAAAAAAATTAGCCGGGCATGGTGGCGGGCACCTGTAATCCCAGCTACTCGGGAGGCTGAGGCAGGAGAATCGCTTGAACCTGGGAGGTGGAGCTTGCAGTGAGCCGAGATCGCGCCACTGCACTCTAGCCTGGGCGACAGAGTGAGACTCCATCTCAAAAACAACAACAACAACAACGTTGTACTCCATCTGGGCGACAGAGTGAGAGCTGTCTCTAAAAACAAACAAACAAAAACAAAGAAGAAATCAAAAGGAAAATAATAGAGTATTATGTACTAAATAAAAATGTAAACACAGTATATTGAAATTTGTGGGATGCCACTTAAGCAGTAATTTTGAGGAAATTCATAGCCTTGGATACACATATTGGAAAGAATGACTCAGTTTCTACAGAAGAAAAGAAAGCAAGAAAGCGAGAGAGAAAGAGAGCAAAAGAATGAAAGAAAGAAAGAGAAAGAAAGAAAGAGAAAGAAAAGAGAGAGACAGAGAGAAAGAGAGACAAAAGAAAGGAAAAGAAAGGAAAAGAAAAGAAAAAAGAGCGAGCTAAGGGGCCAAAAAAACACAGAAAATTAAAGAGTTCAGGTCTTTGTTAAAAATCTATGTGATTTTTTTCAGGCCTGGCTGTAGGTAATTCTAAAGGCTTTACCTGGAGGGTCTCACAGGAAGAAGCTGCCCACCTCACACCTGACTTGGTGCACAGCCAGTGCAATGCAGTCTCTGAAGGGAGTTGCAGTCAAGGACTCAGGTCCCTTGGCCAAGTATACTCTTAAGCATGTCTGTATTCCTAGCCTAGATGCCTTAATTTGGAGATCTCTTTATTTATGGCCTTACGGTGAGGCCTTCCTCAGGTACCCCTGCAGGAAATTTGTTTATAAGGGAAGAAGTGGAAAACTAGGAAGATAGTTTTCTTCACTCTGACTCAGTACTCCTCCACCCGTAAAACTTCCTCCTCTCCTCCTTCACCCACAGGTCCGCAAAACTGCAAGAGACTTTCATTTGGGGGTGCCTCAGCCGCGAAATGAACTCCACATGTGTACTCATCCACCTGACCCTCCACCAGTGGGTGCGTTTCAAGTGGGGAAAATGAAACAGTGTGGAGCAGGGCTTTCTCCAGTTTATCCTGTTGTTTATACAGAATGAGTAAAGGAATACATACTTGGTTAAAACGTTCGTTTTGGCTTGGTTTCATTGGTGGCTGGTCTTACACCTTAAAGCTCAGTTCGTTCCATCTTTAGCAGAGCTCCTGGTAAAAAATAGCATATTAAACACAAAGTAAGTAAAAGAAAAGAAGTAATAAAGATCAGAGTAGAAATCAATGTAATAGTAAACAGAAAAGCAATAGGTAAAATGAATGACACCAAAAGCTGATGCTTTGAAAATATCACCAAAGTTGATAAACCTCCAGCTAGACTGTTTGATCAGTGAGAAAATAAAAAATAGAAAAAGAAAAAAAATTGACAGCGTGTGAAAATGGCCAGTATCAGAAATGAGAGGAATGATTTCATTTTAGATAATACAGATATCAAAAGGATAAAAATGGAATATTATAAATAACTTTATGCCAATGAATTTGACAGTTTATATAAAAGAAACAAATTTCTTAACACAAACTAGAGAAACTACCTCAAGAACAAGAAATTCCTATGTAACATGAATAGCCTTCTATCTATTAAATATATTAAATTTCTAGTTAAAATCCTTCTCACATGGAAACCTCTGAGCCCAAATGTCTGCACAAGTGCAGTGAATTTTCCAAAACATTTAAGGTAGAAATGACGCCAATTCTACACAAACTCCTCCAGAAAATTAAAAAAAAAGACTTCCAACTCATTTATGAGCCCAGTATTATTCTAACACTAAAATTAACAACCAGATTACAAAAAGCAACAGAAAAAAAGAAGATTAATATTACTTTTGAAAATAAATTAAGAAATTCTAAACAATGATTTAGCAAATGGGATTCAGCAATGTAAAAATAATAATGCATCATGATTGCATCATCCAAGGGAAAGCTTTCCCACCACCCTTTTCTACAGGCTCACTGGAAATGAACTGACAATAGAAAATCTAATAGGAGAGAAGGCATAAAGATTTATTTAATATTCATAAGAATGGGGGAATATCATGAGGATTACCCAAGAACTCAGTGAAGTCTAGAAGTTTATATACCCATTTTCATAGGGGAAAGAAAGACGAGAATGTCAGAGTAAATGATTTTGGGAGATTCTCTTCAGAAATTGAATGGACTGAGGAAACAAACAATGGCTTGAAACAAAGTTTGAAGTTTATTTGGGCTCTAGATATGGTGTTTAATTTTCAGTCTTTCTCTGTGAAGTGAGTTTTAATCTCTGATTAATGAAATTTTAGGGAGGGGATGGAAGGTAACTGTGTTGCTCTTTGGAGATCCGCTTTTGAGGTAGATAAGGAAATTTCTGAGAACAGATACAGAAAATTGAGAGACAGGAGGGAATTGAAGTGGGTCAGAGAGACTATCAGGCTGCTTTTTTAGTTCAGCATATCAAAGCACCATATTTCAGAATTTCAGAATATCATTTTCTGGATCATTTCCCAACATGATCAGGAAGAATTTATCCAAGGAGTGCAAGGCTGATTAGAAAGTCAATCCATGCAATTCATTGACTTAACAAAAAGGGGGGGAAAAACAAAAGAAATTATCTGATTAAATTTAGACAAAGCATTTCTCAAAATCCAATACTCATTCTTCATAAAATGTTTTCATGACTGATATGGTTTGGCTTTGTCCTCCCTCAAACCTCATCTTGAATTTTAGCTCCCAACATTCCCCACATGTTGTGGGAGGGACCTGGTGGTAGGTAACTGAATCATGGGTGTTGGTCTTTTCCATGCTATTCTTGTGATAGTAAGTCTCACGAGATCTGATGGCTTTACAAAGAGGAGTTCCCCTGCACAAGCTCTTTTGTTTTGCCTGCCACCATACATGTAAGATGTGACTTGCTCCTCCTTGACTTCTGCCATAATTGTGAGGTCTCCCCATCCATGTGGAACTGTAAGTCCATTAAACCTCTTTTTATTTTGTCTCGGATATGTCTTTATCAGCAGTGTGAAAATGAAATATTACAGTAAATTGGTACTAATTGACTGGGGTGCTGCTGAAAGGATACCTGAAATTGTGGAAGCAACTTTGGAACTGGGTAACAGGCAGAGGTTGGAACAGTTTGGAGAGCTCAAAAGAAGATAGGAAAATGTGGGAAATTTTGGAAATTCCTAGAGACGTGTTAAATGGCTTTGACAAAAATGTTGATAGTGATATGAACAGTAAGGTCCAGGCTAAGGTGGTCTCACACAGAGATGAAGAACTTGTTGGGAATTAGAGCAAGGGCGACTTTTGTTATATTTTGTCAAAGAGACTGGTGGCATTTTGCTCTTGCCCTAGAGACTTGTGGAACTTTGAACTTGAGAGAGATGATTTATAGTATCTGGCAAAAGAAATTTGGCAGCAAAGAATTCAAGAGGTACTTGGGTGTTGCTAAAGGCATTCAGTTTTATAAGGGAAACAGAGCATAAAACTTTGGAAAATGCGCAGCCTGACAATAAGATAGAAAAGAAAATCCCATTTTTCTGAGGAGAAATTCAGGCTGGTTGCAGAAATTTGCATAAGCAACAAGGAGGCAAATGTTAATCACAAAGACAACGGGGAAAATGTCTCCAGAGCATGTCAGAGACCCTTGCGGCAGCCCCTTCCATCACAGGCCCAGAGACCTGGAAGGAAAAAATGGTTTTGCGGGCTGGCCCCAGGGTTCCTCTGCTTTGTGCAGTCTAGAGACTTGCTGCACTGCATCCCAGCCACTCCAGCCGTGATCGAAAGGGGCCATTGTAGAGTTTGGGCCATGACTTCACAGGACACAAGCCCCAAGCCTTAGCAGCTTCTTCGTGGTGTTAAGCCTGCAAGTGCGCAGAAGTCATAAATTGGGGTTTGGGAACCTCCATCTAGATTTTGGAGGATGTACGGAAATGCCTGGATGCCCATTCAGAAGTTTGCTGCAGGGGCATGACCTTCATGGAGAACCTCTGCTAGAGCAGTGCAAAAGGGAAATGTGGGGTCAGAACCCCCATACAGAGTTCTCACTGGAGTACCCGCCTAAAGGAGCTGTAAGAAGAGGTCCACTGTCTTCCAGACCCCAGAATGGTAGATCCACTGACAGTTTGTGCCATGAGCCTGGAAAAGCCACAGACACTCAACGCCAGCCCATGAAAGCAGCCAGGAGAGAGGCTGTACCTTGCAAAGCCACAGGGTTGGAACTTCCCAAGACCATGGTAACCCACCTCTTGCATCAGTGTGACCCAGATGTGAGACATGGAGTCAAAGGAGATCATTTTGGAGCTTTAAGATTTGACTGCTCCACTGGATTTTGGACATGCATGGGCCCTGTAGCCCCTTTGTTTTGGCCAATCTCACCCATTTGGAACAGCTGTATTTAACCAATATCTGTACCCCCATTGTATCTTGGAAGTAACTAGCTTGCTTTGGATTTTACAGGCTCATAGGTGAAAGGGACTTGTCTTAGATCAGACTTTGGACTGTGGGCTTTTGAGTTAATGCTGAAATGAGTTAAGACTTTGGGGGACTGTCGGGAAGGCATGATTGGTTTTAAAATGTGAGGACATGAGATTTGGGAGGGGCCAGGGGCAGAATGATATGGTTTGGCTGTGTCCCCCACCAAATCTTATCTTGAATTGTAGTTCCCAACATTCCCACATGTTGTGAGAGGGACCCAGGGGGAGGTAACTGAGTCATGGGGGAGGGTCTTTCCTGTGCTATTCTTGTGATAGTGAATAAGTCTCACAAGATCTGATGGTTTTATAAAGAGGAGTTCCCTTGCACAACTCCCTCTCTTTTTGCCTGTTGCCTTCCATGTAAGATGTGACTTGCTCCTCCTTGCCTCCTCTGATGATTGTGAGGCCTCCCCAGCCATATGGAATTGTAAGTTCATTAAACCTCGTTTTCTTCCCACTCTTGGGTATGTCTTTATCAGCTGTGTGAAAATGGACTAATACAACAACTTAATATAAAAGAGACTTCTTCAACATAGTAAAGATAATCTATCATAGCTCAATGACTAAAATATATTTAATAATGAAAGAAATAAGGGTTATCAGTAAAACAGGGGAACAAGAAAAGGGAGGTCACTTTCACTTTTTCAATTCAACTTTGTACTGGAGATCCTAGCCAGGAAAAAGAGACAAGAAAATAAAAAAGGCAACTAAATCAAAAAGGAAAAAAAATAAAGCTTTCTTTAAACCCATCTATACATATTTTATATGTCAGAAATTATAAATAATCTTCAATTTATAACCAAATGTCATTATTTAAAAGTAAAGTGCACTCTCAAAGTCTCAAATATCACTTCATAGTTCTAAGTCAGATTTATTTAAAAAGTACTTATAAAAGGTATTGCCTTTTAATCTGAAGTTAAAAGACAATACAGAGATACCCATAACATGATTTGTTTCAGAAATAATTTTTAAAATCTACCAAGCATGAGTTCAGCACTTTGAAATAAGAAATGTGTTCCCATGTTTTCATATTTTAAAAATATTTCTATGAATCTTATGTTTTTATAGATATTTTCATATTATGCATTATAAAAATAGTTTTAATTAATCACCTGCATTTTTACTGTAATATTATTCTTTATAGTACAGATTTTATTAGCAGAGTTAGTTTTGAAGCCTATCAATGAGATCTAAATTTAAGATAATATTTTATAGCAAAAAATAATCTTTCCATGCATTTTCAAATTTATGACTATAATGTGTGCTTTAAGGATTCTTCAATGAAGCAGAAGAAAAAGTTAAGCAAGTAATCATCTATTGTATGGATAAACAGCTTCCTTTAAATTGAAAAAGATATTAACCTAGGTATTTACACTACTGAACAATACCTGTAGTAAGTAATTCACATAATTATCCTGGAAATATCATTATTATATGACTAAATATCATGAAAAAGCCATTTTTAAAATTTGGCTTAAGCAAAAGCAAAGTTTTCCAACTGATTGCCTTATTATAAAGACTACTCAGAATAGTTGTCAGGTAGCATGTAATACATAAAAACATACAGGGACAAAACCAGCAATGATATTATAACATCAATAAACACATTGAAATTGAATTTCTTTTGTTTGTTCCTATTTCAACTCATTTGGACAGACAGCATTTATTTTAGTATATTTTGAAGGTTAATGGATCTATTTTTATAGTGGCATTATTTATTTCTTGCTGCCTGGTAAAACACTGTAACAACAGTGTTAGATTTTATTTCAATAACCTTCACCTAATTGCATTTACTCATTTCAACATTTCATTTTCCTTTTCGAATTCACTATTATCTGTAAGCATGTAAAACTTTTGTTTTAGGAGAATATGCCAAAATATTACAGAATTCGCTTTTTACTTCATGAATTATTAATTTGTATATATGCCTCTTTATTTGACTGAGGCCAGCATAAAAGGAAAGGATAAGATGTTAGATTTTTATTCACCTGTCTTAAAATTATCACATAAGTGTAATAATTCCATAGCCATCTTTTCTCTGTTGTTTCTCATTAAAAATTTTCGATAGTGAAAATGGTGCCTCGTATATAATATGAATGAAATATAGCCTCTTGAGAATAGTTCTTATTTTATGTGCTTAAAGGAGATCCATATACACTTGGCCCAATCATGGAGATCCCCTGAAAAAATTTTCTATATGCATAAATGGACTATTACTTTTTCTTTCTTTCCTTCCTTCCTTCCTTCCTTCCTTCCTTCCTTCCTTCCTTCCTTCCTTCCTTCCTTCCTCCCTCCCTCCCTCCTTTCTTTCTTCTTTCTTTCTGTCTTTCTTTCTTCTTTTTCTTTCTCTCATTCTCTCATTCTCTATGTCTCTATTCTTTCTTTCTTTCTTTTTTCTTTTTCTTTCTCTCATTCTCTATGTCTCTATCTCAGTCTAAGGGGATCTTTCGCCACAAGGAAGGTTTTTTACACCTATGCTGGTTGGACTGGCAGTACCGGAGAGGTAATCATCCCAGAGTGACCCTACATTAATGAGGGAAAAAATTTGGTGAATAAATACTCTAGCATCCTCAGAAAATAAAGCCACATTTTTACGGCATGTTCTCTTGGTATTTCAGAAAGTTCTCAGCAGAATTGAGCCCCAGTATCCCTTTGAGATGATATGCTCATGAGTACCTCCTTTGTTGGCTCCTTTCTTCTTCTTTGTGTTTCACTTCCCCACTTCCCTATCACACCCGTGTTCACCAGGATTACCTTAGAAATACTACTTGTCTCAAGGTCTCCCTTTAGGTTAATCTAGACTAAGACTGTACAACGTAAAACAATGCATGTTCCAGGATGTCGTAACTAGTATAATTTGAGATGCAACTATATTTGAATAGGATTGATTATTTTGAAATACAAAATACACTATTTGGAAACATTTTGTTTCCATTCATTTATGAATCTATTCAATCTTGAAAATACTATAAAACACAAAGGAGCATATTTTAAATCCAGTTTATATATACAAACTAAACAACCATAAAAATAAATCATAAATCTCACAGTATAACACTGATACTTCAAAAAAAAAAAAGAAAAATTATCTCTTTATATTGAAAACCTCCAGTCTTATTTGTTATTTACTTAAGGTAGCTAGTCTTAGAATTTTTGGAGCAATATACGTTGATAAGATTTGAGAAACTTTAAATTGAAATTGATTGCATAAGAATAAGAACAAAGGTAGCAATATATTTGAGTGCACTGAGTGCAGTACATATTGACAAAAGCTCTCCTAGTCTAAACCCTGGCTGGCATCCTTTCAGCCCAGTTCTCAACTAGTTTTTAACTTTGGCCTGTAAAAAACTACAGATTCTCAGCATAAATGATCCATTGCACCAGCTCCCACCCCTGAGAGTCTTAAACACCAGCATAATTTCTAACATCTCAAGGCCGTATACCTAAGACAAAGATTGCAGCCCCTTTAAGTTCCTTCCTGGGAAATTTCAGGGTTGCCAAAATAATTTACTGTTTGTTCCAGTCAAAACTTGAAGATAGGGTCCCACTGTTTCCCAGTCTCTGTCAGAGGATTGGTCCCTAACTTTGGTAAATGCCAGTTAGCGAACCCAGGTGACCTAATCATGTTGTTCAGTCCTTCTTTCTGCTTTTTGTGAAATTCCACTCCGCTAAGCCCCTGCCTTTCCCCCTCTCTATTTTCTCATTCTCCCTTGAAAATACCTGGTTGCTTCTGCACAAATCCAAGTTGATTTCAGTTCATGCTGAACCCTCTTCCATATTGGTGTAGTTATTGAATAAAATCTATCATTACCACTTTAAGTAGTGTCTAGTTTTATCTCTTTCTTGTTTATTTGTTTTTGAGGTGGGGTCTCAGTCTGTCTCCTCGACTGGCGTGCAGTGGAGTGATCTCGGCTCACTGCAACCTCCATATTACAGGCGCAGGTGATTCTCCCACCTCAGCCATCTGAGTAGCTGGGATTACAGTTGCGCACCACCATGTACTGCTATTTTTTTTTTTTGTATTTTTAGTAGACACGGGGTTTTGCTATGTTTCCCAGGCTGGTCTCAAACTCCTGAGCTCAAGCAATCTGCTTTCCTTGGCCTCCCAGAGTGCTGAGATTACAGGCATGAGCCACCATGCCCAGCCTTGGTTATATCATTGACAATACATCCCTTATGATTTTAAATATGCTACCTTGTCTCAGATTATTATTTATTTGATTTATTCAATTAATATTTATTATACTTACTACATATCAATAATTCTTCAGAGAGCTGGTTACAAACAGGATTCATGTTCTTAATAATGTCATCCCAGTGCAAAAAGAGAAAACAAGTAAGCAAATACAATGTTATCACTGTTTATCAAAAATGTTCTTGTAGGAAAGAAAATACAGTTGTCTGTTTGGGTGGTCAAGAAATACTTCTGAGGATGTGGGATTTCACATGTCATGTAGAAATGAAAATGTGATAGACACGGAATTTGAGGAAATAGTGCTTGGAATACAGAAGTCGGCATCAGCAATTGAAATGAAACTGGACAGGGCCCATATGCTCTAGGAACTAACAAACAATGGTTTGGCTGGGGCTTGTACAAAGCTATAATAAAAAGAACCAGGTTAAATTCAAGATATATGTATAGACAAGTTGTGCAAAGACCTTCAGGTTATATAAAAAGGTTTGAATTTCATTCTAAGTGTAATGAGAAATAATTAGAGCATCTTAAGCAGCTGAATAATGTACTCTGATTACATTTTAAATAGCTAACTCTGGCTCTTTGTAAATACTGAGTTTAGGCAAATGAGAATGGAAGCAGGAAGAACAAGTAGAAGATAACTGAAATAGTCCAGTGTAGATGGGAATACACAGGATCTCTCCCACTCCCAGTACCATAAAGAATGAAGATATAATGTCATCAGTTGAGGGTTACGATAAAATTAACACTGTGTATCTGAGGTTGAAAATAAATCAGAAGTAGATATCACAGGGATGTCTCTGAAGGACTTTTAGGTAGTCTAGTGGTTGTAATTCTTACTATTTATGGAATGCAGTTCACTCACCATTTTATGTATTTGTCATTGCATGATCACATTCCTGTGTGTAAGAGTGACAATTACAATATATATTAATTGGTATGACCTGGGCCACTAATAATCACAATAGATGGAGGCTATAAAGAACGATTACAGTCATAGTGGACTATAGTCTTAAAAATTCCCTGTAAACATATAGATTACATTATCATTAAATATAAAGTAAAAATACTATTACAGGGTTTACTACTATGTAGAACTTATATAGACAATGGTATAGGATATCTGTGTTTGAAATATGTACTTGCAGGAAAGTAAGACCTCTGTAATTAAGCTAGCAACAATCATGTAATTGATAGCATTAGAATGTGTTTAGTCATACAATATCTGCATATTTTATATAACATTGCCTTTAAGAAATATAAACACAAAAATGAATTGATTAATTATATGTTGGTTAATTGGTTTTATTACATTTAAGAGGTTATGTCTATCAAAAGTCACCACTAAGAGACTGAAGGACATTGACTAGAAGTCCAATCATAAGACATATATCCAACAAAGAAGACCTATACAGAAGACATAATTAACTATCTAAATAAAGATATATTGTCTGAGCATGGTGGCTCATGTCTGTAATCGCAGCACTTTGGGAGGCCAAAGCAGGAGGATTGCTTGAGGTCAGGAGCTCAAGACCAGCCTGGCCAACATGGCAAAACCCATCTATACTGAAAATATAAAAATCATCCAGGTGTGGTGGTGATACCATGATCCAGGCAGGAGGCACAGAAATTCTAGACAGAAAAGGGCAGGTGCCTGAAAAAGCCCCACTTCAAGCCAAAAAGCCTGAGACTGCAGCCCAAAGTGAGAACTTACATCCCTGTTTTCCTGCTCGAATGTTGACGCTTCCAAAACCACACTGCCCATCCTTTGCCTATAAAAACCCCAGGATTAGCTGGTAGAGAGAGAAAAAAACAGCTGGACTATGACTGGATGTTGGAGAAAAGCAGCTTGGCTTCAGAGGGACAGCCTGAAGGTATAACTTTTGAGAAGAATCCATCAGGAGATGGCTGGAGTTCAGTGGAAGGCTATTTTTCTGCCTTATCCCTTTTTCAGCTCTCCTTCCCACTGACAGCCACTTTCATCAGCAACACAAATTCCCTGTGTTTACTATCCTTTATTTCTCCTGGATGCCAGACAAGAGCTCGGGTGCCACAATGTGGATAGAAAAGACTGTCACGCTTTCTCTTTGCCCTCGCTGGTGGAAGGCAGCCGCCTCACGTGAAAAGGCAGAGGGCTTACTGATCTGTTAACATGTAAGCCATCTGCAGAGAGCAGAGCTAAAAGCAGTGTAACACTCCCTCTGGGACTTCAGGGGTCACAGGCACCACCCCAGATGCTGCCGTGGGGCCTGCATAGAGTTTGTTCCTGCCAGCACCTAAAAGTGCTCACCCTGGCTCCCGCACCCACTCACCTGCATGCTCCCCGACACGAAGGGTGGAACACAGCGGGTCTGAGTGAGTGGCGTTCACCCCTGCCAGCACTGAAGCTGCCAGCTAGTTTCAGTGTTTGTGCACTCTGGTTCCCGCTTCATTCGCTCATAGTCTCCCTCCCCCGAATAAGCTGGCTAAGCTAGGCACCCCATCTCGAGTCCTGTGAAGGGGTCAGAGAAATATCCTGCTTCAGTGGTGTGCATCTGCAATCCCAGGCACTTGGGAGGCTGAGGCACAAGAGTCACTTGAACCTGGGAGGCAGAGGTTGCAGTGAACCAAGATTGTGCCACTACACTCCAGCCTGGGCCATAGAGCAAGACTCTGTCTCAAAAGTGTACATGTGGGAAACCAACACCATATTCAAGAAAGTCACCATATCCATCAGCCCCCAGATTTTTCTCATGAGCCTTTAAAATACTTTCCTCAAACTGGTTGATAGACTTCTTAAAAAGTTCTTGCTTGTTTATATATAGTTTTTTAGTTAATTTCAGATAGATTGTATTGTAATTTACAATTGCAATTTTTGATTTGGAAATTTCTCCTTGAAGCACAAACAGTTTTAATTTATGTATTTCTGAAATTCTGTTATTAGGTAGTACATATTTAGAGTAATTATGTCTTCTTGAAGAACTGACTCCTTGATCAATATGGAAGGGTTTTCCTTATCATTAGTACTAAGATATTTTCTGAAATCTATTTATCTGATATTAATATATGCAGCATTCTTTTGATTAGTTTTATCATGGTAACATTTCCTATGCTATTGTTTTTAATCTATTTTGGTTTTATATTTAAATTGAGTTTTTGTAGGAAGCATTAAGTTATTATTTTCTTATTTGATCTTTCAATCTGGCAATTTAATTGTCATGTTTAGAGCACATATATTTAATATGATTATTGGTATAGTGTTTGAAATCTATCATCTTGATACTTATTTTAAAGTGATTCCTTATGTTCTTTCTTTCCTTTTACCTTTTTCCACTGTACTTTTTTTTTTTTTTCGGCTTACTTGAGTATTTGTTTCAGATTCTATTTTATCCCTGTTACTGGCCTATTACTTTAACCCTTACTTCTGTTATTTTAGTTGTTGCTTTACGGTTTATAACAAACATCATTACTTATAAAACTTAACTCTCGGCTGTGTATCGTGACTCATGGCTGTCATCGCACTTGGGAGGCCACGGTGGGTGGATCACCTGAGGTCAGGAGTTCAAGACCAGCCTGACCAACATAGAGAAACCCTGTCTCCAATAAAAATACAAAATTAGCTGGGCATGGTGGTGCATGCCTGTAATCCCAGCTATTCGGGAGGCTGAGGCAGAAGAATCACTTGAACCTGGGAGGTGGAGGTGGCAGTGAGCCGAGATCGCACCATTGCACTCCAGCCTGGGCAACAAGAGTGAAACTCTGTTTCAAAAAAAAATAGTCAACTCTCATTTAATATGTTGCCACTTTTTTTTTTTTTTGAGACAGAGTATCCCTGGGTTGCCCAGGCTGGAGTGCAGTGGCACGATCTTGGGTCACTGAAACTTTCACCTTGTGGGTTCAAGTGATTCTCCTGCCTTAGCCTCCTGAGTAGCTGGGCTTACAGGCGTGTGCCACCACACCCAGCTAGTTTTTGTATTTTTAGTAGAGATGGAGTTTCACCATGTTGGCCAGGCTGGTCTCAAACTCCTGATCTCAGGTGATCTGCCCACCTTGGCCTCTCAAAGTTCTGGGATTATAGGCGTGAGCCACCATGCCTGGCCTATGTTACCTCTTAAAATATAGCATAAGACTCTTAAAATAGTATGCTTCTGTTTACCTCTTATCAGGCTCTGTGCTATAAAAATTTGTTTATACACATTTTATTTTTCCTATATTATAAAGTTCAGACTACATTGGTATATGTTTTGTTTAAAATGTCAGTTGTTCTTTTTAATATTCAAATAATAAGAAATAATCTTACATAGTTACCAACTGTTACCATGTTATTACTCTTAATTCATTTTTTTCCTTTAATATTTCCATCTAGTTTCATTTTCTGTCATTTTAAGGGGTTCCTTTTCATTTCTGGTGATGGTTAATAATGAGTGTCAAATTTATTGGACTGAAGGATGAAAAGGATGAAAATTGATCCTTGGTGTGTCTGTGAGGGTGTTGCCAAAAGAGGTTAACATTTGATTCAGTGGGCCAGGAAAGGCAGACTCACCATAATCTGGGTGGGCACCATCTAATCAACTGACGGTGAGGCCTGAATATAAAGAGGGAAGAAAACATGAAAAGGCTAGACTGGCCTAGCCTCCCAGCCTACATCTTTCTCCCATGCTGGATGCTTCCTGCCCTCGAACATCAGACTCCAAGTTCTTTAGTGTTGGGACTCGGACTGGCTTCCTTGCTCTTCAGCTTGCAGATGGCCTATTGTGGGACCTTGTGATCAGGATTTGTTCTAGAGAAATGGAATATTAAGGATGGAATTCTTTCATTGGTTTTGGGGTTTCTGGAGTGGCTGGGACGCAGGGCACTAAGTCCCTAGACTGCACACATCACAGGGACCCTGGGCCTGGCCCATAAAACCACTTTTTTCTCCTAAACCTCTGGGCCTGTGATGGGAGGGGCTGCCACAAAGGTCTCTGATGTGCCCTGGAGACATTTCCCCCATTGTCTTAGTGACTAACATTTGGCTCCTCCTTACTGATGCAAATTTCTGCAGCTGGCTTGTATTTCTCCTCAGAAAATGATATTTTCTTTTCTATTGCATTGTCAGATTGCAAATTTTCTGAACTTTCATGCTCTGTTTCCCTTTTAAAACTGAATGCGTTTAACAGCACCCAAGCCTTCCACCAGAAACCCTAAATCATCTCTCTCAAGTTCAAAGTTCCACAAATCTCCAGAGCAGGGCAAAATGCTGCCAGTCTCTTTGCTAAAATACAACAAGAGTCACCTTTGCTCTAGTTCCCAACAAGTTCCTCATCTCCATCTGAGACCACTTCAGCCTGAACTTCATTGTCCATTTCATTATCAGCATTTTTATCAAAGCCATTCAACAAGTCTCTAGAGAGTTCCAAACTTCCCCTCATTTTCCTTCTTCTTCTGAGCCCTCCAAACTGTTCCAAACTCTACCTGTTACCCAGTTCCAAAGTTGCTTCCACATTTTCAGGTATCTTTTCAGCAGCACCCCACTCTACTTGTACTAATTCACTGTATTAGTTCGTTTTCACACTGCTGATAAAGACATACCCAAAACTGGGCAATTTACAAAAAAAAGAGGTTTAATGGACTTACAGTTCCCAGTGGCTTGGGAGGCTTTACAATCATGGCGGAAGGTGAAAGGCATGTCTCACATGGCAGTAGACAAGAGAAGAGAGCTTGTGCAGGGAAGCTCCCATTTAAAAAAAAATTCTCCATTTATTTAATGTGTTTAACCATTTATCTGGATTTTTGAAACTATGCACTAAAATTATAATAATGTAATTCATGTAGTTGTATTCTAATTCTAGCATCTGTGTCATATGCAGTTTGGTTTCAACTGGATTATTTTTCTCTATATTTTCCTTCTTTGATTGTCCAGATAGTGTTTCTTAGATGTCAGAGCTTGTGAATTTTGCCTTGTTACTTGCCCAATATATTTGTATTTCCATACATATTAAATTTTATTCATGGATACAATTAATTTATTTGGGAATAGTTTAATCCTTTGGGGCTTTGCCTTTAAGATTTGTTAGGTATAAACAGGGAAGTGTTTAATCTGTAGCATGTTATTACAAATACCTGAGGCAAGAACCTTCCGAGTACTGTAACCATACTCTGTGAATTACAGTGTTTTTCAGCTGGTTGATGTAAATAGGATATTTCCATCCATATATGAGCATCTGATCCTGTTTTTTCTCCTCTTTTCACCTGCTTCTTTCCTCTGGTATTTTCTTTAAGCACATGTGCCAATCAGTACTCTACTGAACACTAAAGGAAAACTCTGTGGTCTTCTTGAGTTTTTTAGCCGTACAGGTCTTTCCTCTCTACTATTCTGTCTTTGGAACTCTTGGTGAGTAGGATTGCCTAACTCTCAGCTCTGCCTTCACAGTTCAGGGCTTATCTGGGGTCTGCCTGATTTTCCCCCTCCATGAACTACAAAGTGGAAACCCTTTCCAGGTGGTTAAATGAAATAATTTAGGGTTCAACTTGTTCATTTCTACCTCTCAAATATCGCACCTGTTGTTTAAATGTCCAAAACTATTATTTTATGTATTTTCTCAGTTTATTTTGTTTTTGTTTTCCATCTGGGAAAGTAAATTGGGTGGCCTCCTTCTTATCTTAGCCAAAGGTGGAAATTCCTATGACATTGTGTCTTGACACTAAAAACAAAATTGTGAATTAGTAGTAGAGAATCTTCTAACTAATATGAGATAACATACTGCTGACCTGAGTTGTATTGTGAGAACAGATGTGTAAGAATAGGAAATCTCTTTGATCATGTTTGGATTGTAGGTAGAAAACTTAGATCAAGTGAAATTGTTAAATATGCGATGGAGCCTGATATTCACCATAGCACACAATAAAGATGAAACAAGTTTGTAAAAATGTGAAACACTTCAGTCCAGTTGGCAAATAGCTGCTTCATCAATCTTCCCCCAAATCTCCAGCTGACCTAGCTACTGAGCCTCTCTCCCCTTACCTCCCCAACTTCAGATTCTAACAAGGTTAACCTTGCATAACAGGTATTCCAGGAAGCTGCTTTTTCTCTCTGCCTGGGACCAGGAACCTTTCCAAATTATGATGATTGTACCATACTTAATGTTAAATAGTTTCCTATGGCCCCCATGATGATGCTTTTTGTGTTATTTTATTCTCAAACTCCTGGAGTAACTCTTTATTTAAATACTTCTTTAATACTTTAAATAAAGTAGTATTTAAATAAAGACAGTTTATCTGAATTCTTCATTTAAATACTTCTTTCTTTAGAAAACCAAGCATTTCTAATAAGCCTTTCTATTGAGTTTAACTGTCCTCCAGATTTTACTATTTAGCCTGTTTCCTGAGTCCTGTGTTGTGGTGACACGTTCAATTGTTCATGAAATCCAGCCTGACTGAAAATGCAATCTGTTTTCTCAGTTAGAAAACTATAAAGAACAAGAGATCCCATGTTAATAGTGTAGGGTCAAACTTTAACATGATGAATAAAGTTAGGGAAATAAATAGTAAACCAGTTAAAATTCATTTTGGAGCTCTATTATTTTCACTTCTTCATTTGTTTTTCTACTTTTCTCTAACTTTTCTGTCCCTTTATTTCCCATTTTAAGAAAGATAAGTTTCAGATATTTTTATTCACTTACTAAATATTACTGTGCTGGCAGCAGCTTAATATTACATGTCTTTAAGAAATAGTTGCATTTTAATAGTAGTTCTTAGAAATCAGAAATTTTATTGGGCCCATATAAATTAATTGAAAGTTGCATTCCAAGAACAGTGAGAAACAATGAGCAAGGTGTTTAAAAACTCATTCTTGGACATATATCTTAAATTATTTTACTTAGATGCAGAAAAAGAATTCCACTTAATTCCAGGGAAGTATACAGCACTAGAAATCTCTTTCTGGAAGACAAAATTCAATCTATGAGGTTATTGCATGTTATTAATAAACATAAATCTCTATATAACACAGATATCCAAAAGCATTAAAACTTCATGAAGCTTAATCACAACTGTGATAATGTTACTTAAAGTGTTATATTTATTTTATCAATATATCCAAATATACTGTATATTTGATTTTTTGTTTATTTTGCTTTTGTTTTACAGTTTGGAATTACCATTGAAGTTTACCTGATGGGTTTGTTTTTCTCAAATTACAACATGTCAAATTGCTTTTACTATTATCAATTAATTAATAAATCAATACTTTGCATGAGAAGAAATAACTGAATAAGAAGATATTCAAAAGCCACTATAAGTTACGTCAACATTTTTCATGTTTTCAGTTAATTTAATTTTGACCTTCAAATTGCAAGGAAAATTCCACTGAAGTTTTGAAATTTGAAATTAAACTAGTAAAACCCAGCATATTTTGCATTTGTTGGATTCTTAAAACTATGTGTCCTTTGAAAGTGTAAATTCAACACAGCGTTTGAAGTTTCAGACATTTTTGTAGTCATTTCAAACATATTGTCGACCATATAAAAGGTTATGCTTTGCCCTTAGTCCATGCACAGAGAATTCTGATTGATGTCAATGGGAGCCATGTGCAAAGTTTGCGGGCACTGTAGTTTGAAACTTTATGGTGTTTTCAGAATATCTTTGAAGTCTAGTTTCTGTGAAAAATATAAAGTTTAAAGAGTAGCTCTTCAGGGCTTATTCTTATCCACAGAGAACATGTTTAGATTGCCTGTTTTAAATGCCGAGCTAAGCTGAAATTTCAAAAATCTAGTATGCGTTTGGAGTGGTTGATTACAAGAGAATTATTCAATTGAGTTCAATTGCTAGACTTGGAGACAATGGTGGCAAATCTATGTTGGTAATCTATCTTTTTATACATTTGATTCTGCTACAATAGTGAAAGGTATAAATTGCTGTTCAATTTAATGCTAAAATTAACTATATTGCTACCATTAATTTTTTATTTAAGTATCTTCAACAAAGCAAGTAGAATCACTTTTGCATTGACAAATTCAATAGCGTTTGATTTTTGCATTATTACTGAGGAAAGATATTAATTGGTAACAATGCTCTATTATTAATTAAAGTTTATTTTTGCAAATATGTTCCAATGAAAAGTATTTAAGGCTAAGTTAAGGAAGGATAATTTAAACCAATTTCCTAAAATTCATAATATTTTCTTAGGCTTGCAGACTGTGGAATAAAATGCATATTATATAGAAAAAATTTTATCAGAAAGAAATTATTATGTTATAAAAGTTATTCAACATATTTTTCTATTTAAAGACACAACTGTCATTTTCAAAATCAAATTCACTAAAAGGTATTATGTTTTCTAAAGACCACGGTTTCCATTTTGCAGTATAATTAATTTGTGCTTAAAATTAATGAAATCTGTGAGTTTTTTCTAAAGCATTCTTTATAGTTCTGGTACCTAAGAATAATTTGCACAATGCAGGCTTAATGTCCTTGATAGGTCATCCTACATGAGCCTAATAATCCATCTCACTGTAACTGGAAGAAAGTGCTAAAGCAACACTCAAGAAAAGAGATTCATTTGGATGAAAACGAAAGCACAGGAAATAAACATTCAGCTAGGAAATAAACATCATGGTGGGGTTTTAGATTTGACTAGAATTCATGAAGTCCTTGCCCATGCCTATGTCCTGAATGGTAACGCCTAGGTTTTCTTCTAGGGTTTTTATGGTTTTAGGTCTAACATTTAAGTCTTTAATCCATCTTGAATTGATTTTTGTATAAGGTGTAAGGAAAGGATCCAGTTTCAGCTTTCTACATATGGCTAGCCAGTTTTCCCAGCACCATTTATTAAATAGGGAATCCTTTCCCCATTGCTTGTTTTTCTCAGGTTTGTCAAAGATCAGATAGTTGTAGATATACGGCATTATTTCTGAGGGCTCTGTTCTGTTCCATTGATCTATATCTCTGTTTTGGTATCATACCATGCTGTTTTGGTTACTGTAGCCTTGTAGTATAGTTTGAAGTCAGGTAGTGTGATGCCTCCAGCTTTGTTCTTTTGGCTTAAACCCCAAAAGCAATGGCAACAGAAGCCAAAATTGACAAATGGGATCTCATTAAACTAAAGAGCTTCTGCACAGCAAAAGAAACTACCATCAGAGTGAACAGGCAACCCACAAAATGGGAGAAAATTTTCACAACCTACTCATCTGACAAAGGGCTAATATCCAGAATCTACAATGAACTCAAACAAATTTACAAGAAAAAAACAAACAACCCCATCAAAAAATGGGCAAAGGACATGAACAGACACTTCTCAAAAGAAGACATTTATGCAGCCAAAAAACACATGAAAAAATGCTCACCATCACTGGCCATCAGAGAAATGCAAATCAAAACCACAATGAGATATCATCTCACACCAGTTAGAATGGTGATCATTAAAAAGTCAGGAAACAACAGGTGCTGGAGAGGATGTGGAGAAATAGGAACACTTTTACACTGTTGGTGGGACTGTAAACTAGTTCAACCATTGTGGAAGTCAGTGTGGCAATTCCTCAGGGATCTAGAACTAGAAATACCATTTGACCCAGCCATCCCATTACTGGGTATATACCCAAAGGACTATAAATCATGCTGCTATAAAGACACATGCACATGTATGTTTATTGCGGCACTATTCACAATAGCAAAGACTTGGAACCAACCCAAATGTCCAACAATGATAGACTGAATTAAGAAAATGTGGCACGTATACACCATGGAATACTATGCAGCCATAAAAAATGATGAGTTCATGTCCTTTGTAGGGACATGGATGAAATTGGAAATCATCATTCTCAGTAAACTATCACAAGAACAAAAAACCAAACACTGCATATTCTCACTCATAGGTGGGAATTGAACAATGAGATCACATGGACACAGGAAGGGGAACATCACACTCTGGGGACTGTTGCGGGGTGGCGGGCGGGGAGAGGGATAGCATTGGGAGATATACCTAATGCTAGATGACGAGTTAGTGGGTGCAGCACACCAGCATGGCACATGTATACATATGTAACTAACCTGCACATTGTGCACATGTACCCTAAAACTTAAAGTATAAAAAAAAAAAAAGATTTGACTAGAATTCCCTTTTAAGACAACTTAACAACATAAAACAGGGAGAAGTTTAAAAAATAAAAATACAATAAAGATATATTTGGGTTACTTTTCACTGTTGTATACCATAGAAAATCAGATTTTCTGCTGTCTCAACAATACTTTCAATCGGTTATTGATAACTGAGTAAATAATTGCTGTACAAGACTGTCGATCTCAGGCTGGGCATGGTGGCTTATGGCTGTAATCCAGCACTTTGTTAGGCCAAGGTGGGAGCATCACTGAGGCCAAGAGTTCAAGACCAGCCTGGGCAATATAGCAAGATCCTCTATATTAAAAGATCACAAATCTTTATTTTCTTCAATGCAGACTCTCTACTGCAGACTCTCTACGTAGCCATTTGTACACCACGTATTTCCAGATAATCAGTCTGTCTTCACTCCCATTATCCAATTACTTCCATAGTATACATTTCCAGGGGAGATAGTTTCCTCAACTCATGAGAATTTTGAATTATATCAACTCCTAAGACCATGAGAATCTATTCTCCCACAGTAACTCCTCATAAAGGTATTCTTTTATATCCCCTTTTTCGAGATACCAATGAACGTATCTTCAATTTCGTGTATTTTTTTTCTTTAAATCATTTAGAGCCATTGACTTCAAGCTACCTTTTTTTTCTGCTCTATAAACATTATCAGAATCAAGAAAGTACAACATCCTGGCTATATTCTTATAATTTAAGGAGTACTGGGAAAAACAGAGAGAATAACAAACATTTTTGTCTCAAATAATCCGTACAAAGAAAAGCAAAGTGATGGATCCAATTCAGATACAGAGAAAAAGCTAACCCTTTGAATTAAAAAATTTCCAGTCTCATGTTTTGTTAATAACAAGAGTTACATCAGAAAGTGAAAAGTGAATTTGAGAATAAAATTTGAAAGCACTACACATAAAAATTAGGTACCAGTGAAAACAGTAGTGAACAACTATTGTGATGTACTATTATTTCATCACATTTTTTTTTTTGAGACAGGGTCTCACTCTGTGGCCTAGGCTGGAGTGCAATGGTGTAATCATGGCTCACTGCAGCCTCAACTTCCTAGACTCAAGGTGATTCTCCCAGCTCACTCTCCCAAGTAGCTGGGACCACAAGCACATGCCCACCTAATTTTTTGTATTTTAATAGACACAGGGTTTTGCCATGTTGCCCAGGCTGGTTTTGAACTCCTGGACTCAAGCAATCTGTCCCCCTCGGCCTCCCAAAATGCCAGGATTACAGATAAGAGCCACCACTCCAGGCCTCATCACATTTTTAATTGCGTACACAGTAGTGATACTCCCTCACCCTCAATTCTGTTTTTTTTCATTTTTATAAAATACGCAACTACACACACCAGAGACTATCTTAACAAACACATTTCTGGCCTGTGTTGTCACATAGAGTAAGTGCAATAGTTTGAATGTCATCACCAAAATTCTTGTTGAAATTAATTGTCAATGCAACAGTATTGGGAGGTAGGGCCTTTATGAGGTGATTAATGATTTATGCCATGAACGCATTAATTATCACTAGAGTAGGTCAGTTATTGTGAGATTGGGTTAGTTATAAAAATGTGTTCCATCTGATTTTTTTTCTTTCCATCTCACATGCTCACTTCTGCCTTCTACTCTTCTCCCGTAAGATAACCTTGCCTGATATCATTGCCATCTCTTTAACTTCCAGTCTCTAGAACCATGAGCTGAATAAACTTCTTCTTCATTAAATAAATTACTCAGTCTTTGGTATTCTGTCATAGCAACAGAAAACAAACTAGTATATTAAGAATACCATGAATGGTAGCATAATCTGGATCAATATTATCCAAAGTAAGTAAGGTCAAGTCAGGTTAAAAGTACCATAGGACTGTGGAAATAAACAAAGACCAACCAAATGACAATAAGTAAAGACTATGTATTTGAATCTTGCCGTACAAAGTGAGTCAGCCACAGCCACTTGCATTTTGGTAAAGACTCAACATCAAGCAGAGGAATGGCAAAGCTTCATAGTGGAAACATGAAGGCCTTCCCTGATTGGAGACTATTAGCATGAAAGAGCTGTGAGTGGGGTAATTAGAAGCCAGACATTATTTGTGATTGATTAGGGGTACATAGTTGCCTTTCCCTATCTCTCAAGTTGCTTTGGTCATACATTGAAAATGGGGACAAAAATTTAGAAAATTGTCAAGTCCTGGCCATTTTGGGTACAGAAGTTATGGTTTAGCTTTCTGGACCAGTAACTAGAGATAACAGTAAGACTACAGTTCTGATTTATAGATAGCAGACCATCTTCCTGGGTTGCTTTCTGTAGACAATGGGTTGGTCCCTTGGGCAGATTCCTGCCCAGATTGTGGACCAGAGTTAGTTCTATTTTTAAATATGGTGCCTAGCCATTGTCTGTTTCTATATCCACTCTCCCTAGATATTGACATTAGTGGTTCTGTCTTGTGCTTTCCTGGTTCTATAATGCTTACAATAAAACATTGTGTTTTTAAAGAGAGAGAAAGCTTGTCACTCATTCATTCTGCCAGTATATTTGAGGAAGTATTATTTTCTATACAAAAATCTAGGTTTCTGTTACAAACATTACTAAGAGAGTCAACCTAGCCTCTTGACTAAGTACATGGTTCCAGGTCCAGATTGTCACTCCCTGAGTGATCTTCAAAAATTCATGTAACATCCAGTCCCACAGGTTTTTCATTGAATAAATGGGGTGATCAGTAGCTACTTCACAGTGTTGTCAAGAAGTAAACAAATTAATACCTCAAAGCCTTCAGAATGTTGTACAGCACATTAGAAGTGCTCTTATTATTTAGAAAAGATGGTGTATAGCTTAGAGGAATGGATCCTAGAATGGGAGTAAAGAACTTTTTGCCACAGTAACCATAACTTTGTCCCTCTGAAAAAAAATGACAATGATCACAGGATTGGCTTCATAATAAATATAAAAATCTATAGTTTCTCAGGGGCATACATGTAATACCAGCATTGTGGGAGGCTGAGGCAGGCAGATTCTTGAGCCAAGGAGTTTGAGACAAGCCTGGGCAACATGGCAAAACCTTGTCTCCACAAAAAAGTACAAAAATTGGCCAGGTGTGGTGGTACATGCCCGTAGTCTCACCTATTTGGGATGCTGAGGTGGGAAGATCACTTGAACCTGGGAGGTTGAGGCTTCAGTGAGCTGTAATCACACCACTGTACTCCAGTCTGGGCAACAGAGCTAGACTTTGTCTAAGAATAATAAAAGATAAAATAAAATTTCTCAGGGAGTGTGTGGGAGGGAGGGGAGGGATGAAAAATTACTTATTTTATACAATGTACACCATTCAGATGATGGGTACTCTGAAAGTCCAGACTTTATCACTATACAATTAATCCATTTAAGCAAAAACCAGTTGTACCTCTAAAGCTATTGAAGTAAAAAAAAAAAAGTTTGAAGTTTCTTATAACTATAGCATTTCAAAGTTCTGACTTTGTGTTCATATATCTAACTTTGCTATCAGAAATCTAGACCAAAGAAATGGAATCTTTAGCACAGATAAATAGATGTAGTTATGTATGAATAAATATAAATCTTCTTTGAGATTGAGCATGAACAATTTCTAAGAACAACAGAACAAGTTTTAGATATATTTTCTGGTAATGCTCTTGGGTTGTGTTATTTGGTTTCAATTGCTCTAACCACCATGACTCAGACCAGATGCTCTTAATCCTGTCTGAGATCCCAAACTTAAAAATAAATTTGGCAGCTAAAATTCTCTCTGAGTTTTCAGTAGTTGTTGGCTTTATTTTTTAGTTCAGTAATAAGCCAAAAAGAAAAATGAAGATGTAATAAATCTAGGGAAATTCACCTCTAAAAGGGCACCAACTGAGTACAGGCAGTTTACTGAAAAATTTTAAATTAACAATATACACAATAAATACATAAAAATGGACAAGTATAAGAGTATCTACTATATTTCCAATGAAAGCAGAGCATAACTGCTTCCACTTATAAGTGAGAACATGTGTTGTTTGGTTTTCTGTTCCTGCATTAGTTTGCTGAGGATAATGGCTTCCAGCTTCATCCATGTCCCTGCAAGGGACATGATCTCATTTTTTATGGCTGCATAGTATTCCATAGTGTATATGTACCACATTTTCTTCATCAAGTCTATCATTAATGGATGTTTGGGCTTATTCTGTCTTTGCTATTGTGAGTATTGCTGCAGTGAACACGTGTGCATGTATCTCTGTAATAGAATGATTTACATTCCTTTGGGTATACACTCAGTAATGGGATTGCTGGGTCAAATTGTATTTCTGGTTCTACATCTTTGAGGAATCACCACACCATCTTCCACAATAATTAAACTAATTTACATTCCCACCAAAAGTGTAAAAGCATTCCTATTTTATGCAACGTCACCAGCATCTGTTGTTTCTTGACTTTTTAAAAATTGCCATTCTGACTGGCGTGAGATGGTATCTCATTGCGGTTTTGAATTGTGTTTCTCTAATAATCAGTGATGATTGGCTTTTTTTCGTATGTTTGTTGGCTGAATGAATGTCTTCTTTCAAGAAGTGTCTGTTCATGTCATTTGCCCACTTTTTGATGCACTTGTTTGTTCAGATGGTTGTAGATGTTTGGTCTTATTTCTAAATTCTCTATTCTGTTCCATTGGTCTATGTGTCTGTTTTTGTACAAGTACCATGTTCTTTTGTTTACTGTAGCTTTGTAGTATAGTTTGAAGTCAGGTAGTGTGATGTCTCCCAGTTTGTTCTTTTTGCTTAGGATTATCTTGGCTATATTAACTCTTTTTTGTTCCATAATGATTTTAAAATCGTTTCTTCTATTTCTGTGTAGAATGTCAATGCAATTTAAGGAGACTATAATTGAATCTGTAAATTACTTTGGGCAGTATAGCCATTTTCACAATATTGATTATTCATATCTGTGAACATGGAATGTTTTTCCATTTGTTTGTGTCCTCTCTGATTTCCTTGAGCAGTGGTTTGTAGGTCTACTTAAAGAGATCTTTTACTTCCCTTGTTAGTTGTATTCCTAGGTATTTTATTCTCTTTGTAGACGTTGTGAATGGCAGTCTACATGAATGTTAATTCATGATTTGGATCTCTGCTTCTCTGTTGTTGCTGTATAGGATTGCTTGTGACTTTTGCACATTGATTTTGTATCCTGAGACTTTGCTGAAGTTGCTTATCAACTTCAGAAGCCTTTGTGCTGGGATGATGGGGTTTTCTAGATACAAGATCGTATCATCTGCAAACAAAGACAATTTGACTTCCTCTCTTCCTATTTGAATACTCTTTCTTTCTTTCTCTTGCCTTATTGCCCTGGCTAGAACTTCCAATATGATGTTGAATAGGAGTGGTGAGAGAGGGCATTCTTGTCTTGTGTGAGTTTTCAAGGGGAATACTTCCAGTTTTTGCCCATTCAGTATGATATTGGCTGTGGGTTTGTCATATATGGCTCTTATTATTTTGAGGTATGTTCCTTCAATACCTAGTTTATTGAGAGTTTTTAACATGAAGGGATGTTGAATTTTATTGAAGGCCTTTTCTGCATCTATTGAGAAAATTCTGTGGTTTTTGTCATTGGTTCTGTTTATGTGATGGATTACATTTATTGACTTGCATATATTGAACCAGCCTTGCATCCCAGGGATGAAGCCAACTTGATTGTGGTGGATAAGCTTTTTGATGTGCTGCTGGATTTGGTTTGCCAATATTTTATTGAGGATTTTTGCATTGATGTTCATCAGGGATATTGGCCTGAAATTTTCTTTGTTTGTTATATTTCTGCCAGGCTTTTGTATCAGGATGATGTTGGCCTCATGAAATGAGTTAGGAAGGAGGTCCTCCTTTCTAATTGTTTTGAATAGTTTCAGAAGAAAGGGTATCAGCTCCACTTCATATCTCTGGTAGAATTCAGCTGTAAATCCATCTGGTCCTGGGCTTTCTTTGGTTGGTAGGCTATTTATTACTGTATCAATTTCAGAACTTGTTATTGGTCTATTCAGGGATTCAACTTCTACCTGGTTCAGTCTTGGGAGGGTATATGTGTCCAGGAATTTATCCATTTCTTCCAGATTTTCTCATTTATTTGCATACAGGTGTTTACAGTATTCTCTGATGGTTTTTTATATTTCTTTGGGGTCAGTGATGATGTCCCCTTTATTATTTTTCATTGTGTCTATTTGATTCTTCTCTCTTTTCTTCTTTATTAGTCTAGCTAGCAGTCTATCTATTTTATTAATTTTTTCAAAAGAAAAAAGCTCCTGGATTTATTAATTTTTGAAGGGCTTTTTGTGTCTCTATCTCCTCTAGTTCTGCTCTGAGCCTGGTTACTTCTTGTCTTCTGCTAGGTTTGGAGTTTGTTTGCTCTTGGTTCTCAAGTTCCTTCAGTTTCGATGTTAGGATGTTGACTTGAGATCTTTCTATCTTTTTTTGATGTGGGCATTTAGTGCTATAAATTTCCCCTTAACACTGCTTTAGCTGCGTCCCAGAGATTCTGGTATGTTGTGTGGCATTTTCTTGATTTCTGCCTTAATTTCATTATTGACCTGAGTCATCCAGGAGCAGGTTGTTTAATTTCCATGTAGTTGTGTGGTTTTCAGTGAGCTTTTGAGTTCTAATTTGATTGTATTGTGTCTTAGAGACTGTGTGTTATGATTTCAGTTCTTTTGCATTTGCTGAGAAATTTACTTCCAATTATATGATCAATTTCAGAGTAAATGCCATGTTCTGCTGAGAAGAATGTATATTATGTTGTTTTGTGGTGGAGAATTCTGTAGGTATATATCAGGTCCACTTGATCCAGGGCTGAGTTTAAGTCCTGAATGTATTTGTTAACTTTCTGTCTTGATGATCTGTCTAATATTGACAGTGTGGTGTGTTAAAGTCTCCCACTACTATTGTGTGGAGTCTAAGACTCTTCGTAGGTCTCTATGAACTTGTTTCATGAATCTGGGTGCTCCTGTATTGGGTGCATATATGTTTAGGATAGCTCTCCTGGTTTAATTGACCTCATTACCATTATGTAATGCTCATCTTTGTCTTTTTTGATCTTTGTTGGTTTAAAGCCTGTTTTGTCAGAAACTAGGATTGCAACTCCTATCTTTTTTCTGTTTTCCATTTGTTTGGTAAATTTTCCCCCATCCCTTTATTTTGAGTCTATATGTGTCTTTGCATTTGAGATAGGTCTCTTGAATACAGCACACTGATGGATCTTGACTTTTTATCCAGCTTGCCATCTGCACCTTTTAATTGGGGCATTTAGCTCCTTTACATTAAAAGGTTAATATTGTTATGTGTTAATTTGATTCTGTCATCAGGATGCTAGCTGGTTATTTTGCAAACTTGTTCACATACTTGCTTCATAGCGCTATTGGTCTGTGTACTTCATTGTGTTTTTGCAGTGGCTGATAATGTTATTTTCCTTTCCATATTTAGTGCTTCCTTCAGGAACTCTTGCAAGACAGGCCTGGTGGTGACAAATTCTTTCAAAATTTGCTTGTCTGAAAAAGATCTTATTTCTCCTTCTCTTATGAAGCTCAGTTTGGCCAGATATGAAATTCTAGGTTGGAAATTATTTTATTTATGAATATTGAATATTGGACCCTAATTTCTTCTGGCTTGTAGGGTTTCCTCTGAGAGGTCTGCTGTAAGTCTGATGGGCTTCCCCTTATAGGTGACCTGGCTTTTCTCTCTGGCTGCCCTTAACATATTTTCCTTCATTTCAACCTTGGAGAATCTGACAGTTATGTGTATTGGGGTTGATCTTCTGGTGGAGGATCTTATTGGGGGTTCTCTGGATTTCCTGAATTTGAATGCTGGCCTGTCTTGACAGGTTGGGGAAGTCCTCCTGGATGATATCTTGAAGTGTGTTTTCCAACTTGGTTCTGTTCTCCCCACCTCAATCTTTATTAGAAAAAAATTATGGATACACAACAGATGTATACATTTTTGGAGTACACGTGAACGGTTTATACAAGCTTACAATGTGTAATGATCAAATCTGAGTAATTAGGATATCATTAACTTCAAACATTTATTATTTCTTTTTGTTCGGAACCTCCAAATCATCTCTTCTTGCTATTTTGAAATATATAGTAAATTATTGTGTACTATGGTGGCCTTATTGTGCTATCAAACTTTATATCTTATTCCTTCTATCTAACTGTATTTTTAACCAATTAACCAGCTCCTCTCCATTTTCTTCCCCACACTACCCATTCTGGCCTCTGGTAATGACCATTCTATCCACTACCTCCATGAGATTTTTTTTTTTTTTTTTAGTTCTCACATATGAGCGAGAACATGAGATCCATACTTGGCTTATTTAACTTTACATAATATCTTTCAATATCATCTATGTTGCTTCAGATGATAGACTTTTATCCTTTTATGGCTGAATAATATTTGATTGTATGTATATGCCACGTATTCTTTATCCATTCATCTACTGGTGGACACTTAGGTTGTTACCATATCTTGGCTATTTTGAACAGTGCTATAATAAATATGGGAATGCAGATATCACCTTGTTATACAAATTTTATTTCTGTTTGATGCATACCCAGCAGTGAGCTTGCTGGACCATACAGTAGTTCTCTTTTTAGTTCTTTTGAGAAACCTCTATGTTTTTCATAGTGACTATACTAATTTTCATTTTCACTAACAGCATACAAGTGTTCCCCCTTCTCCACACTCTCACCAGCATTTATTATTATTTGCCTTTTTGATGGTAGCCATTTTAAATGGAGTGATACGATATGTCACTGTAGTTTTGATTTGCATTTTTCTGATGATTAATGATATTGGACAATTTTCAGATATCTGTTGGCCATTTGTGTGTAAACTTTTAAAATGTCTATTTAGATCTTTTGCTCATTTTTAAATTGGACTATCTGTATTTTTGCTATTGAGTTGTTTGAGTTTGTCATGTACTCTGAGTATTAGCCTCTTGTGAGAAAAATAGTTTGCAAACAATTTCTTCCATTCTGTATGTTGTCTCTTCACCTTCTTGTTTGCTTTGCTGTGCAGAAGCTTTTTAGCTTGATGTAATATTGTCAATTTTTGCTTTGCTTGCCTGCACTTTTGAGGTTACGCTCAATAAATCTTCCCCTAATCAATGTCCTAAAGCATTTCTCCTGTGTTTTCTTCTAATAGTTTCACAGCTTCAGATTTTACATTTAAATCTTTAATCTATTTTGATTTAATTTTTATATACGGAGAGAGATAGGGGTCTTGTTTCATTCTTCTGGACATAATTATCCAGTTTTCCTAGGACCACTTATTGAAGAGACTCTTCTTTCCCCAAGATGTGTTCTTAGTGCCTTTGTTGAAAATGTGTTGACTGTAATGCATGGATTTATTTCTGGGCTCTCTACTTTGTTCCATTGGTCACTGTGTCTGTTTTTATGCAACTATTATGTTATTTGGATTACTATAGCTTTGTAGTGTAATTTGAAGTTAGATAGTATGTGATGCCTCCAAGTTTGTTCTTTTTGGTCAGAATTGTGTTAGCTATTCGGAGCCTTTTAAGATTCCATATACATTCCAGGATTTTTTTTTTTCTGTGAAGAATATCATTGTTATGCTGATGGGGATTAGGCATTTTAAATGCATTTTTGACTTAATATTTTCAATTTGTGATGCGTTTATTGGGATATAATTCCATGTTAGTTGAGGAGCGTATTTACATATGTGTGTATGTGTATACACACACATATAATCTCGAGTTATTTCATCAGCCTATATGTCTCTAATCTTACAGCACATATAAATTGTTACAGATATTTTTGTTGTCCTCATGTATTTTATATACCATTCACATGCTTTTACCCATTGTCTTCAGTTAACATCTCATAGAGCACTGATGCTGTCTCTTCATTTTTGTGTGTGTAGAACTCTGTCTTTAGTAAGTAAACATTTTTGACCAGGCACTTAAAGTTTTGATTAAACATATTAATTTATCCATGCTCATTTCTATTTTATAGCACGTTATTAATTTAAAAATTAAGTCAACTGGGCTTTAACACTTAAAGATATCTCAACAGAAGCCAAAGGTACTAAACATCAAAAAACAAGAAATGATTTTTTTTTGTAACATTTTAACTTATATTTTAACTTTCAGTCACAATTGGGAGACTTATGACCTTTTAGGGTTTTCCAAATCATCTAAGAAACAGTGATTTCAAATAAGTTTCATCTGTGATCCTGCCCAGCAGAACGATGTGGGTAATTTAAAAATTACATGCCATGATCAATCTGCCAAGAGTTTCCTCTATTACATTCACTGACATTTCCACAGTGCACAGACACATTTGTAAGAGAACTTTGTACAATGAAATGAATTAGATTAATGGAAGAGAAGAGGAGTCCTAAATCCATATAGGCATATTTTGTTGAAACAATTTCTGCAAGTTCTTTTGACAGAAGGAATTCTTCTTTAAATGTCATACTGAAAACTACAAAAACAGACTTGTCCTGATTCTGAGTATACTCACAAGAGTGTTTCACTCATCCACTCTTAGAAAACATTTAATAATCAATTGTAGTACATTAAATTCTATTTGTATGATATGAAATTTAAGAGAGATATTAGAAAAACATGCCTAATCAAACATTTATTTTATTGGTTTTAACACTACACCAAACACATTTCTATTTTACTAATAAAAATTTTTATTCAAAGACATTTTTCTCAGATACAGGGATATGTAATTATATTACAGAAATAAGTCTGATTGATAGATTCAGAAATGTTTAAATGGAAGAAAACCAATAATCTCTCATGTAACTTGCCTGTGGTATAGAGCTAGTTATGCCAAGACTAGTTATAAGATGGTTTTATAATTTTACATTTTTATTTTATACTATTTCTTATATTTATTTATGAAGGGATAATTCTTCTGCCTTCAGTTTAGTTTAAACCTTGTTTTGCTTATGACATATAATACAGTGTTATCTCTAAATGATTTACTGATTTGTCTTTTTAAAAATATTTCTAACCTTTATATAAGAAACAAAAATAAATATACATGTAAAATGAAGCACTTTGAATCACATTTTTGTCATTAATATTAGAATTATAATAATATTTAATAGTGGTTTATATGAGCTAATATGAATATTCAAAAAATGGACTGACTCATGCTACACACTCACTAATTGCTAGATCTGGACTTATTTTTTTGCTGTTGCTGTTTTATGCTGCTGTTGTTTTATCACTATTTTATTGTTGTAGTCGTTGCTGTAAAACAAAGTAATACATAAAAATAAGATGAACGTGACCTTAGATCCAGCTTAACATTTAATTATCTGACCTAAACAAATTGCTCAACTTTTGTAGGAATCAATTTCTGTCATGTATGATACAAAAAACCTGGAGTATATAACTTGTAACAAAATATCCTATGATAAATAACTGTATTTCCCATAGGTCATTATTTTAAAGAGTTTACTTGACAATATTTTGAAAGTTGAGTATATACCTCATGAGGTACAGGTACATATAACCTCAAATACAAAGAAAAAATACTACAAAAATAAACATTAAATAAAACATTTACTAAAAATAAAAATTACTAAATGCTGTGACAAAATTTCATCGGTGAGTATTTTCACTTGTTTGAAAATTATAGCTTCTGAATTGCATAGTTTGGTAGCCATGTTGGACAACAAAAGAATAAGCCTATTTTAGATTATCATTTTGTAACATGTTTTAATGAGACTGCCTCTCATATTTGGAAAAAAATGTAGAAAATATTTCTGGTCAATAATGTTACACTTTAATTCCTTGGAGCATACTTTGCTATTAGGTCTATATATTTACAACAGGACACAATTACAATGCCAGTTAATGCTATTACTATTTTCAAATAATATACCATTCTTCATCCATAAAATCTATTTGTGTTTTTTAGCTTTATTGAAGTATAATAATATATTAAAAAATTTCACCCATTTAACTTATTCATGTTGATGTTTGGACATGTTTTCTGTTTTTTTTAGGTTTGGCAAAAAAACGTATTACTTTACTGAGGTATAATTTATATCCAAAAACCTTTACATTTTTAATTTATACAATTTAAATATGAATCTGAAGTTACGTATGTTCTGTATTTAAATATTACTAATTATTTGAAAACAAAAAAAGTCACAAACTTTACATAGCAAAGTTCAGCTGAACAATTTTCTTAAGAAGAAATATATATGAGTAAAAAAATCAGACAAAAAACTGCTTCTAACAATTCACATGTAGTGTATGGTGGAAAGCTCTATAGATTGTCTTCACATAAAATGCTTTAAAATTATAAAAGCCAAAATAATGTCCCTTCATTACATCACAGACTTGTATATTTCTACGTATTCCTGTATTTACTTTTCACCACCTGAATGTGCTGAAGTGTCAATATGTCATCATTATGTTTTACAAGCAAATTGGCCCTTTCAAAATCATTGGTCTCTGTGTACTAATGACAATTATAAGTTCTTATTTTGTTTATATATCTATTTACATGTTAATAATGAGCTATGATAATATTTCTCTTTTCCCCTGTTGTATAGTAAAATATAAACTATTTAGGGCCTGGTGAAGTAGCTCATGCCTGAAATCCCAGCAATTTGGGAGATCAATGAGTGGGGATTCCTTGAGCTCACGAGTTTGAGATCAGCTGGGGCAACATGGTGAAACTCCATCTTTACGAGAAAAAAAGCAAAAATTAGCTTGGTGTGGTGGTGCACACCTGTAGTCCCAGCTGCTCCAGAAGCAGAAGTGGAAGAATCCTTTGTGCCAGGGAGGAAGAGATTGTAGTGAGCCAAGATGCCTGGGTGACAGAGTGAGACCCTGTCTCAGAAAAACAAACAAACAAAACCTAGTTAGGATTGTTTACTTTTTCCCAAGCAAAATTATTTATTTATTATTTATTTATTTATTTATTTTTATAAATTTAGGGAATATAATTGCAGTTTTGTTACATAAATTTATTGTGCAGTGTTGAAGTCTGGGCTCTTAATCATCACCTGAATAGTGTACATTTTACCAATTGGGTAATTTCTCATCCCTCACCTCCTCCTACCCTTCCACCTTTCTGAGTCTCCAATGTGTATTATTCTACTCTCTGTATCCACATGTACATAGTAATTGGTTTATTTGAGATTATTGCTTTCTTTGCTATTACCCATGCACATTCTACATTTACCTCTTCACATCAGATAATCTCCTATTTCTATTTTATAAAAATACTGAATGTATGAAGAAATACAGGACTTTTATCTTAGTCCAGTATTTCTCCCAAAACTGTAAACATTAAGTATACAGTCTGAATATTAAAATTAAGTAAATGGACACAGAAAGATTCTTAAAAGTTCAATAAAGATCACATATTCAAGTAATTAACAAAGAAAAATGATTGCATACACATAAAAGCAAGTAGAATATATGTTTTAAATTTTTTGAGTTTTACTTACTCAGTTTTATATATGCTGACAGTGAAACACATAATTCCTAGTTTTCAGTAGAAAAAATAAAGAAAGAAAGGCATGTGGGAGTATGATTATTATTAGAAATTAATATAGCAGCTGCCATGCATACCAAGGCATTCCTCAATAATATTGTCCTCAGGTCAAGACTTGCTCTTTGTCATATGACAATACTTATTTCTTCTAGAAACAGGGGAAATATTATTGTCTTATTAGGTCATAATAGGGGTAGCAAGGCTTGTTTCAAGAAATAATATATCTAAATAACATCTTAGGAGGGAACAAATATATAAATTATTATCTTCATTGTTTACATTCTACTCTAAAGCAAGATAATTCTTTCCATTGTTTTGCAATTAGAAAAACAAAATTATTGTCAATACTTACTTTTTTTTTTTTTTTTTTTGAGAGGAGTCTCACTCTCTCACCCAGGCTGGAGTGCAATGGCACAACTTTGGCTTACTGCAACCTCCGTCTCCCAGGTTCAAGCTATTCTCCTGCCTCAGCCTTCTGAGTAGCTGGGACTACAAGCGTGCACCACTATGCCCGGCTAATTTTTCCATATTTAGTAGAGACGGGGTTTCACCATCTTGACCAGGCTGATCTCAAACTCCTGACCTCAAGCAATCTGCCCACCTCAGCCTCCCAAAGTGCTGGGATTACAGGTGTGAGCCATGGCGCCTGGCCATCAATACTTCTTAATGGGAAGAATCTATAATCAAATTGTATCAATAAAGCTTGAACCTGAATAGCTGAAACATTTTTCCTGTTTCTTTGTTACAAAACTGAATAATGCATGAAATCAAAAGGGATCTTTTGAGTTGTTTTGAAATAATTTTGAAATACTTGTGGGTAGTATATGACAATTATTATTAGATTTAGAAGAAAACTAAAGAATGTTGAATAAACAATTAATATTTTCCTTTAAAATTTTTGAGCATTGAAATCTTTGCCATAAAAATGGAATCAAGAAACAAATTAAGATCTTAGCAAACAACCAGCACTTTCCCCTGAGATTTGGTCAAGGCTTCTCTTAAAACGCAATAATAATCAAGTGAGTAACTAGGGCAATATTTTGATTACAATTCAAAATAAATTGTAATCATGGAAATAGACTGTTTCCTGACAGAAAATTGTTCAGAGCAGTACAGACTATAATCATTACAGTTCTCTAGACAAAACAAAAAGAGATAGATAGATATTGGAGAGAGACAGAGAGAGAAAGGGAGTTTATTATGGGAATTGACTCACACCATTATGGAGGCTGAGAAATTCCATGATATGTCACCTGCAAACTGTAGAGCCAGGAAAGTTGGTAGTATAATTTATCTGAGTCTAAAGGCCTGGTAACCTAGAAGGCTGCTGATTTAAGCCCCAGAGTCCAAGACCAGAAAACCAGGAGTTCTGATGTCTAAGGGAGGAAGAATACAAATAGCTCCAGAAGAGAGAAAAAATTCACCCTTCCCCTGCTTTTTTGTTTGATCCAGTCCCTCAGTGGACTAGGTCATGCTCCTCCACACTGATAAGGGTAGATCCTTCTTACTCAGTCCATGATTCAAATGTTAATCTCTTGTGGAAATGCCCTCACTGGGATACCCAGAAATAATTTTTTATCAGCTGTCTGGATATCCCTTAACCCGGTTAAGTTGACATTTAAAATTAACCACTACAGGGATGTCAGCTAAAGAACCGTATCATCTTGCCAAAAGTCCTCAAATATTAAAGCCATGGCTCTGGAATTTTCTAAGGATCTAAGGATTCAAATTTTAAAAGTATGTTTTACATATATAAATGCTATTTACTGTAGCCAGTTTACCAAGTGAGGTCCAATGTATGATACCTTAAAATTGCATGTTTACATAGCCATAGGTATATTTCAAGGTGTATGATATAGTGTGGCTCTGTGTTCCCACCTAAATCTCATCTCAAATTGTAATCCCCAGGTGTCAAAGGAGGGGCCTAGTGGGAGGTGATTGAATCATGGGACAGTTTCCCCCATGCTGTTCTCATGTTAGTAACTGAGTTCTCACAAGACCTGGTGCTTGGCAGTTCCCCACCAACCCCACCCTCCTGCTGCCATGTAAGACATGCCTCACTTCCCCTTCACCTTCTGCCATAATTGTAAGTTCTCTGAGGCCTCCCCAGCATTGTGGAACTGTGAGTCAATTAAACCTCTTTTCTTCATAAATTACCCAGTCTCGGGTAGTTGTTTATAGCATTACGAAAATGGACTAATACAGAAAATTGGTACCAGGAAAGTGGGGCACTGCCAAAAAGATAACTGAAAATGTAAAAGTGACTTTGGAACCGGGTAAGAGGCAGAAGTTGGAACAATTTAGAGGGCTCAGAAGAAGACAGGAAAATGTGGGAAAGTCTGGAACTTCCTAGAGAATCGGAGGGCTCAGAAAACAGGAAGATGTGGGAAGGTTTGAAACTTCCTAGAGACTTACTACATGGCTTTGACCAAGATGCTGACAGTGATATGGACAATGCAGTCCAGGCTGAGGTGGTCTCAGATGAAAATGAGGAACTTACTGGGAACTGGAGCAAAGGTCACTCTTAACTATGTTTACACTTTGTCCCTGCCCTAGAGATCTGTGGAACTTTGAACACGAGAGAGATGATTTAGGGTATCTGGGAGAAAAAATTTTGAAGCTGCAAAGCATTCATTCAAGAAGTTCCCTGACTGTTCCTAGCAGTGTACAGTCAAATGCATTCACAAGGATGGTCTGAAATTGGAACATGTTTAAAAGGGATGCAGAGCATAAAAGTTTGGAAAGTTTGCAGCTTGACCATGTGGTAGAAAAGAAAACCCCATTTTCTGGGGAGAAATTCAAGTTGACTGCAGAAATTTGCAGAAGTAAAGAGAAGCAGAATACAAAGACAATGGGGAAAATGCCTCCAAGGCATGACGCAGACCTGCACAGCAGCCCCTCCCATCACAGACCCACATTTTCTGTGTTATTAATACCCTATTCAAAGTTCATAAAAGCTAACTAAATCTTCTTTAATCGTCCACTTAATTCTGAAATATAATTTAGAAATAGTTGAGAGTTAGCTGTACATCTGTATACCAATCCTATATATACTTTGTATGCACTAATATATAAAGTATATGACTGTCTGTAGAGATAGATAGAATATGTAATCATTACTTGATGTTCTACTACCTGCCAGCTGGCATGACTAGCAAGAGATAGTTTTATATTACTTTTACATTTTTTATTCCAATGAGAACTTGATAATAAAGACAACCAAATAGTCATTACATAGATGCAAACAAGCATAATAACTTCTCTAGTAATCTTTCTTTATTTTGGTGTTACAGTTTATTTTATGTACCTTCCCATAATTGTAGTCTGTTTTATATTTAATTTTTCTTCTATGCCTCTTAATTACACGAGTCTCTTGGAATACAATTTTAGTCCTATAAAAATTCTCTTCAAATTATTACCTAATAAAAGGAGGTTTGAAGTGTGTGCAGTCAGAAGAATGTGAAGCCATAAGCAGAAGAAGGAAGTCCTATTTTTAAGTTAAAAAAGTCTATGTATTTTTGACAAATATTTCAAATTAGTTTCATCCTTGGTAATTTGGGATGTATTTATAATATCCATGGAAATATTCGTAAGTATATCACTTAAGTTACATTTTATTTTATTTTAGATTGGAACTAATACAATATTACCATAATCTGTTTAAGATTCCTATAAATAAATTATATTCCTATAATTTATAGGAATACTTATGGAATATAATTAATTCCTATAAATAAATTATATTCCTATAATTTATAGGAATACTTATGGGAATATAATTTATTCCTATAAATAAATACAATAATTATTTATAGATTATTATAAATAAATTATATTTTATGTAATTTATTAAAATTATAGAAATGTCCTATAAATAAATACAATAACATAGATTCCTATAAATAAATTATATTATATATAATTTATTAAATTCATAAGAATTTCCTATAAATAAATACAATAATTATTGTATTGTATTAGATTGGAACTAATACAATATTACCATAATCTGTTTAAGATTCCTATAAATAAATAGTATGTGACTGATAAGTGATATTAACTCGTTATCATATGCAACCCATAAATGTACGGATGTCTAATTAACATATTTACAGTCATAATCTTCTCTGTATTAGATAAAAATTAAAAAATCTAATTTTTGATTGTCAAGGTAACAACCAGAAAAGTAACAGAAATAATGCATAAATACATTGCCAATAACATATTCTTTGTATTTTACTTTGTATTTGTGCTTACATGAAAATTAAAATAAACATGTTATATTAATAGTTATAAATTACATTTTTGTTGTAACTGAAGTATTGATTTCTTTTATCTCTTAAAATTAAAAAAAAAGACAGTTTAATGCCTCCATACATGTCTTTCATTCACAGATATTGGTATAACTTCTCAAAAATGTAAACATGCAGACAGAGGAGAGGAAACTGTAAAACATACTCATCACAAGTAATCACTACTCATTATCTAAGCATTTTCTTTTTCTCAGAAATATCTTTAATCCAGCTTTATAAAAATGACATTGATTATATTATAAAATGATATTGATAGTGATTTTATTTGTTAAACTCTAATAGCTAAAATAGAGTTTAAAAATTGTAAAAATCAGTACTAAGCAAATTGTTTAATTAAGGTAATTTGTTCTGAAAATACATTCTTTGTGATGATTATTTTTCTAATTATTGCCTAGATCTATGTTGTTTAATAGAACCTTTTTTTTACTATATAAATACAAATTTATACTTAGAATAGCTAAATAGTAAGAACTCTAAAGTCATGGCCTTCAAATATACTTAATACATTTTGCCATGCATATTAAAAATACTAAAACATACTGTAAAATATTTTGTATTTTATTTTAGTGGATAGTTATATAACCCAAAAGGAATAAGGTAAGCTATAATGGATTTGTCTGTAAGTGCTGGAAGGATTTTTATCTGAAGCTGCTGGTATTATAAGAAAAGAACTTTTATGTGTGTTATCTCATGAAGTTTATATAAAAGAATAAAACATAGATTGAAGTAAATACCACTGTAAACAAAAGAGGATCCTTTCAACTTAGAATTCTTATCAAAATATATGAGTACACTAAGGAAACTAAAAAGTAAAAACTACATGTATTTATGAAGGTTCAAGTTCTTTAAATTTTGAATTTTTGAATGGTATACTATAGATACAAACCAAAGAACAAAAACTAAAATTACCATTTGAACCATCAATTTCATTTCTGCGTATATATCCGAAGGAAAAGAAATTTAAAAATTAATTAGAAATTAATTAGAAAAAATTAATCTACCAAAGGAAAACAAAACAAAACAAAACAAAACACTTGCATTCATATGTTTACTTCAGCACTATTCACAATAGCAAAGACATGGAATCAACATAGGTATTCATCAACGGTTGATTGGATAAAGAAAATGTGGTACATACACACCATAGAATACTACACAGCCATAAAAAAGGACAAGATCATATTCTTTGCAGCAACATGGATCAACTTGAGGCTATTATCCTAAGTGAATTAACTCAGAAATAAAAAGTTAAAGACTTCATGTTCTCACTTAGATGTGGAAGCTAAGCATTGGGTAGACATGAACATAAGGATAGAAACAATGAACACTGGGGACTCCAAAAGGAGGGGGAGATGGCAGAGGGCAAGAGTTGAAAAACTACCTCTTGGGCACTATGTTCATCATTTAGGTGACAGGTTCAGTGGAAGCCCAAACCTCAGCTTCACACAACATATCCATGTAACAAACCTGCACAAGTACCCTCTGAAATCAATATTTTAAAAATCAACAATTTTTAAAAAGTAGATTCTTACATAAATGACATACAGAAAATACCTACTACAAGTATTGATTAATAAGTGATTAAAATGGTCTAATGGTAAGTGTGAAATTGTGGATGGGATTAGATAGGCATAGCAGAGGAAAGTAAGAAAAGAAGAGAAGCTATAATAAAGCTTAAAATAATTAATTAGTTATTGGTTAATTAGATACAGTGGATAAAGAGGAAGAATAAGTCAAAATATAACTATGTATTTTATAGGGGAGGCAATTTTGAGAAGCATATTGTCATGCTTTAGTTTAAGGAGATTATGAAGAGGCTCTAGATTAAAGCATAAGGTGATCAGGTCATTTGCATCCATATTAAACTCCGGTTAATAACAGAAAGTGAGCATAAAAACAATCAGTGGGAAAATGAAAAAATGAAGAAAAAGCCTACTTGTTGTGGGGGCAATGGGACCATTAATAAAAATATCAAGATAAATGCCAATAAAATGAGAAATACTCATGTGAGAGCAAGACTTGAAGAACGCAGAAACAGAAGGATCATGTTTTATTGCTCCCAATGCTTCTGACATGAATGAAAGGAAATCAAAACACAAAGATCCAACACATTAAGTAACACATTATAAGCTAGAAATAGAATAAGGGAAAGTTATATACTTACTGTTAGACTAAAAATGTTCATTTTGAAATTAGCACTAATTGCTTGTTAAAAATGCCAACTCATAAAATGTGACATAATGTAAAATATCAGTTTCTTAAAAAATCTGAGAAATAACTATGCATTATATTTGCATTGCATGTTGGGAAAACCTGCTCATTCTATTCTGATTTTCAATTTTCTTTGATTTTTATTATTTTTTAAAGAGACACACAAAATTAGATTGTGAATAGACTCCTATATACATGCTAGAACTTGGTAACTACCAACATTTTGCAGAACATGTTTCATCTTAGCCTCAGTCCTCTTTTATTTTTCTGAATATTTTAATGATACTACATTATTTCATGTCTACATATTTTGTAATGGATTTTAAAAATACAATTTCTTGGTGGGGCGCGGTGGCTCACATCTGTAATCCCAGCACTTTGGGAGAACGAAGTGGGCAAATCATGAGATCAGGAGTTCAAGACCAGCCTGACCAATATGGTGAAACCCCGTTTCTACTAAAAATACAAAAATTAGCCTGGTGTGGTGGTGTGCACCTGTAATCCCAGCTACTTGGGAATCTGAGGCAGGAGAATCACTTGAACCTGGGAGGTGGAGGTTGCAGTGAGCTGAGATGGCACCACTGTACTCCAGCCTGGGCAACATAGTGAGTGAGACTCTGTCTTTAAAAAAAAAAAAAAAAAAAAAAAAAGAAAAAACAGTTTCTTATAAAACCTTAGTAACTCTATAGCATGTAACAAAATTAGCAATGATTTATCATCATACCTAGTACATATCCAAACTATTAAAATTATTTGTAATATTTTCTCTTGTTAATATTTAAATTTCTTTTCATATGCAAATTTCTAGACATGTTATTATGGCAGAGCATAATAAGCCATAGTGTGTCCCATAACTATAACAATTTCATGCCACAAATTATTTAATTTCTCCTCTCTCAGCCTCTTGAACTTCAAATTATTTTTTTAAAAAAATCACAGATATCTAGTTTACATCTCTAAATATTTCTGCATACATAACTAAAAATAACAACTCCTGTCACATAAGCAAAATGTGATTATTATGCTTTTTAAAATCCAGGTAATTGACATCACTAATCATCAGAGAAATGCAATCCAAAACCACAATAAGATACCATCTCACACCAGTCAGAATGGCTATTATTAGAAAGTCAAAAAATAACAAATGCTGCCAAGGTTGCAAAGAAAAGGGAACACTTACATACACTGCTGATGGAAGTGTAAATTAATTCGGCCACCATGGGAAGCATTTGCCCCAACAATCTCATTATTGGGTATATACTCAAAATACAAATGGTTCTACCATTAAGATATTTGCACATGTATGTTCATCACCGCATTATTCACAATAACTAGGACATAGAATTAACCTAGATGCTGATCAATGGTAGACTGGATAAAGAACATGTAATACATATACACCATGGAATACTATGCAGTCATAAAAATGAATGAGATCATGTCCTTTGCAGCAACGAGCTGCAGACCATTATCCTAAGCAAACTAACATTGAAACAGAAAACCAAATACCTCATGGTCTCACTTATAAGTGAGAGCTAAACACTGAGTCCATATGGAGAGAAAGAAAGGATCAATAGATATTAAGGATCTGCTTGAGAGTGAAGAGTGGGAGGAGGGTGGGTACTGACAAACTACCTATTGGGTACCATGCTTATTACCTGGGTGACTAAATAATCTGTACACTAAACCCCCACAACACATAATTTACCTACTTCTCAAATCTACACATGCTTCTGTGAAACTAAAAGTTAAAAAAAATTGTAAAATATCCAGCTAACATTTTGTTAATTACTTCATAACTGTCACACGTGCATATGCACACACACACACACCTTTATATATGGCTAGTGTTTCTATAATGCTTCAAATAAAGCACACATGTTGAAATAGGTTGATTTGTCTTTTAAGTTGCTATTTAGGTATCAATTCTTTCTCCGGTCTTTTTTTTTTCTCACCTGCAAATTATTTGTTTAGAAATCTGTATGCACAGGAAAGAGTTAATTCAGCAAGTCTGGTTTGCTTCAACCCCACACATTCCCAAGAAAGGCCAATCTTTGCAATTGGCCCTTACCTGGGTTCTGGGAGATGAGCTCTAAAGCTCTTGAAATATTCTGCCTCATAACAGTGTTTTTGCTGACACCTTTGGGCACAGAACACTAGTTTTATGAGATAGTTTATTAACAATGTGATCTATAATAAATTGCTGTTTTTGCTCTTTGTGACTGAAGTCTGAGTGTCTGAGGTCAGGCACATAGGTGCTACATACATAGGTAAATGACTCTAAATAAAACACTTGGATCACCCAGCTCAGGTGTGCTTTCCTGGTTGGGAGGACTTGTCACACATTGGCACACAGCCTTACTGGGAGAATTAAGCCCACCGGGTAAGTTCATAGGGAGAAGACACGTGGGAGCTTGTGCCTGCTTTCTACTACACTTTGGCCCACATGGCTTTTCCCTTTGCTTATTTTTAATCTTAATAATTTTACTATAATAATACTATATTTACGCCACAGTATAACAAATTTTGTGAGTCCTTCTAATTAATTATTGGCTCTAAGAATAGTCTTGGGGAATCCTAACATACTGTATCATTTATTCTTTGTTTCTCTGAGTCCGGACTTTGCTAACCAACTGATGTAGGAGGTCAGACACTATGTCTTGGCTATGTGACTAGAGAGATATAAAAGCCCCCGCAGGAAACATCTGCTTCCTTGAGTGCTCTCCAAGTCTAGATTTATCACAAAAATCTTGTTGGTTCAATTTCAAGAAGATTAGAGTCCTTGTGGGAATATGAAAGATCCTGGGGAATTGTCGAGGAAGTCTTCTATGTCTTCTCAAATGTACATGAACTCTTCTTTTCTTACTGTTTTACATTACTAGCCTTTGTTAAATCCTTACTATATTACATTACTAGCCTTTGTCAAATCCTTAGGTGAATACGCTCTGTGAAATTGTACTAATTCTTTCAAATATATAAACCTGAGTAACCTTTATACCTATATTATTGAATGAACAATTAAACCTATTATTAAAACAACACTTGAAATAATGGCTTCAAGTGTTTGTGATCTAATATTGATCATGTCAATAACTAAACTAAAGAACTTTCAGAGATATAATCAGATGCTTACAAGTCAACATGCAGTCAATTCTGTTGTTATTACCCATGATTTTATTTTTAAGGAAGAAAAATTCTAATTAACCTGTGTCTGTAACCATTGACACTGGGAATGGACCAGAATACCCAGAAAATATCACAGCATTTATATCATTGGAAGAAATTGAAAATTTTATCATCATAGTCTTAAATTACTTGTATAAAATGAAAAGCCTAAAATATTACCAAACTAAAAGGAGTTGATACAAAAGCTTGAATAATTTCATTCTGACTAGTATTTTACTGAACCATATTTTCAAAAATGGTAAAGTGTGTAAGAAAGAATCTAGATTTAAAAAAAAATTAATTAAAATTTGTTTTCTAAGATTACCCAAAGCAGCTCTATGTGAAATGGAAAGTAATTAAGGGATTTCTTACTACTCCTGCCCATAGGAGATGAAAGCATCAAAAAATTAATTGAATAATAAATATCACAGCAGGGAAACAACATTATTTGAATATCACCATCTTTTTGGCTGGGATCCCAGAAGAACAGGAACTCATGGTTTGTCAAGACAGAAAAACAAGTCATAGGTTCTCTTTCAATTCTGCTGTAACAAAAATATATTTTTTCCTACAATAGCAGTATTAAAATTTAGCATAACCTGAAGCCTTATATAATAAATAATGTGAAAGAAAAAATAGCATAGTTTGTATTTATATAGCATTGTTTAAGACAAGAATGTATAAGATTTTTGGAATAATGGTTATATAGGCCAAAAATAATGCATATTTCACACATCGTCATAAAACCACATTATGTCATTTGTTTCTATTACTTTGTCATCTTAAGACCACTATTATTTTAGCTTGTCTGAGGAATGAGAATGTTCTATAGATCTTATTAAAGGCATACCGTTGTTCACCATTTTTATTAGTGAAATGATGGAATAGCATGCTTTTTTAAAATAAAGACTTGAAATATCTGCTGAAAGTATGGACTAGAAATCAATAAGAACTGAAAAGGCAAGTACTGAGACCTAAATTGTCAGCATTAAATCAGAAAGAATCCATTTTTGGCACACAATAACAGGACACTGAGACGATATAGTGGCTTTCCCCATTTACAAAAAAAAAAAAAAAAAAAGCCTTTAATTACTTCAAAAAACAAGAAACCACAGATCCAGCTCATCAAATTCTACATGATCAAGGTCCTGCTCATCTCTATAAGCCTAATCTTTAGCCATTCCTTGTAATCCTATAGACACCTCTACAAGGCTCATTGTTTAGTTACGTGGAATGTTTCCATTTTTGCAAAGGGCTTTTATGGCCACTTGCTTTGTCAGTACTATATGATATTCATTCAGCCTAAGTGATTTCAAGCAGTATCCCCAGCCTCATGGACTTTCTGTTTAACATGAACTTTAGATCACTGCTCGTTATTAGTATTCTGAAACATATTTAGATTTTTTTAACCTTCCCATGATTGGGTTTGATGTCCTTATCCGGTGTTCTTGTAGCACACTCTAATTAATATTTGCAATCAGAGCATACACCAAGCTTTGTTTAACTTGTTTTTCTCTCTCCAAAGATTTAATGCTTCCTGTGAGGAATGGACAAGTCAGCTTATTAGAATAGGCAGATAGCTGGAAATGAGCAGGAAGGGGAGCCCCTGGAAAAGAAATCCTTAGAGGCGCTGCCCACCGATAGTCAGTGCTGCCCACTGACAGCCAAAAACAATGGCTACAATAGTAACATCTGGCCTTGTGGACTGGGCTCATCCAACCCTGATAGGGATTTATTAGGCCCTAGTCAGAGATAACCATGATAGGAACTCTCCCCACTGACGAGTGTGCACACTCCTTTAAAAACTCACCCTAGGCCAGGTGCGGTGGCTCATACCTGTAATCCCAGCACTTTGGGAGGCCAAGGCAGGAGGATCACTTGAGGTCGGAGTTTGAGACCAGCCTGACCAACTTAGAGAAACCCCATCTCTACTAAAAATACAAAATTAGCCGGGTGTGGTGGTGCATGCCTGTAATCCCAGCTACTCAGGAGAATCACTTGAATCCAGGAGGCAGAGGCTGCAGTGAGCCGAGATCACACCACTGAACTTCAGCCTGGGCAACAAGAGGGAAACTCCGTCTCAAATAAAACAAAAAACAAAACAAAACAAAAAAACCTCACCCTAGAGTAGTCTTTTGCTCATTATAACAGGGGGGAATAAAAACACCCCTGGCTAGAGATTTAACATGCTAATGAGACATGCAATTTATGTATTAGCACATGCGGCCACAATGCATATGTGCTCAGGAGACCACCCAAAAAATGCTTGCTAGTAGCACCCGTTTGTACCCCTTTCATTAATTATCATGTAAGAGACCCCCAGTAAAGGGGCTCCCCAGTGTCAGCCTATGCTGGCTCATTCTCTCCAGCAGCCTGCTCTGACTCAGCATTCAGAGTGTACTGTCACTTTAAATACACTCTGCTACTACTTAGTCTCGTTACATGTCTCTTGGCTGAATTCTTTCTTCCAAAAAGACAAGAACTGAGGACCCTGCAGTGACTAGTAACAAACCTGATGTACCTTTGTAAAACAAATGTCTAGCACAATGGCTAAAATTAAATAATTACCTAATAATTATTTAATTTTGAAAATTTAAATATTTTTGTGTTGCATGATTTGGCCACTTTTAGGTTTTATTTCACTTTTTCAGTGATTTCTTTCCAAATTGCTCATACATAATTGTTATTTTTGTAGGAGGACATAGATTTCATAATTTTTGAAATATTTATTCAAATTCCCTATTATCTGGTATAATATAAAATAGTATTCTTAAATACTCTTAGTAAAATATTTGCAGACACTCTGAGGCAAAAGCAATAAATTGTAGATTATTTTTTAAACTGTAAAAAGTTTTCCTTTCCACCTGCTTAATATTATTGTAAACACATTTTATGCATGGTATACTGCTACAGAGCAACCCATCAATTTTATTAAAATGGGAAAAATAGGAGCTATCTCCAGGTAGACAGTGTTGGAATTGAATTGGTGGATACTGGCTGGTGTCTACTGCTTGTGGGTGGGGAGAAACTTCCACACATTTGGTCACAGAAGTCTTCTGTGTTGATGGTTGCAGTGTGAGAGCAAAGGAAAACACAGTCTGAGAATTTTTCCAAAGCAATTCGTGTCAGAGAGCAGAGATTGTCTAGAATGGCCCTGGCTCATGGAAACATTGGGCTTTGGGACAGAAAACATGAAAGGGTGAAGAATAAAGGATTTTTGATTCCTGGGTGGCCATGTAGTCACCCTTGGTATGGAGCTGCTGCTATGCTGAGATCAGTTACTAAAGACAACAGTCACCAGTGGAATTTAGAAATAGATCCAATCCCCCAGGGGGAGTTGGTTCATTGGATGTGCACCGACTAAGGAAATGCAAACTGATAGGAAAAGAGTGGAACAGTCAACCCTTGTGAGAAAGAAAAGTAAAATTCTAACCCCCTAAATGACTGAATGTGCCATGTCTTGGCCAAAGGGATCCCAGAGTAACCCTGAAAGCTGAATTCTCAGCCATGATGGTATTGAGGTACAAGGCGGGGCTCATCTCTGGAGGGGAGGCTTCATCAGACCAAATTAAGGACTAACCAAAACAGAGATGGGGCAGAAGCAGCCTTTCATAAGACACACCCACCAGTGTGCCATGTCATTTTACTATAGCCATGGCAACACCCAAATTTACCATTCCTTCCCATGGCAACAACCTGACAACCTGTAAGTTACCCCCCTTTTCCCAGAAATTTCTGCATAATCCTCCCCTTAATTTGCACGTGATTAAAAATGAGTATAAATATAACTGCAGAACTGCCTCTGAACTGCTACTCTGTGCATACTGCCTAAGGAGTATCCCTGCTCCACGAGGAGCGGTACCTCTGCTGCTGTTGTATACTGCTGCTTCAATAAGAGTTGCTATTTAACACCATCAGCTCTCCCTTAAATACTTTACTGGGTAAAGCCAAGAGTCCTCCCAAGCTAAGCCACAATTATGGGGTTCGCCTCCTTTGCATTAGTATGGCGCTGGGGGGGGGGTGTATTAGTCCATTCTCACGCTGCTGATAAAGACATACCTGAGACAGGGCAATTTACCAAAAAAAAGAGGTTTAATGGACTTACAGTTCCATGTGGCTGGGGAAGTCTCACAATCATGGCAGGAGACAAGGAGGACCAAATCTTGTCTTACATGGATGGCAGCAGGCAAAGAGAGAGTTTGTGCAGTGAAACCTCCCCTTATAAACCATTGGATCTCATGAGACTTATTCACTATCATGAGAACAGCAAGGGAAAGACCTGCTCCCATGATTCAATTACCTCTCTCCAGGTCCCTCCCACAACATGTGGGAATTCAAGATGAGAATACCACCTGATGGTACCCTTCTTTTTCAGCCTGGTAAGAAATCACTGACCACAGAGTGGTTCTAGTTAGTCCGAGGAGATCGAGCAGTAGGAGTTTTATATCCTCTGTTTCATCTTTTGATATCAGATGGCCAAAAACTCCACTCCGGGATTAATTGCACATGTGCAGCTTTCTCATTTCTTCCTATAGCCTATTAAATCAGTATATTCAACCACCTCACTCAGCATAGATTCCCGTTCCCTTTGACCCTCTCTCAGTGTCTGTTTCTGGCTTCTGGCCAAGGCTGTGCTTCCCAGCCTGTCAGAATGGCCACCCTGCAGGCTGCAGCCCTTCATGAGAAGTAAAGCTCTCATTTCTAAATTTATTAACCTCATCATCTTTGAGTTGACATTGCTTATTGTCATCTGTATTAGCTAAAATGAAACCAAAGGAAAGTGCTGGGTCTGACCTTGATATCATACCAAACTTAGATTTTGGTGAGTCTGAGCTTTGGCCACTAGCCTCAGAGCCACCCCTCAAAGGCAAAATTATGCAAGGACAACAGAAAGTACCTCCGAGTCCTGTGGTTACCAAGAAAGTACTCAATGTGGGGAAAGGGCAAAACAAAGTGATGAATAAAACCACAGGACATAGTGTGAAGTAATTGTTCCATTTTGTAGATAGGTATCATCAGCTTCCTGAGGAACCTTTAATAAAATGGATTCCAATAGTAGCCAATTTAGAAGGAGTATCTTTTAAGTGCTGCAGAGATGAAGAGCATGTTTGTGTTGATGCAGGACCCACAACTTGCTATAGTTCGATGGCAGATGAAGATATATAATTCAGACATGCAGGAAGATATTCCTGAGGGAACAGCCAGCCTGGTGGACTGAATAAAAGCCACAGTAAGATTTGTTTACCTTCAGAAGAGGGACTGTCTGATCCCCCCTATACATGTCATGTGGAGCACCTGAGATGAAGTAGCTGTTATGCTTTTATATGCAAACCATGTGGTCCTGGCTTTAATGATGACAGAGATATTCACCCCCTGAATATGCCAGTTACTCAGATCATGGTAAATACTACGGTTAAGGGAGCCTCTTTTACATGGGCACTACACATGAAATTACTCCCAGAGAATTGAACAACAGTTTGAGAAGCCTTATCAAATTTGCTGTCTCAGCTTCTCTTCAGGGATCTTACACATGCTAAGAAAAACGTTAGGTTAATTAGGCTGGGCTCAATGGCTCATGCCTGTAATCCCAGCATTTTGGGAGGCCGAGGCGGGAAGATCATGAGGTCAGGAGATCGAGACCATCCTGGCTAACACGGTGAAACCCCGTCTCTACTAAAAATACAAAAAATTAGCCGGGCGCGGTGGCGGGCGCCTGTAGTCCCAGCTACTCGGGAGGCTGAGGCAGCAGAATGGTGTGAACCCAGGAGGCGGAGCTTACAGTGAGCCCAGATCGTGCCACTGAACTCCAGCCTGGGCGACAGAGCGAGACTCCATCTCAAAAACAACAAAAGCAACAACAACAACAAAAAACCTTAGGTTAATTAACAAGGGAATGGGGGAAAGGCACAAGGGAGAGTGAAATGACTCATCCCTGTGGGATGAAAATACTTAAACGCGTACTAAAAAAATAAAGTGAATAAAGAAAACATTGTTGGGGTGAAACTAGAGATTCAGGAATCGAGAGAGTCATGAAATTCACCCCAGTGTGGTGGAAATTTTTAGATAGTTTATAAGATATAGGTTAAATAAAATGAAAATTGATAGGGTTAAAACAAAGGTCTTAATGCAACACTGTCAACAGTTGGGTGAAACAAAGGGAGCCCTTTCTGTCCCCCCCAATATCACAGAGCACCAAATCAGTTTGCTGTATCACTCCCAGCTGGAGAATTTTAAAAGGCTAGAAGGTAAAGATTACAATAAGAAACTTCAACTGGAATTGCCTAGGACAATGGTTAACACTGGTTAATCAAGGCAGCAATTCACAGAGTCCAGAGTCATCTGATAAGAGGGGACCCAAAGTCTTTTGCAATAGAGAAGATAAAATGGTGTGGGGGTGAAAAAGATAAGTTTATGGAACTAGAACATAAAAATATAAGGGTTGGTAAGATTATAAAACTTAGTATATTTGAACACACTTCACAGGAATTGGTTCTCCTTCTCCTGATCATATTATGGAAATGGACACTGTATCTGAGTGGGGAAAGTTTTCTCTACCTAGTCCCATAAAACAGAAGACAAGTAAATCCACTTGTGTTAGGTCATTCTTGTGTTGCTATAAAGGAACACTTGAGGCTGGGCAATTTATAAAGAAAAGAGGATTAATTGGCTCATGGTTCTTCAGGCTGTACAATTATGGCACTGGCAATCTGCCCAGCTTCGGGGAGGCTTCAGGGAGCTTCTACTCATGGCAGAAGGTGACTGGGAGCAGGCACATAAAATGGTAAGAGCAGGGGCAAGAGGGAGAGTGGGGTGAAGGAGGTACTACACGTGTTTAAACAACCAGACCTGATGAGAACTCACTCACCATTGTGAGGACAGCACCAAGCTATGCAGGTTCCTCCCACGTGACCCTAACACCTCCTACGAGGCCCCACCTTCAACACTGGAGATTACATCTCAACATGAAATTTAGAGGGTACATCCAAACTACATTACCACCCTTCAAGTAATGTAAATTCAATATGATATGGTAAATGGGTACCTGCAAGATTGCCTAAGACCACTGAATGCAGGGTAGAAGCTAGAATGCTGTTAGGGATGAATTCTGCTCTTGATTGCCCTTTGTAGAATATTTACTCAGGCTTATGAAACAAGCCTGTGAGTGCCTCCCAATGCCTACTAGAATTTTGGACTAGGGAATTTCCACTTTTTTTTCTTTTCCTTTTTTTTTTTTTTTTTTTTGAGACGGAGTCTTGCTGTGTTGCCCAGGCTGGAGTGCAGTGGCACAATCTCGGCTCACTGCAAGCTCCGTCTCCCAGGTTCACGCCATTCTCCTGCCTCAGCCTCCCGAGTAGCTGGGACTACAGGCGCCCGCCAACACGCCCGGCTAACTTTTTGTATTTTTAGTAGAGACGGGGTTTCACCGTGTTAGCCGGGATGGTCTCGATCTCCTGACCTCGTGATCCGCCCACCTCAGCCTCCCAAAGTGCTGGGATTACAGGCGTGAGCCACCGCGCCCGGCGGGAATTTCCACTTTTTACTGCCTTGTTATAGTACATTACCTGAAGTTACCACTATGACAGAAGGGCATACAATGATCTTGACACCTGAAATACCCATGCTGTCCAAGATGATGTCAGAGAAACTAATGGGGATGGCAGTGCCCCCAAAGAGTTCTGTAATAAAATGGAAATGATTTATAAAGGATTGTGCTATGTGGGGAATATGGAGAAAATACTCACAAGCTGACAACATTTTTCCCTCTGGGACTGACTCTGGAACTATGTGAGGAGCTGCTGGATCTTACAGTGCTCTCAAGTGACTGGCAAACAATGTTATGGTTTATGCATGCCAGTTCTAAAGCAAATAATGACATCCCATCTGGAAGTCTGCTACGCTTTTGAAAGAAGGTAAAAACAAATCACCTCGGTGGGCTGAATTACATCTTGTCTTCTAACAGCAATGGAAGTACTGAACAGTGGTAGAAGTCCCTGGATTTGGGTTTCTATTAACTCATGGGCATTGGCCAATGGCCTGGCCCATAGCAACAAAGGCAATGCACACTGGACCTATTAAAGAGATATCCATACACAGCCTTATGGAAATTTGAGGGATGCTATAAAGTGAAACATGTCAATGCTTATCAGAAGAGCCCCTTTCTAGGTTTGGAAGGTGACTGGAATTGACAAAACAGATATCCCCATATGCTTCCTTGAACTGGTCACCTGGGTCCAAGGAATGGGTAGATATGAGGATACCGCAGCAGTGAAGAGGTAAGCTGAGTCTAGACATGTTTCTCTTATACCCTCCCAGGCACAAAACACCCTTAAGAACTATCCTGTCTGCCAGCAACAGAAACAGAGACCGCCGATGGCTAGGGAGCATATTCTCTGTTGGGAAGGCTCAGAACGTAGCTGGTAAGCGAGACTGATGCTGGTAGCCCTGAGTATCTACAAATGGGTATTGACAGTAATAGACACTGAGTCTAGAGTGGGCTTTGCTTAACCAGTGGAAGATGCAAATGCTCAGAGTGCCAAAACAACAACAACAACAAAACAACAAAACAACAGCAACAACAAACAGAAGATGGTGCCTGGATTTGGGTGGCTATCATTTCTTCAGTCCACGGAACACACTGTACAGCCCACAGTGTCCAATAACGTGCAGAGAGAGACATCCTCCTCAGGTCAATAGTTTGCTAGAGAAGTAGATTGGGAATTAAAACACTGGGGGACATAAAAGCACAAAGGGCTGTTTTACATGCCTTCATGAGTGTGTGCTCACATTCAACATGACTGGGACTAAAGGAGTGTCCTGCTAGATTTTTCTCTGTTTTTCTGTTTGATCTGGGGAAGAGAAGATGAGCAGGATGCCGGTATGACTGAAATTCTTGCCAAGGGAGAAGTACACTGGTATAACTAACATTATTTTTTCTTTCTTTCCCTAATACCCTCAGATTTAGTTTTTCTCTACTGCCTGATGCATGGTCTTAAGACCAGGGCTACAACTACAAGTGCTGAAAGCAAGGATGATTTCTAAGCAAGAAACTGAAGCTACGTTTTTAAACCTTGTGCCAGAATTCCTAAGGGCCTGATTGGGTGGGTGGTACTTTCATCTCATCTAGCAAGTTTGGGGGCTAAGAGTGCATGCAACTATATTGCCTGGTGGTAAAAATAGCTCGCTAGTTCTGCACCTATGTAACTTTACCCTATTTAAATTGAAGTGGACTGATAAGGAGGTACTTGCTAGACTAGTGTTGCTGCCTGCAATCTAGATCAGCACAAGGGTAATTCTAATGACTCTTCCAGAGGTGAAAATATTTGAATATTAATTATGAGAAGGAAAAAGAGTAGCTGAGAATAAAATAATAAATGGGTATTAAATTGAGGCAAACACATTACATTAATACCTTGAAAGAGGCTCTGAGCAAGAAATGGCATTGTCTTTTAGCTAAATTATAATAGATAACTAAAACGGTGAAGCCGAATGTTTTCCAAGACCATTCCTGCTTTTGGAACCTGACAAGATTGAACGAAAGCCTGCAAACCTGAGTGGTCTCACCTTGGGAGACAATAATGTAATGTGATGAACTGCACTAATTATTAATGACTTAATGAGATTCTAGTAATAATGGCAATATCTACTGAGTTATATGTCCTTTTAAAGTAAGAGATCTGGGTTAGAAGAATAAGGATGGACTGTCATATTCTGAAATTTGCATTCTTTTTTAAAATTTTTATATATATATTTATTTATTTATTTTTATTTATTTATTTTTTTTGAGACGGAGTCTCGCTCTGTCACCCAGGCTGGAGTGCAGTGGCGCAATCTCAGCTCACTGCAAGCTCCGCCTCCCGGGTTCACGCCATTCTCCTGCCTCAGCCTCCCGAGTAGCTGGGACTACAGGTGCCCACCACCACACCTGGCTAATTTTTTTGTATTTTTAGTAGAGACGGGGTTTCACTGTGTTAGCCAGGATGGTCTTGATCTCCTGACCTTGTGATCCGCCCACCTCAGCCTCCCATAGTGCTGGGATTACAGGCGTAAGCCACACGCCTGGCCCTGAAATTTGTATTCTGTCTTCATCCCAGTTTCCTGGCATGCAACTCCTAAAATACTTAATATCTTCAGAAGTAAAAAAGGGAAAACTTTAATGAAATCCTATAAACAACATAATGGATAGTTTTATTTACAATTTTTACCATTATTATTATTATTTTTCTTCATCCAGGGTAGAGTGCAGTGGTGCCATCTTGGCTCACTGCAACCTTTTGTCTCCTGGGTTCAAGGGATCCTCCCATGTCAGCCCCCTGAGTAGCTGGGACGACAAGTACACACCATTCCCAGTTAATTTATTATTATTATTATTATTATTATTATTATTGGTAGAGATGGGGTTTAGCTGTTTTGCCCAGGCTTGTCTTGAACTCCTAGGCTCAAAAGACCCACCCACCTCAGGCCCCCAAAGTGCTGGAATTTACAGACATTAGCCACCACACTCGGCCCAATTTTTACCGCTCTTGAATTTCTCAGTGATCTAAGGATACACAACCAGAATCTTCACAGTCATTTGAAGGTATAAAGGTCACATGAGAGGCCAGTTTTAGATGCATAAATCTATAGATCTTCTTGCTAAATACAGAACCTAAGGAAATTATTTCCATTTCTTCTGGGGCCCACCCAAATCGAAAAGAGTACTACTAAAAGCCAACACTCTGGGCAAAAATAATTTCTACCCAACATTCCTACTTGTTCTGCATGTTAACAATGGGTTTTCTTTGCAATTAGCATACCACTTTGAATTAAAATTCTGGCAGCCAAATATTTTTGAAAGTATCCCCAAAGTACTGCTACTCAAAGGGATCGCTACATTGTTATTCCAGAAACACGTTTTACTAATGATGAAGGATTTGTCTTTGCAAACTCCTATAGTCTGAACTGGTTCAGCAGACTCAGTGGTTAAACAGACGCATTATCTTCGTGAATTTGCGTCCACTGCAGCACACTTTTTTGGACAATTTTAATTACTGATAAATGAAATTAGCAACTCCAATGATGATTTATTTTTGGTGTTTAAAAAGTTACAATTTGATATCAATAAAGCAGTGAAAATCTAGCAGAGATACAAACATCTAAATTAATGATTTTCTATCTATTTTATAACTGTGTCGCCATAGCTATCTACTGGTAATATAATACAATATCATGAAAATAACAGTTGTGCAAATCATAACTGTCGGGTAAAATCAGCATTAAGATTTTGACACTGTAGGCAGTTAGGTCTGTTAGGGGTAATGAAAATTCAATTTCCAATAACAAATATAAGTAAGCAGATTGCATGTCATGGGATTATGCAAAGATATCTTTTTGCTCAACTTGAAACATGAGGCTGTAAAAGGCACTCTAAAATTATACTAGAATATGTTTAACTGCAAGAGACAGTAACATAATAAACATCTAAAGCTTGAAAGATTGTTGTGAAATGTAACACATTTTTTGACTTAGTATAATTATCAAAGGTTTTTCCTTATCCAAAAATGTTTCTTTTTTAACACATCATTTAAATTTATATTAATCCACTACTATCTATGGCTGTCTTGAGAAAATACAAAATTTTAAATTCTTCTGAAACAGAAGATGTATGCAAGAAATACTCACAATATATGTATACTAACCAAAGCAATCTAGTGTTCAGACAATATTAATCATAGATTCTTAAAGAAATATCAGAGAGCACTCAATGCAACATATACTGAGTATAGTGAGAATGGCCTCTGCTATATAATTAAAAGCATTTTCTCACAGGATAACCCTTCTCAATTCATAATATTTATCGTTATTGAAAAAATAAAACAAAAAATGGTTTCTACCTTCAGCAGAAAATTGGTTTAACATAACAACTTTCTCTCCATGGTCCTCCTAAGGCCCCCAGAATGTGTAGAGTAAAATTTGTTTTAACTCACAGGGAAGCCCTTTAATTACATTAAAATATGTTAATAATTGTAGTTTTCATATTGTTTTTTACACTTTTTAAAGTTCCATGTTATTTCATTTTAGTAGATCTAATGAGAAGGGCCTTAGATCTCTCATCTCCGGGCTGTTATCTCTGGCAATATACCATTTTACAAAGTATCCTCATAAATAAATACATAGTCAAGATATGATTCCAGAAACAGAACTTCAATTGTTGTGATTACTAGCCTTCCATTATCCAGGTTAGAGTGCATTGACTTTATGGTTACCATTATATTTGTACACTGATGAATATTGCAAAAGCTAAAAACTTGCTAGCCAATAGTGTACAGCACATTTAGACCAAAAAATGGGACCTAATCTTAATCTATACTGCATGTTTCATTTCTTGGCATTATTATTATTATTTTGAGTCAGAGTCTCACTCTTGTTGACCAGGCTGGAGTACAACGGTGCAATGTTGGCTCACTGTGACCTCCGCCTCCCGGGTTCAAACGATTCTCCTGCCTCAACCTCCCAAGTAGCTGGGATTACAGGTGCCAGACACCACACCTGGCTGACACCAGGGAAAGATGAAAACGAACAAAACAAAAAACCAGAAATTTTCTTCATTCTCCCTTCAATCATTTCCTAGAAGCTTTTCTCATAAGAGATGTTCAAGAAATGCTGTTTGATTATTTATTTTCATGTTTAGTACATTAATCACTTAGGTTTTTTTCTACTTGTTATTTTAAAATGGGTAGTAATAGGAATTATTCTTGGACAGGTTAGATTTGGTGAACCTCCAATAATACCCAGTGAATAATTGAATACTATGCATGTAATTAAGGCTGAAACTAATACTGTTGATAAGTAATTAAAATTTTCCCAACATCATATAGAAATTCAATATTAAGGAAGAGGGTAGAAAAATTATGCTATTAGAGGATTTTTAAAGGGTTATTGCTTGCACTATTTCAAAGAAATTCTGATACTTTTGGTTATTAAATTTTTTACATATAATAATTAGATGTAAAGCATAGAGATAATATGTCTGTTTTCCTGCTAGAGCAATTTGCATTATTGAGAAAAAGGGAGTAAATATCTGCAGAAATTTATTAAGGCTGAATTTAGTTTTGAACTAACAAAAACAAGAACAATAAGGTCTCCCAGTATTACCAAATAAGATATTTTTGGGGGAAGGTCTATTTTCCAGAATAAGAAAAACCTCTGTGTGTTGCAAGCAAATTAAAGAAAAACTTTCAGGACTGGTTCTTTTATCAATGTTTTTCTTCAATCATGCCCTCTTTAAAAAGGCCATTCTTACAAATGAGATCCTCATTGTCTATTTGTCATGTAAACAGGTGGGTCAAGATGTGCTGACATTAATTGAAAATAAATGTCCATACCTTCTTTCCTGAAATATATTTATATGTTGTCATTTTCCCAGAATAGTAACCTTAATCATTGCCAACAGGAAATACTCAACAGCTAATTTCATAAAACATATTCAACTTAAGCAGTAACTTTTTTAAGCAGTGTTCTTTTTTAAACACTGTCATTTCTAGATTTATTCATCATTCTTATTTATTGTAAAAGTCAAGGTGCACTACAGCAATTTAATGTACACCATTAGAAGATAAGAAAATTAGGATATGATCTAAATGTGTCAGACTATGTGAACATTACACCACAAATTATCAGGTATAGTTACAGCAAAATGTGACTGCGTTCAATGTGACCGCATTCAATTTGACCACATTCAAAATCATATATTTAAATTTAGGATTTGGTAAATGATTTATTAGTTGTGCTCATGAGATAATATGAGCTTAATAAATATAAAATGTAGATGACTTGAATAATTGGCTGAATGAGAATTCCCTTCACCAAAAAGGGCAACACAGTAAGAGAGTAGATCTGATTTGGGAAAAAATAAGAAAAATGATTTCAAAATACAAACATTAAAAATGATTTATACATTCATTTATTTACACAGAAAATATTAATTTTTTGATTACTAAGATTCACACATATTTCTGAGATCTGGTAATATGGCAGGGAGCTGATATGGTTAGGCTTTTTGTCCCTACCCAAATCTCATCTTGAATTGTAATTTCCTGTTGTTTAGGGAGAGACCTGGTGGGAAGTGACTGGATTATGGGGATAGTCCTTTCCATGCTGTCCTCATGATAGTGAGTGAATTCTCACAAGATCTGACAGTTTTTGGTTTTATAAATGGTAGATTTTTTCTGTGCTGACACATGCCCTCCTGACTGCTGCCACGTAAGATATGCCTTTTTTGCTTCTCCTTCACCTTTCATTATGACTGTAAGTTTCCTAAGTCTGCCCCAGCAATGCAGAACAGTGAGTCCGTTAAAACTGTTCTCTTTACAAATTACCCAGTCTCGGGTATTTCTTCATAACACTGTGAGAATGGACTAAGGCAGGAGCAAAGCATATATGGTTCCTCATTGTAAGAAGCTTACATTTTAGTGGGAGAGAAGGTTCCTCCCAAATAAAAGCCATATATAAAATAGTGTCTGATGATGTTCACCCAGGTAGAGCAAGGGCAGAGATTTTGTAAAAAATATGAGACTGGATGCATTCAATAGTACAAATGCATCAGACAGATCAGATATTGTCCTTGCAAATATATACAAACATTCCATAATTAGGAAGTCACTAACAACCTCAGAGGAAAAAAACAGTTAAAGATTAATGAGAAGATCTAGTGATTCCTGTCTGGGTTGCTGTAGAATAATTTTTTTCATTAGGTGGAAAAAAAGTAAGACAAGATTACCATTCAATGGGTTCACTTAGTGACATGCATAGAAGCCAATACTATGGCTCTAGCTTTTGAGAAAAGAAAAAGCATTATTATAAGTCAACTGGCAAGAAGACAGGAGGCCATAGTAAGATCTGATTCACCTAGGTGGGGTCTGGGGGCAGGTTTTATAGGCAAAGTAATAATGGGAGAGATAGGAAAATGCAATCAGGCATGATCTCATTAGGTCATGCAAAGGGGAAGAGCCAGATCTGCTACAAAACAGGGCACACATCTCTTCATATTTCAATACCCATTCCCAATACAAACACTAAGATTACACCTGCAGTTGACTTTTTTGTTCCAGCCCCCTGCAGGGTTACAAATTGGGCATGCTTGGTTCATCTGGGCATGCTCAAGCTATGTGACCTGAAACCTGGGGGTCCACTGCACTGAAAAACAACTCATCATTTTGTGACATTTTGCTACTAAAAAAGTTGAGCCATATTGGTTCTGTGGTTATCAATCTCCTCATATTTTTTATTCTTCAATTTTGAGGGAAAGGGGGTGACAACTGCTCTAGTGACTTCTTTATAATTAGAGGCATGAATACAGGTTAGAGGAATGAAACTGTTTATCATTTCCTTGTAAAGGTTTTCTAGTAAGAAAAATTATTTTTAGTTTTAATTGGTTAACACAGCTGAGTTCTGATTGGTCTATAGGTGAGCCATGATAGGCCAAGGCAGAAGAGCTATGATTGGTTGATTCAACACAATCATGGTGGGGGTCTCTTGTGACCTTTGTTAGAAAAGACTAGAACAATTTTAAAGAGGCGCCAAATGCTTAGCCTTAATATAAGGAAAATCATGAAGTCATGTAAGGTAGAATGCAGAAGTGATCCAATACCAGTGGGAAGCCTGCTAAACATATCTGAAAACTCGACCTTTAACCCAGGAAGCCTAGCCAGAAGGCTTTCTAAAGCTGTTTCTACTTATATAAATAAAATAAGAATACTCATAAGTAGTTTTTGAATTTTGGAGGAATCAAGTAGAAATAAAAAGCAAATGCCCCCACCTTTGTTCACAAAATGATACTTTACCTAATAATTGCAAACTATTAAAATAGATATAAAAATAGATAACTTTTGAAAGAAAATTCCTTGAATCTAGAAAACAATCTTTTAAGGGAGAACTAACATTTTGAATACAGTCTTAAAAATGTTGTTCCTATTGCCAGGTGCAGTGGCTCATGCCTGTAATCCCAGCACTTTGGGAGGCTGAGGCGGGTGGATCACAAGGTTGGGAGATGAAGAGCATCCTGGCTAACACGGTGAAACCTCGTCTCTACTAAAAAATACAAAAAACTTAGCCGGGCGTAGTGGTGGATGCCTCTAGTCCCAGCTACTGAGGAGGCTGAGGCAGGAGAATGGCGTGAATCCGGGAGGTGGAGCTTGCAGTGAGCTGAGATTGCACCACTGCACTCCAGCCTAGGTGACAGAGCAAGACTCCGTCTCAAAAAAAAAAAAGACAAAAATGTTGCCCCATCAATTACTTAATTTCATGTAATTAATTTTGTTTTGCTCTAATCAAAACTGCTATTTTGATTAGCAGTTCCATGAAAAGCAATTTTGGACCACAGCTGATTGCATATGTTTCCAGAGAATTTAAAACAATAACTGTGGATGACAATAAAACAGAACAACCATAGTAAAAAAATCTAATAAAAATTTACAATTGACAGGAAAATTTAGGTATATCTGTGGATACAAACATTTTTAATCATAATCATAATAATTGAATATAATAATCATAATCTGATAACATCACAAAATATTCAAAATTTTAGAAATGTCATACAGTTTTGGAGTGCAATGGCACGATCTCAGCTCACCACAACCTCTGCCTCCTGGGTTCAAGCGATTCCTCTGCCTCAGCCTCCTGAGTAGCTGGGATTAGACATGCGCCACCACATCTGGCTAATTTTGTATTTTTAGTGGAGATGGGGTTTCTCCATGTTGTTCAGGCTGGTCTCAAACTCCTGACCTTAGGTGATCCGCCCACCTTGGCCTCCCAAAGTGCTGGGGTTACAATATTTTTAATGTGAAATCTCAATATTTACAGGCTGTTATAATTTCTATTAATTATTGCCAACTAAGTCATACAGCAAATTTCTTTCACAAATTCTCTTTCACAATCCTTATCATGACTTACACAGATCATTTATGGCGTGCTTTGACTTTCTGCTTTGTACTATATGTGTTTTTTGAAGAGCCAATCATTTTACTCCAGGACAGAAATTTACCACACAAGATTTTTTCTCATATAAAATTATTATCTTCTATTCTTAACCTTTCTTACCAAAAACACATCTTTACATCCATGTGTTACCCCAAACCAGTTTTTCATTACTGTTTGCCGGCAAATATTTACAGCTATTCCCATCAAATCGACAACATTAGACTAGTCCCATTCACCAAAACATTTATAACTTATGTGAACTTGAAAAGCAGTTGGCTTATTTGCTTAGTGTATAAATACCCATTTATTTATAAGCCACTTTGGTACCAGAGACAATACACAAACAGATATGTATATAGACAGGCACAATAAAGTTTTTATCCTTGTGGGAAATATCAGTGGAGCTAATGAAATATGGAGGAACCCCCAGGTCGCATCATTCCTAGTCACTATCTGCAAACTGACATTTGGTGGGGGTGATTGGCAGGGTTCCTTCTCTACCTGTAGGGTATAGTTAGAACATTTCTACTTCCAAAGGCCCTCTTGTTTACAATATGCACGTTATTGTAGCCCAAAGGCTGGGTAGCTTTTTACCTGGGCAGTTGAGCCCCAGGGATCTTACATATGGCCATTTGTTTTCTTCAGCAAACAGCTTTTTGTGTCCTGGCAGGGACTCGTCATGACCAAGAGCTATGAAGAGGAGCATAGTTTATTGTCTCACGTCACATTATTTTTGCCTTTCCTGGATTTGGTTATGGCTGTTATTTAAATATTTTAAAGGCAATCTCAATCTATCGAGACACTGGGATCCCCAATTCCCCTTCTACTCTTTGCAGTATGTTTTTTTCTTATATCAAAGGTACTCTGACTGATAAAAGTTATATTAAGCAGTCTCATGTTACCTGAGTATTCACAGTCAATGCCAGTATATTGCCTTAGACTTCAAAGACTCTCTCAAGAAAGCCAGAGGGATTTTCTTTTGGCCCCTGTTATACTTGTATGACTAGTGCCACTACAGTCCTGCTAAAATTAATGTTCCCCATTTTGTGCAGAGCTGGAGCAAGACCCTGCACTAGAGAGGTGTTTTGGGTCTGTGGTGTGGTGTTCATGGGAATTCCTTCCCAGAGAATCACCAATGGGCCACATATCTCCTCTTATGCATCTCAGAGGGTCCCTAACATCAGGTGGTGTTGGGTTGCTTAAGATGCCGGGGTGACTGGTCATCGTATGTGCACCTTCCTGATAAGCAGTTAAAGTTCTGTCTGACTCAGGAATGGGGTATGTGCTGGTGGGATTTCCTAAAGGACCACTTCATGTCACAGGCCATAAAACCTCAACATGTTACTAGTGGAAGGTATCCCCATTACTGGCAGTGAATCCGTATATATCTGCAGCAACTTCAATTCTTGCCTCCTCAGAAGAAAGAATTTGACTGAGGGGCATAAGGATGAAGTAAGACCAAGGCAAGTTTCAGCACAGGAGTGAAAGTTTATTAAAAAGACTTTAGAACAGGAAAAAAGGAAGATTCACTTGGAAGGGACCCAAGTGGGCACCTGAAGGTCAAGGGCATTTAACCTTGATCCTAGGACTTTATAGACTCACCTCTTTCCCATGATTATTTCCTTAGAGTGGGCTTCCTGCATGCATAGAGTCTCTTCCTGCCCTTGGGTAGTGAGCACGTGCAGTGTGTTGAGGAAGATGTATGCATGGCCATCTGAGGCTTTCTTCCCTTTTCTGGTGGAGTATCCCCAGAAGGTCATACTTTGCCATTTTGTCTCTTAGTGCACATGCCCAGGAAGCTGCTTCCCCGTGGCATCTGCGTTCAATTAACACATTAATGTTAACATCTGTGGATCATCAGGAGATTGTCTCTCCCTGGCACCCAGGCCCCAGTGCCCGCTGCTGAATTACCGGTGTTAGGCAGGCAGTGTGATAATTGTTGAACCATCACCTGACATTTCTAGTGGGTGGGAAATAAGAGCCCTCTGCTGCCATGCCCATGCCTATCTAACTGCCTGTAATAAACACTTTGCTGGGCTCCTAGTCACCTAGGAACAGCCTAAAAGGGCCCAGGGGAGCAGAGCAATGTCTCTCGGGAGTCTAAGGACCCTCATCTAGATAATTTTTTAATTAGGCCGCTACTATGAACACCAAGGTTTTAACCATTGTTAAGTCAAATATAGTTACACACACTAAAGACACAAACACAGACAAGCAGAAGTCAAAATTAAACCAACCTGAGTACCTCAGTGATTACAGCATTTTATTATCACTCTTATTCTTTGGGAATCTAACCTCAAACAGATTCAGGATGCTAATCAGACCAGGATCCCAATAGGGTGGGACTAGAACCCAAAATTCCTATGATGAAACCTTTGACAATTTATGATATAGGCACATATTAGTGAAGTACTCATCCCCAAGACATCTAAGCCAGAAGCACTTTCTTTTTCCCAAATAAGAAAGTAGTACTGCTGAGCCTGAACTGTCGCAGCAGAGAATCAGTGATGTCTCAGTCAATCCCCTAGATAAAACTGTTCTAGGTGGCCATTCTGTCAGTGAAGGGGGCCTACAACACTTCAAGAGGCTACATTGCCACAGGCAGATTTTTGTACCATTTGGGTTGCAAAAAATGTTACCAAGAATGGGCTTGCTGCCTAATACTTGGAAGCCCATACTATGGTGTTGGCTTTTAAGAAAAGAAAAAAGCTTTATTGTGGAGTCAACTGGCAACAAGACAGGAGGCAATGCTCATATCACTATCCTTCAGCTGGGATCTAGGGGCAAATTTATAGATAGTAACAATGGAAGAGATAGAAAAATGCAATGAGGCATGATCTATTAGAATATGCAAAGAGGCATATTCTAATATGCCTTGGCTCCTAAGTACCTCCTGCAACAAAACAGGGTACACCTTGGTTTTTAACTTTGGTCCCCTTTCCTCAATCCAAGATCTTAGGTTCCACCTGTGCTTAACTTTTTTGTTCTAGCTGCCCCTGGGGTCAAAATTGGGCATGTTTGGTTCATCTGGGCATGCTCAGGTAACTTGATCTGCAACCTGGGGATCCATTGCACTGAATAAAACTCATCATTCTGGCTAGGTGCGGTGGCTCACGCCTGTAATCCTAGCACTTTGGGAGGCCCAGGTGGGAGGATTGCCTGAGCTCAGGAGATCAAGACCAGCCTAGGCAACACAGTGAAACCCTGTCTCTACTAAAATACAAACAATTAGCTGGGTGTGGCAGTGTACACCTGTAGTACCGGCTACTCAGGAGGCTGAGGCAGGAGAATACCTTGAATCTGGGATGCGGAGATTGCAGTGAGCTGAGATCGCACCACCGCACTCTAGCCTGGGCGACAGAGCGAGACTCCGTCTCCAAACAAACAAACAAACAAACAAAAACCACTCATCATTCTGTTACTTTCGTTATTGACAAAGTTGAACTAAATTGAGTTGATTCTGGCATTAAAACAATATAGTGTAATATTTAAGAGAAGTTCAGATCATATCTTGGTTGAGCCATCAGAATAATTATAGAGATAAAAAATGTGCTCTAAGGAAGACAGAGAAATGCTAACAGAGTGTTTACAGCAAGGGAATCATTTTCCATCACTTGTGTTTTGCTAAGATTCCAAAGCAGGCAGGGTGTGGGAACATTTTACAGTGAGGAAAAGGGAAGGTTTTAGGTGTGCTCTGATTGGAATTTTTAGCGGTTGTGGAAAAAAAGACCACAAAAATAAGAACAAAGTCTGTCTATATATTCAGAGGTTGCTATAACAAGGGAGTTAGTCACCATCACTTCCCTTTATCAGAGAGTCAACATCAGGCAAGAGAGTAGAAAAACTTTATAGTGAAAAGAAAGGGAAGGCTTCAGGAATTATCTCATGAGAGAACGCAGGCACAGAGAAACAACGTGGGCTAAGCAGAAGTGGTCATTTTATGTGTTTGGTTTGGGGAGCATATTTGACTTTCTCTTCTTGGTCTAGGGATGAAAGTGGGAGGAAAACAAACAAATGAAAAACAGAGATGGCAGTCATTAAAACATTAAAATCATAGCAGCTGTCTCTCTAGGCCAACAGCTGCACAGGTTGTGATTTGGTTTCCTGAACTTGTTGCTGCAGAGGTTGGGAAATAGAATTTAATTGTCAGTACTTTAGGAGGCTGAGGTGGGCGGATCACTTGAGGTCAGGAGTTCAAGACCAGCCTGGCCAACATGGTGAAACCCCATCTCTACCAAAATTTAAAAAAAAAAAATTCAGCCAAGTGTCATAGCGCATGCTGGTAGTACCAGCTACTCAGGAGGCCGAGGCTGTCTCTACCAGAAACATAAAAAAAAATTAGCCAGGTGTGGTGGTACATGCCTGTAGTCCCAGCTACTCAAGAGGCTGAGGCAGGAGAGTTGCTTGAACCCAGGAGGCAGAGGTTGCAGTGAACTGGGATCATGCCACTGAACTTCAGCCCGGGTGACAGAGTGACTCCATCTCAAAAAAAAAATAAAAGAATTTCATTGTGATATACCATCTTACTATTTATTTATATTCAGCCTCTCACTTGTGCTGCATTACACTGCCTAAATCCTCCCTCCAAAACTGCAGAAACTAACCCCTGAGCTTCTGGGATTGTCCTCTATCAGACCTAAATTCATGTCTCATTTCTGAAAAGCAGCTTTCATCCAATTACTGGTGGATATGTAGTTTTAAAAGCCCAAATGAATCTCTCTGACAAACAAAATATATGAAGGGATATCCCAGCTCCTGAGTACTCCTATGGTTTTACAAAGGTCTTGCTATAATTAAAATGTAGCACTACTTTTCTTCTGCCCAGTTATACTTCTGTTATTTTCTCTCACAAATATTGATCATAAGGTCATTCCCTAGTAAATTTCCTTCAAACTTATGTTTCCAGGGAACCTGATCTGCAACATTAAATAATAATATTTGTATGTATGAAGGCTGTACATCTGAGCTAGAGATATGATGGTCTCTGTGGCCATGCCTGCAAAAACTAACATTTACTATTACAAAGGTTATTTTAAAATATGGTTCATAATTTTAATTATATTTAAATCATATGATATATCTAGGTAGACAGATACATAGAGATAGATAGATAGATAGATAGATAGACAGATAGATAGATAGACAGATACTTTTTAATCTAGACCAAATAACTGTAGTTTAGAAGATACTGAATTCTGTTAAGCAGGTGTTGATGAATCTTCCTTATGAGGTTCTAAACTTCTAGGACAATGTGATCAGTTATCCTGTGCTTCTTCTCCCCTATTTATGTTTTTTTTTCAAGCTGTGATACCCAAACTTTGTTAATTTCTCAGTTTCTATCTCATGTTATACCTTTCAATTGTGATGCATTGATATCTGCTTTTATTTTTCTTTTAATGAAGTTGTGCTACAACTTCAATATGCCATCTTTCCTGTTCTAGTAATTCATATTTATTTTTATTCTAACCAATAGATTCTATGCACTAAAGGCAGTAAGCATTCAATGTTTATTAAAATAAGTGTCTATATATGTGTAAAATCTGTTTGCAGAAATTTTCCTGAAATGTTCATAGAATTGATGCTTACATTTATACAACTTTGAATCAACAGAAATGGGACACCATGCCCAAGGAAATAAAAAATATCTTAAAGTTGTAGAGCTCATTGGAAGCAAGATTAAAAGTGATATTAGAATATATAAATAACTACAATAGAATACCTAATCAACTCATTTTTTCTCACATATGAATTATTTGCTTATTATGAAATATACTTCCTGATAATAGAAAAGGCTTAAGATAAAATAATGGCTTTTATTTTTTGTATTTAAACTGAGCTTGTTTCCTACCATTTATGGGCATAAGATACCATTTGTCAAATACTTCACGAACAGAACTTCATTTACATAAACTACTTTGAGCATCAGGCACATATCATTTTATACTTTTGCAAATGCAGTAACCAAGAAGCAGAGATTCACCTAGCTGTCATGAAATCACCTAGGGATTAAAACAAGAGCTCTCTATTGGCAAAGCCTATGCTCTTTATCATTTCTACTACATTGCTTCTCAACGTATTATTGGAAAGTTTTACATATTGGCCACATTTTTGTCCTACTATTCTTTTACTACTCAAATAAAAATCTAGAAATGAATGACATTTATAAGGATGCATTATTTTTTACTGTACTGAGGAGTGTGTCTCTAAGATTCTCACAGCCACTTTTCACGCATTTCACTGATGCCAGGCAATGAATTTCACTTGAGTTCTTTTGAATTGGTTTCAAAATGTAGTAGCTTTTAATTAATCTCTTCTTTACTAGTTTTTCTTTACTTTAAAATCCACATTAACTTTAAATAACGTGTCCCGGGCCATCAACTTTTATGCTTTTGTTTTAAGAATTTGAATAAATTTAATTACTGAGTGATTTCCTAAGGGTTTACAACTTTGATGGATACATTTTCCTTAATTTTTTTATCACAAGTCATAAAATCATATTGAAGACCGTAATTTTTAAGATATTAACCATATTGTTATGCTAGCACCCATGCGATGTGTAAAAACATGACACTCTTCCCAGCAAGTAGAAACAGTATAAACATAAAAGTATTAACATAGTTAGCATTCACAGTAACAAACACAGTTTCATTCATTTTGTTCATGTATAAGCTTACTTATATGCATATGTTCTGCTAAACTTGCAGTTTATCAGAAATAATGAAAGCTTCATTATTTTACAAACATATAAATATTTTAATTATTTTACTTAAATACATAAAGAAAAATGAAAATAAAATTTTAAAAGGGAGAGGAAAAAAGAGATACAAATAAACAGTAGATGTTGGTCCTATTCACAACAGTAATTCATGATAATTTGCAAAGCCACAAATCTGAACCGAACTTACATTCAAAACTTACATTTCAAAAGCCGTTGTTTAAAGAACAGCTTTTTAATTTGCACACACTTATGAAAGCCTACCCACAGAAAACTTACACTTTTGAAATAGAAATCAAATATAGGTGAAAGAAAACTTTCTGAGTATTCTGAGCACCTAGAAACAGAGCCAATATCATGAATGATATAACTTATAAAATAGTACATTGAGATATCCATTTCTCTGACCACAATCCTCTACAATTTAATTATTTAATTTTTATTCTCTCACTATAATTATGCTTTGACAACACAAAGATGTCCAGTCCTTGAACATGTCATTCACTCTCCCTCATGCCTATTTTTAAATTCTTCTCTATTAAGCTAACATTCCACATGGGTGATCGAAACTCTTCACAAACAAAAAATGTGTAATATATTTGCCTCATTGGTCTTTATTACATCTGCCTGTAAAACACAAATCTTATGCAGTCCAAAATTTAACTTAGTATTTGCAACAACAACAACAAAAAACTTAGACTGCAAGGAAAAGGACACAAACTTTCCAAGCATTACTTTTTCTAAGTTTATGGCCTCAAAGCATCACTAAGTTGCTAAGAATACAAATAAATACTTTTCTTCTTCCAAGTCAGTTCTTTTTCAAATCATTACCCTACTGCATTCATTGAAATGCTAGTTAGATTTGTTTCAATTCACTTTTCACGAGTGTAAATGAAGCTATAAGAAGGAAACGAATTATCAAATATCAAAAGTTACTCTCTGCATCAGATATTATTCTTACTTTTTCTTACACTTACAATGACTGAGATGCCACTCATTTCTAAATGAAGGAGTCATGTCAGAGTCTTTACTTTGCTTAGGTTCTTTGCAGAAATTAATTCTACTGAACATTTACCCCTTCATAAAATTCTTTTTTTTTTTTTGAGACAGAGTCTCACTCTGTCGCCCAGGCTGGAGTGCAGTGGCGCGATCTTGGCTCACTGCAAGCTCCACCTCCTGAGTTCATGCCATTCTCCTGCCTCAGCCTCCCGAGTAGCTGGGACTACAGGCGCCCGCCACCACGCCTGGCTAATTTTTTTTTGTATTTTTAGTAGAGACGGGGTTTCACTGTGTTAGCCAGGATGGTCTCGATCTCCTGACTTCGTGATATGCCCGCCTTGGCCTCCCAAAGTGCTGGGATTATAAGCGTGAGCCACTGCACCTGGCCCCCTTCATTAAATTGTATATTCTTTCAATTTTATAACACCATGATATCTTGATTTGGGGTTGTTCCTTTGGCCATTCCTAGAAACAACTGCCTTCCTTCCTTAATATTTTACAAAGTTCTCTCAAAGGTTGTTGTTTTGTTTTGTTTTCTCTATACCTTAACTCTAAGCGAAGACCCACATTTTTATTGTCTCCATTGCTGATACAGTTTCACATCATTCAAATTAATATTTTCAGGCTAGATGTATCTAATTTGCATATGTTTAATTCCAATTACAAGTAACTCAATAGATGAATAGACAGATAAAAGCTTATTTTTGCCCATTCTGTAGGATATCTTTTTACTTTCTTAATGTTCTTTAATGCACAGCAGTTTTTAATTTTGGTGAAATCAAAATTTGTCTATTTTTTCCCCTGTTGCTCATGCATTTGGTGTCATAGCTACTGGCAAATCCAAAGTCATGAGAATGTACCCCTAGGTTTTCTCCTAAGAGTTTTATAGATTTAGCCCATTGGTTGATTTTGAGTTAATTTTTGTAGTTAGCATGATGTGGGAGTTCATGCATATCCATTTGTCTCAACATCATTTGTTGAAGAGATGATTCCCTCTCCAGGGAATAGCCTTAGAAACCTTGTTAAAAATCAATTGGTTATAGATGTATGAACTCATTTCTGGGCTCCTGATTCTGTTCCATTTGTCTATGTGTCTGGCATTGTGCTAGTGCCATGCTGTTTTGATTACTGTAGTTTTGTGGTAAGTTTAGAAATTGGAAATGTGAGTCCTCTTGCTTTGTTCTTTTACAATATAATTTTGGAAATTAAAAAAAAGCTAACTAGCTAACAAATAATTCACCATTACCACTTCCGCCAAACATGTAACTGGGTGTCACTTTAATTCAACTCTACTTTTCAAGTCAAATTCTAGAGAATTATTCTTGAATCTTACTCTTTCCCATGAGGACATCCAAAGAAGTTACCAAATTCTATATACCATATAATCTATTTTTGTTTATTATTTGTGCAACTTTTCTTCTCCAAGACACCATTATCTTTCTATTTAATTGTGCTAATTGTTTCTTAAATTTTCTCTTCACCTCCAGGTTTTCTACCCTGCAATCCTATTTCACCCTAATCAATTTTGCTCATTGCAGCTATTATTATCTTTTTATGTCATTTTGTATCTTATAAGTCATAAAACATTTTCAATTTTAGAATAACATCCAAAGTTTTTTTTCAATTTTATTTATTTTGGTAACATCCAAAGTTTTCTAACCCACATTACTTCTCAAGAGATATATCACATTTTTATGGTTAATTTTATCTCCTAAAAATTCATATGTTAAAGTTCTAACCCCCGGTTTCCTGAAATATGATCTTATTTGGAAATAGGGTCCTTGTAGATGTCATTAAATTAAAATGAGGTCATATTGGAATAGATGAGTACCTAATAGAATATGTCTGGTGTTCTTTTGTAAAGTAGAAATATAGAGACAGACACACACAGAGGGACAACAACATATTAAGATGAAGGCAGATATTGGAATGATGCAACAGAAACAAAGGAACACTGATAATTATCAACAAACCACCAATACATAGAAGAGAAGTGTGAAACACATTTCTCTTTCACAGCCATTAAAAGGAATCAATCCTTCCAAAACCCTCATCAATTTCTGTTGTTCTAAGCCATGCACTTTGTGGTACTTTGTTACAGCAGTCCTAGCAAAGAAATATGTAGGTCATACATGCCCTAAAACTGAAGCTGCAACCTTGCTTAATTATTATCGTTTTCTTAACTATTACATGCTGTCTTATCTCCATTCCAATTTAACTGTCTACTAGTTATCTTCATCATTCAGCTATTTCTTATACTGTGTCAAATATATCAATAATGTTGGTCTCAATGTAAATGTTTTACTCTGGAATGTCTTTCAAAATGTTTCTTGTGGGATTGGGGGTGGAAAATCATGACTACAAAGTTCTAAGGGCAGATAATGCCCTCCTATGGAGTTTCAGATCTGAGGAGCTGATTAAGCCAATATCAATTAGATTAGAAACCTGAGAGGTTTCTGTCCCAGGAACACAAGGGTGGAATGAATCTTATTAGGTTGTTTCCTAGACCCACCTAGAACACTTTCTAATTAGTTAGATATTGTCAGCTTCTCATCCTATACACCTAACCAGAAAAAAAGAAAATATTTTCCCATAGAATATAATGTTATTTACAGTCTTAATGGGCTCTTTCTAAAATGTCTCATAAAATGATTACTACGTATAGAAAGATGAATGAAAATATGACTGATAATCCTAGGAAAAGAAACCTTACTCACGGTTGATCCAGATACTATAGTTGAACAAGGAATCTTTAAAATTCCATGCTTAATATGACAAACAATATAGATTAAGTGTTAAAAAATAAAGATGGAACATTTTCGTTACAGAGAATTGTTATCTGCAAAGTAATGGAAAACAAAGGAGAACTTTATTTTCTGGAAATAAACAAATAAATGAAATCTGTAGATCTGGGAAACGCAGGCTCTGATGTAAATTAAAGTGTGCTCTACGAAACAAAGAGTGAGACTGGCTTAAAGAAAGTTCCTGCCTCAGTCTTCAATCAGGTCCATATATGCAAATGAGGAATTCAAATTTCTTCAGTCCTGATTGGTTGGAAATAGCTGGGTATAATTAAGCAATTTCCAAGCCCAAACCAGAAGTTTCTGTTGGATGGCCCTCTCAGGTGGCTGACCACAGTGTCTCAGCTTAGGTTACAAGAACCATCCTAGCTCAGAGGCATGTGCAGCATGCTTGTCTGGAGCCTTCCTTGTATGGAACAAAGAGGGCATCATTGCCCTTTTCTCATTCACCATGGCCTCTGGGTAAGTTTCATTTCACAAGTGGAAGACACAGCACTAGAAGTCACCTAAAGTAAAGCACAGCAGGAAAAATGAAATAAAATACATGGGATAGTCTCAAAAGATCTAGTAAACAGACAATTGGAGTGCCACAGGAGGAGAGTGGTTATGTTTTAGAAGATAATAGCTGAGAATTTTCCAAACCCCTTGCAAATTAACTCATAGAATTAAGACTGTCAACCAATTCTAAGTTTAAACACTCTTGCTTACCTCCTCTGCCAACTCACCCTCATGCACTTACATAAACTCAGGCACATCACAATTATACTACTGAAAAGCAAACTATCAGAATAATAAAAGCAGTTAACTTTGGAGAAAAACTGCTACCCTCAAAGGGCACAATGGTAGGGTAAAAACTAACATTTTAAGAGAAATAATAGAAACCAGAGTGGACGAAAAGATATTCCAAAGATTGACAAAATAATAGGCATATTGGATTCTACAGCCAACTGAAACATTCTTCAAAAATGGAAGTGAAATAAATGTTTCAATCATAAAAGAGGGAAAGTAATTGTCCATCTGCCTATCCTAAAAGAAAACATGAAATTTAATAAAAAAATTGAATATTATTCATAGCAATGTTTAACCAAAACCATGTACAAGAACACACAGCACCATTATTTCCAAGATCCCCACACTGGAAAACTAACCAAAAGTATATCAGCACAAAATAGATATATTAATTTTATTACATTTATACAATAGATTACTATACAGCAATTAGGATACATAAAATAATTTTACATGCAAAAATGTAGATGAATCTACAGATATAAGGTAGAATAAAAAAACTAGTTATACAAGGGTTCATATTGTATGATCATGTTTATTGTAAGTTTCCCTCAGGAATATGTACTAACAGGTAATAGTACTCAGGATATTGGTTACACTTGAGGGTAGTGGTTTGCAGAGGGCAAAGTCAGAATTCTGAAGAATTGGAACATTCTGTTTCTTGACTAGGAGTCATGTCATATACTTTTATTTGATTTGTGAAATTAAAAACAATTGCATACTTATACTATGTTTATATAAATAATATAACAAATATTAAAACAAATGCCAAAATGAGAGTTAATGTAAGTTTCACTGTAGGCTGTAATGACTAAATGAATAGAACTTGACATAATTCAGAAGAGTAAAATGATTTATAAACTTAAATCAATTTTTGTTAATTCGATAAAATATTAACAAGGATTCACAGAGCTGAGTTTTGCCTTGTGGGTTTATTGTAAAGAAATGTTTCCAAGAGTATTGAAAAATATTTTCTCTAGCTTTAAACTTCAAGATAATTAAAGTTGGGGACTTTATTAGAATACATTTTCTTAAAAAACTTCAAATAAAGCTTTTAAAATCTGACCTTCATGAATGTAAATGTCTGGTTTGTTAATTTTGTGAAGATCTGGGGCACACAATAGAGAAATGAATAGTTATCCTCAAGAGCAGCTGAAATAGGAATACAAAAAATGTCTTTTTGACCTGTGATGGGAGAGATAGAATCATCGTAATAAGGCAATGACAGCACAGATTAGTTTCTATGAGAACTGGAAAAAAATTCCCTTTTGTTAGATAGGATTAAAATTTTTAAAAAGTACCTCCTCTTGTGGGACCAAGAAAAAAGGTGCCCTTCTTCTGAGGAGACACTGCCCAGTGTCTGGGAACCCAGTTGTGAAGGCAGAGGGCTAGCTGGTTTTAGTTTTCTCTTGTGTCATTTCTTTTATGCTCTATTTTAACAGACATAAGGGTTCCTTTTGAGGATAGCAGAACAAGAGAGAAGGAAACACGGTTCCTCACACAATGACACCACCCTGTCTTCTAGGACTGCTAAATATTAGATTGCTAAGAAATAGAGAAAAAATATATATAATTAATTTAGTTTGCTATTTATGTTTTGATTTGATATTTATATTTGATACTGCAGCCAAGCCTATATCCTAAAAATAAAAAGAAAGAAAAACAAAGAAAAACAAATAAACAGTAGCTGAAGATAAACTCTCAATAAAAATTATAAAATAAGAAGAAATGTACGCTAGGGAGATCGGGTTCCCTGTCGCCTATGGAGTTAGTCTGTGTTTTGGTTTTGGTTTGGTTTTGGTTTTGATAGGGTCTCTCACTTTCTCCCAAGCTGGAGTGCATTGGAGCTATCATAGTTCACTACAGGCTCAAACTCCTGGGCTCAAGTGATCCTCTTGCCTCAGCCTCCCAAGTAGTTAGGACTACAGACATGCACCACGCCTCACTAATTTTTTGTTTTTTTATTTTTGGTACAGACAAGGTTTGGCTCTGTTGTCCAGATTAGCCTCAAAGTTCTGGCCTCAAGCAGTCCTTCCATTTGGGCCTCCCAAAGTGCTGGGATTACAGGCCTGAGCCCAGCCATTGGTTCTTTTTCGAAAGAATATTTCTAAAGATGTTCTCTCTGGTTAGGCTTAGCGAGTTGAACATCTCTCTGACAATCTCAAAGCAAAACAAACAATGTATCTGAATGTACAGATAAGAAGACCAGCTGGACTTTAATTATGACCACTTTGACACATAATAATATGGTGAAATTTTCATATTTAGAGATTAAAAGTCAACATTATTATTTTTTTAAAGAATGGATGATCCCTATTTATGGAGATGATAATGATTGTTGAACAGTAGAAGGGTAAAATAAGTATGTAAGTAAAGAATCTTCATTAAAAATAACATAAAATGTAGGTGGACATTAACTAGTTAATTAGAAAACCTGAAATCGATGTATACACTTTGATTATTTTCTCTTCCTCTGGGGAATAAAACAACTTCCTTTAAAACTGTTTGTTTTAAATCTAGCCAGTCGTGGTGGTAGGTGCCTATAGTCCCAGCTACTTGGGAGGCTGAGGCAGCGGAATGGCATGAAGCCGGGAGGCAGAGGTTGCAGTGAGCCGAGATCGCGCCACTGCACTCCAGCCTGGGTGACAGAGTGAGACTCCGTCTCAAAAAAAAAAAAAAAAAAACTGTTTGTTTTTCTTCAAGTATTGGTTATGAGACTGTCACATTATCCTTCCAAGGTCATGACAAGGCTTGCCAGGTACCTCATCAGCATTTCTGAAACAAGCTGAAAATTCACTAATGATAACATTATTGCCTAATCTTATTGTGAAGGCGAGTTACCAATTTACTACCTGCCAAAAGGCGAGCTTTAAAAAACAGATGAAAAATTATTTAGGGATTCACATAATTACCTTATAAGGATTTAAGAAATAAAAACAGTAGATCAGAACAAAAAAAGGAAAGGAACTTAAAAATGGAAAATAATCCATCAACCACAGCAGATTATTTACTTAAAACATTAGATTTAGGTTCTGACTTACATTCACAAAGCTTTTGCTAATTTGTTTCAGGTTTAATGAGTTTTCTAATTACGCTCTCCTCCACTTGTACTTCCTTGAAAGGCTTGAGATCTGCCATAACTGTATCAAGTTTAATTAATTTTTAATTAATTATATATTACCAACAAATGGTATTGTTTATGCTCTTGTAAACTTCAGGTGCCAGCCTGGACACCTGAATTGCTTTCTGTAGAAACAGTGAACTGGTGATTTTTAAATAAATTTAATATATTAGTTGTACTTTGAGGCCCTTATATTCTGCACTGCTCTGTTCTTTTTCATAAGAAATAATAGTGTGCATATCCCACAGAGCAAGAGCTGTAAACCTAATTAGACAGATTTGGGATCAAGAAGACATTTAAGAGATGAATGTGTTTGCTAATTTTTCAATGATGGTATAGAATCTAAAAATTATCTCATTTTAAGTTTCAAATGAAGAATTGTTTTGCCTCATAAAGACACTCACATGCAGTCTGATTTACTCTTATCTGACTTTTTTTTTTTTTTTAAACTCTGCTAATGAGGTTTAGTGGGGAAGAAATGGCTCTCTGCAGAAACTGATAAAGCTACAGGCAAGAGGGAGAATGCCAGAAGCTTGGCAATACACTAAAAAGCATTTCTGAAATTGTGTCCTGCTTGATTATCTGATACTGTAGCAGCATCCAAAGTGGCAACAAAGAAGAGGGACAGATGGCAGGAAGCAAAGGTGGCAGATAACAGTGCTAATAAATTTCAATGTTATCCCTTGTCATGGGCTTGTTTCCCCTCAAAATTCCTATGTGAAGCCCCTAATGCCCAGTATTTCAGAATATGACCTTTTTTTTGGAGATAGGGTCTTTAAAGAGGTAAGTAACTTAGAATGAGGTATTTAGGCTGGGCCCTAATCCAAGATGATTGATTCCTTAAAAGAAGAGGACATTAAGACATACAGAGAGAGACACACACACCAGACAGGCCTCCATGCAGAGTGAAGACCATATGAACACAGCAAGGAGGCACTGAGTGCAAGCCAAATAAAAAGACCTTAGAAGAAACAAAATCTGCTGACACTTTGATCTTGTGCTTAAAGCCTCCAGAACTGTGAGAAAATATATTTAGCTTTTGTTTTTTGTTTTTGTTTTTTTTTTTGTTTTGTTTTGTTTTTGAGATGGAGTTTCGCTCTTGTTGCCCAAGCTGGAGTGCAATGGCACAATCTCGGCTCACTGCAGTGTCAGCCTCCTGGGTTGAAGCGATTCTCCTGCCTCAGCCTCCTGAATAGCTGGGATTACAGGCGCATGCTACCACCCCTGGCTAATCTTTTGTATTTTTAGTAGAGATGGGGCTTCACCGTGTTAACCAGGATGGTCTCGATCTCCTGACCTCGTGATCTGCCCCCCTCAGCCTCCCAAAGTGCTGGGATTACAGGCATGAGCCACCACACCCGGCCTTATGTTATTTAATCCCCCCAGTCTGTGGAATTTTGTTATGGTAGCCTGAGCAGACTAATTAATGTACCTGTCCCTTTCTGTAGAGGATACAGTCATTCAAGAATCCACTCACCCTGCTTAGAACAGATGAATGGCAGACTAGAAGGCACTGGATTGGATCAAGAAATTGGAGGGACCAATTCTATCACTGACCAAAAAAGAAAAGAAAAAGTAAGAAGTAAAAGCAACTCCTTTTGCACATACTGTCTGAATTGGTCCAATTTTACACTGCTACAAAGAACTTCCTGAGAATGGGTAATTTACAAAGGAAAGAGTTTTAATTGACTCATTGTTCAGCATGGGTGGGAAGGCCTTAGGAAACTTACAGAATCATGGCAGAAGACTAAGAAGAAGCAAGGCACCTTCTTTACAAGGTGGTGGGAAGGAGAATGAATGCAGGATGAACTACCAAACACTTATAAAGCCATCAAATCTTGTGAGAACTCCCTCACTTTCACGAGAACCGCATGGGGGAAACTGCCCCCATGACTCAATTACCTCCACCTGGCCTCTCCCTTGACATGTGGGGATAATTGGCATTACAGGGATTAAAATTCAAAATGAGATTTTGGATGGGGACACAGCAAAACCATATCACTGTCCCAGATATGAATCTTATTATCACTTTATTCACATAATTTCTAATTGTCTTTTTACATCACCTAGTAATTCTCACTTGATGTTAGCTTTTATTAAAAAAGCAGAAACATGAGAAGAATTTTAGGTATGGCAGCATTGGATTTGAGTCTGAGTGCACTAAGAATCATGTTAACAGCTGTAAAAACCTGGAATAGCTCTGATCAATACCCTAATAGTCAACTAGTAAATATGGGCGAGGCTATTAGTGGTTATTCTTTGTAGCCACCGGATTAATGTGGTTATTTCTCACAATTCATTCTGAGCATTTTATACCTCCAGCAGTGAAATAATCATTGGGTATAAAAATGGCCTGTGTGAAGCTTTCTAATTTTGTCCTCTTCTACTTTGACTGGTTTCATATGTGATGATTGCCCACTATAAATAAAGGTTATTCATTCTTTAATGTAAAAATATACATTACTGTTAGTAAATTGATTTGAAATACATAAGAATTTGAAATTTACCTTGAATTTTTCAAATGCTATATTTTATACATCTTTTATGATTGAATCTAAACTACTTGACAAAACTTGCTCACAAAAAAGGAAATTATGTTAATAAGATAGCCTATTTACTACAAAAGAATATGCAGAAAGTAGGGGAAATAAACAGAAGAAAATAATCAAGTACATAGTTATCCATAAATAGAATATAAGTCCACATAATACAATTTGAAAATGTTAGATTGTGCAAGTTTTTGTAAAAGCTAAGACCAATTAAATGCTCACAAATTAGAATAAGACAGTGGGAAGGGGATCTTTTTAAGAATGTATTATTGTTAATGATATATATATCAAAGATATATATATCAAAGATATATATATATCAAAGATATATATATCAATGATATATATATCAAAGATATATATATCAATGATATATATATCAAAGATACATATGTATCAATGATATATATATCATTGATATATATATATATATCAATGATATATATATAAAAAGATGCACAAACATTAATCACAGCAACAGCATCCAACTCATATGAGTAACAGTGGCTATGGTAACAGTGTTGATGTTTTTTGCCCACTGCCACTGGGCATGCCCACTTGATAAAGCTTAAACTCCCAGAGCTTTCCTTCAGTTTCCTCCAAACTGTGGCTTAATCTTAAATTTTGGTGTTTGTACTCAACATCCAACTCCTAAGTGTTGGTGCAGTTATGTTGTCTGGTACTCAGAGCAGTTTATGAGATGAGTTTTAACTTCAGCTCTTTATCCTTTTTGGTTCATTTATTTTGGTTTTCTAAGATTTGATATAAAACTACCCACTGAAGTATTAACCCATTCAATATTCTTATAAAAAATTAGTTTTATGCTTTAATAAGAGAGCATTTTATATTGCTTAAAACTAAGATTCTTGCCTAAAAAGTAGCATTGATAATTTGCTATGTGTAAGATTCTATGACGTAGTTGTTTTTATGAAAGGTATGTAATTCTTTATGAAGAGGTATGTAATTCTTAATCTTAATAACTTTGTGGTTTGGATTGGGAGATCAAATAAAATGGCTTGGACTTTTAATAAAAATCTAACAAAGATACAACTAAAAAACATATGTTACATACTTATTCCTAACACGTGGAAAGTATAAACTATACTTGCAGTGAACTCACAAGAGATGTCTTTTCGTTGTGACTGCATGTGAGAACTTTAATAAAAATAGACTTGAGGCATGTAGGTAGAGAGGGTGTGAGGAGGCCGAGTTCTGTCAGGGAATTGTTAATATCTTATTCATGTTTTGTGATCAATGTATGTTATATGATGTATTCATATTTAGTAGACATTTGCTAAATGAATGAATGGATGAATGAATAGGTAGATGAAATAATGGAGCTGATTTACCAATAGTGGAAACATAAAACCACTAAAATGCATTTTATTTTTTCAATAGACAGTAGACTACTCTTTATATATATATTTTTAAATATATGAATACATAATAGTTGAAAAAATTTATGAGGCACATGTGATATTTTGATACAAACATACAATGATTAATGATCAAATCAGGGGACTTAGAATATCCATCACCACAAAAAGTTATCATTTGTTTGTGTTAGGAACATTCTAATTCCAATCTCCTAGTTATTAATATATTGAAATATACAGTAACTTATTTGTAACAAGAGCTGCCCTATTGTTCTACTAAACACTAAATCTTATTTCTTCTATCTAATTGTGTCTCAGTACTTGTTAACTGACCCCACTTTATCCCTCCCCTACTACCATTCCCAGCCTCTAGTAATGATCATTCTACTACCTCCATAAGATTACTTTTTTTAGCTACTACACAGAAGAGAGATCACGTGAATATTTGTCTTTCTGTGCCTGGCTTATTTTGCTCAACATAATATCCTCCAATTCCATCTCTGTTCTTGCAAATGATAGGACTGTTTATTTATGGCTGAATAATTTTCCATTGTGTACTACAATATGTACCACATTTTATTTATTTATTTATCTATCCACACATGGACACTTAGGTTAATTCCATATCTTGGCTACTGTGAACAGTGCTTGCAACAAACATAGGGGTTCAGATATCTTTTTATACAGTGATTTGTTTTCTTTTGGATACATACCCAGCAGTTGGAATGCTGGATCCTATAGTAGTTCTGTTATTAGTTTTTGGAGGGACCTCCCTTCATACTGTTTTACATAGTGGCTGTACTAATTTACACTCCCACCAACAGCACACTAATCTGTTTGGATTAAACATTAGTAGATGAATACTGAGTGCTAACGTCAAAATTGTAAGATGCAGCCATAGGTGGAGGGAAATGAAGAAAATATGTAGGGATTTTTAGCGGTATCAAATGGTCATCAGAGAGTATTTGAAGGTAGTTAATCTTCTACTTTTGGATATTGAAAATTAGAATTGAATCTGCAAGTAATGGAAGTCAATTGAAATGTTTTTGAATAACCTATTTGTAGTATATGATAAATAATCAATTCTTTTGATTACAAACCTATGATTTAAAGTCTTCCTTATCATGTGCTTTTGACACATTCAGAAAATTCACATAATTATTTTCTCAGATAAATTATTCCTTTCAATAGAGTTTTAAAAGTTTATAAAGTTAGATGAATTTCCAACATTAGGAAGTTAACTAACTTTCAACAGGCATTGATAGCAACTAATAATTTACACTAACTCTTCAACCTGACTTAAAATGACTGATGTATTCCAATTACCTTTCCTTTGACTGTCTTAAGCTATATACATTCATATATATAGATAGACACACATCACAATAGTCAACATGGTTGATCTCATGCGCACACACATATGCAAATTTTCTTTTTCCTTTTTTGTGGGTTTGTATTTTTCTGATTTGTTTGTCTTCTCTGTCTTCTTAAAACATGTTTTATATTTTAAAAGCCCTTTACTGTGTTTCCTATTACTATTACAATTTTATTACTTTTTGTTGATGCTATGTTGTTATTTTAGTCATATGTTTGATACTTAATATTATTCACATCTAACTATAGATCATTTGAAAACATGGATCATTAATGATGACATGTTTAGTATAATTAACTACATTAAGTATATTGATTCCTATACCTCTAATGTTAGTTTTAAAATGCAGAAACATTCTATAGTTGCACCCTAAAAAAGAATAAGTAGACTTTAGGGCTTGAAGTTATATGGTCTTCAGTTTTGTGTAAGTATTTTTTCTTATCACCATTTAAACTCTTTCATGTATTTTGAGTTTCATGATTTTATACTTGACAGGTACATTCTCCTCCATACATAGGCATGGAAAGGTGTGCCAATCAGAAAGCAGGAATAAATGTATGAAACTGATGATGCCTTTGATGCCATGCATGCAGTACTCCACCAGACAAAAATGAAAACACATCAAACACCAGATGACAAGGTAAGTTAACAGAAGTACTTCTCAATGGGAAGGGATTAAGTTTTTCTTCTGAAGACCCAGAGTGATGGCTGTTTTGACTCCTGGTATCAAAACGACCAAACTGAATAAAAGGGTCAAAGTATTAAATACGTACTCATTTCATGTTCCCAAAACTGTTAAGTTCATGCAGGAGAACTTTAGCCATAATTTGAATCTGAAGGACACTATTGCAGTTTAAATATTTCTCAATCCTTCAGTAAATGATAATATTCAAGTAAGTATGTGCCTACCTTCTCAAAGATAGTGCTTGTACTTTGTAAATGTCCAATAGTATGATTTCCTATGAGATACATGAGATTATTACTATTGACACCACCATCATATGTAGGTGCATAGAGCCACACTTTGATGTTTGACCTGAAGGAGAACCAAAAAAAATGAATAAATAAATTTTAGAATGTTTATTTTGTCTTCAAAATTTATGTAAAGATGTTCTGGTGGGATGTTGTTTGAAGCATCACAGGATCCCTTCTGCTCGAGTTTGCCATTTTCCTACCTCCAACACTCATATTTGCTTATCCATACAGTGATGTTATTACAAATTTAAGAGTAGCCAAAACACAATGGCAAATATTTGCCAAGGTAACTTGTCTGGTTTTCTCATAAAGGTACATTACTATTAAGTCTTTACATTACAACCATACTGCCACTGAATATAGCATTTAAAGCGAAATGTATAAAAAGAGATTACCATTCTAATTTCAGTAAATTTGATATATAACAAATAAATATAATAGAAGCTTTTGAACAAAGCTGAATAAATACAATAGAAGATTTTGAAGAAAGCTGTTTCTGATGTAATAAATATAAAATTAACTATGAAATCATTTCATAAACATATCTCATAATAGCAGCCATGTGGCTTCTTAATTAGAATATAAAACATTAACATATTAATAATTGAAAAAATCATTAGCTTTCTAATTGAAAAAACTGTAAATAAAGATTGGCACTTTTATGTTTCACATTGTTTTTAAAACGCTGATAAACATATTTTCATAGAAAGGTCTATATACAAAATATCTTAAAACATGCAAAGTTTGTATATTGAAATAACTTTTCAGGAAATAAATTTTCTATTTAAATCATGAATGCCTTCTGTGGCCTTAATGTCAATATCTTTAAGCATTTCTTGAGTTGATTTACATTTTTAACACAAATTTATTCTGAAACATATATAATACCTGTAAAAAATTTTGAACAACTGACTTGAAAACACTCTTGTTGTATCACTTATTTCCTGTTGTTATCAAAATAAGTAATGAACTGGAAATTGCATCTGCCAGTATAATAAATGTATTATACCAAAAAGGTTAACTTGTTTGAATAAAAAATTACTATTATAAAATATGTTGGTGCACAATTCTGGACCTATTTAAATTTATACATACAAATATTAATAATAGTAATGATTTTAAGTGCAAAAAGACAAAGCTCATAACAGAAGTTGATGAAGGACATAAGACATTTCAGGTAATGATTTTCATAATAAAGTCTTATTTTTACACTGGTTTACTAATTTATCATACAAACTTGGAAAAACCTTATCATGTACTGTGCACATAAGTGTCATTATTTATTGAAAAAGAGTGAATGAATAAACAAATAAAAACTGATGAAGAAAATTTAATTAGGGTAATGACATATTGACACCTATTCTAAATTCTCACACATTGATTATTAAATCTTAAAGAAATTCCTGTTTTTAAATTATGAAATAAAGTGTTTTTTGCTAATATTTGATAATGCTTTATTTTCCTTACTTATTCAATGTTGTGTTTCCTCAGAAGATAATTTAAGAATGTAAAATTCAACACATTGAGTAACAGGGAATTGTTTGGTTTACTCTACACTGTAAGCTGCATGTGTACCAGATAGTTATATAAAATTACAGCTTTTGAGGTGGAGGAATCAAAATATCTTATTTTTTAATACTTAAAACACATAATTGGTCTCTATATAAGAAACACTAGATCAATAAATAATAAATTAGTGTTTTCTTGTTTTTGGAAAACAATAAGGAAATAAGGTTAAACATTTTTAATCATTGCCCAAACATTTTCATTTCATTTGATACATAGTATAGTGTTAAACTCATTTGTTAACACATAATGATTTTTTTCCTCTAATTCAAAAATGATTTTTCGTATATATAGAAGTAATGACTGGTTTTAAAATTTATATTACTAAATATAATAATGTAGTGTTGAAATATCAGTATATGTAATATACAATGGAATTTCAAAACCTGAGACATATTTCAGTCCTCATATTTTCTTGTCAATTTATAGGACACCTTTTCAGCTATATAATTATTAATATAAGATCCATCTAATTATAACATAATAACTTCTTTGCTATAGCTTATACATATATATCAAAGCATATTTATAAGGTAAACAAACTAAAACAAGCATATAAATATGTAATAATATTTTATAAAACACTTCAAAGAGAGGTAAAGAACATCACACACCGGGGCTTGTTGTGGGGTGGGGAGGTGGGGAGGGATAGCATGAGGAGATATACCTAATGTTAAATGACGAGTTAATGGATGCAGCACACCAACATGGCACATGTATACATATGTAACAAACCTGCACGTTGTGCACATGTACCCTAAAACTTAAAGTATAATTAAAAAAACACATAAGATTAATGTGGTGATAAAATATTACACTGATGATAAAGGACTTTTTTGAGAGATCAATAATTGTCCAATGAGAATCAAGAATTGAAGTATGTCATCAATGTTTTTTTCTAAAAATATACTTTCTGAAAACTTATTTGCCATACATTACGTTAACTGCTAAGCAGCAACTAAAAAATATATTATCTGCTCCTCAAGAGCATAAAAACAAGGAACTAAGTATTTGCAGGCATACACAAGCATTTTGAAAGGGCCATACTACATACCAAAAGCATCATAAATGCATTTTGTTGAAGAATTATGAAAGTAATGCTATTGTGATTGAAAACATAATCTAATGTTTAAACCACAATTTGATTTAGCAAAAAATAAATAAATAAAATAAAGTAATGGGAGATTCATTATCTAGAAACATGTACAGTATTTTTTCAATAATTTAAGCATATTTTTCATTTTGTTGAAAGGTAATTTACATAGCATCAATGTATTAAATCAATTTGAAGAAATATTAAACAGAACATTTTATTTTTCTATCATACTAAATTAGAAAATTAGATTTGTAGCTTATATTTCTAATATTCTTAATTAAATATACCTGGTTTAGATATTAAACATACTGGATTAGAAAAAAGTGTGCAATAAAATACTGCCAAAATTTTACTACAATGATTAAAATAGTTCAATGATCTACACATTCCAAATTTTTTTTCAATTTAACTGAGAGAATTGTCTCTTATCCTCTCTGAAGAGGTTTTATTGTAAATTCCACATTTTTGCTTCTGAAGAAAAAATAATTTCTTCACTGAATAAATGTTTTAGGTTCTGATTTTGAATAAGATGAAGTAACTCACAGCAGATCAAGAACAACTGAAAAATGCAGATGAAAATTCAAGAATAGTCTCTCTTTAAAAATAAGATAGCTACATTTTCTTAATCCAGTCTATCATTGTTGGACATTTGGGTTGGTTCCAAGTCTTTGCTATTGTGAATAGTGCCGCAATAAACATACGTGTGCATGTGTCTTTATAGCAGCATGATTTATACTCATTTGGGTATATACCCAGTAATGGGATGGCTGTGGCACATATACACCATGGAATACTATGCAGCCATAAAAAATGATGAGTTCATATCCTTTGTAGGGACATGGATGAAATTGGAAACCATCATTCTCAGTAAACTATCGCAAGAACAAAAAACCAAACACCGCATATTCTCACTCATAGATGGGAATTGAACAATGAGATCACATGGACACAGGAAGGGGAATATCACACTCTGGGGACTGTGGTGGGGTCGGGGGAGGGGGGAGGGATAGCATTGGGAGATATACCTAATGCTAGATGACACATTAGTAGGTGCAGCGCACCAGCATGGCACATGTATACATATGTAACTAACCTGCACAATGTGCACATGTACCCTAAAACTTAGAGTATAATAAAAAAAAAAAAAAAAAAAAATAAGATAGCTGCCTAGGTAACCAGAGACTGAGGGGCCAAGTTGCTGATGAGTAGGAAGCTTCGGAGTAAAGAATTGATTTTATTGGGCTCATTTTCTCTTGAATCTTCTCCAAACTTGGTGGAAAAACCACTGAACATCCACCCAAAGATTGCACACAGGAGGGAGCTGCTTTTACAATATTAAAGAGCTAGAAAGACAAATTGAAGATCAGACCTGTAAAGCAACGAGGACTTGAGTAGGCAAGATATTGGAAGAAACAATGAACTGAAAACTTACAAGTGATTGGGACATTGCAGAGCAATGGGAAGGTTAACTTCTTTAATGCCAATGCAAATGGGAACTGAAATTGTTAAAATTCAGTATCTGGAACAAATAATTTTAAATAATAAAAATTAACCATTATAGCATATAAATTAAATCAATGTATAAGCATCAAAATTGCTTTGTTTAAATATTTCTGCAATTATGCCTGAGGTTTAAAATCCTGTATATAAAATAAACAACCAAGAAACATTCATAATTCAGTTTTAAAGACACAATGTGTTTGTATATTTTAATATTATAACAGCATGTTTTTGGACTGTCCTGACTTTTTCTGCTTGAAATTATTTTAAAAACTTTTAAAGAGTATCGTAACTTGCTATTTGATATAGTTTGGCTGTATCCCCACCCAAACATCATCTTTAATTTCAGTTACAATAGTGTCCACGTGTTGTGGGAGGGACCCAGTGAAAGGGAATTAAATCACGGGGGCAGTTACCCTCATGCTGTTCTTGTGATACTGAATGACTTCTCAAGTGAATTGATGGTTTTGTAAGGAGCTTTTCCCCCTTTTCTCAGTACTCATTTTTTCTCCTGCCACCCTGTAAAGAGGTGCCTTCCACCATGATTGTAAGTTTCCTGAGGCCTCCCCAGCAATGTGGCACTGAGAGTCAATTAAACCTCTCTTCTTTATAAATTACCCAGTCTTAGGTATTTCTTCAAAGCAGCATGAGAATGCACTAATACACTATTTGCATATATAATAATAATTTTTGTCTTATCATTATTTATTATTTAATAAATAAATAAATATATATGGGCATTCAGACATTTCTGAGCCTTCACTTTGAAGCTCCTGACTGAGATCTTGGATGAGGAAAGAAATATCTGAAATATACAACCACATTAAATGAAAAAACACTTGCTGAGGCTCCTTCTATATGGGGTAATCTTGTAATTTATCAAACAAAACAGGATGAGAGTAAAAGAATGGCTATTTATTACTGTGCCAAGAAATCAGGAAATCAAGCATATACTGGACTGTCACAGAAAACATGGATGTATAATAAGCTTTCACATAATCCTCTGTGACAATAGAACATTAAGTTCACAATATATTGGTCCATAAAGATTGATTAAAGCTGATTCTAAGAGAAAATGAAAAAGCTGATTCTAAAAGAAAATGAAAAAGCTGATGGGGAAACTAAGAGATTCATCTTGAAACTGCAGAAAGCACAATTACAAATCTGTAGAAGAAGTGTTTTTATATATGTTGCCTCTGTGGAGACATTTTTATCGGTAAAGTCCTCTTTGTAAATGGAGCGATTAATACTATGTGCTTTAAAGAATTAGACTCAAATAATATCTTTCAATGAATGTTATCAAATTTTCTCTCTGTTACTTAGTTCATTTTTATGTAAATCTTAATATAAATCAGTAACACATCATATAGTGTTAATGGGTCATACATAAAAATTTTATCTCTCCTCATTTTATAAGTGACATACAAAATTGTATGTTTTCTTCAGTAAGTACCCAGATTACAATTTTGCTCAAAATATAAAAATTGTGAATATTAAATAGACAATATAGTTAGTATTACAAAATATTTATAAAATAACTTTGGGAAATTTGTCAAAATTAGACCTAAAATTCTAAAAGTCCTTTTAAAGAAATCATGAACAATTAAAATACTTGGACACCTTTCACATTTGAGAGACCTGCACCACAATAAGTCAAGCAAATTTCTAAGTCTCTGCCTGCCTTAAATTCTTCCCCGCTGAGCTGAGGATACCAGAGGTTGACAACTGTAGCCTCATCCTGCAGCATCTGTGCTAAGTCAGTGGAAGCTCTGCTTGGCAAGACTGAAACACCACCATCTGTAGGAAGGCTGTTACTCTCACTCTGGAATGTCTAGTGGAATTGTAGAATTACATGCTATGATGATATAAAACTTCCTCTCATGTGTGGGTTGGCAATGTGAAGAAATTTCAAGGACAATCCCCAAAATCAATTCAATTAAATTGAATGAAATATTTGATCTCTTACAAATTTCTCAACTTTGTCGTGACTGGAAAGTACATCACAAAGAACATCAAAAACTTCATTGTGCTTAAAAATAATCATTATTTATTCATGTGAAAATCATAATTATAATTGTGTGAAAATGAAGAAATTTTTTACCTGTTCTTCCATTTTATGCAAACATACATTATCCTACAGTTTGTGATACACATTAATTTTAATGTAGTAATATCCTAGACCTGTTAAATGAATCCTAATTACTCCACATTCTCATGAAATTTACAGGTCATTTAAATAAACATCCTCAATTCTATAATAAAGATTGAGAATTAGGGAGGAACTGATGAATTTCATAATCAATTTAAAACTATTCCCTCTCTGATTTATACTCATGAATGTGTTGTTAAATTTTCAATGATTAGTCCTCTTGAGGATGAGGGAAAAGCCCTCATTTTGGGGATTTGTTGATTCCTGTGGGGCAATACTTCTGTCATAACTTAATATAAACTATGTAAAAGTTAAATCATTTCCTCCTTTATTAGTCTGTTCTCACACTGCTAGTAAAGACAAACCCGACACTGGGTAATTTATGAAGGAAAGAGATTTAATTGCCTTACAATTCATCATAGCTGGGGAGGCGTCAGGAACCTTACAATCAAGGCAGAAGGGGAAGCAAGCACATCCTTCTTCACAGTGGCAGGAAGGAGAAGTGCCAAGAAAAGGGAGCAAAGCCCCTTATAAAACCATTAGATTTCTTGAGAACTAACTCACTATCATGATATTTTACTTACTATCATGAGAACAGCATGAGGGTAATAATTCAATTGCCTCCCACTAGGTCCCTTCTATGGCACATGAGGATTACAGGAGTTACAATTTAAGATGAGATTTGGGTGGCTTCCTTTTTCTATTATCATGCCCCCCAATAGTTCCTAATTGTCAATATATTTTTTCTCTATATTTTTATTTTTATACAATATTGGATGTTCCTTCAAGGAAATAACCATATGCTTGACATTTTTTGCATTTTTTCCAACATCTTCATTAGTATACAGTGTGAGTTATAACATCACATTTCTGACGGTGATAATTACCAAATGAGAATAAGGGTCTCCTTGTTCTATATTGAAAATCTACAGACTGTACTTTTAGCAAATGTCTTGTCTTGGAAGACTTCGTGGAAATTGTCCAAATGCTCACTACTTACAATAATCTTTTCTAGCCCAACTCTAGGATTAGGCATAAATGCACTGATTATTCCAGGAGAAAAGCAGATGCTTCCCTAACCACAGATATTGAACTGGTAAAAGAAAGTGGTGCGTAGCTTCTACCATATCATATTGCTGTTATATGTTAGACACTAAACCCACCATTAAGGAGACCAGTGCTTTGTTAATCTTTCAGCTCAAATGTCCCACAGCCTAATGATTTTTGTCTTGCTCCTTGATTCAACCTGATTCAGAGGCCTTACTTTGCCATATTCCTGTATATATGAACAGTGTGCTGTACATCACCCCATCTCCCCAGAGTGATGGAGCGAAAAGAATCCTAAACCTCTCTTGGTGATTATTGGCTTATATGAGTTTCCCCTTTGTGTACTGCTCCAGAAGTCTTGATATAGGTCTGATCATTATCCATGTTTTAAGACCCCTAGTACAGTGCTCTGGGAAGAATTTTATCTATCACTTTGTATGGGAAGAAATCCTTATGTGTGTTACCTAGAAGCTCTATTCAGCTTTGATTTGGAAAAAAGTTAAACTTCTACAATTACTTTAAAACACTTTACATGGCCATATTAAGTAGAAATATTTCTAGAGAATGCATATTACAGAATGTATTGGATTTAAATTGCCTGTTTTTTTAAAATTAAAATCAAATGTGTGCTGATACTAGCCATTAACCTTCAGAATTAGGCACAGAACTAAAGACGTCTGGAAAAGCAACCAGCCTAATTGTCCATTTGCCTTGCCATCTTAACATTAACTTTGCAAAGTAGCTTATTAATTGTCAGACAGTATAGAGCAGTGCTCATGAAATGACATGCTCTTTCACTTTATTCCCTTGTTTCTGAAATTTATTCTGTCTGCCTTAATGGTTTATTACTTTCTCCCAAAGAATTAAACAAATATGCATCAATTGGCATAATTTGACACTTGTTTAAAAAAAGACATTCTTGGAATGGAGCATGATATTGTTTTTTCACCTCAGACTGGCTTTAGTGTATACTCAACTTTGCAATATGGTTAAAAAGTTGTATCTTAAATGAGCACATTATCCTTGGTTTTGTCCTGTGAGTAAAGTCCTCTGTTTGGAATGTGTTCTGTTATTGGACCTAAAGGCATATTTTCTTAATTGCTCCATTTCTATTATAACATATTTCTGTTTCTTTGGTCCACAGGATATATTTACATGTCCTGAATTACTGTAATTACTCAGCCACTATCCAGCTAACCTTTTATATGCACACTCTGCACCTGGATAGTTTATTTGCATTTTAGGTACACCTTTCCCTCCCCTGCTGCTGTAATTGGGACAAATAGGACTTAGTATCACCAAGGAAAACAGTCATTCTCTTTTTCCCCACATTAAATACTGTTCCCTTAAACACTTCAGTGGAAACCCTGTCTCTAGAGAAATGATATTTTTCACAATTATTTGAAAAATGTGTTTTTCTGTGGTTGGCACCATTATTTGCTTGTGGCTTTTATCCAGGTAAATGGGAAAATAATAGAAAGACTGACTGACAGAGAGAGAGAGAGAGAGAGAAAGAGAGATAGAGATAGATACACAGAGAAAGAAGACAGAAGAAGAGAGAATATTTAACCATAATGAATTTATATACAGTTACTGTAAATATGTTTCTTAACATAAAGAGGAGATCTCCAAAGATTTATTTTGCTAGAATGAATCTTAGTTTAATATTTATTTTTGAGGGAAATAGGTTTTAAATATATTGATTTAAAAAGGCCCACTTTATATTTTGTCTTCAAAGTAATTTGTAAACTTTTCAATTTAGATGTGTCCTGATGGTTGAGAAAGTTGTGAAGATACCAACAAACAAAATTTCATAACATTTTTATTATTCATTATTAAAAATTGGCTATTTTGTTCTTAAATTTACTTTCAGTAGATATATGTTCTATATTATGGATAAATGAGGTAAATAAATTAAGAACCCAGTTGTTGTCCTTCTGTCTATTTAGAATGTCTTCTGTATCCCTAACTAAATCATACTCAAACTTGGAAGACACTGTTCCAATTAGACTTTCTCCATACAATTATACCTCACTGTTGAATGCTACTTTAACCTTCCCTTTAGCTGGGGTCCCATACCACATCAGGCCTCCAGTTGCTTAATGACACTAGTATTTATGCTTTAGTGGGAAGGAATCATCAGTGTGATACAATAACTGATATGGTTGGCTTTGTATCCTCCCTCAAATCTCATCTTGAATTGTAATCCCCATAATTCTCATGTGTCATGGGAGAGACCCAGGGAGGGGTAACTGAATTATGGGGGCAGTCTCTCTCATGCTATTCTCATGACAGTGAATGAGTCACAAGATCTGTGAGTCACATCACAAGATCTGATGTTTTATAAGCATCTGGCAATTCCCCTTCTGGCATTCATTGTCTCTCCTGCTGCCCTGTGAAGAGGTGTTTTCCACCATGATTGTAAGACTCCTAAGGCCTCCCCAGCCATGCGGAACTTTGAGTAAATTAAAACTCTTCTTTATGAATTACCTAGTCTTGGGTATTTCTTCATAGCAGCATGAGAAAGGATAATACAATAACTGATCAAAGACCTCAGAACAAGAAGACTCTGATTTTTGAAATCTGAATTTGAACTGTTTTGACATTCCCTACCTACATGGCCTCAGTCACGATTACATTTTTTTCTCTAGTTTAAAACTTACTTATTCAACAATAATAAGTAAAACAAATGAAAACAACTTGTTGACCATCAAATAATCCTGGATATAAAGATAATTAAGACACAGCCTCTGTCTTCAGAAAGAAAATAGGATGGAGTACCATCTTTAGACATAGGCAAGAAAAGGGCTTGAGCTGGGTTCCAGTTTAGTGAAGGCCTCCTCAGTCTGTCTCTCCTCCATCAGCTCCTCACAGTCATGGCTATAGCCTGGGGGCCAAGGAGATGTGTCCTGCCAACATCCTTCTTCAGGTACTCAAGATTCCACAACTTTTTGTAAACAGCCCGAAGGCCACATGCAGGGAATGCATAATCTTCTATTTCTGTCAGTTTTCTTAGGGGCAAAATGTGCTATTAATGTGTACCCCAAAGATCTGAGCAGTGGCTGAGAGACAGATTGGCAGGCTGGCTGCTCATCCATGTGGTTACACACTAAGCCTCTCCTAAGTGAGAAGAATAAAGGAGATGAGCCATGGGCCAGGAAATTTGAGGCTTAAAAAATTCTAAACTTGAACCTAGAGTTATAGTCATTGCAAAGATATAATTGCCAAGGCCAAACACAATGGCTCAGGCCTGTAATTCCAGAACTTTGGGAGGCCGAGGTGAATAGATCTGGAGTTCACGACCAGCCTGACAAACATGGTGAAACCCCATCTCTACTAAAAATACAAAAAGTAGCCTGGTGTGGTGGCACACACATGTAATCCCAGCTACTCAGTAGCCTAAGGCAAGAGAATCACTTGAACCTGGGAGGCAGAGGTTGCAGTGAGCTGAGATCAGGCCACTGCACTTCAGCCTGGGCAACAGATCCAGACTCTGTGTCTACAGATAGATAGATAGATAGATAGATAGATAGATAGATAGATATAGGTATAGTTTTCAAGATAGATGAACAGAATATGCTGTGAGCAGTTGTGAGCTTGATTTAACTTTTACATATTGAAATACATGAAACACAGAGATCTCCAATGATTTCTTGTCCCATATTAATATCTAAACCCCAACTGAACTCTCACAAATACTAAATAGGGTCTGATTAAAAAAAGGACATTTATTGTAATTTAACCTAAGTTGTCAGAGAGGCCACTTTCTTTTTGGTAGAAAGAAAACATAATCTTGATTTAGGCAGATAAATAGAAAGTACCTAATCAAAGTGTAGAAACTCAGGCATTCTACATAGATCCTAATGCTTGCATGATGCTCTTTGGGAAGAAAGCCAAGTTGACATGGGGAGAGGCACCTGGTTCAACAAAGCCAAGCTATAGGTTTTAAAGAGGATATAGCATTTAGTTTACTTAAAATGTTAGAAACATTATCTACTATGGTATTTATTTCCTTTGGTTTGGCTTTACAGTTTTGGTTTTTTTGCCCTTCAAAGACGAGAAAGAGAACCAGCTTTGTTACAAACCTATATTGCTGAATTTTAATTGTTTTATAATTATTTCTGGCAAGATTATATAAAGATTATATTCCTTAAAGTAGCCACTTTAAAGGTCTATCAGGTGGTGAAGTTAAAGGGCTAAACAAACAAATGCTTTTATTAATTCAATTTTCAATATGGCTGAAATGTGACATCACAATTTCTGTGCAATCAGATTAAAGTCATACATCTGAGCTTATCACAAGGCCTTGAAATTAAGCAAAAGAGCAAGAACTCCCCTTTCAATATGAGGACAACAAATAAGAAAGTTAAACACATCAAAGTCCAAATAGAGATTTCAAAGAGCAGATTTTCAATATGAATCTATGCAATAGTACAGGAAGAAGATGTAGAAAAACTGGCTAAATATTCTCCAGGCTCATAGGCCCAATCAAAGACAAAGATTTACTCTCAGGCTACTTGATCAGGCACTGAAATCCATTGGATTTCTCAGTTTGAAATGAAAGCCAAAACCAGTAAATAAAATGTGAGAGATAAACCACACTTTACTGCTGAAAGTTTAATTTAAGCAATATTTGAGTGTGTGTGAAATATAAGCTTTTAGATCTCTTCTTTAACAGATTTTATGAATTGCCCATTCCATCTCTATCTCATGAACATTTCATCTATTTTGGATAAAGTATGGCTTAAAACATTAGTACTAACTACTGTCAGTATTTTGTTTAAAACGTAGCACGAAACAAATATTCAAAATCAAGGAAACAAAAAAACAAAACAAAACAAAAAACAAATATTCCCTCAATTCCTAACAATTGAGAGTAGGAAGAATAAAACATAAAGTATTCTGCTTTTTACTTTCCCTGTGAGTAATTTTCTTTAAAATCCCAAGTAGAACTCTGAATTTAAAATCATTTTGCAGCAAATTTCAGAATTTTGTTGTTTTTTTCAGTATAGTCCTTCTTGTCATTGTATTAAGTTTAGTTACATTAACTTATACCTTCACTTTAAAGTAACCTCATACTTAGATCTGAGCCCATAACATATACAATATATGACACAAATATAAAAGAAAGCAAGAAATTGTTTACCACAAAAATGAGGAGAATAGTTAACTTTAGGGAGGAGAGCATTGTGATTGCAAAAAGGCATATTGCAGTCTTCCAAGATTTTGGAAATGGTTTTTGCCTTGGTTGCACGACAATTTGTTTTATAATTAATGCATAAAATGCATTGATCTTTTTAATTATAAGAATGCTAAAATCCATTTTGTCTATTAATGATAAAGTGTTTTCAACAGGATTATAGTCTGACTCTATTAAAGACTAGACGGTATACTTAACTTACATCTTGAGTTCATGTAGATTTTGAGGAGATATTATTTTCTCTCTTCATGAATTTCCCGAGCATGTTCACTCCATCAAGAATAACTGCCAATCAGCTAAAGTTTAAAAGAAGTGGTTTTGTACCACATCCAAAGAATCTTTCAGAAATCATCTAGTCTCATGGTACAGATGCAGGACATCTAATTATGATGTGAAAAATTGACCATGAAAAAAGGAACATCATATAGCGACCGAACAAAACCTGTCATTAAAATACAAACTCTGGCCGGGTACTGTGGCTTACACCTGTAATCCCAGCACTTTGGGAGGCGGAGGCAGGCAGATCACCTGAGGTGGAGAGTTCGAGACCACCCTGACCAACATGGAGAAACTTTGTCTCAACTAAAAATAGAAAAATTAGCCGGGCGTGGTGGCACATGCCTGTAATCCTAGCTACTTGGGAGGCTGAGGCAGGAGGATCACTTGAACGTGGGAGGCAGAGGTTGCGGTGAGTCAAGATCGTGCCATTGCACTCCAGCTTGGGCAACAAGAACAAAACTCCGTCTCAAAAAAAAAAACCTCTTAGCTTGGCACGTTGGTGCATGCCTGTAGTCCAAGCTACTTGGGAGACTGAGGTTAAAGGATCACTTGAGCCAGGAGTTTGAGGCCACAATGCACCAAAATCACACCACTGCACTCCAGCCTAGACAACAAAGTGAGACTCTGTTTCGAAAAAAAAAAAAAAAAAAAAAGAAAGAAAAAAAACCTTTCTTTAATAATAAAATATTCCACAAAATATTTTATTACAGCTAATCCCATCCTTACAGCTGACCTTATTTTGGTACAAATTTAGGTGTTTATATAGTCGATTTGATCAATATTGCAGTCAATAAAAGATGCTGACTAAGCTGCCTTGGAGGATTAATTTTGTAGTGCAAGTTCAATAAATGGTTAAATTAATTTATTGTTTGATCAAATTCAAGGGAATCTATTTTACCTTGAAGTAAATCAGTATATACAAAGGAATAAAATGCTTTTCTCTGCAACATCTTCTAGGACATTTGCACTGATAATATCAGCATCAGTTTCTCCAATGTATTTGTGTCAGGAAATGGGCAAGGATTTATTGAGTAGACAAAATGGTGAACTGCAGTATCAGTTGGAAATATTTAGGTAAAACATAACTGAACATCTTTACTGTTTGAAGGTGAGTCTTCTAATTATATATGCTCAACAAAAAGATATATCTACTTTCCTCGCTCTCTAGTATTTAAGCTGTAGGCAGGTGTCTGAGACTTAGGCAATGAATATTTCATGTGATATTTAATTGTTGAGAAAGTGACACGAAAGCACACAGGCAATTGGAGGTTAATAGTCAACAGTTGCTGACTTGAGATTCACTCTCACTGTTCTGAGAGAAAGTACTCAGAATAAAAGAGGTGTCTGACATTACTGAATGTCTAGGAACAATAGTGATAACAACAGCTTCTGAACCAGAGAGTTCTTGATGTTTGAGACTTGATATGTTCTACATCTCACTTAGTTCCTGAGTATTTTGTAAGTATTAAGTACATTCTTTTGAAATGCCTGCTTTTCCTTCAGTTAAGTGATTCACTTTCTATTGATATCAACAGAAAACTCTGATTTGTAAAGCAAGAAATCAAATTCTTAGCACTGTATTTTACTCTGTTATGTTTTATTGTATTATTTGTTACTGCTGTAGGTACTTATTCTTTTGCCTGAAAGAAAAATGGTAATAGTCACCTCAGTTCCATTGTTACCTCTTTGTACATAGCTTATGTTTTGTTTGTGTTTCTCTTTAAGGCAGAACTCACATTTGCTAGGTTAATGGCATGTGATTCATTGACCTTGCATCATTTTAGTAATCCAAATCGAGGAAAGCTCTTGAGCAAGGACACGAGAAAGCCCCAAGAGTCACCTATATTCACTTGTAGTTAACGAAGCCTACAGAGGGTAGCTTTCACTGGCCTTTTATCCACAAGGATATGGGACATGATATTTGTCTCATCCCCAGCATATAAAATGATATTCCTGCTTCTTACAGAGTAGGACTAAAGCAGAACAAATTAGAATGTGATTACATAATAGCTAGACTAATTTCTAAATAATTTAATGAAGCAATTAAATTTTTTTAATGTGAGCAGGTTTTTGCCATGTGTGTGTCTGTATACACACACACACACACACATACACATATATACGTATATATGTACATATATATACACAGAGAGAGAGAGAGAGAGATTGGGTGTGGCTCTGTCACCATGACTGAAGTGCAGTGGCACAATCACAGCTAATTGCATTGCAGCCTTGACCTCCCTGGGCTTAAGCGATCCTCCCATCTCAGCCTCCAAAGTAGCTGGAACTACAGGTGCACACCACCATGTACAGCTAAACATTTTTTGTATTTTTGTAGAGATGGGGTTTTGCCATGTTGCTCAGGCTGGTCTTAAAATCCTGGGTGCAAGAAATCTGCCGGCTTGTAATCCTAGAGTGCTGGGATTACAAGTGTGAGCCACTATGCCTGACCTATATATATTTTGAGATAGCCCTTGCATTGTCGAGTACTTTCTTACTTTATACCTATGATAATCTGCATAGGGATTAACTTGCAAAATCTATTTACTATATTCAATTACTTAGAAAGTTACTGAATAACTATCAGAGAGATTAGAGAAGACCTTTGGATCTATACTAGTTCTGAAATTGGACTACTTATTTTCTTCATTTTATTCATCTTTAGATTCATGTGTACCACAAGACCCTTAATTTACAGCACAACTATACACGGATATAGATAGAGAAATATAAAATATTTCTCCTTTTGAACAAAATGAGCCTAAAAATTTTATATTCAGTATTTTATTAAACTATGAACAAATTAAACATGCAAACTCTTAAAGGACTTTACACATTCAGTAAAGAAGATAAAGTGTGGCTAATAAATAAATGTATTTTTAACTTTGTCAGTGTGAAATTTAGCAATGTAATAATTTTATTATCTAGATGAGTAATTGTAAAGTCGTCTTAAAAATTGGTACAGTGTAATAGGTCTAACGAATAAGAGGTATTTTTGAGCAATTCATAGGAAAGAATTAGATTTTATCTTTAGCCACTCTAACTAGCATTGGTTGGTGTTATTGCCAACATTTAAGAATATCTATTAAAAAACAAATAAAAATCAAAGATGAGAAAAGCAAGAGATTTTGTTTTAGATACTTTATTCTCGGTTTATTTTTATGACAGTATGGTTTTCTCATATAGCATTGAATATGATCAGGCATAATTGTGATTCAAATTACTTATTATGCTTGTTAAAATTTGACTTATTTATGACATTGCTAACCACATACATACCTTCATTAAGAATACAATCAGCATGTAGCAGCTTCCTTTATGTTATTATACAATAAGTTCACTACTTCAGGCATACATATATATATATATAAAATATATGTATAATATCAAGTAATGAACTATATATATAAAGTAAACTGTGTGTGTGTGTGTGTGTATATATACGTGTGTGTGTGTGTAGTTACCTGTGCTTGATTTACTATGCATTATTTTATTTGTATTATTACCTGTCATGGCTTATCCTCACTGGTTAAAAAAAGTGTTTATCTGACAAAATGTGAATCCAGCTTTTCCAATAGCTCCATGAAAAATCTAATATCCTTTGAAACATAAATTGCTAATGGTATTGATTTTCACTTTATAAATCCTTATTGATCCATAGTGAATTAAACATGTAAATTGCAGTGCCTTGGAAACAAGCAGTATCTTTCTTTCTAAAACAAATCTGTAGAACTTTTAATTTTTTAAATGAATTGCCACAGAAGGATTGTATATTTTCATGTAAAAGTTTTCAATTGTTCTATTACACATTAAAAATATATATTTTATAACCTGTTTTAGAATACAAAAATACTATATTTACAAAAGAGTATGACCATAATTGTTCTACTTTTTCAATAAGGGGATTGGATTAAACCCCTTGCCTTGCTATGATTTAAGCTACCTCTTTGACTAATGTTATGGTAGTGGGGTTTGCAACTTGTCAAGAAAATAAAAAGACAAAAATTATTAGATGGCATTGTCATACATTCCCGTATATCACAATAATTTCTATTAAATTACATAATAATAGTAATGCATGAAAAGCTGTATCAGTTATACACTATGACAAATTTAAAAGATTATGATATATACATTCTTTGCATTTCCTATTATTTTTTAGTAAATATGTTCACATTTTCCTCCTCTAGTTTAAGCTTTGAAATTTATTTGGTAATTAAATACAATTATTCATCAAAGTCCATACATTATTCCAATTTCCATAATATTTACCTATTTTTTAATTTCAATATTCTATACAGAGTGCCACTTTGCAATGTACTGAATGTACCTCACATGTACCATTACATTGGGAGGCTCACAATTTCAACATACGGAATTTGGAGGGACAGGTGGAGTTGAAGCTTTTGAAAGTTGATGAGGTTATAAGGGTGGAGCCCTCATTAATGGAATTAGTGCCATTATAAAAGAAACCCCAGAGAGCTCTCTTATCCTCTTTCTGTCCTGTGAAGATACAATGGAAGCCTGTAAACTGGAAAAGGACCCTTGCCAGCACCTGACCATGCTAGCACACTGATCTTGGACTCCCCAGCCTCCAGAACAGATCATTTTTCCTTGTTTGGGGGAGACTTAGTCTATGGTACTTTGTTATAGCAGCCCCAGATAAGTAAGACACACATTACATTTACTTGTTATGTCTCTCTAGATGTCTCCGCCTCTTGACTGGGGCAGTTTTGCAAACTTTTCTTATTTTTGACTGATAGTTTTAGTGTAGACTAGTCAGACATTTTGTAGAATGAGAATTTTCATGATTTTTTCTCATTATTATACTTGGTTTCTGACTTTTGGAGTGGAACGTCATGGAGGAAAAGCATCATTTTCATCATATCACAAGGCTGTGTTTTATCAGCATGATTTAATCAGCGTTGATATTAACCTGGACAACCTAGCTGAGATGGTGTTGTGTATGTCTTTTTAAACAGATATATTTGTATCAATAAAGTATCTATCTCTATACACATGCACACTCACAAACACACACAAATCTGTGTGTATATTAAGCTAAACGGGAGTATATTCTGATGCTTCCAAATTTATTCTATTACCACATGGGTCATTCTAGCTTTTTCTCCTGGTTTGTCTATAATTTTCCACTCCAACAGTGAGAATTTTGAATCCTTCTATCTACCATTCATTTATTTTATTTTAAAAATCTTATTATAAATCTGTCTTGGTATAAGAATTGTCAACCTGTACCACCATGAGAACTTTTCAAACTACAGTACAGTGTTACATACAGTTCCTTTTGCAATGTGTTTTACAGACTCAACTCATTTCCAATATTACTTAGATCAATACCTTTTTCACTAACCAGTTTCAGTGAGTTTCTTTCCAATATTGGTAATGCAATTAGGTTCCTTTGTCAGAATTGGAATTCTTTCCTGAGATCCATCAATCTCTAAAAATGTGGACACATATATAGATCTAAATTATTGTTTTAATTTGAATTTCCCCTGGTGATAAATAATGTTAAGTGTTATTTCCCATGTGCATTTGTCATTTATACCCTTTTTTGATACAATTTTGGTAAATTTTAAGGAACGAAATTAAACCAGAAAAAGCAAACCCAAATATACTTAGATATAATGTCACAAGTGAGCTATTGATGTATAATATCATAAACAAATGATTTTGGTAGAATTTCTGGTATTAATTATATTAAAAAGGATAAAATATGAGTTAGTAGTTTCAGTTACATGAGATAACAAAAAAGGTAGCCATGTTAATTTGGTGCCAAACTTTGGTAAATTTATTCAAAATACTCTAATATGAATAAACATTATAACCATTTTAAGACACATTTTACAATACTGTATCTGGAGCTATTTCTTTAAGGTCAAATTACCATTCAGTTACTTTCCTAGGAGATGTTAAGTAGGACCAGGGAAAAGTACTTACGTTGATTGGAGCAGAGCCGTTCTCTGCCTTACTAATCTCTTTTTAACAAGAACTATTAAAAACTACTTGGCCTTCATTAAGTTAAATGGATGAGGACAATGGGAAGAAAACAAAAAAAGAAGAACCAAACTTACATAAAACATTTAAAAAAAGAGCTCATTATGATTTTTTAGCTTAGCAACTCATTCATATCTAATTCAACAAAAATATTTTATTTCTATTTGGTTTCAGATACAGTATAATTTTTTTTTTGGTTTTTGTTTTGTTTCGAGACGGAGTCTCGCTCTGTCACCTAGGCTGAAATGCTGTGGTGTGATCTCGGCTCGCTGCCACCTCCACCTCCCAGGTTCAAGCAATTCTCCTGCCTCAGCCTCCCAAGTAGCTGGAACTACAGGCACCCGCCCCCATGCCCGGCTAATTTTTGTATTTTTAGTAGAGATGGGATTTCACCATGTTAGCCAAGATGGTCTCGATCTCCTGACCTTGTGATCTGCCTACCTTGGCCTCCCAAAATGCTGGGATTATAGGCATGAGCCACTGCACCTGGCCATACATTCTTTTTTATAAGATATTAGTATACTTTGTTTTTGAAATAATAAATACTAGTTCCTTATTATGTATATTTATATATGCATACTTAAAAATATGGTGAATAATGACTGTGTATCAGGCTCTGTTCTAGGCACTGGAAGTTGTCAGTAAATAAAGGAGGCCAAAATCCCTGCCTTAGAGACATACATTTTGGTCTCTAAAATGAGAGACAGAAAATAAGTAACATTAATACACAAAATATAAATCATATTAGATAATGATATATATTATGGAGTGTTGTTTTTTACATTGAATTTTTGCCATGTAAATATTTAAATTTTTACATGGAGTTATGAGAAGAGTTAATTCAAAAGGTGAACTCCAAAGGGAGGGATTTCAAGTTTCCAGGGAGGCCACCACCTCTGCTGAGCTACCACTCTGGGACATGAGTATAGAGTGGAAGGAAAGAGAGGATAAACTGGGCCCTAAATGCCATCTATATCTTTCCATCAGCAGCATGTCTAATGACCAGAAACTTCTAAGAATGATAGTCACTGCTTCACTTCTTTCTTCCAAAGCTCTTGCAAGCAACAAGAGTTGCAATGACCAGACTAAATCTATGCTGGACCATATAGAAATGAGAATTTAGAGAACGTACCCAGTTTCATTCTTCAGCAGTGAAGCAACAGTAAAAAGTCATCATTTATATTTAATCTTTTAAATCTATTTAACTTCCAAAGACAATAGCAATATCATGATTCCATAAAGCATAAGGGAATTATTGCTTACACAACAATGACAGACATACTAATCCTCTCTTCAAAACAGTAAAACATCCCACATAGTTCATCTTGGTAATGAACTATAAATGATGTTCATTGTTTTAGCTGGCATATAATTCTCTTTTAAAAATTAATATTTTGAAATTAAATATTGAGATATAGGATTAACTACTATTAGCATTATTTTATTTAACATGTTTTATTTTTGGCAGTTAAAAAGGGAGCCAATTCAAAGGCATCAGTTAATATTTACAAATAATATAAAACTGTTCAGATGTTCATGGTAGGTATGTATAAATTCTTTTTTTTTTACGACTGCACAATCCATATCTGCTTTTTTCTCAGCAAGCATGTCAAATAATTGTGATTTCTCACCTTTATTCCTGGAGAATTTGTGTTATTAACAATCATGCTTTTAATATATTCTTGAATTTTCTATTAATTTTACCACAAGCTTTAGAGTAGTAAGAAGTAACCTTGATTATATTCTGAGTTTTAAGTGTATTTCTCCCTGCCTACATTGTGTATTGACAACTCATTTTTTCTTGATAGTAATAATTCATTGTCTCAGTCGACTAGGGAAATGGACAAGGTAAGCCTAATGACTGCCCCAATTTATTGCTTAGAGAATGTTAATAGGCCATGGCACAGGACTGGGAAATCCAGGAAATCTACTCCAAGTGAGGAGACACAGCTAGAAGTTCAAAGAAGTCAAGATAGCTAGAGTTCATAAAAAAGAGTACAGGAGAAGGGAAAACTGCGATAAAATAAAATCCAGAGATCTCAAAAGATTCGTCCAGAATATTCAGTTAAGTAGAAATCAGTGCGTGTGTGTGAGGAAACTATCAAAATCCAGAGAAAACCACCTGAAAAGTTTAGAGAGAACAATGCTTGAGACTTACGCAGGGCCGGAAACATGCCTGTTTTCCACAGCCAGAGACACACTCTTTCATATTTGAGAATTTGTCTCTCTTTTTTTTCTTTTCTTTCTCTCTCCCTCTCTCTCATTCTCTCCTTTCTCTCTCTCTTCTCTCTTCTTTCTCTCTCTCTCTCTCTCTCTCTCTCCTTCTCTCTTCCCTTCTTTTTTGACAGACTTTTGCTATTATTGCCCAGGCTGGAGTGCAATGGCATGATCTCAGCTCACTTCAACCCCTGCCTCCCGGATTTCTCCTGCTTCAGTCTCCTGAGTAGCTGGGATTACAGGCGCCTGCCACTATGCCTGGCTAATTTTTTGTATTTTTAGTAGAGACGGGGGTTTCACCATGTTGGCCAGGCTTGTCTCGAACTCCTGACCTCAGGTGATCCACCTTCTGCCTACATTTAGTAATTAATCTTATTGTAAATTTCTAATGAATTGTAAATTATTTCAGCAAAATTCTACTTCTCTTTTCATCCTTTTGTGTAAACCTGTTAATAATGAACTCATCACTCATATCCAGTTTAAAGATTAACATGGATTGATAGTAAATACTTGTGAATTTTTTCAAGTAAAAAAAAAGTATGCTATAAGATGTACTTTCATTTTTGATGTTTTTCTTCTATTAGAAATAAATAATTTTATTTCTATAGAAGTTATTATACTGGATAATATTTTATCTTCCATATTACTTATTATTTTTCTAATTTCCTAGTCTATTTTCTAATTTTTATTCCACATTAATTATAATAATATAAAAGTTCCCCTTCATATATTGATTAGATTTTCTTTTTGGTGTGTGTGTGACAGAGTCTCACTCTGTCGCCGAGGCTGGACTGCAGTGTCGTGATCTTGGCTCACTGAAACCTCTGCCCCTCGGGTTTCAAGCGATTCTCCTGCCGCAGCCTCCCAAGTAGCTGGGATTACAGGCATCCACCACCATGCCCAGATAATTTTTGTATTTTTAGTAGAGACAGAGTTTCCCCATGTTGGCCAAGCTGGTCTCAAATTCCTGGCCTCAAGTGATCCACCTGCCTCAGCCTCCAAAGTGCAGGGATTACAGATGTGAGCCACCACGCCTGGCCTGATTAGATTTTTATCAGTGACTTCTGTGTGCCTCATGGTTTCTAATTGCGCTTCAGTCTCTATTTTCAACTCATTTACCTGCTTAGTCATCACATCTTTGAGGTCTTGAGCTCACGTTAGCTAAAGGTTCTAATTTTATCATATGAGACACTTCAGGGAATTTTTTGGTCACTTATTTTTGAAAGTATTACATTTTTAATCCTTCTTTTTCAAATTTACTTACCCTTCTGTCATGAGATTTTATATTTGCCATATTATTTATTTCTAGTCGATTCATGTTTAATCCAGGATTTTTATTACAACATGCCCAGATATACTGTTTGCTTTAATATAGTGAACCTGTGTTAACATTTCCCATGTAGAACTTCTCCGTTTTTCCACCTTCAGAAGGACACACTTTGGAGAATAGTGTTGCTTTTTTTTTTTTTTTTTTGAGACGGAGTCTCGCTCTGTCGCCCAGGTCGGACTGCGGACTGCAGTGGCGCAATCTCGGCTCACTGCAAGCTCCGCTTCCCGGGTTCACGCCATTCTCCTGCCTCAGCCTCCCGAGTAGCTGGGACTACAGGCGCCCGCCACCGCGCCCGGCTAATTTTTTTTTGTATTTTTAGTAGAGACGGGGTTTCACCTTGTTAGCCAGGATGGTCTCGATCTCCTGACCTCATGATCCACCCGCCTCGGCCTCCCAAAGTGCTGGGATTACAGGCGTGAGCCACTGCGCCCGGCCTAGTGTTGCTTTTTAATTCCCCTTTTGCTTGGAGGTGAAAATGAGCTTGGGAAGAACTCACTGGGAGTATTACATATCATATTTGCAAATAGGGCTCTATTTTTTCTCTTAAACATTATATTAAATTTCGTATCGCAGAGCAATCAACAGGAAACTCACCTGATTTCCATGGCCTTTTATTTGCTTTCATACTCAAAATAGTGTCCTCTAAGAGAAAAAGTGCTGATTTCTTTTTCTGCTTTTGTAGGCTTTAAAGCTAGTGTGTAGAACAAAAGAAAAAACTGGAGGCTCAAAACCAAAATTTATAAATAAATATGTAATATTTCTAACATTTGGTAATATGGAATGGGATAAAATATTTATAACCAAATTATGTAGTACAATTGGAATCACTTGCCTCTAGGAAAGCCTTAGTCAAAACAGACAACCATATAAGATGGTTTAGGCATGAAAGTAGAAAGGAATGAATGATATAGTTTTCATTAACAGAAACCCATGTAAATATAATTAAGCACTTATTTAGACATGAGTGCCAATGCATTTGTGTCTTCCCTTTGGGTTTTAATTGGGTGCTGATGCTGTGAACCATATGTACATATTTATAAATAGCAAACATTAACTTGCATACTTTGCAGAAAGTATCACCATAATGCTAAGTATAATTTTTATTAGTTCAGGCTCATTATCTTAACAATTTTAAAGAGAACAATATTCTCCATAAGATGCTACACGCCTACATTCTGTTAAAATCAAAATATTAAAGAATTAACATATTGGCTGAGCAGTACTACTCCAGAAATGTATTGAGAATCGTATCCTTAGAAATTCAATATATAGTGGAAGATGTAGTAGTCAAATGAAAAACATCTTTTTTTAATTCTCTAAATTCACTAATCAATTTAGTGTATGAGAGAAATAAATTTACATATTTCATGTTATCAAGAACATTTTGTAAAAACATGTTCATCACTAAAGGCCAGCGTCCCCTCTTTTTGAAGCCATCTGCAACTTTTTAATGTGTACAATCAGTATTAATTTAAAACTTATTTATTAATATACACACACGTGCACACACATATATGCTGCATATAAAACACTGCTTTTTGGAAGGGAAAATAAAACATAAAATCAGTTACTAATTTTTATGAATTTATCATCTAATTGAGGGGAGCAAGATAAGCATATAAAGTGTTGATGTTCATAAAAGCTAATTTGTGGTATAAAAGAGCAGCAAAAGAAATAGTATGTCTAAGAAAAAATTATAATCAAGTCTGTATGTCATAATAAAGTGGGCAATGTTTGAACTGAACATCAACATATGAAGAGAATGTTGTTACAGAGGTTAAGTGGTAAGAGAATAAGCAGCTCCAGGTAGCCGGGCACTGATCTGACTCTCACTGCTAGACTGTGGTGTCCTCAGGAGCTATCTGGCATGCACAGTCATCCTTCGATGACCTCCAGTTGAAAGTAAACAATTTCACAGAAAACCAGTATTAGACAAGGTCACATTGTGTACTACAAAGGAGACAAAAAGCTAAGCCTAGAGAAAAAAAAAAAAAAGAAGGTCACTCATCATACCCCCAAATTATCAAACATTTCCATTTCTCAGCTTACTGCTGCTTTCTTCCAATGAAAACTTCAACCTCATTTCAAGTTTTCATCTTTCTAGATCTGATGGATAGGATACACAATCTTGGCCTTACTCCTTCCTGAAAGGAAAAAAAATCTTGCTTTCAGGAACCATCCTCCAAATCACTAAACACAACCCCAAATTCCATAAGTATTTCCTAAAATTTTAGTGAGATGTCTCATAATTCTGGTTTATGATTTTCCTTGCAATGAACTACCATGCCCAACTTTGTTTAAATACAAGTGTGCTTCTAGTGGTCTTTTGGCTGGAGAACACTGGCAGTGTCTGGATAATATTATTACAGCGGGTGGGATGCTTCTGGCTTCATAAAGAGCTTAGTGTTGCCAGTTGCATTACTAAGGATGCTAAAAACAAAGGGTTGGCACAGTCAAGGATTAAAAAGAGTAAATAAAAGGATCATTTACAAATGTGTGGGAAGAGTTAAGAGAAGAGAGAAGATTCTGAGGCATCCAGGAATAGTAACATCAGAAAGCATTCATCACCTCCAGTCTTGAAAAGCAGAGGAAGCTATATTTTTGTCGTGTAGTGCTGGATATAAGAACTGCCTATCAGAAGCTGAGGTCTTCAGCAGATAAATACAGCTATTGGTAAGCAATTGAGACTTTAAAGTATTAACTAACTGGGGCACATAAAAGTTTGGACAAGGGTAAAGATTGTGGAGATTGGATCTGGAGGATAAATGGAGAATATTAAGAATTAAACAAAAGGGGTTGATTTTTATCTATGTATAATTGTGAGCATGCATTCAGGATAAAGTTCAGCATCAGAACCACTATTTTGAAAATAGTGAAAGAGAAATGTATTCCTTAGAAACAGAATTTTTTTCATACTTATCTTGTCATAAAGTATCTATCCATAGTACATTTAGGAAAGATGGGGTTGGAAAGCAAAGTGAAGGCCAAATTGTAGAAACTCTCAGTAGTTAAACTACAGAGATTAGGTATCATTCCCCAAAAAGGATTTGGAGATTTCAGCTGGGTGTGGTGACTTATGCCTGTAATCCCAGCACTTTGGGAGTCTCAGGTGGGTGGATCCTCTGAGGTCAGGAGTTCCAGACCAGCCTGGCCAACATGGTGAAACCCTGTGTCTACAAAAAATACAAAAACTAGCTAGGCATAGTGGCAGGTGCCTATAACCCCAGCTACTTGGGAGGTTGAGGCAGGAGAATTGCTTGAAGCGGGAGGCAGAAATTGCCAAGATTACGCCACTGCACTCCACCCTGAGCAACAGAGTGAGACTTTGTCTCAAAAATATAAATAAATAAATAAACAAATGGAGATCTCAACATTGCATTTAAAGCAATGTTTAAGGAGAGTTAATACGGTGTTAGGAATGGTAGAAATATGTCAGGTAGAAACAGGAACAGGAGTAAAGTTTGAGAATTTGAGTTTACAGATTTTAATGATTTTGAGATGTGAAGGACCTAATATAAAATGATAGCATTATATGATCCAAACAATTACATATTAAACAATTTACCAACGAATTTATAGGTGACTGATTAGCACTAGCAGCCATGGAGAAGGATAGAATTAGATGTACTTGAAGTTTTCAGCTATGGCATTTGGGAAATGCCAGAATCTCTACATTATAAAATTGAATTAAGAGAATTTTGTTGTGGAAAAAAAAAATCTCACTTGAAGTCATGCCATTTATAAGTCAATACCAGTAATAGTTGAAAATATGACAGGGGTGCAAAGAGGTTAGTTTAGGATGAAATGAGTTAGGACATATCTCTACATCCATTTCAAGAGATTCAAAATGCAACAAAATTGAAATTATGTCAGAAGACTATGGCAAGGAGAAGATTGAGACAAGTAGGAACAGGAGGGAAAAAAAGAAAAAGAAATTGAGATCACACGAGAGGGGCATGGTTTGGAACAGATACTTATGAATTCTAAAGGGAAGCTTTTAAAGACAGGGCAGAAATTCAGGCATATGAAAGCTACATATCAAAGAGCATTAACATTAGTATGATACAAGGGTTTCAAATCATTTTCCCATGATAAGCAATAGGATGCTTTCATTTAAAATGAGCAGAGGTATGCCAAAGTGGTGAGATATTTAAAAGACACCTCATTTTCTAGCAGAATATAGTAAACATATTAAGAGAAGAGTATGGCAATCAGAAATTTAGCAAGAAATAAAGCTGCACACTGATACAATTTTTTTTCTCTTCTCCATCCATGTATTTGTGGTAAAAACATTTCTCCATGACTGTTTTTCCTGTTGTATCCATTTGTGGACATTAAAGCAATTAATATACCTGTATTACACATATTTGCTGCCTTTAAATCAGCTATCCAAATTAATTGGATAATTTCTGCAAATAATATAAAAATGTAAGAATGTGTATGGCATAAGTTTAGTGAATATTTGATGCTTGGAGCCTCAGCCACAGTTTCTGAAGCAATGTTTTCAAATACAATGAAGTTAGAATCACAAAATATTGAGTCAACACTTTATTTTCTATACTTTAAGTAATCTCCCACTTTCTGTGGGAGGATAGTAGCTTAACGGAGGTGGAAACCTAATTCCAAGTTGCAAAACTACTTCTTGCCATAAAAATGTGAGAAGTTTATTTTCCCTTTGAATTAAACCATTTAGCTAAACAGATAATTACTCCAATTGTCAAATGAATTTAGGATGTGTGTGACAAATGGTGCCATCCCTTCCTTTTATTGAGGGCTAGTTATTATTTATCTTAGAATATATATTAATGGGTTGTTTCTGCATGGCTATGTAGAAGAGTGAGATACCCTTTTTTTCTTTGCAGTCTCCCAGTGAGTTTAGTATGGTGTACTTTACATTCTAGCTTAATGCTTATTCAGTAATAAAATTGTTTTAATAATTTATATTACTAATTAAATTAGTAGTAATGAATTATTACTACTAATAATTCTCAGAAGTTAAACTACAGAGATTAAGGATTATTCCCCAAAAAGGATTTGGAGATTTCAGCTGGGTATGGTGACTCATGCCTGTAATCCCAGCACTTTGGGAGTCCAAGGTGGGCGGATCCTCTGAGGTCAGGAGTTCAAGACCAGCCTGGCCAACATGGTGAAACTACTAATAATTTATAATACAAATTAAAATAATGAAAATACATTAATAATCTAATGATAAAAAAGATAAATTAGTAAGAAATAAATACTTTAAAATTAAAATATAATATCTTAATACTAAGTTATTTTCTTTTGGTCTACCTATGTGAAGAAGGTTTCTGGGTTGGGAGGATATTTTGTTTTTAATTATATTTCCCAAATCATATGTATCATGTAACACACATACACACATATATTATTTATTTTTCTTCTTCCATAGATGAGTACTTGGAGTTGCACAGCCATATTCTAACAGAAGCATGGGAAAAAGGGATATGATAGTTCAAAACTTTATCTGAATGGAAATTGTCATTATTTCTCAATTTAAATTATGTTTATGTTACAGTGTAGAGTTTTTATTACATGCAGTATTTCAGTTACAGGAGATGATTGTAGTTTGGAAATGAGGGAGATCAGGATGTATAAATTTGATAAGAAATTTACTTGGATAAGTACAGATGTATTTAATAACATTATCTAAGACATTGTGAATGTTTCTGTAATGGGGAAAAATCACAGGAGCATGTAAAATATAAAAATATATGAAATCACTTAATTAAAAATAATTATGCATTTTTAATAACTAAATAAAACCTTGTGATTTTGTAAGATGTCAACTTGTATGTAGATTATGAGAAATTTTTTATAATAAATTCCTTCCACTTTATAATTACCTACACAGAGTAAATCTTGTCCAATAATCTCTTTTATCACTTAATAATTATTCTGATGATATTAGTAGGGTTTATCCACCATTTCATAATTTCTGTGGGGAAAAACAAGCTAAGGTAAGTGTTCATGTGCTTAATTTTTGTCTCTTCAAAATTTGGCCTGACTGCTCTTAATTTTTGTCTGACTTCTAAGTGATTTCTTTTTGCTACACCAGAGCATGAATAATGATAGAGATCAATCTAGGAGGAAGTTAAAAAACCACAGCTTTAAAGTGGTTGACTGAACCTCTTCAATGTGGTTGAAAATAATAATGAAATATTGATCCAAACATCCCATTTGCCTTTCTTTGGTTTCTTCCCTTTGTAGATAAGAGTATTATACATCATGATCAAGATACTAAATTATCTATGACATTTTGCAAAATGATTTTAAAATAATTATTTAACTCTTGCCACATAAAACAACACATACTTTGATGGAACGCCATTCTCCTTAGGGTGACTTAAAGAATCTATATTTGGCCATATATTTGAGGCTCTTACGAGGTTGTATATTTAACTTTAATGCATTAAATCTAGTTTATTTTGTATTCCCATTGGAGAATAAGTTTATGATATTAAGACTAGCCATCTGATCTAACTCTCAGTTTACTCATTTGAGGAATAGTGAACTGCCAGAGAATGAGCTTACTTTTGAGTAAAATTAAGCTGTAAATTAAAATGCATGATGTTTAAGACAGGTATTTTCCTCACAGGGATACACTGATAAGTACTCTGGTCTGTCCTTGAGGGGGAATTTCTGAATATCTCTGGGATTCTCTCTGTGCAGCTGTCTCCTCTCTCCTACCCTATCCTGTGAAGTTTCACCTCTCTTATTTCCAGAACACCCAGCTATTCCCCTTCAACGTAGGGATTCAGTGAACCTCCAATTTGGCCCTTCCCACCTCCCCTGCCCTCACCACCACTACCATCACCAAGTGCTGCTCCCTCAAGGTGTTAAGTAAGAGCAATCTTAGAGCTCATCTAGTTTGTATTATCAATCACTGTCATTCATTGCGTGATGTCCATTGTCTTCTAAGCCATTGGTTCATGTATTTTATTTTAATTTCCTTTGTTTCATTGTTTTGGTTTTGGTTGTTTCAGGCAGGAAGGCAAATCAGCTCTCTGTTACTCCATATTGGCCAAAAGTGAAAGTTATTTGCTATTATTTTAATTGGAATTATGATGGATAAATAGATCAGTTTGGGAAAAACAGATATATCAATTGGATTGTGTTCTCTAATGTATAAATACGGTATAATTTTATATTGATATAGGTCTCCATTAGTTTATTACAGTGATGTTTTCTGTCTTTCGAGGTAGAACTGCAGTACGTTATACGTTATATGTACTTATGGGTATTATTATCTTAGTCTGTTCCTGCTGCTATAACAAACTATCTTAAACGGAGTCATTTATAAACAGGACAAATGTATTGCTCATAGTTATGGAAGCTAGGAAGTTCAAGATCAAGCCATCAGCAGGCCCAGAGCCTGGTGATAGCCAGGTCTAGTTTTGGTTTTCAAGAAGTCACCTTGCTGTGTCTTCACTTGGCAGAAGGACAGAAAGCCAAAAGGGCCTGCCTAATTTCCTCCAGCCCTTTCATAAGGGCATTCATGCCATCTATGGAGCCTCTGCCCTTGTGACTTGATCATCTCCTAAAGGCTCATCCACTTAATACTATCACATTGGTATTAAGTATTGACATATAAGTTTTGGGTAGACACATTCAGACCACAGCAGGTATTTTATATCTTTGAAGCTGCAGTGAACGTTTTATTTAAAAGAAAACAATTTTTTATTGTTTATTGTCATTATATAAGATGCTAATGAGTTTTGCTTCTGTGGAATTGTTATATTCTCTTGTTAATTCTACTTGTTTTTGAGCATTCATTAAGACCTCATAAATTAATAATTATATCTGTGAATGAATTAAGATATTGTAACTCTTGCTTTGCCAATGTTTATGAAATATTTTTTCCTCTTGCCTTACTCTACTGGCAAGAATTTACAGAACAATTGTTGACTAGAAACATTAATAATGGATATCTTTCCTTTTCTCCTTTTTTTTTCCTTTTTTTTGAGACAGGGTCTTGCACTGTCTGCCAGGCTGGAGTGCAGTGGCACGATCTCAGCTCACTGCAACCTCCACCTCCTGGGTTCAAGTGATTCCCCTGCCTCAGCCTCCCGAGTAGCTGGGATTGCAGGTGCATGCCACTAATCCCAGCTAGTTTTTGTATTTTTTAATCAGAGATAGGGTTTCAGCATGTTGACCAGGCTGGTTTCGAACTCCTGGGCCCAAGTGATTCACCCACCTCGATCTCCCAAAGTGCTGGGATTACAGGTGTGAGCCACAATGCCCGGCCCCCTTTTCTCCTTTTCATAGGAAGATGTTGTTTAGAGTTTCACCACAAACTAGGATATAACTAACATTTCTTTTCATAGGCTATTTTTTTATAGAATGAAGAAGTTTACTTCTGTTATGGATTGAATCATATTTTTCTAAAATACGTAAGTTCTGATCTCTAGTACCTCAGAATGTGACCTGATTCAAAAATATGGTCATTGCAGATACAGTTGATTAAGATAAAATGAGGTCCCATGCATTAGGTTTGGCCCCTAATTTGTTTACAACTAGTATATTTATAAAAAGGGAAATGTAGGCCGGGTGCAGTGGCTCACGCCTGTAATCCCAGCACTTTGGGAGGCTGAAGTGGGTGGATCACAAGATCAGGAGTTCGAGACCAGCCTGGCTAACATGGAGAAACTCCATCTCTACTAAAAATAAAAAAAACTAGCTGGGCATGGTGGCGGGCACCTGTAATCCCAGCTACTCGGGAGGCTGAGGCAGGAGAATCGCTCGAACCCGGGAGGCAGAGGTTGCAGTGAGCAGAGATCGCGCCACTGCACTCCAGCCTGGGCAACAGGAGCGAAACTCTGTCTTAAAAAATAATAATAATTAAAATAAAAAGGAAAATGTAGACACAGATGTACACATAGGGAGAACACCATGTGAAGACTGCAGTTATTCTCCCAGAAGCCAAAAATCCACCAGAATTTAGGAAAGATGACTGAAATAGATCCTTCTCTAATATCTTCAAGGGAGAGTGCCTCTACTGACACCTTGATTTCAGACCTCTGACTTCCAGAATTGTGAGAGAATAAATTACTGATGTTCTAAGCCTCCTAGTTTATGATACCTTCCTAAGGCAGTCCTGGAAAACCAAAACAACTTCTATTCCCAGTTTTCTGGAGATCTTTTTAGAATCATGAATAGTTATATATATATAATTATATATGAGTATACAATTATACGTATATTTTAAATTTCTCTGTTTCTATGAAGCATTGTTTTTATAGATTTTTATGTTTAATGCCTTACTATTCATTTAAAGTGTTCAGATTTTCATTGCTAATATTTGTGCAAGGTTCTAATATCAGTGTTTTCTGGGCATATAAAAGGAGCAGAGTGGAACTCTCATTACTGATTTCCTGAGATTGTTATTATTTTATTATCTCTTCTTACAATGTTTAATAGAATTTAGCAGTGATGTAAACTAGGTATGAAATTTTCTTTGAGGAACAGTAGTTTTGAATTACAAATTCTTTTTTAAATAGAAAAGTGCTCAAATATCCTATTTCTTTTTGGGTTAGTGTAAGTAAAGTGGTGTATTACAAGATATTGTGTGTATTACAAGATTTTTCTCTATTACATCTATTTCGATAAACTTATTGGCATTGAGTTGTTTATAATATTATCTTACCATCATTTCCATGCATTTTCACACTCAAAGATTGGTATACACTATTCTGTATGTCATTCTTACATTACCATTATAAAGTGTCATCACTATTATTAATCTTTTCCAAAAAACAAATTCTAATTGTTGTTGACTTTTTCTATTTTATTGATTTCTACTCTTTTACTATTTTCTACCTTCTTACTTCTTACTTTGGTTGACTTAGTGTTTCTTTTCCTTATTTTCTTTTTTTTAATATATATACATTTTTAATTATACTTTAAGTTCTAGGGTACATGTGCACAACGTGCAGGTTTGTTACATATGTATACATGTGCCATGTTGGTGTGCTTCACCCATTAACTCGTCATTTAGCATTAGGTATATCTCCTAATGCTATCCCTCCCCACTACCCCCACCCCACGACAGGCCCCGGTGTGTGATGTTCCCCTTCCTGTGTCCATGTGTTCTCATTGTTCAATTCTCACCTATGAGTGAGAACATGCGGTGTTTGGTTTTCTGACCTTGTGATAGTTTGCTCAGAATGATGGTTTCCAGCTTCATCCATGTACCTACAAAGGACATGAACTCATCCTTTTTTATGGCTGCATAGTATTCCATGTTGTATATGTGCCACATTTTCTTAATCCAGTCTGTCACTGATGGACATTTGGGTTGGTTCCAAGTCTTTGCTATTGTGAAGAGTGGCACAATGAACATACGTGTGCATATGTCTTTATAGCAGCATGATTTATATTCCTTTGGGTATATATCCAGTAATGGGATGGCTGGGTCAAATGGTATTTCTAGTTCTAGATCCTTGAGGAATCACCACACTGTCTTCCACAATGGTTGAACTAGTTTACAGTCCCACCAACAGTGTAAAAGTGTTCCTATTTCTCCACATCCTCTCCAGCACCTGTTGTTTCCTGACTTTTTAATGATTGCCATTCTAACTGGTGTGACATGGTATCTCATTGTGGTTTTGATTTGCATTTCTCTTTTCCTTATTTACTTAATGAGAATACTTAGATCATTGATATATACTATTTTCTATCATAGTCATGTGAAGTTATAAATTTTCATCTATGCATTATGTTCGCTACATCTTCAAAGTGGATATTTCTTTTAAATTTTCTATCATTATAATATTTTCTAATTTCCTCTATGTTTTCTTCTCTATGTTAAGTTTAGTAGTGGGTTATTTCATTTTGGCATGTTAGGGATTTACAAATTACAAATAACTTGCTGTAATTGATTTCTCTTTTAATGCTGTTAAAGTAGAACAAACTACGTTTTATTTTAAAATTACTGAGGCATTTCATGGGTTAGAATATGACATTATACAGACAATATTGGTGAGTATTCTATGTACATGTAAAAAGAACGTCACTTAGGTCAAGCTCAGTCCACAGTGCTTAGATATTCTCCCTATTGTTCTTCCTGCATTCACTAGCAATTACTGCAAGTGTCATGTTTATATATCCAACTATAATTGTGGATTTATCTGCATTTCTTCCTTTAGTTCTGTCAATATTTGTTTAACATATTAAGACTTTTCCATTTATGTTCAAATAACATATTTTTATTGGATGTAAACATACTTAAAAATTGTTTTCTTAACAAAATTTTATAATCTTTATAAAATAACTCTGGCAATACACCTAATGTTGAATTCTACTTTGTGTTACGTACTGAATCATGTTTCCTCCAAATTCATATGTTGAAGTCAAGCCTCAGTGTAACAGTGTTTAGAGATAGGGTCTTTAAGAAGATAATTTAGGTTAAATGAAATTATAAAGGTGCAATCCTAATTTGATGAGACTAGTGTTCTTGTAAGAGAAAGAGACACCAGAACTAACTCTCTCTCTCAGCACATGCACAAAAAAAAAAGGCCATGTGAGGACACAATGAGAAGTTGGCCAACTACAAGCCGGGAAGAGAAGTCTCACCAAACACTAACACTATGAGCATATTGAGCTTGAACTTTCAGGCTCAGGAAATGTAAGGAAATAAATGTGTGTTGTTTAAACCGCCCAGTCTGTGGAATTTTGTTATGGCAGTCCAAGCAGACTAATATAGTCTGATATTAATAGAGCCTAACATATTAATGTATTAAGATACCATTCTTAAGTTAAATATTTTTGTACTATTGATATATCTTATTTAATGTTTTTACATTTTATTTTCAACCTACCTCTGTTTCAACCTTTGAAGTATGTTTTTGCAAACAATACAAACTTAGATTTTATATTCAAGTATAACCTGAAAATCTTTACCACTTAAGTGAACTTGTTTATTCCTTTACTGTTAACATAGTTGCATACTATATTTTAAGTCAAATATCTTGATGTTCGTTTTCTATTTATCATACCTGCTTCTTTTTTAGTTCTTTTCTGCTTTTATATCCTTTTTATTAGTGAATTAGGTCCACTGTTAAGCCTTTCATCTATCTGGGTTTTTGCTTTTATTATTATTATGTATCCTTTTTGTGTTTTACTGAGCCTCTTGAATATGCCTGTTATTGTCTTTTATTAATTTCTAAAAATTCTAGCATTATTTCCCTCAAATAATTACTCTGCTTCATTCTCTACATTCACTTCTTACGGGGACTCCAATTTTACAAATGTCATACCTTTTGATATTATCCGACATTTCAAAAGCATTTTGTTTACTGTTGGCCAGTGTCTATTAACTGTTTATGTTCTAACTTTGTATGTGAATCTGCAATTATCTGTGCTGCTTTTTTTTTTTTTTTTTTGAGACGGAGTCTTGCTCTGTCATCCAGGCTGGAGTGCCGTGGTGCGATCTCGGCTCACTGCAAGCTCCACCTCCCTGGTTCACGCCATTCTCCTGCCTCAACCTCCTGAGTAGCTGGGACTACAGGTGCCTGCCACCACGCCCTGCTAATTTTTTGTATTTTTAGTAGAGACAGGGTTTCACCGTGTTAGCCAGGATGGTCTCAATCTCCTGACCTCATGATCCGCCTGCCTCGGCCTCCCAAAGTGCTGGGATTACAGGCGTGAGCCACGGCGCCCGGCCAGAAATTTATTATAATTACTCCTACATTCCGGGTGCCGTGACTCATGTCTGTAAACTCAGCACTTTGGGGGTCCAAGGTAGGTGGATCATGACGTCAGGAGATTGAGACCATCCAGGCTAACACGGTGAAACCCCGTTTCCACTAAAAATACAAAAAAAAAAAAAAAATTAGGTGGGCATGGTGGCATGCACCTGTAGTTCCAGCTACTCGGGAGGCTAAGGCAGGAGAATTGCTTGAACCTGGGAGGTGGAGGTTGCAGTGAGCCAAGATCACACCACTACACTCCAGCACCCTGGTGACAGGGTGAGACTCCATCTCAAAAAAAAAAAAAAAAAGGAAAAAAAAAAGAATTAACTACTTGTTTACTGAACTCATATAAAATAAGCAAAGAGTTATTAAATATATATTTAAGTGTAAACCTTACTCCATTGTTAAATTCTGTGATGATTTATCTTTTTTTTACATTTTCAGTGGGTTATAATTTCTAAGGAATTTATGTATTAGTATTGATAAATGACATACTTATTTTGTTTCCTGTATATTTGACCATGAATTACTAATAGCTTTATCTTTTTTTTAGCAAAAAGATAAAATGTGAAGGAAAAAGAATGAAGTCTTGAGGAGATGATCAGATGCCTTTGAAAAACAAATACTTAAGAGCTTGAGGAAGCTTCAAATAAATGAAAGCTATAAGAAAACTGTCGGTGATGGAAGGTAGACTATTAGAGAATGAAGAGTGAAGTTGCTCAGGAAAGAGAATTGGTGAGGCTTCAAGTGACATTCGTTCTGGAAAGTCAGTGGTAGCCTTGAAGACATATGATGACTATTTTACCCTTGGAGATCAGAATGCCTGGCTAGGACCATCCTGGTAATTCATCATTATTAAAAAAGTGCACCAATTTCATCAGTACGGATAATTCAAGAACAAATTTTTAAAATCTGGAATGTTCTAATGTAAGACAAGCATGAAATCTCAGGGTTGCTTTCATTCAATAAATGAATTATAATCATTTATTGAGTACATACTATGTGCAAAAGTGCTATGGGAGGCAGGATGGCCTTATTTCAGGGTGCTCCCCCTCCAAACACAATTTAGTACTTGCCTGTGATACAGGATAGGTGGGGCTGTGGTTTTATTTTATTTTTGTGTTTGTTTGTTTGTTTTTGAGACGGAGTCTTGCTCCGTCGCCCAGGCTGGAGTGCAGTGGCACGATCCCGGCTCACTGCAACCTCCACTTCCTGGGCTCAGGCGATTCTCCTGCCTCAGCTTCCGAGTAGTTGGGATTACAGGCACCCGCCACCATGCCCAGCTAATTTTTGTACTTTGGTAGAGATGAGGGTTCACCATGTTGGCCAGACTGGTCTTGAACTCCTGACCTCAAAGGACCAACCCGCCTGGGAATCTCAAAGTTCTGGGATTACAGGCATGAGCCACTGCCCCCAGCCAGTGCTGTGGTTTTAACTTGGTATCTACTTCATCGATTATTTGAGTTTTAAACTAAATTCCAGAATACAAATGTCTTAATAAGGCAAAAATATACAAATGATTTTACCTTCCAAATGACTGGGCTTTAAACAGTACTTATACCTCTTGGTTCTTTTATTTTTAAACAAAGATTGTATTGGGAAGTATTTTCTCTTAAAATTCTAATTCAAAATACTTGTGTATTTGAAAATATTAAGGAACAAAACTCATCTTTGTGTATGTGTGTACACAAAGACTTCTAATTAACAAGGGCAGTTTAAAAATACCCAAGTCTCTGGGTGAAAAAGCAACACTGGGCATTTGCCTTACAAAAAGCAGCTTTTAGCAAAATCATTAATTACCCTCCTAAAACAATCCAATGTCAGCTCTAGAGCACTTATTTTGAAAAATATTTCTTAGAAGTATCACTGTTCTAAAACTATGATGTGTACATATACATAAGTCATAGCTACTTGTAATATTCAGAAGTATCTTTCCTGGGACAACAAGGCCTAATTTTAAAATACTGCTTTATAAAAAAATCAAATATTCTTTCACAAATATCACAGAGGTGATTCAAGCAATAATAAAGTCTATTTTAAAATGTAAATTAAAAGCATCAAATTTTTACATTTGCTAATGACTGTTCTGTTTATATGCAGTCCATGACTACAGTATGTATTTGAAAATTAAATAAGGCTATGAGGTTTACAAAATTTTATTTTAAAAGCCATATCAAATCTTAAAGTAAGAAAGTAATCTAGTAATTCCTTTAACAATAAACTAGAACGATAGACTACTCCCTGGAAATACATTCTGAAATATTTGCTACAATATCTTACCTTTAACTGCAATTTCTCCTTTATACATGACTAACCATATTACCTTGATGAAAACTATGGTTTAAGCATAAGGATAATGGCATCCTAAAATAAAATGTTGTGACATTTGTTTGATGTTTTTAATATTGTATTTATTAAAATAACTATTTTGACAGTAAACATAAGATTTCTGGATCAAAGAAAGATTATTTACTTGCATAATATCTTAATGACAGTCCTCATGCCCCAATATCTCAATAACATAATGAGATTCAGATGTCACATACATATCCTATATGGGGGTTTGCATCACAGGAAACTCTGAAATTACAAATCTCACATTTTATGTAGGGCAGGCTGTACAACTCCCATTTTGTCCTCAGAAAAAGGAAAAAGACCTTATCTTCCTAAAATAAATCCTTACTATGGATCAGAGGGGGAAATCTTTAAGTTCATTACTATTTGAAATGTAAACATGTGGCCCCAGGGAAGGAAAAACTGTAAACCTCTACTAAGAAATACGCAGTCTCTTAACTTTGAACTCACTAACTCATCCTTTAACCTTAGTTGCCAGGGATTTTTTTTTACTCAAATTCCAGAAGGTGAAAAAAATAAAAAATTCATGTGGCATTGCTTCTTGACACTGATATTATGATTGAAAGAGTAACATGGCCTTAAATTACCCAAGCAACACAAACAACTACAAAAATAGACAAAATATAGAAAGCATCCATTTTTGACATTGTAGAACAGGCAGCACAGAACTGTGATCCAGGAGAAGGAAAACAAATCAGGTGGGGCTCCTAGGCTTTAAGGTGTAGGGATCAGATGTTCTGTAGTTCAGGAAGGGAGAAAGCCAAAAAGGGCTCAACATTCTCAATGAATTGATGAAACAAGGATCAGCAGATGAAAAGACTAAGGTACTAATAATTTGTGGAATAGAGTTTCTTAGATGAGGTGACTCCAAGAGAAGGAATCTGGAAATATGAATAAGAATCCCCTTGGGTTTTTCAGCTGCCCACCTATTTGAGAATGCATTGGTGAAATACTATGAGGCCTAGACAGGGCATCTTTTAGGAGAAGAACAATTAGTTCTCAGGGAGCTACAAGTTAAAAAAAATTCCAAGAGTTCACACGAAGACGGTCAGTAATGAAAGACCATTTTAAATACACAGTGTGTTCATCAGAGATCTCTAACTGGCCATACCTAAGAAGTGTGGTTAATTAACCCAAGAGTAAAGTCTATTCTGAACCTGTCCTAAGAGCACTTACCAATATACATTTAAGGATTCAAACTGATCTTCAAGAATATAACTTTCAGAAAAAATTTTAACACTATTTAAATGAGTAAAACAAAATCCAACACTCAACACTGTATAATTAACAATATCTGATACCCGCAACAAATAAACAAGTAGAAAAAAAATAACCAGGAGGATAGTCACTCAATAGAAACAGAAACAGAACTAACAAATCAGTAGACTAGTATATTTAAAAAGCCAGTATATTTTTGCCATATATACTCATGCATATCTGCTCAATATACAAAATTATAAATATAATGAGAAAGAAATTAAGGATATAAAAAGAACCAAACTGAACTTTTAACGGTAAAATGACATCTAAATTTTAAGAGAACTTTAGGCACTATTGAATATAAGATTTATTAAGTAGAAGATATAAAAGCAGAAAATATCCAAAACGAAGACAGAGAGAGAGGAAGAAAGAAAGACTGAAAGCCTAAGCAGACTCTCCTTAACATGCTGGAAAAATATCAAGCACTCAATCCTATATGTTACTTGAGTACCAGAGAAATTACTAAAATATTATAAATTTTACCAAAATTCTATACTCACAGACCCTAAAGTCTCAATTAACCCAAGGCAAGATAAACATATAAAGTACTACACCAAAGTACGTAAAATCAAATAGCTGAAAGCCTGTAATAAAAGAGAAATCTTAAAATAGACAGATATAAAAAACATTAGGCACAGAGAAACAAATATGTGAATAAAAATATGCTACTAATCCGAAATGATACAGGTTAAAAGAGAATGTGAGAATGTGATGACATTGTTACTATAGCCAAAACAATCCCACTGTCAACCTATAACTCTGCACCCAGGCAAAAAATATTTTTAAAGTATAGACATTAAAAAATTTTCAAACAAATAAACATGAGTAAATATATCACCAGCAGACCTATATTAATAGAAATTATAATTAACCATGGGTGACAGACCACTTTTCCCCAAGGTTAGGGAGACAATAAGGATATCCCTTCTATTCAACATTACACTGAAAGTCCCAGTCAGCACAATGAAGCAAAAAAAAAAAAAAAAAAAAAAAAAAAATAAGTAAAACAAAAACGGAATGAAAAGAAAGAGACAAAGTTGTATTCATGTGCAGACACAGGAACATTTACATGAAAAAATTCAATAAATTTTCAAAAATACCGATAAGTGAGTTTAGTACTGTGTAAAGTACAAAGTCAATAACCCAAATCTATTATGTTTCTGTACTTCAGGAGCAAGGGTTAAAAATCAAAATTTAAAAGTACATATCATTTATAATAGCAACAGAAAATATGAAATATTTAAGAAAAAATTTAACAAATTAAATCAGCTAAAATATAAACATGTAATAAATCACTGATGAGACAAACTAAAAACACAGGAGAAATGAAGAGATATGCTATGTTTAGGAATCAGAAGACTCATTGTTGGTAAGGTGTTGGTTTTTCTCTAATTAATATCTAAGCGTAATGTATACATATATATTTTTTCATTATCTGCCTCTGTATCTTATTAAATATGATTTGTATTATGAAGAAATAAGTGAATATACATATATAATATATAGATTAACTAATATACAATTTTATATAATAAGTAAAATTCATTCTAATATAAGTATTAATGGAAATTATTATTTTCTTTGTTCCTTCCTGCTTTTCTCTCCTCCTGTATCTGCAAAAGTTCAAGATTTTTGTGCACCTCCTCTGAGCTATAGCTTTCTGTTCGTGACTTCTAGGGAGGCTATAGAAAATTGAAAATAATTAGAAAAACTTACATTGCAAATACAATAAATAAATCAATCATAATTAGAATTTTGCTTTATAGTCAAGAGGAGCTCAATAAGAACTCCTTAGTGATATGATTAAGAGGAAGACAGTTATAATGGAAAACAATGTGGAGATTCCTTATAGAACTAAACGTGGAACTACCATTCAATCCAGCAATCCCACTACTCGGTACTAACCAAAGAAAAAGAAGTCATTATATGAAAAAGACACATGTACACACATGCTTATAACAGCACAATCGCACTTGCAAAAATATGGAAACAACCTAAATGCCCATCAACCAATGAGTGGATAAAGAGAATGTGGTATATATACACCGTAGAATAGTACTCAGTCATAAAACAGAATCAAATAATGGCCTTTGCAGCAAGTTGGTTGGAGTTAGAGGCCGTTATTCTAAATGAAGTAACTCAGGAATGGAAAACAAAATATTTTATGTTCTCCCTTATAAGTGGGAGCTAAGCTATGAGTATGCAAAGGGATAAGAATGATATACTAGGCTTTGGGGACTTGTGGGGAAGGGTGGAAACGGGATGAGGAATTAGACTACATATGGGGTACAATGCAAACTGCTCTGGTGACAGGTCACCAAAATCTCAGAGAACACTACTAAAGAACTTATCCATGTAACCAAAATACCCCAAAAACGATTGAAATAGAAGAAAAACAAAAAATAAAATACGAAATGATAGTTATAACCCAGTAATAAACATCTAAGTAACAATTTCTATACTTAATAGTTTAATGGAATTTGATTAATTTGATGTATTTTAGATTTCTGATTTGCTCTATGATATATTGACTAAAATCTAATATTTTATGAATAATTAAAAATGAAAATCAGCATTGACCTTACTGAAAATATAAAGAAATGCATTTTTCTTTATATATAATTACATTAATATGTATATACATTTGATTTTTTGTAGAACTTTCAGCACTCCTATTTTCATTCAAGTATGATTATTGTTAAATACTTTATTATATTAAAAAATCTGGAGGAGAATTTCTTTACACACGCCCCAGGGTAGCCCATTTTTACTCACTAGCCCATGGAGTCCAGATTAGTTATCACAGTTATTATATAAATTATACCTCATAAGTTTACATAATTTAATTCACTTGAAAAGGCTTTGTGAAGTGTTCTACTACTAGTATTTGTTATTTTCATTGTTTATATGTTTAAATTTGTTATATTAAGAAATGAAAAGAAACACATGAAACCTATATTTTTCATTTCACATAATAATGAATAATATGTATTTGTCAATATTTTCATTAAAGTACAGTTTGTATATATTATTAATTTCTTGTAAAAGTTTATGCATTTAACATAAATTAAATATAGAATTTGAATATGGATCTATTCTCTACTCCAGTGCTGCAGAAATATAGATTATTTTGCCTTAGTACATGGATTATGATATATATACAAATATAATTGTAGAAATATATGCAGAATAAGGCACATAGCTTATCAGTTTTTTCTTACATACATGACCTGGATTCCAATATTATTTTTTACCTACCATTTTACTAAAGAATGTAACATTTGTTTTTTGCCATGTGAATTAATGTTCTGTAAATGTCCACCTGAATATAGAAACATATATTTATTTAGTTTCCTATTATATGAGTTGTCATTAATGATTTCTAAAATTGGATACTATTGTGTAGACAGTATCAAATTCTTGACTATTATGAATAATATTGTAATAAACATCTTTGTAGCTTAATTGTTGCACATTTTCATAAATACATTTTCAAACACATTTCTAGAACTATGGTCTCCATGTCAATGATTATCTGTTTTACAAAGTATTTTAAAATAGCCTTTATGCCAACTTTGATCCCTAGCGATAGCATATGAGAAGGTCCAATTCTCTATTTATTTGTAGCAATTAGTAATCATCTTATTTGATGGATACATCTATTATGTTGCTGCAAAATTAATTGTACTTTGGGCCATTAGTTTATATGGTGGAAACCGCAATTACTTTTACACCAACCTATACCAATTACAAGTGGTAACATTTTCAAGCAGCTGCCTATATAAAATTTATGCTAATATTACCACAAGCATTGAAAACATTGAAAACCACATGCAGTTAATCTGCTCTTACAGGGTTACAATGGACTATTTGGGGGGGGCGGGGAACAGAGGAAAAAAGGAATTAATTACTCAGTGGCATAACCTTTGAAAGAACACATTATTTTTAATTGACCTCTTGGCTTTCCTGAGAGTTCTGAAGTATTGAATGAGAATAGCTTCTCATTAATAATAGTATTTACAACAAAACAATTATATCCATAATTTTTTGTGTGTGGATGGAGAGATTTTTCCTATAAAATAAAAGTTATGTATTCAAAATATAGACTGTAACAAATAATATTTTAATATATGATGATAAAAAATACTTAAATTTCTCTTTATAAATTAAGAAACACTATTGATATGTATTCTGGACAACAGAACCCTCAACAATAGAAATTATTGTAGCTTCTTATATTTATAAAATGGAAAATTGGAAAAATCCGAAATCAAAAAAATGAAATAACAATACAAACATAAAACAGTACTAAACTTGTCTTTGCAAATAAAGTACTATCATTCTTTACCACTAAATATTTAAAAGAATAAATGGAAACGGTGACTATTTTTATTAAATAAGAAAGGGTATACTGCCACCTAGTGGTTCATGGTGTGGCTCAAGGGCAATATTTTCTCCTCCAAGTATTCTTAGATCCTGCTGATCAAGGGAGGCTGATGGCTGAATATTTTACAGTTAAACCAGTTAAATAATTATCAAAATTATTTCATTTTCATGAAATTACTCTTAACCACGTTATACTTTATTACCTTCACCTTAAAAGATTAAAACCCTTAATAACAAAGCATAGATGGCTGTTCAGAAAATAAAATTTCAACATAATAACTTCCATAAAAGCAGTGAAGATGAAAATGAATATTTTCTTGTGAAGAATATGGTGACTAATTTAAAGATCTTTCAATTTATGAATACTTCATTTAGACTACCTACTATTTGAGTAAAGTAATAAATTTAATATGTTTTCCATGATGTAACCCACATGATGGAAACTCAAAATTAACTACATTAATCATAATGGATAATCAAATTGAATATTAAAAATGCAATTAATCTTTTAAAAGAAAGTATTTTTTGAGATCATTAAGCTGAAGAGGAGAACAAAAAGAAACAAATAGAAAAATATTTTCAAGGAATCTCTTTATATCTATGTTATGTTATCTGATAAATTATTGATCTTTTTCACTTCTCTTCTATGGGTGGTTCTGTGTGTGTGTATGTGTGTGTGTGTGTTTGTGTGTGCATGTTCATTGTGTTTGTATTATATAATAATGGACATAATTTTGTGATTGTAGAATATCTTCAAGATGTTTGAGCCATACATGTAGAGTGACTATCCTTTCTAGTATCAAATGAATGACCTAATCATTTAAATAAATAATTAGTTTAAATAATTAGATTATATTTTATCAATTAGGAATGATCTGCATTCAGTTTATAATCATTAAACATGAATCCTTTAATAGTGGACACGAGATGATGAGGTTTTTTGATTAAAACAATTATACAAAAACTACATTATCAAAAATCAATATTCTGCTACAAAATAGCTGCAATACAAAATTCATTGTGGAGCGCGGTGGTGCCATCATGGCTCACTGCAGCCTAGACATTCTGGGCTCAAGTAATCCTCCTGCCTTAGCCTCCCAAAGCACCAGGATTACAGGCATGAGTCACTGCACCCAGCATAATCATTCTCTATAGCAAGTACAGAACTTTTTGACTTGCAATGGGGGTTATTTTCCAATAAACCCATCATAAGTTGAAAATATTGTTTAGTCAAAAATGCATACAATACACCTAACCTACTGAAAATAGCTCAGCCTCGCCTACCTTAAACATGCTCACAACACTTATATTAGTGTATTATTGGCCAAAATCATCTGGCAACATAGTAGACAGTACACTGGAGAGTATCAGTTTACCCTTATGATGGCATAACTGATGAGGAGCTGTATCTGCCCAGCATCCTGAGACTGTATCACATAGCACTAGCTTTGGAAAAAATCAAAATTCAAAATTCAAAGTATGGCTTTTCACTTTCACACCATCGTAAAGTAGAAAATTATAAGTGAAACCATTGTAAGTCAGGAACTGTCTGTACAGCTTTTTATCAGTGCCAGAATGATAGCATAAGAAAAGGAGACATCAAAGACACATTGATTCATTTATATATCAATTCACCAAACACATAGAGAGCATATTCTAAGGGTAATCCAGTGTGCTAGGAGGTGGGGGTGCTACAATGAAAAGTTGGATCAAACTGGCACAGTCTTTGTTCTCCTGAAATTAATTTTATTTGGAACACAGAGTCACACATAAGAAGAGGAGAAAATAAAAATGGAAAGCCTTGGATTTGGGGAAAGAGACAATCATGAAATATCCAGAGAACAAGCATCTAGACAAAGGGAAAGCAGGCAAGCATCAGAGAAAAAAGGTTTTCCAGGCTTCAGGTACTGTAAAGAGAGAAGGGTCACATTAAGTGAGCAGGCAAATGGGCAGGAGAAAGGAAGTTAATGAGGAAAAGGAAACAGGGACCAGATTATGGAGGGACACAGAGGGCAGATAGGAAGTTTGAATTTAATTTGAAAGATCGTTTCCAAAATCCTGCTTTCATAAATGATGGGGAAATAAGATTTTAAAGAGATAAATATAGGAAAAGGAGCATATTTGAGTAAAAGGAAGAAAGAAAATGAATTCAGTGTGGACAAGTTGAAGTTGAAGGTGTGTCTGTGTATCACATTAAGCTGATGGATGACAGGTGGGAAGGATAACGGGCTTTCACTTCAGCAGCTGCAGTGATCAAATAAAAAGATTTTTTACCTCTTAAAATGTCCCTCTGATGAGACTTAGAAAATGACATAAAAAATAGGAACAATACCTATAGTCATTACAAAGCATCATTGTCCAAACTAATTAATTTAAAAGGCTGTAGGCCATGTGTGGTGGCTCATACCTGTATCCAAGCACTTTGGGAGGGCGAGATGGGCAGATCACTTGAGGTCAGGAGTTCGAGACCAGCCAGGCTAATATGGTGAAACCCTATCTTTCCTAAAATACAAAAATTAGCTGGGCGTGGTGGTGAGTGCCTGTAATCCCAGCTACTAGGGAGGCTGAGGAAGAAGAATTGCTTGAACCCAGGAGGCAGAGGTTGCAGTGAGCCGAGATCACGCCACTGCACTATACAGCCTGGGTGAAAGAGCGAGATTCCATCAAAAAGAGAAAGAGAAGGAGACGAGAGAGAGATAGATAGAGAGAGAGAGAGAGAGAAAGACAAAGAAAAAGAAAAAGAAAGAAAAAGAAGGAAGGAAGGAAGGAAGAAAATAAATAAAAATAAATAAAAGATGTAAGTGTAACTTTACAATACAGGAATATGACAGTTACCACCTTATTCAACTGAGGAAACTTATCGTTGCCAACAGTGAAACAATTGTACAATACACCCTTTAATGAATTTAATGTGTAAATTCACACATTACTTTAGTATTCTCACCAGCTGCCCACCCCCCCCAAAAAAAAATCAGTTTGCTATGTGTGGAAATGATCACAACAGTTTAAAATTATAGACTGATCTATGGTGAAACAGACTTGGATGTGTCAAAAGAGTGTATGCCATGTAAATCAAACAATCAAAGAAACAGAGTGGTAGGGTTGAGGTTGGGGTGTGGTCTGGTCTAAAAGAAATCAAGATAAATAAATACGAATTGCTTCCTCAGCAAAAATAATGAAGTCACAGGCATCACATTGCCTGGCTTCAAACTATACTACAAGGCTATAGAAAGCAAAACAACATGGTACCAGTACCAAAATACCAGGCACATAGATCCATGGAACAGAATAGAGAACCCAGAAATAAAATCAGACACCTAACAACCAGCTGACCTTTGACGAAGTTGACAAAAATAAACAATGGGGATAGGAAAATGTATCTAATAAATGGTGCTGGAAAAACTGGCCAGCCACATGTAAAAGAATAAAACTGGACTCCTATCTCTAATCACATACAAAAATTAACTCAAGATGGATTAAAATAGTTAAATATAAGACCTTAAACTATAAAAATTCTGGAAGGAAGCCTAGGGAAAACTTGTGGACATCAGCTTAGGCAAAGAATTTATGACTAAAATCTCAAAAGCAAATGCAGCAAAAACAAAAATGACAAATGAAACTTATTAAAATTAAAGAGCTTCTGCACAGGAAAAGAAACAGTCAACAGAGTAAACAGACAACCTAGGGCAATAGTGAAACTGGAAAAGTTCCCTTGTTCCCTTCGCAGGGCATGCAATGGGAGTGTGGCTTGCTGCTTCTTCAGTGCCCTGCTGCTCAAGCTCCTAGCGGGAGCATGCAGATGGGCAGGTTGTGGGGCTCTGACCCCACAGCAGTGTCTAGGGGTGGAACGTTTACAGCTGAAGTCCCAGTGGCCGTGTGTTACAATATGCTGTTTCATTTTAGCCTTCTGTAGGCAGCTTGTGCTAGGCAGCTCAGTTAGGCTCCCTGCCTTATCGCAAGGACAGAGGGCTTTCTGTATCCCGGAGTTTCTTGCCTTGGTGCACCAGAAGAATCAGATCACACGTGGGCTTTGAGAATGAGTGCAAGGTTTTTCTGAGTGGAAGTAGCTCTCAGCAAATGGGGAGACCAGAAGGGAGATGGAGTAGGAGGGTGGTTTTCCCCTGCAGCAGGGTTGCTCAGCAGCCCTGACTCCCCTCCTACCCAAACTCCCGCGTCGTTCCGCTGGTGGATGGCCTGCTGGCCTGCCACGTCTATACCTGTGCTCTTACACTGGTGCATGCCCCTTGACACCCAGCCGCTTGGGTCTCTTCCCACTGGTGTGTTCCTCTCGATGACCAGCTCCTTGTGTCTTCCTCTGCTGGTCTAACTTCTGCCATCTTCTTTGACGTCCAGCTGCTTGTGTCTCTTCTCATTAGTGTCTGGGGGTTTTATAGGCACAGGATGCAGGGAGTGGTGGGCCAGGGTGGTCTTGGGAAATGCAACATTTGGGCAGGAAAACAGAAATGCCTGTTCTCACATAGGTTCATGGGCACAGGTGCAGGGGTGAAGCCCTAGCCAGAGACCTCGCCCTTTCCTTCCCTGCACTTCCTGTCACCCTCTTGTATAAATAGAACTCTTTCTTTCTTTCTTTCTTTCTCTTTCTTTCTTTCTTTCTTTCTTTCTTTCTTTCTTTCTTTCTTTCTTTCTTTCTTTCTTTTCTTTCTTTCTTTTCTTTTCTCTTTCTTTCTTCCTTTTTTTTTTTTGACAGAGTTTTGCTCTTGTCGCCCAGGCTGGAGTGCAGTGGCACGATCTTGGCTCACTGCAACCTCTGCCTCCCGAGCTCAAGTGATTCTTCTGCCTCAGCCTCTTGAATAGCTGGGATTACAGGCGCGTGCCACCACGCAGGCTAATTTTTTTGTATTTTTAGTAGAGATGGGATTTTTCCATGTTGAGCAGGCTGGTCTCGAACTCCTGACCTCAGGTGATCTGCCCACTTCGGCCTCCCAAAGTGCTGGGATGACAGGCATGAGCCACCAGGCCTGGGCAGGAGAATATTTTTCTATTAAAATGTGACTCCGATGAGACTTAGAAGACTTCATAAAATAGAAAATTCCTAACAGAATAGGATAAAATATGTGCAAACTATCCACGCAACAAAGGACTAATATCCAATATATAAAACTTAAACAAATCAATAACACAAAAACGAATAACCCCATTAAAAAGTAGGCAAAGGACATAAAGAAATACTTCTCAAAAGAAGACATACAAATGACCAACAAACATGAAAAAAAATGCTCATCATCACTAATCATCAGAGAAATGCAAATTAAAAGCACCATGAGACACCATCTCACACCAGTCAAAATGGCTATTAAAAAGTCAAGAAATAACAGATGTTGGAGAGGTTGCATAGAAAAGCGAATGCTTATACACTGTTTGTAGGAGTGTAAATTAGTTCAGCACCTGTGGAAAACAGTTTGAAGATTCCTCAAATAACTTAAAATAGAACTATTATTTGACCCAGGAATCCCATTACAGGATATCTACCTGAAGGAAAAGAAATCATTCTAGCAAAAAGACACCTGCACTTTCATATTTAACACAGCAGTATTCACACTTAGGAATAAACCTAAGTGTCTATCAGTGGCTGATTGGATAAAATGTGGTACATATATACCATGGAATACTATGCAGCCAAAAAAAGTAATGAAATAATGGCCTGTGCAGCAACATGGATGCAGATGGAGGCCATTATCCTAAGTGCATTAACACAGAAAGAGAAAATCAAATACCACATGTTCTCAGTTATAAGTGAGAGCCGAAAAAAAATGGATAGGCATGGACACAAAAATGTAAACAATAGAAACTGGGGTCTCCCAAAGAGCAGTTGGGAGGATGAGAGTGTGTAAGGATTGAACAATTACCTATTGAGTACTATGTGCAGTATTTGGGTGATGGGTTCAAAAGAAGCCTAAACTCCAGGATTACACAATATACCCATGTAACAAACCCACATGTGTACCCCCTGAAACTAAAATAAAAAGAAATACTAATTGCAACACATGACTTTTGATAAATGATAAATTAAAACCAAAGAAATGAAGGCATTATTCAGATAATTTAGAAAATATAATATGAACTAAATACTTGATGAAATTCCTAATTAATGAAAATATCTCAAGGTGAAAATAGTACATGAAAATCTTATCATCATTCTGTAATTCATGAATTAGTTAGTGATGTTGTGTTATGAAGACAGCAACTTACATACAGGTGGTTCAAAAAAAATAAAGAAATTGAAACTTCTAAGAAAACAGATTAGATGCAGTTTTACCTGCTCCTTTCATGAAGCTGAACTGAAAACTCTGAACATGATTCTTCACTACTGCCTTACAAGTCCCTTAGACTCTGTTTACTTACTTATTTTTAGTCTTGTGTGTGTGTGTGTGTTTTATGTAGTTATTTATCACTACATTGTCAAGTACAGGAAATTCTTCCAAGTCTCATTAACCATTAATAACAAAGAAATACATGTTTCTGTAGAGTGTAAAATAATATATGCAACTAAGCATCAGAGGGGTCCTGCATGTGAAGTTTTAGTAGATATTGACAACTTCTCCGAAGTGAATATACCACTGAGACAGGCTACAGAGCACTCATGATGAATACCTTTTATACAACTCTTTATTCTCACATTTGTCAAATTTTGGTTTAGCTTTTAATTTTAATCATTCTGCTGGACATGTGGTATTATGTCAGAATGATTTTATTTGCACTGTCCTAGTGATTAAAATGTTTGAGCAACTCTTTGTGTGCTTATTGGTATTTTGTATATACTCTTTTGTAAAATAGCTATTCAAATCTTTTGCCCATTTTTGAGGCAATTGGCCTGTTTTTTTCTTTTTGATTATTTTCTGTGTATCATGGATATGTGTCTTTTAAAAGTTTTGTGACTATTTTCTCACATGGAGCTGTTTGCTGTTGCTGCCTTATTTTGAGCTCTTTTGATAAAACCTATTCATGTAAATTAATTAACTACATTTAAAACATTTCATTTTTATTTTTATTTTTATTTTTTTGAGACGGAGTCTCGCTCTGTCGCCCAGGCTCGAGTGCAGTGGCGGGATCTCGGCTCACTGCAAGCTCCGCCTCCCGGGTTCACGCCATTCTCCTGCCTCAGCCTCCCGTGTAGCTGGGACTACAGGCGCCCGCCACTACGCCCGGCTAATTTTTTGTATTTTTAGTAGAGACGGGGTTTCACCGTTTTAGCCGGGATGGTCTCGATCTCCTGACCTCGTGATCCGCCCGCCTCGGCCTCCCAAAGTGCTGGGATTACAGGCGTGAGCCACCGCGTTCATTTTTATTTAAAAATAGCATATTTTATAATAGAAGTCATCTTTCATTCATTATTGCCTCAAATTTTAATCATGCTTTTGAATTCTCACAGAACCCTCAAATTGAAACCACTATCCTTGTATCTAATATCATAAACTTATTTTGTCTGAAGAAGTGAAATCAATATAATATTCACACATTTGTGCTAGGCTTCTTTTTTATTCATGACTTTACAAGTGTTTTAGTATTCTTTCATCAATTTATGGAATTCCATTGTGTAGATATATCAAAATTAATTTGGCTTGGTAATATTTAGTATTCTTTCATCAATGTACAGAATTCTATTGTGTGGATATATCAAAATTAATTTGACATTATAACATAAAACATTTATTATTTTTGGATTTATATTATTATAAATGTTCTTGCTGTATCTGATGTCTTTTGGTAATGATAGTTCCAATTCTGTTTTATATATATAAAGTAGCAATAGAATTGCTGTGACATAAGATATATGTCGTTCATTATTTGCAAACAGAGACAATTTTTCAAAGTAATTTAACAATTTAAAATTTAAGTCTCCCAAAGCAATATAAGAGGGATCTAGTTGTTCAAAGTCTTACCAACTCATGAATTTCATTCTATTTTAGCCCTTCCCATATATATATGTATAATGGTAATTTATGGTGGCCTTAATTTGCATAAACACTGATGTATATTGTAAACAGATTTCAATGTTTTATAGGCTACTTATTATACACTTTTTAAAGTAACTGTTAAAAGAGTTTGCAATTTTACCGTTGAACTTTCTTTTTCTAATTTATATTTTATTTCTTGTGTATATACACTTGTGTGAACAAACACACATATAATTTTAATACAAGTCCTTTGTCTTATATGACTTGTGGATATTTGCCTGACATTTTGGATTTTTATTTTATCTTATTTTTGACATTTTTGACAATAATTTTAGTATTTAATGTTCAGATTAAGATCTGTAATTCACCACAAATTGACATTTTTGTATGGTGTACAGTAGGGTTCTGATTAATTTTTCCATGTATATATCTAATTGACCCAGTACTATTTGTTGAAAAGAATTATATATACATATATATATATATATTTTTTTTTTTTTGAGACAGAGTCTCACTCTGTCACCCAGCCTGGAGTGCAGTGGTGTGATCTCAGCCCACTGCAAGCTCCACTTCAGGGTTCACGCCATTCTCCTGCCTCAGCCTCCTGAGTAGCTGGGACTACAGGCGTCCACCACCATGCCCGGCTAATTTTTTGTGTTTTTAGTAGAGATGGGGTTTCACTGTGTCAGCCAGGATGGTCTCCATCTCCTCACCTCATGATTTGCCCGCCTTGGCCTCCCAAAGTGCTGGGATACCTTGAAGTATCACTTTTATCATAAACTGTGTGGTCATATATTTATGGGTTTGTGTTTGGACCTATATTTAACCCTTGAATGAATTATTTTCTGTTTGCCTATCTTTGTTAGATAGTGTATTAGTGTTAAGACACTGTTAATATGATAACATTATAATTATTCTAGAAAATAGCATACTCTTTAGTACTCTGTATTCTCCAGTTTTATTTTCCACCTTAGGTAAGCTTCCCTTTCTATTATAGAACCTTTGCACTGCTATGAAAAGATTATAATGTCTTTGTTGAATTTTATACTCAGAACTTACTGAGATGTTGAATGACACTACTGAATATAGAAAAACTGGGTAGGAGACATAGTTTTTACAGTATTGGCTCAATCAATCCAGGAACAAGGTATATTTAATATTTGCAAAGATTTATTTAATTATTCTCAGTAATGTATTTAATTTAATGCATAAAGTTCTAATTTATCTTTTCTTAATATTTTCCCTTTTTGTGTTAGTATTTGATAATGTAAAGGCTGATGTTAATCCAAGTCATATTATTTTGGAAATAACATTTCTCATATTTTATTGTTAATATATGGAAAAATATTATGTTTAAATTGATTTTATAACCAATTACCTTTCTAGATTTATTTATTAATTATAATAGTGCAACTATAGTCTGATTTTCCTACATACACAATTATGTCATTTGGTAATAATGATAGTTTATTTCTTCTTTTCTAATCTTTGCAATTTTTTTCTCCCCTTTATTTTCAAAGGGGATTAAAACTCCCAACTTGTATGTAGACTGAGATATAGACATGTAGAAATAGTTACAAAAGTCAAAAAGTATGCAGACAATAATATGAATACAGGTAATCATGTAAACATGTCAAAAAGTTGTCTGAGTGGCAGAGAATTAAATCAGAACTATATTATTAAGTTAGCAAATTCTCAGAAATCTGAAATTTTGTATGTAGTTTTCAAAAATAATTTCACATTATTTTTCTTTGAGTGTCTTTTAGTAGGTATAATACCACAACTTGTGGGCTTATTATGGTCACGCTGTTGAATTAGAGAGTAAATAATTTGTATTCAGTAAAAGAGATCTATATAGAGAGGATGGGTAATGTGAGAATGACATATAAAGATTGTTTGAGGTACAACTATAGAAATATACAAGTAGACCAATACAACAAAATAGTAAGTCTAGAAATAAACCCATATATGTGTAGTCACCTGATTTATGACAAAGATGGCCAGCTTTTTTTTTTTTTTTCCCAAATGTGATAGTCTTCCAATAGATGGTGCTTGGTTAATTGAATTTGGACAAAAATGATTCTTACTCATAGCATCACACTATAAATAAAAATCAATTAAGAACCTTTAGTAGTTTTAAATGTAAACTGTAAAAAAATAAAGCTTTTATAAGAAAACATAGAATACTGTTATGTCTTAGTAAAGGCTACAATAAAAAGATACCATGGATCGAGTGGTTCAAATAACAAGCATATATTTCTCATAGTTCTGGGAAGATCATAATCAAGGTACCAGCATATACCATTTCTAGTGAGGGCCCTTTTCTTGACTTGCAGAAGCCTGTCTTCTCTTGATATGTTCACATTGCAGAGAGAGACAGAGTAGTAAAGAGAGAGAATGTTCTAGTCTCTTTCTCTTCTAGGATACTAATCCCATTAGGGCCTCAACCTTCATGACCTCATGTAAGCCTAGTTACATCTCAAAGTTCCTGCAGCCTAAAACCATCTCATTAAGGGGTAAGTTTTCAACAAATAAAGGTGAAGGGAGACAAAAGCATGCAGTCCATAACAATTTATGACATTACAGAAGATGAAGGTTTCTTATTTAGCATGGAAAAAGAGTTTACTATCAAAGAAAAAAACTAAAGATTGCTTTAAAATCGTTAAGTGAAAGTTAAGATTAAAATTAAGAAATTCTTTTCCTAAAGACACCATTAAGAAAGTAACAAGATAAGAGAGTGAAAGAATACATTTGTGAATATGCATCTGACAAAAGATGTGTATATAATATATGTAAAGGAATACTACTTAAAGACATATGACCTAATTTCAAAAAAATAGGAAAAATATTTAAATGGGTACTTTACAAAAATGGATATCTAACAGACCAATAAGCACATTTGAAAAGTTGCTCAACTTTGTTAACCCCTAGAAATGCAATGTCACCAAGTACTTATCAGAAAATTTAAAATCAAAAAGACTGATGATACTAAGTATTAGCTAAATTACAGAGCAACTGGGATTCACGTCCATTGTTGATGTAAGTATTAATTGCTACTACCACTTTGAAAAACTGTTCGGTGGTATCCACTTAAATCAATACTAACATTACTAACGACCCAGTAATTTCACTTCTAGGTATATTTGCAACATAAATGGTTATAAATATCAACCAAGACAAATGTTCCACATGTCTGAAGCAGCATTATTCGTAAGTGTATGAACAAAAATATAGATAGGTATTCTTTTCATCCTTCAACAACTGAAAGAGGAAACAAACACATATTTTTATATCATGAAATGCTGAATAGCAATGACAATCAATGACATATATCTGTATGCAATAACATGCATGAACCATAAAAAATTATTATTGAATGAAAGTAGTTGCAAAAGAATACATACACATACACTACTTACATAAATTTCAAAAGCAAGCAGGAATAACCTGTTTGTAGAAATCAAATTATGATTATGTGCTAGTGACTGGAATGAGACAGGATTAGTGCTTCTGAGGTTTTGGAAATATTAATGTTGTGTATTTTCGTGTGAGTGTTCATCAAATTGTGTGTTGCCTTTGTGGTAATATATCCAGCTATACAAATTATTATATGTACAATTTTCATCATATACATTTTACTTCAGTGTTAATATTACTTTAAATTAATATAAATGATTTTAAAACAAAAACCTATTATGATGTTTTAATGATATCTTAGTCATAAAATAATTTTATATAAAATGAACATTTTATAATATCTATTCTGGATTAATTCTCTATTGTGTTCTTTATTTATCTAACTGATTGCTGTTCTATATTTCTTTGAGTATCCCTTGTCATGATAAAATTTTTAAAAAATCAATTTGTGGCTAATACATTTTCAGCTTCATTTTGCAGTAGAAAAGTTGAAGACATAGAATCCAATATATTTCATCACAAGTCACAGTGGATCAGATAAAGTCTGTAAAAATCAGCTTCCAAATGGACAAAAATTTGCCTTCACAATTAGGATTCATAATTTTCAAAGTACTAAGAAAAACATAATTTAAAATCCTAGAATGAAACTCAAATACATTTCTGTGCAGTTATCAGGTGTGGGGGTGGGACGGATGAGCATTGCCGGTAATTAACACTCCAGGGATAGCATTAAGCTGAAAATGCATTGAAGTTGCTGAAAAACTACCTCTGCTTCCTGGAATCTGGAGTGGGACAGATCTATGCTGTCTCCCAGAGGTCCCAGTGGAAAAAAAAGGTTCAGTTAACCATAGCAATAAACTGGTCATTACCGTCTTCTTTATTGGATTTCTTCCTTCCTCTGTCTCACTTTCCCATTCCCTGTTGTTGCTCCCTGAATCCACCTCCTAATTAAGCTTTATACATGACAGCTCTTGTATCAAATACTGTTTCTGAAGCCAACCCAATGCAATGCTAAAGCTGGAGAAGAAATAAAACCCATAACAAAACTCACCAGCTTATTTAACAGATGACTGAGATGCTTGGAAGAATCCTAGGGAGTTTTCTGAGAAATGTTCTGGCCCTACCCACAGTTAGTGTTTTGGCCTGTCTCCTTGCAAATATGCACGGTCATAAATTAGGGCAAAAAAAAAAAAAAGTTAAGCTCTGCAATTTTATGTTTTCCAAAATAAAACCATTGTTTTGATTAAGCTATACAAAAAGCATGTGTTTTATTTTAATTATAATGCAAAATAATTATTTTTCTTACACATTTGTCTTTTTTATGATACAAAATTTTCTGCCATTTTTTTCCCTTTCTCTTTCATTATTTTTGTATAACTGTGATAAAATTTGTGGTTTTATAAAACTGTGCTGTTTGTTTTAAAACACCACAAATAAAGTGGGACATAAGTGAACAGATTATAACACTGGAAATAGAAATATAGAAAATCATTCCATGATTTTGCTAGGATCCAGAATGGAGTCTAATCTTTAACTCTGTCAGTTTATGATTTGCAGTGGCTTTTCCTCAACCACTTTCTCCAAACAATATTTATGCTTCTTTTGGAGGAAAAATGTGTAGGAATTTGTCATCACCAACTCAAAAGCATGTAGGAAATAACCAGAACAGACATGTAAGCAACAACTCAAATATGTTTGCAACACCTTTGCAGCAAAAATGACTTTTTTTTTACACCAGTAACTTCTGTTATTCAACATAAGTTATGTTATGTTGAATAACATAACTACTTAGAAGTAGTTATGTAGGTTATGTTGAATAACTTAGAAGTAGTTTACTTCAGTGCTTGCTCATTCAACTATATTGTCCATGAAAGCCATAACACCTAATCATAAGCAATAAAAAGCAAAACGACACATAAAGATCCATATAGTTTAGTATCAGGGCAAAAAACAAATTAGAAGCACTACTAATTCCTCTGTGTTTCCTTCCAATCCACTCTCACTCTCTACCAACTTCTACATTTATGAAATGAGCCTAAACAAGGAACATTCATGACTATTGCCTCAGAAGTCTCAACATATTTTTTGGTTTATTTATTTCTGTGTGCTACTTGGAGATGTTATAATTGGAATATATCATTACTATAGACGGAACTACTGTGTACAGTTTAGAAAGTTGCATTTCTATATTAGTTATGGGGGCATTTTCAAAAACATTAATTTGATAAAAAGATTTGAAACAACATCAGAAATAGTGGACAAAAATGGCTAACGTAGAATTTCTTTCTTTTGCTACGATTCCGGAATGATCCACTTCTAGCTAGTGCCAGCACATCACTCAAAACCATCTGTAATTGATGATATTTTTTCTTTTATTTCTAGTAAAAACAAAAAAACTTAGAATGAAATAATTTTAGCTGGGAGTAAACTAGCAGTGACATAGAAGACTAAACAATAGCCTTGCGAGTGACATGTTCATAGAACTGTAGTTTATGTTCAACATTTGTTGCCTCTAAACTATACCCAACTTATCAGAGAATGCTGAAGAGGAAGCCCTATTTTGTGACTAGGAGGATTATATGGTATCAGCCTCCTCATGCACATTCTAAATTGCAGTCATCTGAAGTCTGGTAGCAAGATGTTCCATCTCAACTGAGGCCCTACAGCATTAAAAATAACGTTTTCACAAATGTCTAATGATTACCTGAGACAATGTTGGCTTTGTCCCAAAAGTCTCCCATTAGAATTTGCTTAGCCTCTATATAGTATGTAGATACGCCACAGGCTCTGCACTTTCTCTACTGAGTCAGAGGGGCAAAATGGCTGAGAGGGATACACAGAAGGAAAGCTCTCTCCACTCTGCCTGACTGAAAAGTCACTTTCAAATGAACTGCTTCATGGTAACCCACAATTTCCTATTCTCCACATCATTTCAGCATACCGTAAATGTAATTGAAATAATTTTCTTTGTTATATTCAGAAGGTTGACATCCTTTTGGCATGGATCTAGAGAGCTGTCACATGCCTGTGGCAGGTTTTTTGTATTTTGTTTTTGTCCCTGTCATGTGAACGCAAACTATTCTTTGTTTATTCGCATAAGGGAAAAGAGACATTCAAGATTAATTGCTGGTTATCTGATTCCAGTGACTGAATTGCTTTGATCTAGGTATAAAAAGATATCTGTAAAAACAACTATAATTGGGTGCTGGAAACATCATCATCTATGCATCTTTCTAATATTTAATAATGGCTCTGATACCACCAATACACACATAGACAAACACACACACAGACCTGATGTTGTTTGTAATTTATTCTTTAGGCAAGCAGGAGAAATTCCAGTGATTTTTACCGAACTCTATCTATCAAAATAGTTAAGTCCTACTTCATGGTTCACGGTCTGGAAGAATAAACGCGGGGACTAGTATAGTCCTTTTAGTGAAAAATGGGTTTATCACCAGACACGTACATCTCTGCGCGTTAGCCCTGGTTAGCATCTTGGGTCCCTGAAATTGGCATTATTATTTGGTATATTTTTAAAGATTCACCAATAATAATGATTTTTTACAGCATAATTATACAGGTAAATACTCAAAGGTCAGAGGTGGGAAGAAATGGAGGAGTGATCAGACTATATACATAGAGTGATACAGCACAGATAGTCTACAATGTTGCAATGTGAAGGGACACTGAAGATTAGAACTGACTCATTTTGGAAAATTCGCAGGTGGCTGTTATACTGTAAATCCAACAGTGACAAATGTTAACCTATGGACCAAATCTAGTTCTATGCCTGTTTTAAAAATAAAGTTTTATTGGAGCACATTCAGTCATTTACAAATGATCTAAAGTTGTTTTTATACTACAATAGCAGAATTGAGTAATTTTGATATATATCACATGGCCCCCACAGAGCCCAAAATGTCCACCATCTAGCCTGTACAAAAAAGTTGTGGTGAGCTTGAGACTGAATAGTTAGCTGAAATTATACTTCCCTTACCAGCTATAGATTCTCTTTATATAAACTGAATTGTATTTTACTGGCTCTATCAGTTTAATATCTATATACCTACTTATTATACATAGCAAGGGATCTCTATGAAATATACCAATATTTTTCTAATTCACCTCATCCTAAGAAACTGCTGGGAAAACATATATTTCTAAGTTCACCATGGAATATCCTGATGTAGCATTTCTGCTAAATTCTATGAATATTTTCACAAGAGCCACAAGTAATGATTATGAGAACTATGGGAAGGCAATAGAAGACCATTTGCAGGTAACTGCTTATTAAGTTTGCCTTGCCGTTATGTATGTTGACCATAATTATGCCAATTCAGGTTTTGGTGGCTAAATGTTCTCAATTAGGATCTACCATCTTATGATGCTCCTAATCCCACTGAATTCAGTAGGTTTATTTCACTTATGTTCTCCAGAAGAAAATCTCTGAGATTATCATTTCACCAAAATCTGACAGACATACTTGTCAGGAAAATATATAACTCCTCCACACGTGCTGTAGCAGGTGTGTGTGTGTGTGTGTGTGTGTGTGTGTGTGTTTAAATGTGCAAAGGTTGCCAAAGATATTCCTGTTGCCAAAATTATTCCTGTTTCTAAATCCACTGAACTTTCCTGTCCATTACCAACTTGAATTCTCAACAGTACTGAATACATTTATAGGGATAAAATAATACCATACAACTTCTCATTATTTTAGTCCATAAAATTTAAACCCAAGTCCTATTGGTTACATCTCCGTATGTCTATTAAACCTGGTTATTCTATCAAATCAATTTACCGTCACTCTAATCTAAGTCATTATCATCCCTTTCTTCCAAATTAATACAGTTGTTTCACTCTTGTTTACCTGTGAGATGCTCAGGTGTAGCCAAAATCTTCCTTTCTAAATAAATACTGATTAATTTTATATATTTGTGTATAATTTCCTAATGGACTTCCATTGTACCTGGGATAACATCCAAACTCCTTAGTATGACTTGAAAGTTCTTTCAAGATTTAGCTCCTATTTTTCAGTCTCATTGTCTATCACTCTCCCTCTTGTTCAATCATCATATATACAATACTGTCTCTCAGACAAAAACTAAAGACATAATGTTCCATCTGCCTAGAATACTCTTCTCATGTTTTCCTTCCACTACATTCATTTGACTTACTTGTTGCTTGAGACATGCTAAAATAGGTGTGTAAATAAGAGAACTCTGCTTGACACAGTGGGGATCTGTGTCCCCACCCAAATCTCATGTCGAATTGTAATCCCCAATGTTGGAGGTGGGGCCTGGTGGGAGGTGATTGGATCACGGAAGTGGTTTCTCATGGTTTAATACCATCCCTCTTGCTGCTGTTGTGGCGATAGTGAGTTCTCATGAGATCTGCTTGTTTAAAAGTGTGTAGTACCTCCTCCCTCTCTTTTCTTCCCCCTGCTCCTCCTAGGTAAGACGACTTACTCTCTCTTTGCCTTCCGCCATGATTAAAAGCTCCCTGAGGCCTCTCCAGAAGCAGAAGTCGCCATGCTTCCTGTATAGCCTGTGGAACCATGAGCGAATTAAATCTCTTTTCTTTATAAATTACCCAGTTTCAGGTATCTCTTTATAGCAGTGCAAGAATAGATGAATACACTGCTGTAATGTCAATTATATTGGAAATGACTTATTCAGTACCACAAACTCTATGAGACATGAGAACTTACTTGCTCACATGAATCTGGATAATTACCAGAACAAAGCAGGTAATAATGTATGTGTGTTAATAGGATATCTTTTCCCTCTAACATCTTACTTTTTACCAACTTATTAAAGCCTTGAAGTTAAACTTATTAAAATATAACCTACGAAGATTCAAGTATTCCCCATTGACCAACTTGTTTAAGAATTTTAGAAACTGAACTCTGATCTATTTAAAATGAGTTAATTAGATTTTAAAATTTTCTTACTATTTAACTACTATAATGTTTAAAAAATATTGGTGTTCCCAATATTTTAATAACTTATTTGATATAAAATAATTCTTTAAACTAGAGATATAATCACAAGTTCAGACAATTTGTAGCTACTTGGATCGACAAATTTCATAGTTACAACTGGGAGCTGATAAAGTTTTGTAATAAATATTATAAAAACACACGTATGAATCCAAATAAGAGACAGCACAAAAATAATGCTAATACCATAAGCCTAGTAAGTCTCATTTCTTTTTCTGCATCCAAGGCCTGAAATTATGAGGTTCACATGCAAGACACACTCTCATGTCAAAGAGATTACGGCAGAAAAATCACTATAGAATTTTATATTGCAACCAACTATTTACTATATTTTTAAGTCATTCTGTATAGCTGTAACATTCAAACTCTAGATGTTAGTTGACACCAAATTCCCAGTTAAAGCCATTTCCTCTCCAACTTAATAAAAGGTAATAGAAAGCAATTAAGAATAACATTATTTGAAAAAATTATATATATGTTCTTTTTCATGAATAAGTTTTGTATAAATTGCATCACTCTGCTTATCATTACAAATAAATTACTTGCTATAATCTTACAAATGATGGTGACAACGAAATGTACCAGGAAACCTACAGGTTAATCTACAATTTAAAAGGTATATTTTGCTTATGCATTTCTTTTCCTGACAACTTTCCAACTAGATTGTTTTCAGAGAAAATTCTTGTGTGAGAATATGTAGTCAAAGATAACAATCCCTATGTGCTATGAACTGGGTGTTTTACATCCCTCAAATGTATATGTTGAAGCCCTAACCCTTAATGGGAAGGTATTTGGAAGTGGGGCCTTTGGAAAGTAATTAGGCCTAGATGATACCATGAGGGTGGGATCCCATGCTGTAACTGGTGTGCTTATAAGAAAAGGAACAGACATCAGAGCTCTCTTTCTTTCTGCCATGATGTCAGGACACAAAGAGAATGTAGCCATTTGCAAGCCAGAAAAAAAGTCTTCATCAGAAACCAAATGATCCAGCACCATGATGGTGGACTTTGCCTTCTCCAAATTTATGAGAAATAAATGCCTGTAAGTCACCCAGGCTGTGGTATTTTGTTACAACAACCACAGCAGACTAAGACTCTTATAATGATATGTAATGTTTAAAGAAAAATGGGGTGGGCAATTGTTCAGAAGATAGAAGAAGAGAAATGAAGGACAGTATAGTATATTCCAGCTGGGCATGGTGGTTTATGCCTGCAATCCCAGCACTTTGGGAGGCTGAGGCAGGAGGATTAGTTGAGCTCAGGAGTTAGAGACCGGCCTGGGCAAAATGGTGGAACCCCATCTCTACAAAAATACGAAAATTAGCCAGTGTCGTGGGGCATGCCTGTAGTCCCAGCTACTCAGGAGGCTGAGGTGGAAGGATCTTGGGCCTGGGAGGTGGAGGCTGCAATGAGCCATAATCACACCACTGCACTCAAGCCTGGGCAACAGAACAAGACCCTGTCTCAAAAGGGAAAAAAAGAGAGAGAGAGAGAGAAGGAAGGAAAGAAGGAAGGAAGGGAGGGAGGGAGGGCAGAGAGAAAGAAGGAAGGGAGGAAGGAAGGAAGGAAGATATTTTTCAGAAGCATCGATATGTTAACTGATTTGTCTTGATGATTACAATTTTGTTCATAAGGAAGGATCTCAGTTCCTCCCAAATTCTCTCCTACTTATCTTCTGAACTCAAACCACAGTGGTTTCTGAGGCAGAACCCAATAACACTTTCAGTTCATCCCAGTCACCTATTGCTACCTCATTTGTAGCCTTTCGGATCAATTATGAAAATATTAATACTTAGGGAGGCGAGGCACAGTTGCTAACACCTGTAATCCCAGCACTTTGGGAAGCTAAGGCGGGAGAATCAGTTGAGCCCAGAAGTTTGAGACCAGCCTGGGCAGCATAGTGAGACTCTGTCCCTACAAAAAAATAAACAAAATTAGGCGAGTGTGGTGGCACACCTATAGTCCTAACTATTCTGCAGGCTGAGGTGGGAGGATTGCTCACGCCACGGAGGTCAAGGCTGCGGTGAGCCATGATTGCACCACTGCACTCCAGCCTGAGTGACAGAGTGAGACACTGTTCCAAAAACGAAATAAATAAAATGTTTTTAAAAATGAAAATACAGAGAGCACAGCAAACAACAATTCTCATCAGATGACATGCAAACTTAATGGCATTTTTATTTCACTTCTAGTATCTCTTTCTTCCTTTAAAGCTGTCTTCACAGATTGTTTTTTTCACACAAAAATTTTCTGATTGACCCTACTACCTAGTTTGCAAGCTGAGAATTCAAAATTTGTGGGAAAATGATATGGATTCAAGCTGAAGAGTTTCTTTGCAGATACTTTTCCCATTAAATTAAAAAAATGGTAAAATATGTGAAGTTTCTTTTAGGCTTTCTGATTTAGGCTCTAGGTTCCTTTGATTCTAGGAAGGAGAATATAAAAATTTTCATAGCTGCTTCGAATTTTTACTCTCCTTTCTAAAATAAAATAATATAAAGAAATCTTATGAAAAATGAATGAATTAAAATAGGCTGCCTTTTTATCATGAATATTTCTATTTAAAGTTGCATAGAAAGTCATTGAAGTTTATTACGCTCGTTATGAGAAGAGGGTTAATGTCAGAAATTGAGAACTATGCAACAGTTTTTTAAATAAGTATTTTTAAGGCATTTAACCTATATGCTAAGATTAAGTTTCCTTGTTATGATTTCACATTTACTAACTTGTTTATATAGATAACTTTTTTCTTCTGTGAGCCAACATATTTTAATTATTTCATTCATATTATAAAATATCATTTGCCTAATGATACAACAAATACAATTATTACAGATGTCAATGAGTTAAGATTTTCAAAATTTATGTCTTATTTTTACTGTGGCACTTAACCCTTCATTTAAATATCATTTCATTTTTTTCTTAAAATACCATGTTTCTTCAATGATTTCAGCATATCATATGCAAAAACTTTTGTTTAGAGAAACTCAGATGAATAATTATGTTCTCATTAAAATGCAACATCTGCAGACATGCTCCTAATTATCCTCCTATCGATTTTCTAGTTGTTTCAGAGAGTGCAATGCCTTTCATCATTCTAGAATTAAAGAGTAATACTATTTTCAATTTCTGTAAAATATACGACACTATAAGATAGCTCGCATTCCATGCCACCGCATGGTCACAAAAATAATTGCCTGGCAGTTTCCTCTCAAACTCTTCTATATAAAAATGTACAGAAGTATGGTTATTCAATCAAAAGAACACAAGTATAAAAGTTTTTGGCTGACTCCCTTCTGAACAGCCTCAGATTCATATCTGTAAATGGTAAAATCTACTTTAAAAGATCATTAATTTGTCTTCGCTTGAGAAGTAGTGAGTACCAGTAAGCCTAAGTCATTTCACTGAGTCCTTGATCTAGCCTAGAATCTCTACTAAGAGTATTTCCTGAGATGTATTTTGACATTTAATGATATCAGTTCACTTGAATATGTTCACAACATAAGTAAGACACTTCAGTTGAAACAAACTTCTAAGGAGTCCGTCTCATGCCTTTAGAGACGCATCTAGGAATAGCAGTTAGAACTCTGTAGCACACTGCAACAGTCACAGTCTAACATTTCTGACATAACTTAACTCCTCGAATCCTGGTCCTTTATAGCATTCTGGAAAGTTGGAGAGTTTTATAAATTTTTCTCCTTTGTTTTTTCTTTGTATTGTCATCAAAGACAATTGAGTTTGAAGATGGGGCACTTCAGTCAGATTCAACCCTTTACTTCTGGAATGCTGCAAACAACACAAACTTCTGGGAACAAAATCCCTTTCAGTTTCATCAGTGAATCACATAATTGGTTCTTGAGGTTCAGAATATATTTATTATATAAAGACATTATTTAAAGACAACATGATTGCCATGCGTTACTCATTCATAGATTCCCTCTCCAGGACTTTTTTTTTGTCGAACAACAAAAGGTCTTTTGTGACAGACAACAAATCACAAAACTGAACAACATGATTACCGTGAAATCACAAGGCACAAGATTAGTACACAGTGTTACAGAGCAAAATTATGGAGAAAGTTTTTCTTGATATAGTATGTTGTTTTATCTATAACACAAGTTATTTACTTCAATTTATTTTTGTTTTGTTCTATTATAAACTTTAATGTAAACGTTTGTTCAACTTTTACCACAATGATTTAATCCATGAGATTCTTTCACGGTATCTATTTTAATTCAATTGTGCATGAGAACTTATATACATTCACTGATGCTATGTGATTATGATTTTCTAGACTACGACCAAATTATTATTGAATATTTACAAAACTGTAATATTCGGAAAAGAAGAAATGCATGTGTGCCTTAAAAAGACACATAAATCACATATTAATGAAAAACATACAACTAATTTTAGTAAACAAGACAGAATTAACTTTGAACTTAATTTTGTAAACTACGGTGAAAATACTCCCTTTAGTATCTTATGTGTAAAAATGCTATTTTTGTCCAAGCACAACAATATGTACAGTATGACAACATATGTTTCTTTATCATCACTGGAGCTGACTTGTTAAGCTGCCAATGATTTCAATGGTAATGAGCAGGCAATTTCAGATCCAGTGCAAAAATTCACAAAACATTTTATACCTTTCCTTCTCAGAATGTTAAGCTAGACAATATGATGGAGTTACTGAATGTGTCATATATGAGGCTGATTTCTCCAATGACATAACTATATAACTTGAGAATAATTAGAAGGGAGATTAATCACTTTGCTATTACTTCAAAGTCACTTGTATGCAATAACGTATTGGAAGCAATACATTAAAAACCAAGACACTTTATGATATGAAAAATATCCAACCTTAATTTCATTTTTTCAAATTATAGCAATGAAAACACAAACTTACATAACTAAATATTGTATGACTGTACTAAAAGGAAACATATCTATAAACCCAATAAAGCATATATTTCCTTCTTTGCTACCATTCACCATGAGGTACGGTCATATCTTCTTTGTTCCTCAAGACAGCAGCGAAATACAGTACTCGTTAACTGAGGCAACCAAAACATCTAATTTTTTTTCAGATGTTTATTAAACAGAGTTGAAGTGGTTTCACTACATAATTTACTGTACTAATTATCATAACTTAGAAATTTGCCAGTTGTCTTTTATGTATATGTTTGACCTTCCCCTGTGAAATATATTCATGGAATATTTGTTTTTCTCGTAGGCTCTGCATTCTTAAAATTTATTTATTTATTTAGTTAGTTAGTTAATTTTTCAGATGGAGTCTCACTCTGTCGCCCAGGCTGGAGTGCAGTGGCGCGATCTTGGCTCACTGCAAGTTGCACTTCCCGGTTTTAAGCAATTATCTGCTTCAGCCCCCAGAGTAGCTGGGATTACTAGCGCCTGGCTAATTTTTGTACTTTTAGTAGAGAAGGGGGTTTTAGCATCTTGGCCAGGCAGGTCTTGTGAGCTCTTGACCTCGTGATCCACCCGCCTTGGCCTCCCAAGGTGCTGAGATTACAGGTGTGAGCCACTGAGCCCAGCCAAACTTATTTCTTAAATTAGCTGTCTAAATATCTATGAGAAAATAAAACTCAATTTAAAAAATAATAATTGAGCCTTACAATTATACAGCAAACTGTCTTTGTTGGTGGTGGTGATTATAAAATATATCATTAATTATCTTTTAAAGCACACAGGCCATGGAAAATAAAACCGGAACAAATGTAGCATAAAAATTATTTTTTAGTTTTTTTTTTTATCACAGTCCATATGCAAGAAAAAGAGAAATGAAAAAAAACAAAAGAAAAACAAAAGAAAACCTTACCAAACACCACTTATATCTGAGACTGTTATAATTCATTTAGAAAACTGTATTCATGTACTTGGGGAAAGAAAACCATTGTATTCAGCAACATAAACATATACCCCCAGAATACGTTTATTTAATGCATTTTTATCCCCATTTAATTTGTTAATATTTGAGAGTTTACATTTAGATTTCCAATCTGGAGCATCTTTATAATCTATGAATGGGTTAAAACAATTTAGTTTCTTTTTCCGGATTAGTAATTGCTCCTAGACTATGAACTTCATAATGGCTGTGGCTTTCTTTTTATATTCTGTTTGCTAACAAAATCCCAGGAACTGAAACATTCCCAGATACGTAGTAAGTGCTCAATAAATATTTGTTAAGAGTACTGTATTCTTTTTACAATGTCCAACATGTACGATTCCATCTCTTACAATAAAACTGAATGAAAGGTTATTGCAACACAAGCTATGGAACTTTTCCACCTCTTGTTTATAACATGCCCATTATTTAAAACTACATGATTTTCCAGAATATTTTTGTGCATTTTCTCCTATATCTTATGCCCTTATAAAAAAGAAAGAATACTGTTTATAAAAAACTAATATTTCAAACTAATATTTCACATATGGCGTGCAGATTATACTGTTTCTTTCAATGAAAACATTTAGGCTGGGCGCGGTGGCTCATGCCTGTTATCCCAGGACTTTGGGAGGCCGAGGCGGGTGGATCGCGAGGTCAGGAGATCAAGACCATCCTGGCTAACACGGTGAAACCCCATCTCTACTAAAAACACAAAAAATTAGCCGGGCGCGGTGGCGGGCGCCTTTAGTCCCAGCTACTCGGGAGGCTGAGGCAGGAGAACGGCGTGAACCCGGGAGGCGGAGCTTGCAGTGAGCCGAGATAGCGCCACTGCACTCCAGCCTGGGCGACACAGCGAGACTCCGTCTCAAACAAACAAACAAACAAATAAAACCAAAAACATTTAAACATTCATTTTGATCAAATGAAAACTCTCTAAATTAATAAGTCAATCAGTAGTTAAGAAACAAAAATCAATAATGCTTTTGTTAGGGTAGTAATAAATATAAAATGCAACAGAGGGAATTGCACTCACTGTAAAAACTAAAAAATACTAGGAAATGATGAAAACTACATCGTTAGTATGGTAAGGAAGCTAAAACATTTATTAAAAGAAAAATATAATTGTAACATGTTTTGAAAACAGAAGTATGTAATGCTATCATGGTATTCATGGAAACATGACTTGCTGGAAGTTCTACTTAGATGGGTGAGGCTTGGACCCATCCAGGAGCACATCACGATGAGCACAGGATCTTTGGATGGATCATCTTGAAGTATTTAGCATGCTATTCATCTTTTTTTTCTTTCCTTATTTTTCACCCAAAAGATAAATAATCAAGGACATCAACAAAATGTTCACAATAGATGAAATGCTCATGACGGAAGGTAAAATGTTTAAAACTTATCATTTATGTGTCTCACATTAGCAAAAAGAAATGTTAAAATGAAATCCTCGGTGCTGATAAGGATGTGTTGAACAGACAATTTAAAATAACAGATAACACTGCCTATATCATGTATATTAATAAAGATTTTGAAGGAACGTGTCACTGAGACTATGCAATTCTATCATACTCTTTAACATAGCAACATTGAAGATGGGACTCTGTCACTGCGGCAATTTGGATATAAATAAAGTTTATCACAGCGTATTTGATAATAGAGGGAAAAACTGGGGGAAAAAACATTAGCCAAGAATGGTGTGTTACATTAAAAAAATGAAGATCACAGAGATAACTTAAAAAGAATGGAAAATTGCTAATACATACTATTATTATGCTGTTCACTAACAAAACTCTAGAAACTGGAACATTCCCAGATATGCAGTAAATGCTTTATAAACATGATAAATGTGATAAAAGAGTGGAAGCACCTTTTACCTGTGGTTTCTTTATAATTATGTTTTGGAGTTACAGTTGCTATTCCCACCATCACTGGACATTTTACTTGAGAATTTCACAAGGACTGCCCGTCAATATATAAAAGTACTAGGTTTCCTTAACATGAGAGGGCAATTGTCCATGAATATCTAATACATGCAGGTCTCTTTGTTATTTACTTTAGTTGCAAAACCTAGCCATTTGGATGGCCAAGTAACCAACGGTCATCGAGTCCTAACCAAATAGAATAGAAAATAATGGGAATCGGTAAGCAAGTTCCACTTATTTGCTTTCTCCATGGAAAATAAATGTAACAGTATCTATTGTGTCTGAATATACAACGTAGTCAATGAAAGGTCTTCATTGGGGTTGATAATTGTTGCTTTCAACTTGCTCAATAGGGAAATGTGGCTGGTGAACACCATGCTCTCACCATCCTACACAAAGTGTTAAATTCTCCACTTTCCTTAGGGTAACAGAAGAAACATGTAAAAAAAAAATAACTGTCTGTGTTAGGCCATTCTTGCATTACTAAAGAGTTCCCAAAACTGGGTAATTTATAAAGAAAGTAAACTTAATTGGCTCATGCTTCTGCAGGCTTTACAGAAAACATGGTTCTGGTATCTGCTCAGCTTCTGAGAAGGCTTCAGGAAGCTTACAATTGTGGCAGAAGGCAAAGAGGGAGCAGGCATAACAGAAGCAACAGAGAGAGAGAGAAAAAAAAAAGAAAGGGAGGGAGAGGGGGAACAGGGTGAGGAAGGTACCACACCAAAATCAGATCTTATGAGAACTCACTCGCTATTGCAAAGACAGCACCAAGCCATGCAGGCTGTGCCTCCATGATCCAAACACCTCCCACCTAGCCCCACCTCCATTACTGGGGATCACATTGTGTCCGGAATTGGTGGGTTCTTGGTCTCACTGACTTCAAGAATGAAGCCGCGGACCCTTGCGGTGAGTGTTAACAGCTCTTAAGTTGGTGCGTCTGGAGTTTGTTCCTTCTGATGTTCGGATGTGTTCGGAGTTTCTTCCTTCTGGTGGGTTCATGGTCTCGATGGCTCAGGAGTGCAGCTGCAGACCTTCCCGGTGAGTGTTACAGCTCATAAAAGCAGTGTGGACCCAAAGAGTGAGCAGTAGCAAGATTTATTGCAAAGAGCGAAAGAACAAAGCTTCCACAGTGTGGAAGGGGACCCGAGCAGGTTGCCACTGCTGGCTCGGGCAGCCTGCTTTTATTCTCTTATCTGGCCCCACCCACAACCTGCTGATTGATAGAGCTGAGTGGTCTGTTTTGACAGGGCGCTGATTGGTGCGTTTACAATCCCTGAGCTAGACACAAAGGTTCTCCAAGTCCCCACCAGAGTAGCTAGATACAGAGTGTGGATTGGTGCATTCACAAACCCTGAGCTAGACACAGGGTGCTGACTGGTGTGTTTACAAACCTTGAGCTAGATACAGAGTGCCGACTGGTGTATTTACAATCCCTGAGCTAGACATAAAGGTTCTCCACGTCCCCACCAGACCCAGGAGCCCAGCTGGCTTCACCCAGTGGATCCCACACCGGGGCTGCAGGTGGAGCTGCCTGCCAGTCCCCCGCAGTGCACCCGCACTCCTCAGCCCTTGGATGGTCGATAGGACTGGGCGCCATGAAGCAGGGGGCGGCGCTCATCAGGGAGGCTCGGGCCGCACAGGAGCCCACGGAGAGGGTGGGAGGCTCAGGCATGGCGGGCTGCAGGTCCCGAGCCCTGCCCCGCGGGAAGGCAGCTAAGGCCCGGTGAGAAATCGAGCGCAGCGCCGGGACCCAGTACACCCTCCGCAGCCGCTGGCCAGGGTGCTAAGCCCCTCATTGCCCGGGGCCAGCAGGGCCGGCCGGCTGCTCCGAGTGTGGGGCCCGCCAAGCCCACGCCCACCCGGAACTCCAGCTGGCCCGCAAGCGCCATGCACAGCCCTGGTTCCCACTCACGCCTCTCCTTCCACACCTCCCTGCAAGCTGAAGGAGCCGGCTCCGGCCTTGGCCAGCCCAGAAAGGGCCTCCCACAGTGCAGCGGTGGGCTGAAGGGCTCCTCAAGTGCCGCCAAAGGGAGAGCCCAGGCAGAGGAGGCGCCAAGAGCAAGCGAGGGCTGTGAGGACTGCCAGCACGCTGTCACCTCTGAACATTTGAACATGAGATTTGGGCAGAGACAAATGTCCAAACAATACTACTATCTTCTAGTATGTATTTCCTCCAATGGGTGAACATTTTGGTGGAGTAGTTCACTATGTTATTTTATGCAGGAATGTGGGGGAATTATCACAGTTATTTTTCTGAAACATATATTTTACTTAAAATATTTTAAAAAAGAGAATTGCAAATCAAATTCAACAGGAGTTTTCTCTCTTTGAGAAGGCATTGAAATCATAAGTAGCTATGAGCGGTTTCTTTATGCTTTACTGTACTTTTCAAATTTTATATGCTGAACACATATTGTTGTGAAATTCAGGAAAAAAGGAGAGTTTATAGAAAATAAATAGATTCATACATTCATAGGACAAAAATTGGTTCTTAGCCAATAAATATATTAATATCTTAGGCATAGCTTCTTCATACTGTTTCATAATTGATAACTACCTGAGGTTTCCAAAAAATGACATTCAAATAACTTTTAAACATAAAGTTTTTGGGAAGTAGAGAATATTATTATTTCATATAAAAATAAATGCCTTTAAAATAAATATATAACTAATAAAATCATTTTGCATTTATGTCTGTATTATCAAAAGTTTGGAATAGAAATACATGTATGGATTTTGAACTCAACCCTATTTATATCTTCTTAAAAATATGTTAAGGAAACCAAGGAAATAAGTAGCTGTTTGTTTTCCCAAAATCCCTTTTTAACAATGATTGGTGATCACAACTTTTTCTTTTTTTATTATTATCATTGTTTTATTTGTGTGTATGGTTCCATACGTGCACCTGTGCACGCACATGCATGTTTTAGTCTGTATACTATTAAACATTCAAATGGATTGAAAACATAGCTTTGATTTTTTTTTATCTCAGTTTTGGTAGGAAAACAAACTGAAGTACTAACTGGTAAAATGATTTTTAATGGAACATTTTAAAATGATGTTTGGAAAATAAGTGAGATTTTTACAGTCAATGTAATTCCTGGCATCCAGGGAATATACTGAATAGGGAAGAATTTCCCAGGGTAAACTTTGTGACATGAAGAAGGACCTCCCTTTTGGAATTTAGGAGGAAAACTGGGCTCAATTAAATTATGTATATGTTATGCAAAGAGGATAATTATCTTGCTCATTTCCATTACTGCTTGGAATTGTAGCAGTTTCTCTTTCTACCACAGTTGAAGATGAATGGGAATGTTGCCTTAATCATTTTCATATTTGAAGACCCTTCTTTTCCTTCCATGCTGGCAGCTCTGCCTTAGGTTGGTAATGTCTGTGCCTGTCCAGATGCACAATATGATCAACAGAGGCAAACGCATTTGTTTGATTAAACAGAATAAATGAGGTGCCAATAATCTTTCTAGTTTTCTGGCCCTCAGCTGTTATTTATAAGCATTCTGCTTGTGCTGTCATTATTGCATGTCAATGCCAGAAAATGTTTATTTTTAATAAATAGCATAATGGTATGTAAAAGCTCACAGAGAAAACAAATATTGAAACAATTCTAATATTCAGATAATACTTACTCTGTCATATATTGACAGCTGTTAGACTTTTGACAAGATTATAAATCCCTGTCAAACTTGTCAATAAGTATTGACCAAGTTAACTTTGTCAAGAATCTCCATTAGCAAATATGTCAGGAAACTTCCACAAATATAGTCATTCAAAGATGTATTTTATATCTTCAAAGCAAGATGATGTTACAAAGGTAAATATAGGAGTTTTCAAGGGACACTTTAGCCTTTGAACTTAGACCTTAGTCTTTGAGTGCTAAAGAATTCTTGCCAATTGCAGAAATGTTATTTGTTGTGGAAAGTAAAATAACTGAAGGGATTTTATTAATGGAACTTAAAGGTACAGTCGGTTGATTTGAAGGAAGTAAATAAGTGACATTTCCTATCACATGATGAATGTCCAATTAAACCTCAAAAGTATTTAAGACAAAGGGATTAAAATAACTATAGTTACAATAATTTGATAATGGATGCATGATATAAAAATGTAAATTGAGACATCACCAACATAAAATGTGAGGGGAAGGGAAGTTAAAATGTAGATGATTTTTGTACATAGTTGAAGTTGTTCTCAGCATAATATAGACCATCACAATTATTAAATGTTTTACATAAGCCACATAATATCCACAAAGGAAATAAGAAAACCTAAGAGTAGAGACATGAAAAATAAAGAAAAGGGAAATGAAGCATATAACCACAAATCACAATAGACTACAGCAACAGAGGAAGAGTAAAACAAATGGCTTGTGAAATAGAAAACAATTAACAAACTGACATTGGTAAGCCCTTGCCTGTTTATCAGTAGTTACTTTAAAATAAATGAAACAAATTTTCCAATCAAAAGACATAGGTTGGCTGAATTGATTTAAAAAACAAACAAAAGTAAGATCAAACTCTATGCTGTCTACAAGGGATTCACTTTAGTTTTAAGGATACACATAGGCTGAAAGTGAAGGGACTGAAAAAGATACTTTGTGCAAACAGTAACCAAAAGAGAAGAGGTAAGATTATACCTCTATCAGACAAAACAGACTTTAAGTTAAAAACTGTCCAAAGTAACAAAAAGGTCATTATGTAAAGATAAAATGGTCAGTTTCTTAAGAGGATATCGTAATGTTACGATGTATGTAGCCCACACTGGAACTACTAAATATATAAAGCAAATATTAACAGAAATGTAAGCAGAAACCAGAAGCAATAAAATAATAGTGGAGAACTTTAGCATTCAACAATAGATAAATCATCCAGACAGAAAATCAATAAGGAAACAGTGAACACCAATAACTCTGTAGTCCATATAACTCTATAGTCCAAAAGTATACAAAACATTACATACGACAGCAGCAGAATACCCATTATTTTCAGGAACAACTGAACATTCTGCAAGATAGACCAAATGTTAGTCCACCAAACAAGTCTTAACAAATTCAAGAAGATTGAAATTGTATCAAGTTTATATTCTGACTACAATGGTATGAATCTAGAAATCAGCAACAGGAAGAAAATTGGAAAATTCACAAATATGTGAAAATTAAAACAATATGTTCCTGATCGAACCAATGGATCAAAAATATCAGAAGGAAAATTTTTAAAATTATATTTTGAGATAAATGAAAATTGAAATACATATCAAATCTTATGGAATGCAACAAAAGCAGTTTTAAGTGAAAAGTTTTTAATGATAAATGCCTACAATCAGAAAGAAAAAATATCTCAAATAACCTGAAATTACAGACTAAGCCAAGATTCAGAAGAAAGACAATAATAAAGACCAGAGAAAAAAATTAATAAAATTGACGCTAGAAAAACTACAAAAATGTAAATTGAAGAAAGAGCTAATTTTTCAAAAAGATAAACAAAATTGACATAACTTTAGCTAAAGTTAAAAAAGAACAACAGAAGATTACATCAAATAAAATTAGAAATGGAAGAAGAGACAGCACAATGATACCACAGCAACACAAAAGATCATAAGAGACTGCTATGAACAATTACATGCCAACAAATTGGATGACCTAGAAGAAATTGATAAATTCATATAAACATAAAACTTAGCAAAACTGAATCATAAAGACTTAGAAAATCTGAACAGAACAATGATGAGTAAAGAGATCAAATCAGTAATCAGAAAACTTCCAACAAAGATAAGCCCAGAGCCTGATGGCTTCACTGGTAAATTCTGCCAAACATATAACAAAAATTAATATCAATCCTTCTTAAACTCTTCCAAAAAAGTAAAGAGAAAGGAACACTTTTAAACTCATTTTATGAGGATGGAATTAGTCTAATACCAAACCAAGACAAGGAGATAGCCCAGAAAAGAAAATTTATAGGCAATATCCCTGACAACAATGAATGCAAAAAATCCTCAACAAAAGTTAGCAAATTAACTTCAATATCACATTGAAAGGATCATACACTGTGATAAATTAAGATTTATCTTGGGATTCAAAGATGGTTTCACATAGACAAAAGAATAAATATGATACATCAATTCAACAGAATCAAGGATAAAAAGCATGCAATCATCCCAATAGACACAGAAAATAGCATTTGACAAAATTTAACATCCTCTCTCTCACACACACAAAAAAGCCTCTTCTCCAATTAGGTACAGAAGACGTTTATCTCAATAAAGAAAGTACTATATATGATAAGCCCACAGCTAATACTAATAATTAACAGTGAAAAGCTAAAAGCTTTTTCTATAAGATTAGGAACAAGACAAGAATGTTCATTCTTAATCACTTCTATTCAATATAGAACTGTAAGGCATAGTCAGAGCAATTATGTAAGAGAAATAAATAAAAGGCATTCAAATTAGAAAGGAAGAAGTAAAATTACCTATTTGTAGATAACATGATCTTATATATGCAAAACCCTGTAGATTCCAACAAAAAACTGTTAAAACTAATAAACAAATTCAATAAAGTTGCAGAATACAAAATCAACATACAAAAATAAGTAGCATTTACATAGCAGTAACAACAAGCTATTCAGAAAAGAAATTAAGAAAACAATCCCACTTACAAAAGCTGCAAAGTTAAGATACATAGGAATAAATTTTTTGAAGGAGATGAAAGATCTTTACACTGAAAACCAAAAAACATTGATGAAAAAAATCGAAGAAGACATAAACAAATGGAAAGGTATCCTCTTTTCATGAACTTGAAGACTCATTATTGTTAAGAGATCCATACTTCCCAAAGTGATCTACAGCTTTAAAAGCAATCCTTAATAAAATTACAATAAAATTTTTCAGAGAAATAGAAAACACTATCCTAAATTTTATATAACACCATGAAAGACCATTTCATGGTCAAAGTGGAAAAAAATCCTGGCGACAGGACAGTATCTGATGTTAAAATATGCTCTAAAACCATAATAATTAAACTGGCATGATACTGGCATAAAGATAAACATAGGACCAACGGAACAGAATAGAAAGCCCAGAAATAAATCCATGCATTCACAGTCAACTGATCTTCAATAAAGATGTCAAGAACACACAATGAAGAAAGAAATGTCTTCAATAAATAGTATTGGGAAAATACACTATCCACATGGACAGGAATGAAATGAAATTCTTATCTGACATTATGAACAAAAATCAATTCAAAATAGATTAATCCTTAAAAGTTTTGAAGTTGTAAAACTACTAGAAGAAAACAGGGGAAATCTTCTTAACATTGATCTGGGCAATAATTTTTAAAACATGGCCCCAAAAGCACATGTGACAAATGTAAAAAATAGAGAAATGAAATCACACAAAATTAAATAGCTCTGTACAGCAAAGGAAACAATAAACAGAATAAAAAGACAACCTACAAAATAGAAGAAAATATTTGGAAATCATACATCTGATAAGTGGTTAATATTCAAAATGTATAACTTCAATAGCACATTGAACTCAATTCAGTAAGGAAACCAATAACTGGATTTTAAATGGGCAAAGGTCCTGAACAGACATTGCTCAAAAGAAGAGATCATGATGGCCAACAGGTATATGATAAAATGGTCAATATTCTTAATCATCAGGGAAATGAAAAATAAAACCATGATGAGATATCACTGCACCCTAGTCAGAATGACTATTAGACAAAATATTGAGAATATAGAGGAAAATTAATCCCTACTCACAGTTGTTGAGAAGGTAAAGTAGTATGGCCATAATGGAAAACAGTATGGAGATTTACAGAAAGGAAAAGAAAAGTAGAACTACAATATGATCTAGCATTTCCATTTTTGGGTATATATATATATATATATATATATATATATGAAATGAAATCAGTATGTTGAATAGATATCTGCATTCCTGTCCTCTGTCCTCCTGTGTTCATTGCAGCATTATGCACAATAACCAAGATATGAAATCCAACTGTTTATCAATAAATGAAGGAATAAGGAAAATGTAGTGTACACACACACACACACACACACACACACACAACTGATTAGTCCTCAGACTTTTAAAAGGAGGCAATCTTCTCATGTGTGATAACATGGATGAACCTGGAAGACATTATGCTAAGTAAAGTTAACCACGAACAGAAAGGTGAATATTGTATTATCTTATTTACATATGGAATCCAAAATAGTAGATTCAATAGCAGCAGAGAGTAAAATAGTGGTGGCCAGAGGCTGAGGGCATCAGTGGGTGGGGGAGTACATCAGCAGATGTTGGCTAAAGGGTACAATGTTTTAGTTAGCATAAATAAGTTTTAAAGATCTATTGTAAAGCATTGTGACTATAGTTAATAACGTAATATATACTTCAAATTGCATAGGGAGTCGATTTTATGTGTTCTAACTATACACACACACAAGTATGTGAGATGATTATGCTAATCAGCTTTGTTTAATAATTTCATTATACATACATCAAACATCATATTTAATATATAATAATTAATTTAAATTATACCTTAATAAATGTGGGAATTTTTTAAAAATGTGTCTATTTCTGGGTTTTCTATACTACTACATTGATCCTTGTTTCTACTCTGTCAGTACTACTTTGTCTTATTACAATTATGTAATAAGGCTTGACATAAAATAGAATGACCCCTTTTACTTTATTCTTTTGAAGATTGTTTTAGCAATCCTGGGGCTCATACTTTTACAAATAAATGATAGATATAATTTGTGTCAACAAATGTTCTTGCTGGAATTTTGCTAGGAATTACATTAAGTGTGAAGATCAATTTGAGAAGCACTGATATCTTTTCTTTGCTAAGTTCCCGTCCTTTTAATTCCCAGTGAACTCAAAAGGTAGATATAATATACATTAACACTTTTGAAAACATAACTTTAAATCTTTCACTTTCTGACTATCACTTCCCTTTCATCAATCATAATTAATCCTCTCCCCTATTCTAAAATACCTTAGATCTCCTTGAAACTAACCATCTATTGAACTAATTAATTATTAAATATGTATCACCTCCCAGTTATAATGATTTACCTGTCTCTCAGGTTTATTCTATATATCATTTAATAGGTTACATCAAATTAAATCAGCTTGTGGTCTTAAAAATCCTTATCCAAGAAAGAATACTTGAATTTTATAATCAATTATGTTGCTTTCAACTGAATTCTAATTAATTTTGGCATTTACATGCTTGTTTATTTTGTTGTAGTTTCAATGTGATAGCTATTCCCCTCATTTGATGCTTCATAAATTTTATTTTATTTTGTAAGAAAAAAGGTCCAAGAGCATGCATTTTATTATTACATCTTTGGCTAGATTTTATATACTGTGTTTTTTCTATTGCTATTCTTAATAAAATGTGTAACTTTTTTCCTGAACTATTCTTTGAGTATATAATTTTTAGACATTTAAAACTCAATTGTAAATATCTATAGCTGTTTTGCTTTCACTGTTAGGCTTTTTTATTTTGTGGAGTTTGTACAAAAACTACAATTTCTACTACATGGGATATGTTGAGGTTTGCTTTGTGACATAATACACATTTACTTTTGTAAATGCATCTGTTTTGGAGATGATTGCATAGTCTCTTTTTTGTTTTAAAATAATATTAATATGCATTGCTATTTGCACGTCAAAATGCAGTGTTCAACACTGTTTATTATTTAAATATCTTCTGGATTTAACATCTACTCTTTTACTTGCACTAATATCCCCCCAAATTATAAACATATTAATATTTCACAGAGCAAGCCTAACAGATTTTATTTTTATTTATTTACTTATTTATTTTGACAGGGAGTCTCACTCTGTCACCCAGGCTGGGGTGCAGTGGCACAATCTCAGCTCACTGCAACCTCCGCCTCCCGGGTTCAAGCAATCTGCCTCAGCCTCTGGAGTAGTTGAGAGTACAGGCGTGTGCCACCACACCTGGCCAACTTTTGTATTTTTAGTAGAGAGGTGATTTCACCAGGTTGGCCAGTCTGGTCTTGAAGTCCTGACCTCCCAAAGTGCTGAGATTATAGACGTGAGCCACCGTGCCCTGCCTCTAACAAATTTTAAAGAAACATTGATTTTATCAGCTTTTAGTTGTAGATGTGAATGTCTTTGACATATTGTACATTTAAAAAAAATCAGAATGCTAACTTATTTTTTATGTAATTTAAATCTATTCAGTACTGCATTTATTTCTGCATATCTTTTCTTCTGTATAATTTACATCAGATATCTAACATCTTTGTGTGCCTGTGAAGAGTCAGATAGTAAATCATGTCAATATCATGAGCCATAAGGTTTCTTTCAAATACTGAATTCTGCCATGTTAGCACAAAAGCAGCCATAGACTATGTAAAAAGAAATGGGTATAACCATTTCCTAATAATACTTTATTTACAAAAGAGGCAGTGAGGTAAATTTGGGGGAGTGACTAGAGTTTGCAGATCCTTGATCTACATAATTATTCTGCATAATATAGGGGGCTGCATATGAATTTATATTCTTCACTTTTTTCTTTTATTAAGATTATTTTAAAACGATGATATACTCTCATGGAGTGATATTATCTAAATATGTAAGAGAACATATTTACATTTAGCAAAGCTATTTACTAGAAGAAATTAAGGCTTACATAGGCTAAGATCACAGAGCTGAGGTCAAGCTCATTCTGCTTGGCTCTGTACTGAACTGCCAAAGTGTACAATCACTTAATCATTCATCTGCTAAACAGACATTTATTTTTTATTTGCTATTAAATTAAGTGCCATTTTATGCATATTATCAGACTCATGGTCAGAGTCTGGTTAATTTACCTTTTTCTGACCTCCAGAACAAACTTGAAAAGGGCTCAATGGAAACCAGTGGCTTATTAAAGTATTAATGTAATTAGAAGATCTACAAAGGAGTTTTACAGTGATAAGAACTAATATTAATAGAAAAATAAGCGAATTCTGAAGTTTGTCTTATTTATTAGGTAGCAATATGCTAAACACCATTATCACTTTATCTCAATTTTCCTGAAATAAAGGATTTAAACTGGCCAATAAGAAATCGTATTGAAGGCTATCTGAAAATAAACTATAAATTACCTGTGAGATATCACAGAGAATTTGGCATTTTTTTATCTTAATGAATCAACAGAAGGAAAATATGTAGACTCCTGAGAACACAAGTAGATGGCTTTAAAGAATCTCTTCCCAGGTTTTTGTCACTTTGTAATATAAAATAACAATGATATAAACTTAGTTGATGACAACAACTGACATAAAACATGTATATGATCTTTTTGTTTATAGGAGTCCTTAAAATTTATATGTGAAAATTTGGAAAGTAGTTTAATGCCACTTAATTATTTTAGGTCCTGAGGGTATCATTTAAATAACTAATGCTTCATTGCACTAAATGGTCCAAAAGTGTCCTCAAAATTGTAAACTTGTTTTCAGAAGTGCCTAAAGAGTCCCTAGGGAATATCTTAATCGTCTAGAGTACCTTGCTCATTAGTATATTGATTCAAATATTTCTATGATACTAGGCATGCGAGTCTCCACATGTAAATCATTTATAAGACTTTTATTTAAAGATATTTTAAATCTCTTTATTATATCTTTATTAAAGAAGCCAAAGGGATATATAAATCTATCTACTAAAGAAATGGATGCTAACTGCATGTGGGCAGTGGTGTATAATTCAAGACAGAAAGCTTAAATAGCAGTAGTCATTAAAAAAAGCAGTTGAGTTTAGATTTAACAATAATAATAACAGCTACTTTTGTGATCATCTTATTTTCTGCAAAATGGAAAAGAACACTAATAATGTTATTAAACATGTAAAATCAGAATATTTTAATAAAATATTTTATTAATATTAAGAATAAATATTAAGAATATTTTAACAAAATATTCTTAATAATATTGTTGAATAACAATATTAATAGAACATAATCATTCAACATTAAATTGGAATTTATTAAATGCATGAGTTCATTTATTTGTAATTTTTAAATAACTTTTACATAATATGTAAAAATATTTTCCTCTGCTATATTATCCCCAAAAATGTCTCATACTATGTTCTCTTCTAACTTTAAAATAACACCATGATTTTTAAGTAGTCCTCACTTTATATTACATATACATGTATAATAGATATACACACACACATATTAACTATATGCATAGTAGTATGTTTACTACATAGTAAATAATACATATTGTTATAATATAAATATGTTACATATAATACATATTGTTATAACATAAATATATATTTATAATAATACATATCATTACAATATGAATATATAGTACAGATTATAAATACTACATATTTATTATATAGTTGCAGTATTCAAGACAGGGTATATGATATTGAGGAAAGGAATAGACACATAGATAAATAAAGCATAATAGAGAGGTCAGAAATAGACCCTAACAAATATGACCAATTAATTTCTTAGTAAGTTTTTTTTTTTTTTTTTGAGACAGAGTGTCGCTCTGGCACAAGGCTGGAGTGCAGTGGCACAATCTCAGCTCACTGCAACCTCTGCTTCCCTGGTTCAAGTGATTCTGCTGCCTCAGCCCTCCTGAGTAGCTGGGACTATAGGCGTGTGCCACCACGCCCAGCTAATTTTTGTATTTTTAGTAGAGATGGGGTTTCACCATGTTGGCCAGGATGGTCTCCATCTCTTGACCTCGTGATCTGCCCGCCTCAGCCTCCCAAAGTGCTAGGATTACAGGTATGAGCCATCACGCCCGGCCTTTCTTAATAAGTTGTAAATGTAATTAAATAGAAAAATGATAGACTTTTCATCATCATATGGGTCATATGGACACTAATAGGCAAAAAATAAAAGAAAAAAATTTAAAAGAAGAACCACAGCCTAAACATCATACTTTACATAAAAATTAACTCAAAATAGGTCATGGACTTAAATGTAAAATGTAACACAATAAAATATTTAAAATATTAGAAAAAATTAATAAAGAATCTTTAGTATCTAGAATTAAACAAAGAGTTTTTAGACTTGCAACCAAAAGGACTATTAGTAAAAGAAAAAAAAATGGTAATTGTGGCTTATTTCCTTCTGGATTCAGTGCACCCACTTTTCCCTGATCTGAGGATTTCAGCTGTGGCCCAGAGACCTTCTGGAAACCCAGCCTTCAAGCACTCATGGTCTTCTCTTTCACTTCCATAGCCTAAGTGTTCTGCTTGCCCCTGCCTGAGAGTTCAGCCTGTGACCCTGGGACAAGCCCATTCCTTCCCATCATGGCCAGCACCAGAGCCCTGGGCTAACCTGAACCCTTTCTTTCCCATCAGGCTGATTCTGGACTCATACACACAGTACATACACACAGTCCAGTGGGACATCTAGGGACCGGAGAATTAGAGAACTGCCCACCCCACTCCAACATTGCTGGCACCTGACCACCTTCCTCAGGACCTGGGGTCGGGCTGAGGCAGCCATTACTATTACCAAACCACATTTGCGCAAGCGCAAAGGTGGAGGCCCTGCTTTACATGAAGAAGCAGTACTGCCACATTGGAGAACAGGAGAGCCACAAACTTATCTGAATCAGGCTGAGTGATGAAGTTCTGACCCAAAACCATTCTCAAGGAGAATCACAAATCAGACATTTCCTAAGTCTCACATCCACATTGTAAGATCTAAATTAAGAGTCACAGCTGTAGAACAGGGGTGTGATAGGGCAACAGTCCACATTTCTGACTCCCTATGATGAGGAGCTGGTGCAGCTCCCCCATACTCCAGCAAAGGCCTCAGCAAAATTCACCAGGAGCTTCCCCCAGCCACAATCGTTGGGGCTGGTGCCTGTGCTTGCCATAGGGGTAATTGTGGGCCAAGCAGGGACTTTAGCTCTGCCCTACTCTGTCCTCCCACCAACATAGAGCAAGAAGCAAAGAGCACCGGGCTCACCACTATCCAACCCATCACCTGAAACAACAGAGAGTACCTCACAGTAAAATTAAAAGATGAGATATGTACTGATCTGCTTGTATCATGGCTGGCTCTCGTAGGTTAGCATTATCTATTGGCCTGTAGGTCAAATGGCACATCCCAATGTAAGAGCTGCTGACAGAGGTGCATAGGGCCATAGAAGCAAAACTAAAGAGCCCCACCCATTTTACTCTACAGTCACACCACCTGGAAGAGGAAAGAAAAACCAACAGTAATATAGGAAAAGAAAGGGAATAATCGTATCTGCATGAAAATGATTACACAAATTAGAAGTGCCAGCATGTCCATGAAAAATGTATATGTTGTAACAGCCCTAACGGATCAAACTATCTCTCCAGCACTGGTCCCCAACCAAAAGGGAAACTCAGAAATAACAAATAAAGAATTCAAATCATGGATGACAAGGAAGTTCAACATAGTGAAGACAAGACTGAAAATCAACACGAAGAAACTATTAAAACAATCCAGAAAATGACAGAAGAGATGAACACATTAAAGATAAATCAGTAAGAGTTTATAGAGTTAGAAAACTCACTTAAGGAATTACAAAATACAATCGAAAGCTTTATCAGTAAAACAGACCAAGCAGAAAAATTTCAGATCTTGAAAAATTGTTTTTCAAACAAATTCAGACAAAATTAAAGAAAAAAGAATTAAAGAAAATGAACAAAGTTTTTTTAAAAATGGAGTTATGTAAAGTGACTAAACCTACCAATTATTGCCATTCCTGAAAGAAAGAGAGAAAAAGTTAACAATGTGGAAAATATGTTTGAGGGAATAATTCAAGAAAAAATTTCCTAATCTTGCTAGAGAGGTTGAAATCCAAATACAATAAATTCAGACAAAACCTAGGACAGGCTATACAGAATGAACATCACCAAGACATGTAGTCACGAGGTTTCAAGGTCAACACTAAAGAGAAAAATCTTAAAGACAATCAGGAAGAAAAAACAAAAAAAAAAGGCCTACACAAGGTCAACACTAAAGAAAAAAAAAAAATCAAAGACTGCCAGAAAAAAGGGCCAAATATATACAAAGGTAACCCTGTCAGGCTAACAATGGACTTCTTAGCAGAACCACTATAAGGTAGAATAGATTGCAGACCTATTTTCAGTATTCTTAAAGGAAAGAAACTCCAACCAGGAGTTTTATATCTCAACAAACTAAACTTTATAATATGTGAAGGAAAAATAAATTTTTTTTCCAACAAGCAAGAACTAAAGGAATTCCACCAGACCAGTCTTATAAGAGATCCTTAAGGTAGTTCTAAGCATGGAAATTAGAGAACAATATCTGCTACCACAAAAATAAATATATGCACACAGCCCAGAGACCTTTTAAAGCAACTACACAACCAAGAATACAAAGCGACCAATTAGTAACTTTATGATAGATTCGAAACCTCACAAATAATTACTAACCTTAAATGTAAATAGCTTAAATAGCCCACTTAAAAGACAGAGTGGAAAGTTGGATTAAAAAAATAGACCCATCCAACTACTGTCTTCAAGAGACCCAACTCATAAGTAATGACACACATAGGCTCAAAGTAAAGGGCTAGAAAAAGATCTACCACACAAATGGAAATCAAAAATAGTAGCCGTCACTATTCTTATATCAGATAAAACTGACTTTAAACCAACAACGGTCAAAGGACAAATAGGGGCATCACATAACAATAAAGGGTTCAATTCAACAGGAAAAAATTGACTACAGTAAATATATATGCATCCAATGTTGGGGTACCCAGATTCATAAAACAAGTAGTTTCAGACCTATGAAATATTGTAGATGACAAACAATAACAGTTGGGAACACCATCACCCTACTGGCAGTGTTAGATCATTGAGGCAGAAAAATAACAAATTCTGGATGAAGATTTTACACTTGAACAATTATACCTAATAGAGATCTATAAAATTATCCATGCATCAACCAGAGTAAAATTCTTCTCATCTGCATGCAGAACATACTCTAAGACCAAACATGCTAGGCCATGGAGTATCAATAATTTTTTTAAAAATTGCAGCCAAACCAAGCATACTTTCCAGCTACAGTGGAATGCAAATATAAATCAATACTAAGAGGATCTCTTAATACCACACAATTACATGGAAATCAACCAACTGGTTTTTAAATTGCTTTTGGGTAAACAACAAAGTCAAGGCAGAAATAAAAAATTACTTGAAATTAATGAAAATAGAGATGCAACATACCAAAATCTCTGGAATGCAGCAAAAGCAGTGTTAAAACTTTCTAATGCTAAACACCTACATCCAGAAGTTAGAAGAATCTCAAATTAAAAATCAAACATTGAACCTTAGAGAAAACTAGTAAAAAAATAACAAAATAACCCTAAAAGTAGCAGAAGAAAAGAAATAACTAAAATCAGAGGATAATAGAGTAAATTGAGACCCAGAAATTCACACCAAAGATCAATAAACCCAAATTTTCTTCCTTAAAAGGATAAACAAGATCAATACAGCTAGATTAGATTAACACCAAAAAAGAGAGAGATCCAAATAAGCACAGTCAGACATGACAAAAGTGGCATTACAACAGAAATAAAAAAGATCCTAAGGGACTACTGTGAACATCTCTATGCACACAAGCTAGGAAATCTAGTGGAAATGGATGAAGTCCTGGAAACACACAAACTCATAATATTTAATCAGAATGAAATTGAAATCCTGAACAGAACAATATCTTGCTTTGAAATTGAATCAGTAATAAAAACAAAACCCTAAAGCAGATGGATTCATGGCCAAATTCTACCAGACATACAAAGAAGAGCTGGTACCAGTTCTACTGAAACTACTGCAAAAATCTGAAAGAAAACAAAAAACTTACAATGAATAAACAAATTCAATAAATTTACAAGAAACAAAATCAACATACAACCTACAAAAAATTGCATTTGTATTTCTATATACTAACAACATACAATCTGAAAAGGATATTAAATCAACCTCATTTATAATGGAATTAATCCCATTAAAAATAGAAATAAACTTAACCAAGGAGGTAGAAGACTTTTTTTTTTTACACTGAAAACTATAATATATTAGTGAAAGAAATTAGACACATACAGATGGAAATAAGTATAATGTTTATATTTTGGAATCTTAATATTGTGAAAATATTTATGTTACACAAAGAATTGGAATTCTATTCCCATGAAAATCCTAGTGACATTTCTTTTAGAAATAGAAAAATAGTCCTAAAATTCATATGGAACAACAGAAGACTCAGGATATAAAAAGTCATCTTGAGAAGAAAGAACAAAACTGGAGGCATCACACTGCCTAACTTAAAACATATTACAAAGCTATAGTAATCAAAACAGTATGGTATTAGGATAAAGAAAGATATACAGAACAATGAAACAGAATTAAGAGCTTGGCTGCGCATGCATGGCTCACAACTGTAATCACAGAGAGGCTGAATAGAAAAAACAACGACAAGGCCCAATGATCTGTTGCCTGTAAGTAACACTTCACTTATAATGATATACATAGACTAAAAATAAGGGGTTGGAAAAAATATTTCAAACCAACAGAAACCAAAAAAAAAAAAAAAAAGCAGGAAAAGCTATACATAGATTTCCAGACAAAAACTACAAGAAGAGATAAAGAAGGTCATTATATAATGATAAGGGTATTAATTCAGCAAGAAGATATGACAATCGTAAATATGTATGCACTAAAGCAAATGTTATTAGAGCTAAACATGGAGACAGACCTCATTACAATAATAGCTGGAGACATCAGCATCCACCCAGCATTAGATAGATCATACAGACAAAAAGTCAACAGAGAAATATTCAACTTAGTGTGCAACTATAGACCAAGTGGGCCTAAGAGATATTTTCAGAACACTTCATTCAGTAGCTGTACAATACACATTATTTTCCTCAGCTCATGAATCATTCTCAAAATAGGCCATATATTATGCCACAAGAGAAGTTTTAAAAAATTCAAACAAATTGAAATTACATCACATATTTTCTCTGACTACAGTGGAATAAAACTAGAAATAAATATCAAGAGAAACTTTGAAAATTATATTAGTACATGGAAATTAAACAACATGCTTCTGAATGACCAGTGCATCAGTGAAAATGTGTAGAGAAAACTTAAAAATTTCTTGAAACAAATGAAAATGGAAACACAACATACCCAAACCAAGAGTTACAGGATACAAAACCAATGTACAAAAATCAGTAGCATTGCTATCTATCAACAGTGGACAACCTGAAAAAGAAATAAAGAAGTAGTCTCATCTACAGTAGCCCCACATAAAATATCTACGAATTCAGTTAACCAAAGAAGTGAAAGATTTCTATAATGAAAACTATAAAATAGTTATGTAAGATATTGAAGAGGACACAAAATAATGAAAAGATATTCTATGCTTATGGATTGGAAAAATCAATATTGTGGAAATGTCCACAGTACCTAAATCAATTTATTACTTGAATGCAATTCTTATCAAACTACCAATGATATTCTTTACAGAAATAGAAAAAAATTCCTAAAATTTACTCATAACCATAAACGACCCAGAATAGCCAAAGCTATCCTAGGCAAAAAGAACAAAACTGGAGGAATCACATTACCTGACTTCAAATTATACTTCAGAGGAATAGTGCCAAAACAGAATGATACTGGCATGAAAACAGACACATGGACCAATGGAACAGAATAGAGAACCCATAAATAAATCCATACATTTATAGTGAACTCACTTTTGACAAAGTTGGCAAGAACGTACATTGGTAAACGGACAGTCTCTTCCATAAATGGTGCTGCAAAACTAGATACACATTTGCAGAAGAATCTAGACTCCTATGACTTGCCATATATAAAATTAAATCAAAATACATTAATACTTAAATGAAAATATATTCAAATATATAATTATAAAATACATAAAATATAGAATTACAAAATATGTAATTACAAAGTAGATAAAATATAAACTTACAAAACAGATTAATACTTAAATTTAAGACTTCAAACTATCAAACTACTAAAAGAAAACATTGGAGAACCTCTCCAGGACATTGAACAGTACAAAGACTTCTTTAGTAATAGCCCAGAAAAACAAAACATCAAAGTAAACATGGACAAATGAGTTTGCATCAAGTTTAAAAACTTCTGCACAGCAAGTAATACAATTTACAAGGTAAAAAGATGACCAACAGAATGGGACAAAATATTTACAAACTTTCCATTTCACAAGGGATTACTAATCAGAATGTGTGAGGACCTCAACTAATTTTATAAGAAAAAAATCTAATAATCCAATTTAAAATGGCAAAAATCTGAATAAACATTTTACAAAAGAAGACATACTAATAGCATACCAGCATATGAAATGGTACTCAACATTACTGACCATCAGAGAAATGCAAATCAAAACTACAGGATACCCACGGAAATGGCCTTTTATTTAAAAGATAGGCACTAAACAAAGGCTGGCAAAGTTGTGGAGAAAAGGGAAACTTCATACACAATTGGGGAAATGTAAATTAGTATAATAACTACGGAGAATGGTGGTTGGAGGATTGGAGGTTCCTCAAAATACTAAAAATAGAACTATCATGTGATTCAGTAATCCCATTGCTAGACATATACTGAAAAGAAAGAAAATCAAGATAGATATTGAAGAGATATGTATATTCTCATGTTTGTTTGTTGTAGTACAATTCACAATAGCCACGGTTTGGAAGTAACCGAAGTGTCCATCAACAGATGAATGGATAAAGCAAATGTGGTACATTGGCTGGGTTCAGTGTCTCAAGCCTATAATCTTAGCACTTCGGGAAGCCGAGGCAGGTAGATCACCTGAGGTCAGGAGTTCAAAACCAGCCTGGTCAACATGGCAAAACCCTGTCTCTACTAAAAATACAAAAATTAGCTGGGTGTGGTGGCATGCACCTGTAATCTCAGCCACTCCAGAGGCTGAGGCAGGATAATTGATTGAATCTGGGAGGTGGAGGTTGCAGTGAGCTGAAATTGCACCACTGAACTCCAGCCTGGGCAACAGAGCAAGACTCTGTCTCCACCCCCCCCCAAAAAAAAAAAAGTGGTACATATCCACAATGGAGTATTATTAAGCCATAAAAATAATGAGATCATGTCAGTTTCAACAACATTAATTGAACTGGAGATCATTATGTTAAGTGAAATAAGCCTGGCACAGGAAGACAAACTTTGCAAGTTCTCACGTATTTGCAAGATCTAAAAATTAAAACAATTGAACCCATGGACATAGAGAGTACAGTGATTATTACCAGAGGCTGGTAAGGGTAGTGGGAGTGAGGAAAGTGGGGATGGTTACAACAGAATGTATCATACATTTAAAAAATCTAAACATATATAATTAGATTCCTTGAAACACAAAGAAAGGATAAATACTTGAGGTGATGGATACCCCATTTACGCTGATGTGGTTATTATGTACTTTATGCTTGTATCAAAATATCTCATGCACTCTGTAATATGTATATTTATTATGTACCTACAAAAATAAATATAAAATTTTTAAATTAAAGAATATAAAAGTAAACTACAGGTCAATACTCTTGATGAACACAGATGCAAAATCCTCAGCAAAATACTAGGAAATCTAATCCGGCAGCATATCAAAAAGTTAATTCCTCATGATCAAGTAAGCTTTATTCCTGGGATGCAAGTTTGGCTCAAAATACACAAATCAATAAATTGGATTCACTACATGAACCAAATTCACATGATCACTTATAAGAGTGAGCTAAATTTTGGGAACACAAGGACATAAAGATGGGAAGGATAAAACACTGGGGACTACCAGAGGGGGAAGGGAAGGAAGGGGGCAATGTTGAAAAACTACCTATTGTGTATTATGCTCACTATCTGGGTGAAGACACCAGTTGTGCAACAAAACTTTGCATAATGCAACATACCTATGTAACAAATCTACACGTGTACCACCTGTATCTAAAATAAAAGTTGAATTTAAAAAGAAAGAAATGGCGAGTTGTTAAAAAATGTGCAATGGAATACTATTCAGAAATAAATAAAACTCTTGATACATGTAAAAACATGATTGAATCTCTAGAAAATTATGCTGAGTGAAAAGATGAACCTCCAAAAGCAACATAGTTTGATTCCATCATATATTATTCTTAAAGTGACAAAATTTTCAGCATGGACAACAGATTATGGGTTAGGAATTTTGCAGGGGAGTGGATGTAATTATGAAAGGGCAGCACAAGGGATCTTTGTGATAACAGAAGTCCTTTGTATCTTAATTGTGGTGGTATATTCGTAAACTTATACATTATAAAATTGCATTGAACTAAATGCACACACATAAATAACTACATGTAAAACTCAATAAGATTCATAAGTCTGATTGAGTGTATCAAAATCAACTTTCCAGTTGTGATTTGTGCTCTGCCTATATTAATTCCTCCTTCCTCCGAGACCTCTGGCAACCATGAATATTTTTACCATCTCCATAGTTTTGTCTTTTTTTAGGACATCGTGTAGTTGAAATTATATAGCATGTCACCTTTTCAGATTGTCTTATTAAGGTTTCTGATTAGTATATAAGATTTCTCTATTTTTTATGGTTTGATGTGTTGAATAATATCTACTGTATAAGTTCTCACTTAGCATTTAAGGTTTCTCTATGTCTTTTTGCTTCTTTTATCATTGAATAATATTTCATCGTATGAATGTACACTTTAAAAAATCTATTCACCTGCTAAAGGACATATTGGTCATTTCCAAGTTTTAACAATTATAAATAAAGCTGCAATAAACATCCATGTGCATATTTTTGTGAGAATATGTTTTCTACTCATTGGGTATAAATATCAAGGAGTGTGACTGCTGAATTTTACGGTAACTGTATACTTAGTGTTGTAAGAAACTGCCAAACTATCTTCCAAAGTGGCTGTGCCATTTTTCATTACTACCAACAATAAATGAGAGCTCCTGTTGTTTGACATTCTCACCAGCACTTGGTGTTGTTAGTATTCTGGATTTTTGCCATTCTCATAGGTATGTAGTGAATGTTTTTTATTGTTTTAATTTGCAACTCTAAATGACATGTAACATTATGCATCTTTTCACATAAAATTTTTGTCATCTCTGCGTCTTCTTTGGTGAAGTGTCGGTTCAGAACTCTTGTCCATTTTTTCTTAATTCTTGACTACAGGTGCATTCTACCACACCAGACTAATTTTTTTTTTTATTTTGCATAGAGATGGGGTGTTGTTATGTTGCCCAGGTTAGTCTCAAATGACTGATCTCAAGTGACCCTACTGTCTCAGGCTCCCAGAGTGCTATGATCACATGCAAGAACCACCATGCCTGGCAGTCTTTTCCATTTCTTAATCTAGTTTCCTATTTTCTTATTATTGAATTTTAAGAGTTCTTTGAAAATTTTAGATAATAACCTTTTATCAGATATGTGGTTTATCAATAATTTCTCCCAGTCTGAGGAAAGGAGGATAGTTTTATAGTTATTTTTTAATAATATCCTGTAGTAGAGATATTACAATATTACGGACAATTTGGTGAAAGTAATTTTTTTTTTTTGAGACAGAGTCTCACTCTCTCACCCAGGCTGGAGTGCAGTGGCATGATCATGGCTCACTGCAGCCTTGACATCCCAGGCTCAAGTGAGCCTCCTATCTCAGCCTCTCCATTAGCTAGAAATGCCACATGTGCGCCACCACACCCGGCTACTTTTTAAATTTTTTGGAGAGACAGCATCTCAGTATGCTGTCCAGGCTGGTCTTGAACTCCTGGACTCAAGTGGTCCTCCCACCTTGGTCTCCCAAAGTGCTGGGATTATAAGCGTGAGCCACCATACTGGCTTGGTGAAATATTTGTATTGAATAGTTAATATTAGAGAAGATTTGGGTTAGCTTTACATATATACTAAAAAAAATGAAATCTCATTGTGAAGACATTTCATGAGCTAAAACAACAACAAAAAAATACAATCTGTTGTGCTGTATTCCTGAAGTGTAGAATTTAAAATATTTATTTGCTATTAATTTTCATAGAAAAAAGTACAAGAAATCAGGCTGTTCCACTACATATATGAACAGATAGATAAAATTATTTCAAAAACAGGGTAAAGCTGTACAATTTTTAAATGCAATTTTGTGAATACTATTTGGGAAACTTTGGTTTACACACGCTGGTTTCTATCATGTTTGAGCATCAAGGTAGAATTTAAATGATGTCAATACAGAAGTCTCTAAAGGAAGCAAGGATTATATTTATGCTTTCTATGATCTGGCTTTAGAAACTGCACATCCTACATATTACTAATGTTTTCACAACAAACAAATCAGCAAAACAAATTTTCCGAAGTTTTACATTGTGTATCTTCCCATAACAACATAATTACCATTGTCATTTAAAATAATAGGGAGCTATTTATGTTTGTATTTTCATGTCTGACTTAATATAAATAAAGCTGTACCAAAAAATTTGCGATGAATTGGATAGCTATTTAGAATCTTGTATTTAGAGACTTAACATTTATTGCAAAATTATACATACATACGTAATTTTTATGCATGCAATGTGTATTCCTATAAGATGGAAGTTAAATTGAATAACATTATGAGATTTGTAAAATGACAGTGGATCTAAAATAATCCATTATAATGTCCATTTTACATCTCCTTTATTCTACTTGATAGTGATTTACAACAGAAAACAACAATGTTTTATTATGTATTCAAACATAGCCTTCTTGATAGAAAATATTTATTAGGTTATCCAGCATTATACTGCATAGAATACATAAACATTCATTTTTCAATTCATGTTAATGTTTTGTATGAAATCTGTTAAAGGAAAACAAATCTTGGTAAGTATATCAATAATATACTGTATATGATTCCAAATAAATAAACAAAATTGAAGAAATATGTAGAATAGTAAAGTACAATTAAGAAATACAAAAGGGCATACAAAATATATGCTTTGTAAATAGCAGGACATTCTAGCTCTAGCACAATAAAAATGTAAAGTTTGTCTCTAAGAACATAGATAAAATTTCAACTAGACAATAAGTAGTTAAATTACACAATAAAAATTATAAACAAAGTAAAAGTTAAATGTGCATAAGCACCTTCACAACACATAAACAAATCAATAATTGCCTAAACCACTTTTAATTTTTAACATGCACAAACTGAAATATAAAATAATTAATGTTAAAATATAACAAAACATTATTTGATAAACTAATCATCCAGTATTACTAAACTAAAGCTTAAGTTTGAGTTTATTTATTGCTTAACCCTCGTAGATTTTTCTTTACATACTGAAAGTACATTTTAAGTAAGAAAAAAAGGTAGGTTGTCAAAGGGTAATTGATTTTAACATTAAATTTTTGTTTTACTGAGAAATTTAAATGTTCTAATTCAGCACTCCAAAATATTAAATACTAATTTTTAAAAATTAGCAGTGTTTTGCCTTCATTTATATTGTTTTTCTATCTGAGAGTTAATGAAGTTGAAGCGAGTTTTTCTTGACCACCATAATGACTAAATTTCTGTTGGACATAGCAATGGAAATTAATAAAGTTTTAATAGAACGAATATTTCATTCCTTGTTAAAGACATGATGGAATACTTTAAAAGAAAGGAAGATTGCTACTAGATATACATAAAACAATGCTAGTGAATATATATCACAGGGGAGGGCAAAATTTTGTCTCTTTCCTCTTAGAGTTCTTTTGCTGAGTGTCAGAATTAAACTGACATAAGACGGACCAACAGGTAAAAAGTATGCAAATCTAGTTAATATAGGTTTTATGTGACACAGGAGTCTTCATAAGGAAATGGGAGATGGAAAAGATCCAAAGACAGTTACAGCTGATCACTTATATACTGAATTAGACAAGGAGTAATAAGTTACAAAAATGCGACAAGTAACAGGGGCTTTTACTCAACACATCAGAGCAGCATATTCTAGGGTGGCATCTTCTTAACTCATTTCATATTAAAAAAGTAAAAAAGAGGGTGAACTGCATATATCCAAAGAGACAGGAAATATAATTGTTCTAGTATTAATTTTATATTTGCTATATTTCAAGTACTGTTTGAAACACATCGCATGTGCAAATGTATTTAGTAGTCACAAGAATCTTATGCTATAAGTACTTTTACTTGATTTCTTCACTATAACCTGTCCAAAGTCAAAGCATTAGTAGGTTCTGGAGTAAAGATTCTAGTCTACACACTTTGGCTCAAAAGCAACTGCTTCGTAGTGTAGTGTACTTATTCCAAACAACAGAATCTTCAAATACATTTAACAACTGTTTTATTTTTTACTTGTCTTTTAATTAGATTATGTGAAAAATAAAGTTAGTGAGCGCTATCACTGTTTATATTTTTTAAGCTGAATGTTTTCAAAAAACTCAGAGTGATGGGTATGAAGATTTAAAGGAAGCACTGGGATCACATTGTTCCAGGATTCTTTGCTCCTTAGTTAAGCTAAAATCCAGGTTCTTGTGTCATAATCGGGAAAAATTAGGCACAAGGACACATTGAAAGCTGAGGAGAGCAGAATGTATTAAAAGAAAGAGCTCAGTGAAATAAAGGGGTCCTGCCAACAGGTTCCCACCTCACAGATTGAATACTAGGCCAGCACATGCAAGCAGAAGAGGCCAGGCTCCTCCTCCCTGCAGAAGACTTGAATTCCCAGGGACTCCACCCCATTCTCCCAGCAGCAGGTGGGCCCTTAGCCTGAGCCACTCCACGGTGATTTATTGTTGTTACTGCACATGTGTTAAGGGACAGAATTTTTCACCATGGGCATGATTAGGCAAAGCCCCCAGTACACAATGACGTGGTAGCATTTGGCTGTCTCCTGCCTCTATCATTTGCCCCTCAAAAGAAGTGCATATAACTGCTGTTAGAATAAAGATAAGGATAAAGATGAAGAATGATCTGATGACAGGGGGTGCTGTTTTGGGAACACAGGAGTCAGAGCTCCCTCAGAGGCCTAACTTTCTCCTGCAAAAGGAGCCATTGTCTGAGGCTCTGATTGCAGACTCCGGTTGCATGACTGGAGTTTGATGGCCTGAAGGTGACAAGAGACAAACCTCATTATTAGAAAACACGTATCAGAAAGAAACAAGGGGGGTAGAGACAGCTAAAAAATATCAAGGCCTTTTACCGATTTGCACACTAAGAGGAAGGCCAAGAGCCCGACTGGTTAAAAAAAAACAAAAAAAAACAGTTTACCCTTTTGCTGGCATGTTAAGCTTCTGGATTCCCTTCCCCTGAGCCCAATCCTAAACCAACCAGTTTAAGGTTTGGGAAATTAACTTTTCCCAGTTTGGAGGATGCATCTGAGGGGAGTGTCCCATAGTACAGAGACACAATTACCTAACTGTGAAGAGAGGGCAAAGGAGGAAAAAGAAGGTGTTTTTTTCAAAGGAGTCCCAGGGGTTCAGGATGCCTTAGAAAGGGGTACAGACTGAAGATGAGGGGCTACTCATCTAGAAAGAGGGGAGCAAGTCATCCCAGGTTCCAGAGATGAAGGAGGGAAATTAAGGCATTCCTCTTTCCTTCTTCCTTTAGTCCCAGTAACCATGACAGGGTGCCACCCATCGGTGTCAAAGTGGCTCTCACCCATGTTAATAGGGGGCCATGGGGTTCGAATATCTGCTCTTACCCACGTACACCCTGTCTCCCCTGCTGTCAATAATCTTCGAGTTCCCTAGACCTCATTTATGCCATAGGTACTAGCATTACCTTTATTCATCAAACGGGAGGCTTGGCTTAATTGGCAGGAATTAGTAATGCTCCCTGCACTGTGCCTTTTAACTTCCATTATCATCTGCCTCGGGATCCCTCAGATCCAGTTTTCCACCCAACCGCCCCTGGGGCTTCAACCCAAAGCTTAGAATTGAGTTTGGGACAAAATTGTGTCTTAGGGGGGTTGCATGAACTCCTTATAAGCCAAATGCTAAGGTAAAGCTGTGGAATTGAGTCCTCCTCCAACAAAGGAGAAAAAAAATGTCTTCTGACACACACAGATGACTGGTGGCTACAGTTATGCTTGCTAAGATTTGGGTGCATGGGATTTGGCTTTGGTTAGCTCCCTCAGTCTTACTTTCCCAAAAAGGTAACCTCAGGATTTTGGCACACTGTTTTTTTCCATCATTTCACAGGATTTGCAGGATAATTGCTCAGAACTAGAATATTGATCCAGATTTTTACATTACCAATTCCTTTCATTCTTTCTGAGCTGCAGCTAAAGATCACTGGTTTGTTCATAGGAATAACCAGGGTTAGTTTAAAATGTAGGCAAGAAACTTAAAAATAACTAATGAGTTAAGAATTTAATGACAAATGTATGGTAAGTTTTGAAACATAATTTCTCTCTCTTCAGTCCTCATTTCTGTTAAAAACAAATCATGACAGGACTGAGTTGTTTGGAAAATAGAGTTTAGTTTTATACTTGGCCTGATTATTTGCATAAAGTGCAGCAAGAATAATTATTTCTACATAGGCTTTTAAAATTGGCTTTGATGGAAATCTGTTCTAGAAGGGATCTCAGATAGGACTTTCTAAAGTGGAGCCCAGACATGGGTTTGTACCCTCAAATACCTGTGAATTGAGTGAACTCCTCTCTTCTTGAGGTGCCAAAAACATGGGGTTCCTGGGCCTTTTAGAAAGTGACATACTTTACTCACCACAGGTTTAGAAACCATGTATGGGAAATGCGTAGACAAAGCATGAGGCAAGTTTTCCCAAGGGGCTTTTATCAGCTCTGCAAGTAGAGCTTGACTCCTTAAAGGGAAGCATATCATTCCAGTGAAAGCCTTCATAAAATGACCAGTTTCTCCAATTGCGTCCTGTTACAAAAGAAGGTGGATTCTTATTGCACTGATGCAAACAATTGTATGCCATAAGTTAAGAATATTCACAACTAGTTTCCAAACTCTGGAGAAGCCAAGCAAAGAGAGAGAGAAAGAAGGTCAGGCGTGGTGGCTCACGCTTGTAATCCCAGCACTTTGGGAGACTGAGGCGGGTGGATCATGAGGTCAAGAGAGCGAGACCATCCTGGCCAACATGGTGAAACCCCATCTCTACTAAAAATACAAAAATTAGCTGGGTGTGGTGGTGTGCACCTGTAGTTGCAGCTAACCTGGAGGCTGAGGCAGGAGAATTACCTGAACTGGGGAGGCAGAGGTTGCACAACTGCACTCCAGCCTGGCAACAGAGTGAGACTCTGTCTCAAAAACAAAATATATATATATATATATGACCTCAGGAAAATTAAACCTCATTTTGGCAACCCCAAATACTTAAACATGTCAGGTAATCCTGTTTAGCTCCTTTCTGGATCCTCCAGGGGCTCTCTGTAGAAGACTCTGTGGGCACATGGCACATGGCAATGAATACTGGCCATCCTGCTGTGTGGGACCTTTGGGCCATGAGTCTCAGCCATGGCTGGCAGGGAAGAGAGTGGGAAGCCATCAATTTTGGCAGAACACCCCCAATATTGCAAATGAAAAGATAGGTGCCATTACAGTCCTGAAGAAAAGGAAAATGCCATAGAAAAGACTGGATCAGATCAAGGCTGACATATCAGACCCTTGAGAGCAAGCCAAGCATCTGGAAAGACAATTTTGAAAGTGAAGTTTGATTTGAGGAAGCCTGTTAAACATGTTAGAGGTTTAAAAGACTTGATGTTATGAAATAGAATTCCAGATTACCAGAAATTATTTATTTTGCCAAAATGATGACTCAAATTTTTTTTTAAAAAACAAAAACATTTTATAAGCCTTTTAAATTTAGTCAACGTTCACACACAGAATTTCTTTTGCAAGATTAATTTCTTAAGGAACTTTCCATATCTTGTTTAAACTTTTAGCTTTATATTATCTACTTAAAAAAACTTCTTTAACCCCAGGCAAAAATTTACATTTTGGTGACATCTACATTTTACCAATAATCTTTAAGTTTGCTTTTATTTCATGAAGATTAAAGTCACCTGAACCAACAGGTACCACAGCTTTATCTTCCATTTAAAAAGTATTTGAGCTAAGCACTTATTTTCCTTTTAAGCCAATTAATTAGAGCTCCTTTGATAGACATCACACACAACACATATGTAACTACACAGACAGAAGAAGATCCAGTTGCGATAAGATTTTTTGTTTGCCAATCTCCTAATTGGATTATAGGCTTCCAGGTGGAGCCCTTTAACTGTAAGGGTAGGAAAGTATGCAGTTTCTAGGGCCCAATACACAAGTATAGCTGGAAGACAAACACGAATTTTTAGAAGAATCCATCTGCCTCTAATTCCTGGGGCTCCATGAGGTAAACAGAGGTCTCTCACAAAGGAATCCATGGTGCCTTTTCTGTTTTTCCCAAGGAGTCCCAAGCCATCAGAAATTATCTTAGGGTCCCTAATGTGTGCATTAGGAGCGCCAAGACAAAATGGAGAAAAATAATTCAGTCAACTGAGAAAAAAACCTTTTTCCAGCAAAACAAGATCCAAGAAGAGAAAAACATAAAAGCCTTTTAAATATACCTATAACTTGGATACCCACTATTAATTAAGCTGATCATTCTTTAAGAAAATACTTTTAAAACCTTTATTACCCCACTTTAGCTGATGCCAAGCGGACAATATTTTTGGCTTTCACATTTTACCAAAGGTAACCTCCCAGGTGCTCAGAGAACCCTCCCAGGTTCATGGAGGGGAAGAAAATCAATAAATGGCAAAGTTCATGCATATATCAAACCAGAAAGGACTCATTCCTTAGGCCAGGATTGAATACTGGCTGCCACTGTAAAATGGCAGAGGCTAAAACAAAGCACTACCACATGGTTCTCCCAAGGATATAAAACAAGCTAGAGGCCTACAGCAAAGTTTGCTACTGACCAGTTTACCAGGCTAATTTTAACAGAGGGCTTATGGAGTCCGAGGCCCACATCCCATCCTAAGGTACCTGTCTTTTTGACAGAACCATACAGGAAGACATGCAAAGCACATCAGATTGGTTAAAGTCTAAGACCAACCTCACAAATCCTTTTTCATACTCAAAACTTTGCAGAGAATATAAACAGTGATAGTTGGGGTCCTGGCCTAGTAAAACATCTTCTAAAAGGAAAAAAGCCTCTGCCATAGAGAGCCCTCTCTACTTGCAGGGCTGTGTTATTAGGTTGGTGCAAAAGCAATCACCTCCCCTGCCATCTAAGTAATGGCAAAAACCACAACTGCTTTGCACCAATACACCAACTCCTGACCTGGTGGAAAAAAAGTTAAAAAAAAAAGTTTAAATTGCAGGGCTGCAAGGATTCTTGGGGTTTGAACCTCTTATTCTTATGTGAGTGGGTTCCTCCAATAGGGAGAGAAACTTTTAATTGCTGTTGAACTGAGCTGGACCTCTCGGTCAGGCAAGGGGAAGACTCTGTGGGCACATGGCAAGGAATGCTGGCCAGCCTGCCACATCGGGCCCTTGGGCCATGAGTCTCAGCCGTGCCTGGCAGGGAAGAGATTGGGAAGCTGCCAATTTTGGCAGAACACTGTCAATATTGCAAATGAAAAGATAGGTGCCATTACAGTCCTGAAATAAAGGAGAATGCCATAGAAAAGACTGGATCAGATCGAGGCTGATATCAGACCCCTGAGAGCAACACCCTGGGATAGGGGGATGCAGCTTTCTCTACCCTCAGAAGTCTGAGGACAAGAAGGCTCAGAAATGAGAGGGGAAAAGATTTTTTTGGTCCACACTTTACTCATCTTTCATCATGTCCCTGTACAGGCCACCAAAATGATGCAGGGTTTTTTGCTCCTTAGTTCAGCTAAAATCTGGCTTTTAGTGTCACAACCAGGGAAAATGAGGCACAGAGACACACTGAAAGGTGAGGAGAGCAGAATTTAATAAAAGAAAGGTCTCTGTATAAAAAAGGGGTCCTGCCAACAGGCTCCCTCCTCACAGACTGAATACCAGGCCACCACCACACTGCGAGCTGCAGAGGCCAGGCTCCTCCCACCTGCCTAAGGTGTGAATTCCTGCTGGCTCCACCCTATTCTCCCCGTGTGCAGGCAAGCCCTCAGTCTGAGCCACTCCGCATTGATTTACTTCCCTTACTGCGCATGTGTTAAGAGACAGAATTTTTCACTATGGGCATGGTTAGGCAAGCCCCCTGTGCACAATCACCTGGGCAGGATTTGGCTGTCTCCTGTCTTTATCGATATGAGGGTTAAGAAAATTCACAAAGAGAATATCCCTCTCGCATCATCGATACATTTTGGTGAAATGTTCAGTGGCACATATCTTCCAGGACCTTGCTAAACATACTTTTGCTAAGCCAATCACTTTTAAGGTGTATTTCTGGCTATAAAGCATTTAAAAAAGGTTCCGTGTTATCCTGGATTTTTATTTGATACTTATTTATACACTTTAATGTTATCGGTCATAAGATTGTATGCTATCATTTTGTGGATCACTATTCATACAGAGAAAACAAATTTACAGGTGAAATTCTGCAGAAGACATTTGGTGAAATCACATTTTATGCAAGAATGTACAATTAATGTTCCATCACTAAAATAAGAATATGCTACCTCCCTTTGAAATATGGAATACATTTTAAAATAAATAACTCAGATGAAGAAGCATAATATTGAGATGGCATTATCAGTAAGTTTTATCCAAAAGTTATAAATCATGTTTCACCTGAATGTATTTAACCTATTCCAATGCTCCCATTATGTTTGAATAATGGAGCAAAATCACATATTTCCACTGATTCATTAGTCTTTCGGAAAGTGACAAATTTGAAAGATTACTCTGACATGAAATACATACAATTTTATGCAAATACATAATTTAGTTCCATTTTATAGCATATACTGTTAGCTGAAATAAAAACGGTTACATAGAGAACACCATTGTGGATGCTACACTGGAGAGGTGTTCAAAAAAGGCATCATGTGAAGTATTTCAAACTTTGTTAATTCATTATGCTGATAAATTCAGACAGTTAAATTTGCTTTCACACATATTTAGCCTATACTGTTACATTTCAGGTTAAAAGAGAATAAAACTAAGATGTATTATAAGCACTGTCATATCAATTTTATTAAGAAATTTTCTCCCAAAATGTCTAGTGGTGGTGTTTTTTTTTTTTCCCCCCCAAGTCTTTCTCTGTCACCCAGGCTGGAGTGCAATGGCGCGATTTCGGCTCACTACAACCTCCGCCTCCCAGGTTCAAGCAATTCTCCTGCCTTAGTCTCCTCCTGAGTAGCTGGAATTACAGGTGCACGCCAACATGCCTGGCTAATTTTTGTATTTTTAGTAGAGACGGGATTTCACCATGTTGGTGAGGCTGGTCTCGAACTCCTGATCTCATGATCCGCCTGCCTCGGCCCCCCAAAGTGCTGATAGTGAGCCACCGTGTCTGGCCCTAGTTTACTTTTTCTAAGCTGTGACCATACGAAGTGGAGTGATGAAAATCTAGATAATTCTAGGTAACATCATTGCACCTAAAACGTAAAATAAATGCTAATAGAGATGATCAGGTTCAATTATATTAATTTTTTTTCTATTTCCATATTACTCTTTGTTGATAAATCTGTAGCATTATTTATTTTAAAAAACACTTTCAGAGTAAGACAAGTTATAAAAATATGCAAGTTGATTCTATCATTGCCTCCATATGTATTTTCACAAATTTGGAATAAATTCTTATTTATTGGAATATAGTATGTATGTATGTATTTGCATATAGATTACATAAATTATTCACATAGAAGTGCATTCATGAGAGAGAATGTATGAATAAAGAAAAACAAAATATATAAAAAAATAACAATCTGCAGAACCCTAGAATTCAAGATGAAGACATTTCTTGAACTGAATTCTGTATGTAACAGGATCAGAATTCCTTAAAGCTCATATTGTAATACAGCTACAAGTTGTATTGGATCAGAATTTTTAAGGCTGGAGCCTATTTTAAAGATTCAACTATTGCGATTGAGTCACAGTGAGATGAAATTTTAAAAAGATTTCAAGGAATTATAATTATCTACCTAACTTTACCCCAAGTTAGTCTGTTTTCTGTATTGAGCTGCCATAAGATTTAAACTTAAAATACATTAATTTGCTTTAAATACTAAATTCAATGACATTTCTGATGTTTAGTGTACTATAAAAATTGTTTGGGAATATAAAGGTGAATTAAAAATGTTTCTTATTTCTGTAAACCTCTATCTCTTAAAATCGAAAAAGCTAAGAATAGTTAAATGCAATTTCACAATTACATACAAAGTTTTCTGGGGTCAAAAATGGAAAAGATATAGCATAATATAAGGAACAGTTGGCATTTGACTTATACCTTGTGTAATGTATTAATAATTGACCATAAAATATAATTAAATACCTGCTGTGTACAGGCACTGTACTTGGTAAACAAAAATGGAACAACAAACATAGATTAAAAACCAAATGTTATAACAATTGAAAACACAGATTAGTTAAAATTTCAACTCTTCCACCTAATAGCACTGAGATCTCAGAATACCTGGGTTCCAATGTGGACTCCATTACCAAGAAACAGTGAGAAATTTATACAAATGATACACATCTGCAAAACATGGATCAAAATTCTTGTCCTGAGAATTGTTACAAGTATTAAAGCATGCAAATAGGTTACAAAATGCTTGCAGAGAGAGTAAGCACACAATAAATGACAATTATAATACTGTTGTAAAAGAAACACTGCTTCTATTCATATCATCTTTTCTAAGACTCCAGTGCTAATGAGTTCTTCCTTACATGAAGGTTTCACAGGAGGGATTTGACATGATTTAATTATGATTGCTCCCTGGTTGACGGCAATTATAAGCACTATCAAATTGTAAGATGCGTCTCCATTTTATTAATGTTAAATGTGCAAAAATATGTTTTAGAATTGATAAAACTGGGTAATGTTAAGAGTAATACTATTAGCAATTTGATGACAGCCATTCTTCTAAGAAACTTTAATGGGGTAAATGGAACATAGTGTGTTAGCCATAGTCTTGGAATGGTGATAGGTTTGAATCAGTGAACAGCATTCAGTAACTATGTAAACCTGAGAAAATCTTATCTCGTAAGGTAGTTATAAGAATTAAAATATAACAATGCATGGATATACTCAGCGTATTATTTGACACTTTCATGGCTTAAATATTGCTTTAAAAAGTTAGGGATGTGAAAATATTCACATGTTATTATGAGTACAGCCTATGGTCTGAATGTGTTCCCTGTAATTCATTTGTTAAAAATTTTATTTCCAATGCAACTGTATTGGGAGGTAGGGCATCTGGGGAGGTGTTTAGGTGATGAGGGCTCCACTCTCATGAATGGATTGATGCTGTTGTAAAAAGGGCTAGCAGGAGTGGATTCCTTTTCTCCTCATGTTCTACCATGTGAGGACACAGCACTCTTCCCCTTTTTGCCCTTTTTGTCTGCAATCATGAGAAAACACAGCAAGTTGGTCCTCACCAGATGCCGGATGTCTTGATCTTGAACCTCCCAGACTACAGAATTGTGACAAATAAATTTCTGCTTTTTATAAATTACCCAATCTAACATATTTTTATAGCAGAACACAACAGACTAAGACAGAATACATTGATTTTATAATTTAAAAAATTACATAAAATTTTAAAATAAAATTATGTCAAAAATATGATGAAACACATACTCGTTAACTGATATATATTTTATCTTCTATATGTGACATAGAAAATCAATTTTTCTAAAGCTGAAAACGCTGTTGTAATGGTTAAGTTTCTCTAGACAAATAGCCCCAGTTGTTTCTTGAAGAGAGTGAAGAGAAAAAGAGAGAGAGAGACTATGAGGAATTGGCTTGCCCAGTTGTGGAGGCTGAGAAGTCCTACAATCTCCTTTCTGCAAGATGGAGACCCAGGGAAGCCAGTGGTGTAATTCGAGTATAAATGCTTGAGAACCTGAGAAGTCAATGGTGTAACTCTCAGTCTGATAGCCTAAAATATGAGATGAGACATTCCAGTTTAATCCACAAAGCAGGAAAAAATAGGAGGTGGGGTGAGTTTCTCCTTTCTCCAGTTTTTGTTCCATTCAGGCCCTAAAGAGACGGGAGGATGTCCATCTACATTGGGGAGAGCGATCTATTTTATTGTGTCTATAGATTCAAAACCTAATTTCATCTTGAAACACACACACAGACACATCCAGAAATCATTTAATCTGAGCACCTCATGTCCAATTAAATAGACATATAAAATTAATTATTACAACCATCTTCTGAGTTGAGTGCACAACTTAAGGATTTTTGCATTACATCCCCAAATACTTTGATATAAATGTTACTTGATAACTTCCATTCAGATAAATGGATGTGATATCGCTAATAGAACTTCACCTTGCCTTTTGTCCAGCCTACTGTCCTACTCTTGCTTCTGTTTCTAATAATACTTTCTAAAAGCTGATTGTCTGCATTTACAGTGAAGAAAATATTCTTTAGCTTATTAGTTTATTAATTTGTTCAATGATATTTATGGGGTACCTGATATTGCTCAGCATATTCTACTTGTAAGGAATAGCTGCGAAACAAGCAAATGAAAAGGCATTGCTGATATTAAACTAATTGTTAGTGAACATATACTTTAAAAATACATAAAATAGGTTAGAAAATGCCAAGTGTTATAATGATAAATAAAACAGTAAATAAATAAGGTGGCCAGGTGGAAAAGTGTTTGCAATTTTAAATAAGATCATAAGAAAACCTTGTCTCATAAGCTGACATTTGATCAAAGACTGGAAGGAAATGAAGGAGTGAATCATATAGTCATCTAAAGAAAGATAATCCCAGGCAATAGAAAAAAAAGTTCCAAATGCCTGAGGTGATATCTTCCTCATATATCACAGGAAAAGCTTCAGAAAAATAAGGAAGATAAAGTGTTAAGAGATAAGATCGGAGAGGTAGTATGGGTCCAAATGATACAGGGCACTGTCACCTCAAAAAGACTTTTTGTTAACATTGAATAAAAAAGGAAGGTATCAAACTTGCATATTAACAGGATCACTCAGGATTCTGTGTTAAAAACAGACTATGAAAAATCAGAGTAGAAGCAGGCACACTAGCTATGAGGCTATTGCATTAGTCCAGGAAGATGTCGACATATGGTGATGTTAATGACCATGATATGGTTAATTCATTTTGAGTCCGCATGTTATTTCACCTCTTTGACACAATTGATCACTCACTCCTCTATGACAATTTTTAAAATTTTGCTTAGCCTCCCAAGCCATAACATTTACCTAGTTTCCTCCCCAGGAGTCTAGTTCAGGGGAGTTATTTTGCTGCCTCCACTCCCACTCTGGCTGAGCCCAGTCAGGGATATTTGGCAATATCTGAAGAAACCTTCAGTTTTGTCTCACCTGGGGACAGGATATGCTTCTGGCATCTAGTAGGTAAAGGTCAATGATGCTGTTAAACATCCTACAATGTATGGGATAGTCTCCCATATCAAAGAATTATCAGGCCCCAAATGTCACTAGTGCTGAGATTGAGAAACCATGGTTTACCTTCTTGCTGATTCTTGCTTATTTTCCAGACATTTAAATTTCGCCATTGGACCCAGACTCAGTTATTGGACCTCTTCTCTCTCCATATTCTCTCACTGTCTAAGTGATCACTAAGTTATATAAGTCTGCAGTCAGAAGACTCCCAAATTTACATCTCAATCCTGGACTTCTACTTCAAACAATGCTCCATCTGTCCAATGGCCCATTCAAAATATCTAACACATAGATGTTTCTTAGATCTTTGCAAATTAACAAGCCACAAACTGAACTACTTCTTTGTTCCCAGAAACTTTTCTCTCATAGTCTCCCTATCTTGATGAGTAACAATTCCATTTTTTTTTTTTTTAGGTTATTTAAGCCAAAAATACTGGAACACACTTGATTCTTTTCCTTTTGTTACATTCTACATTGAGTCCTTCAGGAAATCTTTTCTGCTTACCTTTCCAAATATATCAACAAATCAATCACTTCTCATCATGCCCACTATTTTCAAACTGGTTCAGTATCAATTAACTTTTATTTGTAGTATTTCAACAGTTTCTTAACTGTATATCCACCTTAATTTTTGTCTCCAATCGTCTATTATTTATCTACCCAAAAATCTGACAAATGATTTTAGATCTTAAGTAGATTTTGAAAATTCTCCCAAGTCTTTTCTTTTTACTAGTAATAAAAGGCACTTAAAAAAAATGATACTGGGCCAGGCTCGGTGGCTCATGCCTGTAATCCCAGCATTTTGGGAGGCTGAGATGGGCGGATCACGAGATTAGGAGATACAGACCATTCTGGCCAACATGGTGACACCCCGTCTCTACTGAAAATACAAAAATTAGCTGGGTGTGGTGGCACACGCCTGTAATCCCAGCTACTCGGGAGGCTGAGGCAGGAGAATCGCTTGAAGAGGTTTCAGTGAGCTGAGATCACACCACTGCACTCCAGCCTGGTGACAGAGGGAGACTCCATCTCAAAAAAAAAAAAAATGATACTAATACTCGATGCAAACCAACTGATTCTTACTAGGATTGTTTAATCATGACAATGATACTCAGACTTAACAGTTCTGAGGAGTTGGTGATAAAAAGATGTGAGAAAAGGGGAAAAAAAAGTGTAAACCTGCAGGTTTATAGAGTCTTCCTATAATAAAAGAGAAAGAAGAAATAGAAATTTTAGCAAACTCTGCTGGGATGCCTTTTTTTCTGCTTTGAAAGCAGAAAATATAAACATAACCAAACAGAGTCGGTATTTCACTCCTTCCAATGTTTCTATCTCCCTGCTTTTCACATCATCTTGCTAGTGTTCTGTATTCACATTTGTTCACCTGAATTACTCTTATTTAGAGCAAAATAAAACTTCTTCAAACTAAAAAAGCAAATATATTAGAAATGTATTTCTAATGCATTTGACTATTGACATAAAAAAAGCAATAGTCAAAATATTATGCAAATACAATTTTGACAATTTTTAGAAAATGAAAATATGTTTTTACCCAGTCACAAAAAAAGCTATTAGAGCTTTATGGCTATTGTGTTGAAAATTTTCAGGTGTACAGAAAAACTGAAATTGGTAATATTTTTGCATCTTTTGGAGAAATTCAACAAAAATTTAATGTTAGTAAGATAACATTTCATATGAGGAAAATATTCAAATTGCCAAATATTTTAAGTCAAAACACACTTGTTGAAATTTGTTAGTTCTAGCCAATATTCTTTATGTTCTGAAGTTATAGTGCAAAAATATTTTGTAGAGTAGACATCCTAATCCTAGCTGAAATAAACTTCTCATGATCAATTGCATGATTACAGATCTGTAAGCAGTGTGACAAAGTCATGAGTCACAGTGCAAATGCAGTCATAATGCAAACACACCTAACAAACATTCCTCAGCAACCTCTCTTATGTACTGCACATATTTAATAAACACATTTACTGTATACCCAAGAACCACAGTAGGTAGACATGCATTCCATGAAATTAATGTGTCAATTAAGTGTTAAACTAGTTAACGGTTTCCAATAGCTTTGATTGTGAACTAATTCACACTAAAAGAAGTCAAAGTAAGCACAGTGCATTTCTCTTTGGTTGCATAGTGGATTAATTAATTACTTTTGCATTGACCCTACTTATAGCAGCATTAGGAGGGGGATGAAGTATTTCGAGAGAAATATAAAGTGTCCTGATAAAGGCAATCATGTCAGTCTTTAATTTTCCTAGGTGGTATAAAGTAGAACGCAAGTAAAACAATAACCTAGCTCCTTAAATATCTTGGATATATTGTATCCTTGATTGCTGAGCCCTGCAAACTGGTTCATATTTAATTAAGTCAGACTTGGCAAAAGCACTTTCTTTTTAACAGTATGTGGCTTCTTTCTTTCTTTCTTTCTTTTGTAACTTCAATGCTTTATATTATTTTATAAGAAAGCAGGTATAATTAACACCCATGTGATCTGGGGTCTGAAAAGTGCTTTAATATAAAACATTTCTTTGGAGCTGAAAGTAAAACCATGTCTGCCGTAAATTATGATGTTAACTTCTTTTGGAACTACCCCAAACAGAAACTTCCAAATAAAATTAAATTAAGGAATATATTGGTATATAATTTAAATCAAACTGAAAAATTATATATTTCCTAAACTAATATCAAAAGTATTTACATACATTTAACTTAATTAAATTAGGAAGTGAGGTTTTCATTACATTTTTATTATATCTCACTTGTAATTTATAAATTCTGGATTCATTTTCATTTTTATTTTTATTTAAATTTGCATTTCTTTTTCATGAGACTCATTCTTTTGTGTAAAGATTGCAACCAGAATAGCATCCTTAGAAACATGATTATTTTACTCTGGATCAACAATAGCATAACTAATTCATTATTTCCTATTAAGCAGAATAATGACATGAATTACTTAATATAAAATAATAATGAAATTTGGCTAAAGTGCCTATAAACTTAGATATAATCCAGTAATTAAATAAGTATAAAAAATTTAATATTGTAGTTAAATCTTATGCTTAGTCTACTTTTTAAAATATATTTTATCTTTTAGAGAAGTTTTAAGTTCACAACAAAGCGAGCAGAAACAGTACAAATTTCTCATATACTCCCTTCCCCTTCACATGCAAAGCCTTCATCATTTCTCAAATCCCCCACCAGAGTGGTACCTTTATTACAACTGATGAGCCTACGTTGACACATCAACATTACCCAGAGTCCATAGTTTACATTAGTGTCCAGTCTTAGTGTTATACATTCTATGGGTTTGGACAAATATATCATGATATGTATCCACCATTATGGTATCATTTTACTACACTACAGAATCATTTTACTACACTAAGAATTATCTGTTGCCTGCCTATTTACTCTCCCCTTTCCCTTAAACCATGCAACCGCTGATCTTCTTGTTGTCTCTATGGTTTTGTCTTTTCCAGATTATTATATAGTTGGGATCACACAGTATGTAGAATTTAAGGCAGATGTTTTTCATTTCTTGTTAGCACTAAATTATATTCTACTGTCTGAAAGTACCATAAGTTATTTACCTACTCACCTTCTTAAGGACATCTTAGTTGCTTGCAAGTTTTGGCAGTTATAAGTGAAGCTGCATCTGTGCGCAGGTTTATGTGTGAAAGTAAGTTTTAAACCCCTTTGGGTAAATTCCAAGGACCACAATTACTGGCTCCTATGTTAAGAGTTAGTTTCCTTTTGAAAGAAACTGACTATCTTCCAAAGTGACTGCACCATTTTGCATTCCCACCAGCAATAAATGAAAGTTCCTGTTGCTCCACATCCTTGCCTGCATTTAGTTTTGTCAGTGTTCTGGTTTGGGCTATTCTAATAGTGTTACAGTAGGTAGCTAGTCAGACATGAGCAAGGTATACACACACTGGGAATGTTAGGCGGCCATCAGATGGTAGTCAGGCAGTCAACTGTCCTTCTGAAATATAACCAGTACAAGGGCAAGCAGTCTCCCAATAAACAGAAACACCTGAAGCTGGTGATCAGCAGCTTCCTGATAAGATGTCAGGAGTTGGGTGAATGGGCTCCAGCATGTGTACTAAGAGGCAAAATGTTGGAGTTTAAGTGGTATACTACTTTCTGGGGACATTTGATTGGTAAAACAAGACACCTTAAGTGAACATGTGTACAACTCTAGTAAACACACTGTGCATGCTCACCTCCCAAGTGCGAGCAGGCCACTGCACCTGCAGACAGCCCACCTCATGGGAAGAATTGGGGAGAAGAAACACATGACCTCAGAAGCATGCCAACATATACAGACCCAAGTCAAAAGGTCCAACCATGCACTTAATCCCTCAAGCCACCCACTTGGCCCTATTTCAAGTGTACTTCACTTCCTTTCATTCCTGTTAAAAAGCTTTTTAGAATACTTTCACTTCTGCTCTAACTTGCCTTGGTCTCTTCTGCCTTTTACCCCTCAGTTGAATTTTTTTCTTCTGAGGAGGCAAAAGTTGAGGTTGCTGCAGACCCTTAGGAATTCATTGCCGGCAACAATAGGTGTCCCACTTTTAATTTCAATATTGCCTCTTTAATCATGGATGATATTCATTGTTCATGACTATTCATATTTTAAGATATTAATGTCTATTCACATTTACAGTGGTTTATTGCAAAAGAAATAACTAACCATAATATACTCTTTAGATTGTTTTGTATATGAATATTCTAACTAAAAACACAAGATTTATGCAATAAAAATGATATACAGTAAATGCATTTATTATCTCACTTATTTAGGCCAACGCATACATGTGCCACAGGCATATGGATTATTACCTTCTATAATAGCAGGGACACATGCTCATCAAGATCCACAGCAGTCACAAACTAAGACCCTACTAAGAATGGTGCTGTCTAGGTTTTGGCAGTGCCAAGGTGCACAACCATAAAAAAGGAAAATCTGGAGTATTTTGTTACTTGCTTTATAACAGCTGAGAGCAGAAAACAAGGTAAGGATGCAGGTTACTGTTTCTCACGTGCTTCAATCTTTAAATCAGAAAATAAACTCTTCTGCTGAAGTACATTAACAAAGCTCCATGAACATCTCATTAGCCAGAAGTGTTCACACACCTTCTCTAAATCAATTGATTGACAAAAGGGAATTCAATTATAATAATAGGCCTGGAGTAGGCACTTTGCTGCTGAAAGAAAACTGGAGTTCTGAAAACTAAGAAAGGAAGAATGACTGCTTGATGGTTTTGAAGGATTCTGCCACATGTATCTCCATTTACAATCAAGTGATGCCATCTCACATGTAATAATTTCATTTAAAATGTTTGTAAAATGACAAACTTATTTGTAAGAAATATTTCTTTAAAAACACAAAAAATTAGATTTGAATTAAACAGCTTATTTTAGGAAATCGTTCAATTAAGCTTTCTGGAAGAATGTAAATATATTCAATCACATGCAACTCAAACTTTTAACTGGAAAACTTGAAAGTAAAAAGGTGTGATGAACAACCATAAAGCAGAAACTAGAAGCATCTGCTTTTGCTCATGTAGGGAGAAATTGGAGACTGTTGCTGTTGTTGTTGTTGTTGAGTAGATGAGTTTATCAGGACTTACATATCAGGGAGTCCTGGGTGGCAGTGAGATAGCTCTAGAGATCGGTACCGCTAATCATCTCTAAGCTGCTTATTTTTTTTTTATTTTTTATGTATTTATTTTTGAGATAGGGTCTCACTCCGTCACCCAGGATGGGGCGCAGTGGTGTGATTATGGCTCACTGCAGCCGTGAACTCCCAGGTTCAATTGATCCTCCTACCTTAACATACTGTGTAGCTAGGACTATAGGCTAATTTTCACATTTTGTAGAGATGGAATTTTGCTATGTTGCTCAGGGTGGTCTCAAGCTCCTGGGCACAAGTGGTTCTCCTGCCTCGGCCTCCCAAAGTGCTGAAATTACAGGCATGAGCCACCGCACCCAGCCTCTAAGTTGCTTTTTTTTTTTTTCTTTTTTCTTTTTTGAGATAGGGTCTCACTCTGTTGCCCAAGCTGAAGTGCAGTGCATCAATCTTGGCTCACTGCAACCTCTGCTCCCCACCCTACTGCCCACGACCACAGGCACACATCACCACCCCTGGCTATTTTTATGTATTTTCGCAGAGACAGAGTCTCACCATGTTCCCAGGCTGGTCTCCAACCCCTGAGCTCAAGCAATCCACCCTTCTTGGCCTCCAAAAGTGCTGGGATTACAGCTGTGAGCCATTGCGTCCTGCCACCTAAACTACTATTAAGCTAATTTTCTTGATCTTTGCATATGGTGTTTGTGCAGTGAGACTGTTTTTCTTCACATTTCAGAATGTTATTATTTTTATTGATTTGTCATTTTAAGAAATAAGTATGAATCCAATGAGCATTGATAGAAAAGAAAACCTCAAATATTTTATTTGTTTCGTTGTACTGAATAGAAATTTTCTCAGAATAATGAAGGCAGAAAAAAAGAAATATTTTCATGCTTATGGTGTCATAGTTTAGCAGGGTGAAGAGAAAAGACCCTGAACAAAGGAAGCCAAGGGTTCTGGCTGACCAAACAAACCAACCTTCCCTAAAGAAGAAACGAGACACATGAAAAAATGCTCAACATAACTGGCCATCAGAGAAATGCAAATCAAAACCACAATGAGATACCATCTCACACCAGTTAGAATGGCAATCATTGAAAAGTCAGGAAACAACAGGTGCTGGAGAGGATGTGGAGAAATAGGAACACTTTTACACTGTTGGTGGGACTGTAAACTAGTTCAATCATTGTGGAAGACAGTGTGGTGATTCCTCAGGGATCTAGAACTAGAAATACTATTTGACCTAGCCATCCCATTACTGGGTATATACCCAAAGGATTATAAATAATGCTTCTGTAAAGGCACATGCACACGTATGTTTATTGTGGCACTATTCACAATAGCAAAGACTTGGAACCAACCCAAATGTCCATCAATGATAGACTGGATTAAGAAAATGTGGCACATACACACCATGGAATACTATGCAGCCATAAAAAAGGATGAGTTCATGTCCTTTGTGGGGACATGGATGAAGCTGGAAACCATCATTCTGAGCAAACTATCGCAAGGTCAGAAAACCAAACACTGCATGTTCTCACTCATAGGTGGGAAATGAACAATGAGAACACTTGGACACAGGAAGGGGAACATCACACACCGCGGCCTGTTGTGGGGTGGGGGAAGCGGGGAGGGAAAGCATTAGGAGATATACCTAATGTAAATGACGAGTTAATGGGTGCAGCACACCAACACGGCACATGTATACATATGTAACAAACCTGCACATTGTGCACATGTACCCTAGAACTTAAAGTATAATAATTAAAAAAAAAAAAGAAGAAGAAACGACCACAGTCGGATAACTCTTATTTTCAATTCTTTCAGTGTTTTCCACAGAAACAGCAAAAGGGCATTTCTTAGACCTGAAGTGGGTGCCAAACCAGCAATGGAACAGAAACTTGAATAACCTTTCCTCTAAGAATACATATTGTGCAAAGAGTTTTGTTGTCCTCATAGGAAAATTAGGCTACTCTGAATAGACTATATGTGTGTGTGTATATATATTCATACACACATATAGAATATAAATAGGAATAGAATCGAATATATATGACTATACATATATGGTATATATGAATATACATATATGAATAGATATCATATATGATATATGTGTATCACATATATAAAAGGCAGGAAAATATAATATCCACTATATTTTATTCTTTGATTGCTCGACACCCAGAAACCATTCTTCACATTAATTTATTTCAAAATTTAACCTGCCAAACAACAATGCCTGTTTGACTGAGTTTACATTCATTGCCCATCCACAGAAATACAATGTGATGTGTTCTATTTAGCGCATTCTAGGACATAGAGATAGTGCTTTTCTCATCTCCTACAATGTCTCGGTATTATATCAAAGTAAACTAAAAGGCAAATGTATTCATAAAGACATCTACATAAAATGTTAATGCAAAATAAAAGTAAAAATGATGATACAAGTAAAAAAAGTGATAAATTAATATGCTTGCCTAGACATACACACACAGACAGTATAAAGATGGGATTATAAGCACAGGCTATGGTCTTCATGTAACTTATTATGTAATGTGTTATCTTCTGAGATTGCTTTTCATGAATTTCCATATTATAACCCTCTCCATATTCCCTTTTGCTTTAGCCAGCATATGGAACGATTCTACTTATTACCAGAGGTAATGTTCAGCTTTGATTTTAAACATTTTTTGTAGCTTATGTTAGGATCATTTTCTGTGTTTCTCCATGGCTGTACTGCTGGCGTGATAGGAAAGGAAGGCACACCAACATATTCTTGGGATATGGTCAGGGTTCATGTCTGACACTATCTGGTACCTTTAATCCTATTTTTGCTAAAAATGCAGAACCAATAACTATAAGCAGAAATAACCCTGTTTTACTACTTGTTTACCTCAAATGTTTAAGTGAATGTTTTTCCCAATCAGTGGCATTATTCATTTTTTCCATGATCCAAATATTAATATTTGGAGAATCAAATATTCTAAACACAGAACAGAACACATTTTTAATAGAAATTGTTTGAATAAGCTGCATTTCTTACAACTTTATCATACATTGGTGGTTTTACGTGTTGGATGTGTGTTCATGTTTTCCAACACATACATGGGTTCCCATGCTTCTCTTTCTTAATCTTTCTGTTTTACCTTACCATTCCTTTTTTTCTTATTTTTCTTTTCCCTATATCATAGAACTGATAGTTTGATTGACTTAGTGTTTAATATAAACACGTTTGGCATTCTCTCTTTTTGAGTATAAAGATGTACAAGTAAAGCATGTTGTATTTCTATTTTAATCTAGAATTCTAGAATAAGATGGTTCTCAATTATTTTAAATATTTCTCAGTCCAGATATAATAATGCGCTTTCCAGTTCTCTTGAGGAATTTTGCATTTCATAAGCAACTACAAACCCACAAATGAAACATATCACAGCAGGTGATAAGCAGGGTAGGAAATTTATAAAATATGTTATTTCTAGATATATTTGAAAGTTAAAGGAAAATGGTCCTCTTATTAAAGTTAAACTTTGGTTGTTAAAGAAGTAGATAAAAGTAAAAGAAAGTAAAATTCTAGCTTCTTGAATTTTAGTCTAAGTGGAATAGAAGTACCCAAAGTTCTCATCTTGATAAAATAGAGTTCCTCTGTTACATTTTCACGGTCAACAAATTTACAATGTTGAAGTGGAATATCAAAATGCTTTTAGCAATACCCACAGATGTGAGACATTATAATAGAGCTTTGCTTAGGATAGCAATGCCAACAGATATGTAAATGTATAATTTTTGGCCTTGGCACAGGAAAAATGACTGACGAAATTTTTGAAATATTTTCCATTACAGCATATCTGTTGGGGTAGAATGGTTTGGGTTTACTTAATTTCACAGCCTTTTCATAGTAAGAAGAATGGCCATAATTTTTAGAACTGTAGGGCCTCAAACATGAGTCAGATGATTTTAGGTAACAATTTTTACCATAGTGGAATAAATTTATTTTATTAAAAATATGGTAATCTTATAAATTATGATACAAGATATTTTGATATCCAGAATTTGTACTTCCCAAATCATCTTTGAAAGTAATTGTGCAAAGAAAACTTATTTCAGGCCAGGCGTGGTGGCTCACGCCTGAAATCCCAGCGGAGGCCGAGGTGGGTGGATCGCGAGGTCAAGAGATCAAGAACATCCTGGCCAACATGGGGAAACCCCGTCTCTACTAAAAACACAAAAATTAGCTGGGTGTGGTGGCATGCCTGCAGTCCCAGCTACTTGGGAGGCTGAGGCAGGAGAATCGTTTGAACCCAGGAGGCAGAGGTTGCAGTGAGCTGAGATCATGCCACTGTACTCCAGCCTGGGCGACAGGGTGAGACTCCATCTCAAAAAAAAATAAAAATAAAAACCTATTTCAGAGAGCATACTTAAGTTACTAGAGTTTCAATTCAAGAAATAACATAGGGTTTTAAAAACATCTTTTAATAGAGAATATAAAAATCATTTTGATTGAAAATTTAACCTATTAGATTTTTCAAATAGATAAATGTTATTTAAAATACATGTATTATTATTATGACAACATGATTAGAAATGTTTTCATGGAAGATTGTGCTTCTTAGCTAAGGATATTTTAGGTAAAAATCAGAAAAGTAAGTTGCCTAAAAATTCCTTGAGAGAAGTACAATCTTCTTAACTATTTTCTGCTCTCCAAAGTGCCTAGACTAGAGAAATGTACTTCAGGAAACACTTGATACATACTTGTTGATGACTGAAAGAAACTCATGTACTATTATAAAGTTAATAACTAAATACAAATATGTTTGACCACTTTTTTGTAACATATATTTTATATTTAGATATTTTCACCATCTTAAAGACATTCACACAGAAGGATCAATTCCTGTAGGAAAACAAGAAGTAACAAACTCATTGAAACACATATTTCATAATTTTTACAAGAAGGGTTTTGCCCTGATGAGCGGGTTTATGTTTTGGTAATACTATGTATTTACATGAGTATAAACATATTTGACAGTTTTAGACATTCTTTCTTTTAGTATTGAAAAACATTAATAATTCAATCAACGATTTATACAATTTTAATATGATTAATATAGACTTATATGAAAGAGATCTTAACTTTAGTGAATTTAAACAATAAAAAACTGTAATATAAAATCACTTTTTAACACGAGTGAATAGATATCATTGGTATGTTCAGTCATGTAAGAATGACGGAGAACCAAGGTTTTAATTTTCGTGTTAGCATTCAGATTTAAATAATTATTAAGGAAATTTTTCTTAGTATTTTATAGAGTTAAGAGTATTTTTAATTATTCATACCAAAAAGAATACAGCAGAAGTTTTATTTAAAGTAGAAATATTTAATTGTGTTGACTTAGGAAGAGACTGACATATTGCTTAAATTAAAAATGGTTTATATTTACAAACTTTAAACTCTGGCTACTCATAAGTTCATAACATTGTAAAGCCATAGCCTCCAAAGGTGAAGAATAAGAATTCAAATTCTGGCTGGGCACGGTGGCTCACGCCTGTAATCCCAGCACAATGGGAGATCAAGGTGGGAGGACTGCTTGAGCCAAGGAGTTCGAGAAAAGAGGGTAACATGATAAAAACCCATCTCTACAAAAAATACAAAAATTAGCTGGGAATGGTAGTGTACGCCTGTAGTCCTGGCTACCTGGGAGGCTGAGGTGGGAGGATCACTTGAGCCCAGGTCATCGAGGCTGCAGTGAGCCCTGATCACACTTTTGCACTCTGGCCTGGGCAACAGAGTGAGACCTGGTTCCAAAATAAAAAAAAGTTAAATTCTGTTAAAATGGTAGGATTGGTAGGATGGTGCAAAATAAAGATAGTGTAGACAGACGTACATCGACATCAATGGTTAAGACATCATGTTCTTTGGAGTTTCTAAGTATGAAATGACTTTTACTTGTAAACATATAGTTCATATACACCTAACATATAATTTACGATGTTACATTTATATGTCTTTGATTATGTTGACACTAACTAGCATTTGCATGCAGACATTTTTTTTTTCTTAGTAATATCCCCTGCTATGAAATTTTATCTTGAGTCTATCTAACATTTATAAAGTCTTGAAATTGGATAATTGTTGCTTCTCTTTTAGAATTACTTTCATTATTTAGTACAACTCTGATAACTCTAGTAGTAAATAACTCATACCTCTTTACATAGAAGAGTCTTTGTTAAGGATAAAGTTTCCATAGTTGTTGTTCAATGGGTATAAAGTTTCAGTTATACGAGACAAATAAGTTGTGGATGTCTGCTGTACAACATGGTGCTCCTAGTTAACGATACAGTATAGTATAGCACTTTAAAATTTTAAGGGGCAGATCTCATGTTAAGTATTGTTACCACAAGTACACACATGAAAACTGACAAGTGCTGGACATGTGTATTACCTCGATTGTGATGATAGTATCACAAATGTTTGCATGTGTCTAAACTTACCAAATTGTATACAGTAATATATGAGGTTATTTGTATATCAATAATACCTCAATAAAGCTGATAAAAATGCAAAAGAAAGCAAAAATAAGTAAATCTGGGTTCAACATTCAATATTGTTTATTCAAATCTGGACCAGTGAACAACAAACCATTATAACTGAGAAAGGTAGAACTGACATTTCTAGTTAACAACTATGATTCCTGTAGTCAGATTTTCTGAGTTAGAATCCTGGGTTAGAATCCTTCCCTGCAAATTGCATGACTTTTGGGTGATTACTTAATCTCAGTGAACAACAGGTATTTTATCTTGAAAATAGGGATGAAAATAACCTCTGTTCAAATGATGTAATTAATGTAATGTGATATAACGGAAACAGTTATAGTACTAACATGCTCAATAAACATTAGTTTTTATTATCTCTTAAGAGTGCTCATTCTGAATATGTCCAATTCTAATGATTTTCTTTTCTTCCTTATTAAGGAATGCAACAGTGATGACAATTATACATTGTTTTCTCTGAAGCTGGACTGCCTGGAATCTGCCATGTTTCAGCCATGGCCTTACATTAATCACTTGCCATTTCTAAGTTTCAGTTGCTTTTATTTAAAATGTGGTAAATACCAGTGAGTGCTTAATGCCCAGAGTTTTCTGAGGTTTGAAGAATCAATATATTTAAAGCAATTTATAAAGAGTTTAAGGCATATTTATCATAATGATATTATATTATTTAATTTTAAACACCACTGTTTTATATTTAAAATATATACATACTTTGTGAATTTTAATTTTTTATAGGGAAAAACATCATCTGAAACTGTTTGTTGTCTTCCTTTCAATATGAAGAAAAACGCAGAGCTATTTATAAAACTTTGACCAAACTTTGATTTTACACCATTTTGTACAGTAGGATGGCAAGATTACATTAAAGCAGTTAATCTGTCAGGCGTGGTGGTACGTGCCTGTAGTCTCAGTTACTTGGGAGGCTGAGGCAAGAGGATCAGTTGAGCCCAGGAATTCTAGTACAGACTTGGCAACAAAGTGAAACCCTGCTCATAAAATAAAAAATAAAAACAAATAAATAAATAATTAAAATTTAAAACTATAACTTCATGGGAAAAATATTCTATCTAAAACCAAACAGTTCTGTAAAACAGTAGAAACTTTTTAAGTACTTATTAAAATATTTTTAGAATTTAAAAACTGCCTGTGTAAACTGTAATACTATATAAAAGCATGTGAGACACTAGCTTAAAAACAATAATGAAGAATATGGCTCCAATCAAAGTTATTATAATTCCTTTTTCCTGTACTGTGCAACAAAAGAATATATAGAAGCAAAGAAGAAGGAAAACAGCTATAACAACAAATAATAGGCAGCCAGAAATTTACATGAAAAAGCTTGATGGAAAAGAACTACTGTGTAGAAAATAAAAGAAATAGTATAAAAATGTGCTTTTTAAATAGAAAACATACTTAAATTCCATCTTGAGAAATAATTCTAAATCATATTTAATAGTACAATAAATTTAGAGAGGCAATTATAGTACACTGCATGCCAGCCTATTAATAATTTTTAGGCTGACCATTTAAGGGAGCAAAAGTGTTTTGAATAGTTTTTCACTTTTCTTTGTCATGACCGAACTGCACTAGATTTAGTCTAGTGCTGATTATCACCTCTCAAGAAATTCTTTACCCATTGCATTAGTTTTCTTCCTTCATTCTTTCTTTTGCAAGCTAACATGAGTTATTCTACAGCGAATAATGTGAGTATAAGGTAACACACATTTTGACCTTACTCTGCAGTCTGAGAATTGTTGAGCATGATAGTGATGTGAATTTGGGTTCTATTATAATATGAATTATTCTGGTCATTATTTACTGAAAAGAATTAGACATTAAGATAAAGATATGCAAGACAAGCAAAAAGGTGTTACTAAGACCCAGGCTCTTAGTAGACAATAACTAATTTTTGTCCTCCTATTTAGATACTTTGGCTTTCATTTTCCCCCCAAATTTAGAGTGCAGAGATTGACAGAGAAAATACACTCTGATTATTATTACTAATTGTACCACAGGGTTCTGATATCATGAAGTGTGAAACTGGAATAGCACAGGTCTGGTTAATTATTTTACTTAGGTAATTCTAGATTTTTTAAAAGAGGTTTTATTATAACTTTAATTTTAAATCTATATTTATGTTTCATTTGTTCATACATACAAAGCTGACAATAACTAAGATTGTTACTTTCTAAGTATTAAAGATTTGTCTTTAATTATTTGGACCATGTTCACAATTTTAGTGTGCTTAGGTTATATGTTTGACGGAAATTCATTTTGTAAGGATAAAAACAATAAAACTAGCCTATAATTTTATATTTTAGAGATAATTTTCTATAATATTTTTGTTGTGACATTTAAAAATGAGTTACAAAACTCACTTTATGCTGCTTTTTTCACTAAATAAGTACCAATGCATTTTTCTTGCAATAAAGAATATATATGGCATCAAGTTAAAGAATAGATAACATACACTGAGTGATTTTTCCCATTTATATGTATTAATTTTTTAAAAGTTGTTTGCTCTTTTATTAATTTTTAAAAATTATTTTTATAAATGTTTCTTAGTACATAGGAGGTGTATATATATATTAACACAGTACATGAGATGTTTTTATACAGTATGCAATGTGAAATAACCACATCACGAAGAATGGAGTATTCATCCCCTTAAGCATTTATCTTTTGACTTGCAATTGATCCAATTACACTCTTCGAGTTTTTTAAAAATATACAATTAAATTATTATTGACTATAGTCACCCTATTGTGCTATAAAGTAGTAGGTCTTATTCATTCTTTCTATTTTTTTTTTAACCCATCAACTATCCCCAACTGCCCCTCAACATTTCCCTACCCTTCCCAGCCTCTGGTAACCGTACTTCTGCTCTCTGTATTCATGAGTTCAATAGATTTGATTTTTAGATATCACAAATAAGTGAGAACATGTGATGTCTGTCTTTCCATGGCTAGCTGAATTCACTTAACATAATAATATCTTTAGGTGTCCTTTACAATTTCCTTCATTAGTGTTTTATAGTTTTCATTAATGAGATATTTTACTTCTTTGGTTTACTCACATATATTTAATTTTATTTCTTTCTATTGTAATTTTCTTTGTGTCTGTTTCATCCATGTTGCTGCAAATGACATGATCTCATTCTTTTTTATGCAGAATAGTAATTCATTGTGTATATTACCACATTTTCTTTATCCATTCATCTATTGAGGAACACTGAGGTTGCTTTCCAATCTTAGCTATTGTAAACAGTGCTGGAACAAACATAGGAGTGCAGCTATCTCTCTGATATACTGATTTCCTTTCTTTTAGGTATATATCCAGCATTGGGATTGCTGGATCATATAGTAGCTCTATTTTTAGATTTTTGAGGAACCTCCAAACTGTTCTTAGTGGTTGTACTAATTTACATTCCCACCGATTGTGTACAAGTGTTCTTTTTCTCCACATCTTCACCAGTATTTGTTATTGCCTGTCTTTTGGAAATAAACCGTTTTAACTGGGGTGAGATAATATATCATTGTAGTTTTGATTTGCATTACTTTAATGACCAGTGATGTTGAGCATCTTTTTATATGACCATTTGCCATTTATATGTCTTCTTTTAAAAAATGTCTATTCAAATATTTTAGACAATTTTTTGATCAGATTAGCTGATCAAAAGTAGCTGAGATTACAGGCATGCGCCACCATGTCCAGCTAATTTTTTTGTATTTTTAAGAGACGGGGTTTCTCCATGTTGGTCAGGCTGGTCTCGAACTCCCAACCTCAGGTGATCCACTCGCCTTGGCCTCCAAAAGTGCTGGGATTACAGGCGTGAGCCACCACGCCTGGCTGATCTTCACACTTTTTGACCACTCAGAGAGAGGTCCATCTACGTACCTCTTCCCCCAAATTTCTTTGTCACCAATTTTTCTCTCATGCTTCTTCCAAGTCCCTGACCATCCAGCCAAACCATTGGCTACAGTCCATGAATCAGTATATAATCACACATCTGGTCATTTCTCCTTCAACGCAAAGTGCACAACCAGGTCCACTGCTCAAAGTTCTGCCCACTGGGAGGATTTCCTTTCACTGCTGTGCTTCAGGGATGTCCTAGAAAGGGGCTGTAGTGCTGCAGCTGTCCACTTTTGGGTGGTGCCTGCATATCATGCAGAGTCATCTGTGAACCAGGCCCTAGTCTTCTCTTCCTCTGTCAACTGATCATAGGGAACTCCCCATGAGGCCATCGGTGCAGGCTGGGGGAGAGAAGGCAAGGTGGCAGGAGTGAAGACCATGGGCATTTGAGCCACTTCCTTGTGTAACTTACTTGTGCCTTCAGGACCTGCTCAAGCCCAATCACATATATACCACTTCCAAGGTCATCCAAGACCTGAGTGGGTCTAGAGATGCCATCCAGGAGTCAGAGACTGGAGTCAAAAGTTTTAGAAGTCTACCTTGTATTCTATTGTATTGTAGCTGAGCTGGCACTCAAACCACAGGACACTATCATTCCCACTCTTTCCAAAGACAGAGAGGCTTCACTCCATAGCCACTACAACTCCGGGCTGTGAGGAGTACTGCCAAACTACCACCGATGTACCCTTAAGGCTCAAGGAAGGGCTCTTAAGTCAGCTTGTTGTGAATGATGCCTGGCCTGGGACTCGCCCTTCAGGTCAGCAGGCTCCTTTCTGGCCCAGGGAAGGTCCAGAAGTTCCATGAAAAGTTCAAGTCCTGGAATCAGGGACCCAAAGAGGTCACTTGGTGCTCTACCTTCCTGTGGTTAGGCTGGTACCTAAGGTTCAAGATAAAGTCCCCTTTACTTTCCTTCTGCTTTTCTCAAGCAGAAGGGGTTTTGCCTTGTAGCCACTATGGCCAGCTATGTACTGAATTTCACTTGAAGCCATCAAGTCAGAGGTTCATCCAAGGCGCTCGATTTAGGACCTGGGTATTGCTGCTGGTTATTCAGGACCCAAGGATTCTTCAATTACCAGGTGTTGAATGCTGCCCAGACTGGGTTCTTTCCTTTAAGGCAGTGGGTTCCCTTCTGGCCCAAGGTATGTCTAGAAATGTCATCTTGGAGCTAGGTCCTGGAACAATGGCCCTCCCAACTCTAACCAGTATCTTAACCTGTTGTGGCTGGGCTGGTATTCTAGATCCAAGACAAAGTCCTCCCCACTCTTCCTTCTCTTCTCCTTAAGCAGAAGAAAAAGGTGTTTTTTGGAACTTCAAGCTGTGCAGCCTGGGGTTAGGGTAAGGGTGATGCCAGCTCTCCCTTAGTCACCCCAGCTGGTGCCTCAGTATGTCACATGCCCCTCAGTCCACTGTCTCTGGGCCTAGTTCAGGACTCACCTAATAGTTGCAGTCTTTATGGTCTAGACTGCCTTTCAAGTTCTCTTGGAGGCACAGAGCATTTTGGCTCGCAGTGGTGGTTTGCATCTCTTCAGTGCCTCTTGAAGCGGTATGGAGTTTACAGTGTTAAATAAAACCAGGTGCTATGAGTGCTCACCTGATGTTTGCTTCTAACGAGGGTGTGTTTATTTAACTTTCATTTTATTTTAACATTTAGGTTTGGGGGTACATGTGAAGGTTTGTTATATAGGTATACTTGTGTCATGGGGGTTTGTTGTATGAGGGTGTTTTTTTCTGTGTAGACAGTTTTAACTTGGTATCTTTTTGCGGGGGCGTCGAGATGGGTGGAGCTTTCTATTTTGCCATTTTGCTCCACCCTGCGTTTCCAGAGTGTTAAGAATGAGTCAGAAACTGTTCTTAGCCATGACTTGTGTTATCTCATTTATTCTTCATGAGCCATCTGTTAAACTAAATTTGGTGTGAGGATGCCTCCTACTTGAGACCTTATGTAATGAACTGCAACCTAACTTAGCATTTCAACTGTCTGAGAGCCTAACTAGAGTATACTTTTATAACAAATAGCTGAGGCTCAGCCAATCACAGCAGTCAAGATTCAATCAGTCACAGGCAGCCAACTTATCAGACCATGTTCAAATAAGGTAGCTGATGGGCTCTAATCAATGAAGCTGCCTTTAGACCTCATTTTTGTTGTCTGTCCATCAATGCTGCCTGCCCACATTGGAGGCCACAGCTCTCTGAAGCTCTTCTCATTCTGAGGGTTGCCTGATTCACCGATCATTCTTTGCTCTGTTAAATTCTGCTAGATTTAATTTGCCCAGAGTTTTTCTTTTAACACACTTTCTGAGATAGGTGGAGATAACATGATCATCAAACATTATTATCATTTTATTCTCTTTCCCAAATGAAGACACTGAGTCACAGACAAGAAAAGAACTCAGCCTACTACTAATAGTAAATTTGAAAGTGAGAATTTGAAGCTTGGTAGTCTGGATTGTGAGCCTGTATAATTAAACCCATGCTTGGCTTATTTAAAGCCACGTAATGTGTGAACTATCATTTATTTAAATTGATACTTCAAGTTTTCAGTGTCTTTTATTTGAAAACAAAACTGTCATTGTAAACAATTCCAAATCTTGCCATTAGAGAGTATGAATTTTTTTAAGAATTCTATAAGGTAGATATATTTTAAGTTTTTACTTCATTTGCACTCCTTAGATTATAATGGAGGTAAATTATCAATGAAATTTCATTGGTAAATTTAATCATTCTTCTGCGAATTCATTTCTGAAGTTTTCAAATTTCTCTCATTAGGTTTGTTCTTGTTTTTCTTGCATACCTGAGTTTCCCTTCACTTCTTAAAGGACATGAACACAGCCTCCCAATGCCTTGGTTCTTTCCCAGAAACACATTTAAATACTTGTTGAGAACAAATAACCACTGAGTATACATAAGACTATCTGTTGCCAACCTTTCTCTATAGTGTCTGAAAATTTTTATACATTATCTTAAGAAACAAAATGGACAGACATAAAGGCAATATAACAGATGAAAATTTAAGTGACCTGAATAAATAAATGATTAGTTATTGCCTGTTCTAAAAAAATGATAACTCAGTGTCATAAAATTGTAAGTTCCCTTTATTTTATAAATCAAGGCAATAAAAATAAACCATGACGTTTTGAGGAAGGTAGCAGTTAACAAGATGATTCTAAAATTTATCTGGTAAAATAGGAGAGTGAGAAATAAATGCAAATATCTATGAGAATTTGGGGGAAGGGAGATTGACAAGGGGTATAGTTTTACTAGACAATAAAACATAGAATATAGTAATTGAAACATTTATAGTACTAACTGAAGAAAAGATGAGTCAATAAAAATAATAAAAATATCTGAAATAAATACAAACACGAGATAATTTATTATAAGAGATATGAAATGGATACCAGTAGAAGTTAGTTTTACCATTATGTATGATGTTGGGAAAAGTTATTAGATATGTGGAAATAATAATAATAGTGATGACAGTTTTATCACTACTTTTATCATAGTGCTAGATTATACTCACGTTTTACTCAAATTTAGGCATACAAAGGTGTGGTCTGAGAGGGCATTTCTAATATGCCACAAAATTAGAAATATACATTATTTACGTACATTTGTCTGCATTATAATTAAATATTTCTTTGGTTATAAAAAAGAAAGTAAACAGTTTAAAAGTGTATCACATCTGACAGATAGAGGCTAACTTAATAAAAAGATTTATAATAGTTAGCAATCAACATAATAACATAATAAAAAGATTTCTACCTAACGAAAGACAAACACATTAACTTATAATTATTCTTTTTTTGTTTGTTTGTTTTTTGTTTGAGAAGGGGTCTTGCTCTGTCACCCAGGCTGGAGTGCAGTAGCGCAATCTCACCTCACTGCAACATTTGCCTGCTCGGCCCAAGCAATCCTCTCACCTCAGCCTCCTGAGTAGGTGGAAGCACAGCTGAGTGCCATCACACCTGGCTATTGTTGTTTTTTTTTGTATTTTTGTTAGAGGTGAGGTTTCATCATGTTGCCCAGGCTTGTCTCAAACTCCTGAACTCAAGCAATCAACTTGCCTTGGCCTCCCAAATTTCTGGGATTACAGGCATGAGCCACCATGCCCAGCCATGAACTAATATTTCATACAAAAGAAATATAAATATCCAACACATGTATGAAAGCTATTTCTTAATTAAGAACTGCAAATTGAAACCCTAAGAGATCCCAGCATTCATGTATCAGATTATTGTATTAAAATTTTTATCAATACCAAATATAGACAAAAGTACATAGAAGGAAATATCTTGTGTATGCTGAAGGTAGTATAAATTTGGTTGTGGATTCCTGGTAGTCCAGAGATGATGTGAGAGAACAACCTGAATGATAAAAATTTCCACACAGAATGGCGGCAGACCAGTTAGTCCAAGTGGTCTCAGAACAATACCCTTGAGAGAGGACATCTCGGTGCTACCCTTGGTTGTTGGAGCCCCAGTGAAGTAAGGAAAGTGTCCCTGCTGGGGAGAGAGGCCAGGCTTGGGAGGTGGGGGTGACTCACCCAAGGTTCCAAAGCCCAAGCCAGGACATGTGAGTTATTTCTTTAAACCACATATCTTGGGAAGGCCCAGGCATCAGTCTTTATGTTTAAAGTCTTTGCCGAAATCCAAGATTTACATATCAAGATATCCCAAGAATTCTAGTCTCTTGGATTGTGGAGTCCATTATAGAAATCCAACCAGGAAACAAAACCTTAGCTTCAAATTCTTAATAATACTCATTTTTCATAGTGGCTCTCTTAGAGCCAGGTTCTCCTCCACTGAACCAGAAAGGAGGAAAAGCACTTTCCTCTGTTTTATGGCTCTGAAGAGCCACAGCAGTTTTACCTAGGAGGAAAAGGACCCCAGATTCCTAGGTTTTTTGCATGTATCCTACTTTCCATTCACTTTATTTATGTTGGAAAGCAGTGGTTGATCCAGCACTTGGTAATAGGAACATTTTTTCCCTCTTTTAGTAAACTCATGGTTAATACCTGTCCAAATTATTTTTGCCTCTCTTTCGAAGGTGGGGGACTCAACAACTATTTTCTTTTCTAGCTTTGGCTTCTGATTAATAATTCTGTCAACTATCCCAAATCCAGAGTAACAGGAAAAGCTTAATCAACATCCCATTATATACTAATCTATTGAAGTCTGAAAGAAATAACATAAAATAAGAAAGTTACTATGAGAAGGATTAGATTGTTAATTTCAATATATAGTCCACTATGTTTTTACCACCATAACCCTTTTTAGTGAGTGCATATTTCATTTATAATTTCAGAAATAGGGAGGAGGAGCAGGGAAAGAAAAAAAAAAGTCTCATTGAATAAGTATTTTTCTTTCCTTAAAGTAATCTTTGCCTTTACCACAAATCTTTCTCCTTTGAGATTATTTATTTCTAACATTCCTGGAGTGTTAGAAGTATTAGCAGTGAAAACATTATCCATTAATACTTTAGGGGTAAAAAAAGACAGTGTTTGAGCAAAATGCAGAATACATAGTAAACATGGGGATTTTTGCTGTAGGGAACTGTAGTCAAATTTGCTTGTCCCCAGTGGGCCAGTTTGCCAACTTGTGTGTGCTTGAGAGCTAACATTTCCTGTCCTTACCTCTCTGTGCTCCTTAATGCCTGCCTTGCTTGCTCCTGCATTTGATATCAGCATGCCACTAGATTACTGTCAAACGTTTTCTAGCCAGACATTAGTTTGATGACCTCTCTGCTTTTTTCACACTTTGTGTGATTGAACCCAGCTAAAACATGAAATCAACTAACTCTCAGGACAGTACTTTTAACTCATGACTGAAGCCACTCTGCCTATAAAAAAATCTGTTCCCACCAGGAACAAACATTTTCTTCACCAACTACATTTCCCAGTGATTGTTTGCAATGGTATAAGAACAAAATACAGTTGTATGAGTGGCAGAATTATTGCCTTCTTTCATTTCCATTTTGACACTGACAAGAGTATCTGTGATGTACCCTAAATCATAAAGCTCTGCTATACATACATTCATATAAAATGAAACAGATTGGGTATTATCAAGACATTGATAAAATGTATATTAAAATTGAAAGCATGTGCTGTTTTGCTACTGGAACACTGAAAAACAAACATTGGACCTGTGTGAGTTTATAAAAAATAAGCAAAAATTGCACAGAGTTCAATTATTTTTAAAAATAAGAATACTGAAAGATAAGGTTTCCTCAAAGATTAGTGTTATTTACATGTATCCAATATTTGGAATGCACAGTGTAATACATTTGGCATGGCTATAGTTAGAAACGTGGAGAAAATATTTGCTGTCCATAAACTCTCATTTGGTTAAATGGAGAAATACAATATCCTTCTTTATTTGTTGTCCGTGGGTAATTCTTCAGTGCATACAGTTACATAAAAATCCTAAGTTTTTAAAATTGGTTTTGTCTGAAATTATACATAGGCAATCCTCACTTTGCATGGTTCTGATATTTACAAAATTTACTTACTACTGTTAGTTCATTAAAATCAGTCCCCACAAAACATGGTTGAAATTTGTCATCAAGGTGTATTAATCCATTTTTATACTGCTATAAAAAAACTGCCTGAAACTTGGAAATTTATAAAGAAAAAAGCTTTAATTGACTCATAGTTCTGCATGGCTAGGGAAGCCTCAGGAAACTTACAATCATGGTGGAAGTCACCTCTTCACAAGGCAGCAAGAGTGAGAATGAGTGCCAAGCGAAGGGGGAAGCCCCTTATAAAACCATCAGATTTTCTGAGAATTCACTCACTATCATGAGAACAGTATGTGGGAAATGACCCCCTTGATTCAATTATCTCTACCTGGCCTTGCCCTTGACACACAGGTATTATTACAACTCAGGATGAAATTTGGGTGGACACACAGCCAATCACATCATTCCACCCCTGGCTCCTCCCAAATCTCATGTCCTCACATTTCAAAACACAATTATGCCTTCCCGACAGTCCCCTAAAGTCTTAACTCATTCCAGCCTTAAACCAAAAGCCCAAGTCCAAAGTTTCATCTGAGACAAGGCAAGTCCCTTCTGCCTATGAGCCTGTAAAATCAGAAGAAAGTTAGTTTCTTCCTAGATACAATAGCTATACAGGCATTAGGTAAATATAGACTTCCAAATGAGATAAATTGGCCAAAACAAAGGGGCTACAGGCCCCATCCAAGTCCGAAATCCAATAGGGCAGTCATTAAACCTTAAATTTATAAAATGATCTCCTTTGACGCCATATCTCACATCCAGGAAACACTTATGCAAGAGGTAGGCTCCCACAACCTTGGGCAGCTCTGCCTTTGTGGCTTTGCAGGGTACAGCTCCCTTCCCAGCTGCTTTCATGGCTGGCATTGAGTGTTTGCAGCTCTTCCAGGGCACAGTGCAAGCTATCTGTGGATCTACCATTCTGGGGTCTGGAAAAAGGTTGCCCTCTTCTCATAGCTCCTCTAGCCAATGCTCCAGTAGGGACTCTGTGAGGGAGCTGTCACCCCACATTTCCCTTCCACACTGCCTTAGCAGAGGATCTCCATGAGGGTTCCACCCCTGCAGCACACCCCTGCCTGGACATCCAGGTGTTTACCATACATCCTCTGAAATCTAGGCAGAGGTTCCCAAACCTCAATTCTCGTCTTCTACACACACCAGACCAACAACACATGGAAGTTGCCAAGGCTTGGGGCTTGCACCCTCTGAAGCCACAGCCTGAGCTGTAGGTTGGCCCCTTTTAGCCATGGCTGGAATGGCTGGGATGCAGGACACCAAGTCCCAAGGCTGCACACAGTAATGGGGCCCTGGGGCTGGCCCAGAAAACCGATTTTCTCTTCTACATCTCAGGGTCTGGGATGGAGGTCTCTGATATGCCCTGGAGACTTTTTCCCCATTGTCTTAGTGATTAGCATTTGGCTCCTTGTTACTTCTGCCAATTTCTCCAGCCAGCTTGAATTTCTTCCCACAAAACGGGTTTTTCTTTTCTACTGCATTGTCAGCCTGCAAATTTTTCAAACTTTTATTCTCTGTCACCTCTTGAATGCTTTTCTGCTTAGAAATTTCTTCCACCAGATACCCTAAATCATCTTTCCCAAATTCAAAGTTCCACAGATCTCTAGGAGAGGGGCAAAATACCACCAGTCTCTTTGCATAGCAAGAGTGACCTTTACTCCAGTTCCCAACAAGTTCCTCATCTCCCTCTGAGACCAACTCATCCTGGATTTCATTGTCCATATCACTAACAGCATTTTGGTCAAAGCCATTCAACAAGTCTCTAGGAAGTTCCAAACTTTTCCACATTTTCCTGTCTTCTTCTGAGCCCTCAAAACTGTTCCAACCTCTGCCTGTTAACCCAGCTCTAAAGTTGCTTCCATATTTTTGGGTATCTTTATAGAAGCACCCCACTCTCTGTGGTACCAATTTACGGTATTAGTTCATTTTCATATTGCTATAAAGAACTGCCTGAGTATAGGTAATTTATAAAGAAAAGAGGTTTAATTGACTCACAGTTCTGCATGGCTGGGGGGCCTCAGGAAACTTACAATCATGGCAGAAGGAACCTCTTTACAGGGCGTCAGGAGAGAGAATGAGTGCCGAAGGAAGGGGCAATTCTCTTATAAAACCATCAGATCTCGTGAGAACTCACTCACTATCATGAGAGCAATATACGGGAAAGGACTCGGGTGATTCAATTATCTTCACGTGGTCCCACCCTTGACAGCTGGGGGTTGTTACAATTCCAGATGAGATTTGGGTGGAGACACAGCCAAACCATATCACAAGGTGTATTAACTGTAGTTAATTGTATAAAGTAAAAACTTCACTGCTAGCGCTTCTGTCCACAAGTCACTCCATAAATAACCTATTCCTCATGATCACTGATGATCAGACACTTCATAGTCTGATGGTGACAGGCCACTGAGGATCTTTTATTCAGTTCATTCAAACAGCAAGCATGTAGTTGTGTTGCCTTTATGTCTCCCACTGATACATCCAAGTGACATTTCACAAAAATGCATAATTGGAAGAGGGAAATGGCCAAAGATAAGAGTTCTGCAAAGTAAAATAAAAATGATAACCCTGGAAGTGAAATTCTCATATAACATAGATAGAAGCACAGAAGAAATATGCCCACAGCAGTGTTGGCACTGGTTGTTTGAAAGACTCTAGATAGATAGAAGAACATAGAGAAGATGTACAGCAAATTTTCCTTTGCCTACTCCTCCTTCCCAATTCCCAAAATGAAAAAAGTAATTGTTATTTACTTATTTACTTATTTTTTTTGAGACAGAGTCTCGCTCTGCCACCCAGGCTGGAGTGAGGTGGCACAGTCTCGGCTTACTGCAGCCACCACCTCCCAGGTTCAAGCAATTCTCCTGCCTCAGCCTCCTGAGTAGCTGGGACTGTAGGTACGTGCCACCATGCCCAGCTAATTTTTTTTTTTTTTTTTTTTTTGTATTTTAGCAGAGCCAGGGTTTTACCATGTTGGCCAGGCTAGTCTTGAACTCTCAGCCTCAAGCGATCCACCCACCTCGGCCTCCAGAAGTGCTGGGATTACAGACGTGAGCCACTGCACCTGGCCTAGGAAAGTAATTGTTAAAAAAAAAAAAAAAAAAAGATGATGTTTCAATGGAAATGATGCTAGTCAAAATTTCACATTAAAGGAATTCTCAAAGATATTTTATGACAACAAAATATTGGAAGTTGATCTAACCTTAGAAAGTGGTATGACAATTTGCCACAGCATAGAAAATATGCTCCCTCTACATTGTAAGTTATACAGTGAGCAGAGGGCAAAATTTTTCAACTACTCTTTTATAGCTGGTGTTAAATGTATTCATGTATATTTAGCCAAGAAATAAAGCCTTAATTCTCCATGTTTTTGACGAGTTTAATCTGTCCAAGACAATAGATTAATATTTGGAATCTTTTCACCAAAAGCTATTCAACAGAAGCAAATTTGATCTTGTGTTACTTCCTTGATGGACAGGCAAAGTATGAAATTAAGTATTAAGTAAAAACAGTAAAAATCAGACACTAAATCAAGTTGAATATAATGACATGAAACTAAATATGGATGTGCAAATAACCTATGGATTTACTTGCAATCTTCCAAAATGATTGCCTTATAAATATCAAATTTTATAACTTCGTTTCAACTCTCTGGGGAAATTCTGTTTAATCAGGCAAGTCCATCTCATGTTTTCTTGTTAAAGAAATTTTTTTTCAAAATTTTGTGCATATGGCCACTTTTATTTGAAAGTATATAGACAAAGTTAGAGGCCATTCCAAACAGTATTTGTTTTCATTACACAGTTAAAAAAATTTCTTTATTTAATAAATAACTTACGAAGTTTAAATAGAGAAGACATCTTGTAAGTTTGCTGGAATGCTTTACCTGATGAACTTTATCAAATGACGAGCATCTACCATTGAAAATCACTTAGTTATCTTTTTCAAATATGCTTTCTATTATTCTTCATTAGAACTGAATTGACAAAAACATAAGAGTAATTAATGATAGGTCTCTTAAGGCTCACAGTTTTCGATGGATTATTTTATGTAGCACCTACTCATAAAGGCATGCAATAACTATTGATTGAATAAATAAATGTTTTTTACTACACTGCAAAAATTATTGATTAACAGGAAAAAAATGATGATGAGCCCTACTGGATAAAGTATGAAAGCAAAAGCACCCTATCTCAGATGTGGCTTCTACAACAAACCGAGAAAATAATTTTGGTTTTCTATTATGCCACTTTCAATTCCTGGAAACCACAAAAAAAAAATACAGTATCTTTCTTCTCATTGCACTACTGCAAGTGAAACAGTACACTTACTAAAGCAACATTTGCCTCTATAACAGACAAGAAGATAGAGTCTATGGAAGGAAAATAAATCCCAGAGCCCCAAACTCACTAAGCCAAAAGGAAAAGTCAAGCTGGGAATTGCATCATGAAAACCTGCCTTCTGTTTTGCTCCTATATAAGATAGCTACAAAGATAAGAAAGCTATACACCTCCATCACAATTTGCCCACCAGGAAATTCCTTGTGGGCCCCAAGTTCTTTACCCTAAAACAGTTCTGTTGAATTTTATTCTGATAGTGTAAATTGATAGCTCATCTTCACAGGTGTGGGACAAAGGTCAGAACAAAAAGTCATCCCTCTGCTCACCTCAACCAAACGCATATTATATTGAAGTATCTGCCTTATGTTTATCTTATGTAAAAATGCAGATTCACTGAGTGCAAGACAAATGCGTAAGTGACTATTCCTCTATCTCCCCTCACATGTAAAATGTGTATTCAGTGAATGCTGATCAAAGACTCAAAAGAATGCAACCGCTTGCTTCTTATCTACCCACATTTTTTTTTCTTTCTTCCTTTTTCCCCCAGTACAAACTGTTTTCCCTTTAAATATTGAGGTCCTCAGCCCTTCTTCCAAAAAAGCACAGAACACAGATTTCTCCTGTGGTTCTGTGTTCTTTTTCTGCGTACATCCTTAACCTTGGCAGACTAACCCCTTGAAATGATTGAGAGTTGCCTGGGTCATTTTCTATGATTAATAATAAGTCTTTCAAGCTTAGTGAAGTACATGAATAATAAGTAAAAAGAGTAAATTTAGAAAGGTAGTTTGTAAGGTCAAATGACTACAGAGACTAAAACCTAATCAGTGAGAAATATTTTGTTTCTTAAATCCTTAGCAAATTAACTCCCATTGTTCATAGTATGTACTCTGTATAGTGTCAGTCAGGGATACGTAAACCATATAATCATATCTAAGAAGAAAATATTTTGACTTAGATTTGCTTATGTAAACTTCCAGCAATAATTTGGATCTTTGACAAATATTGTAATGTTAGTGATGATTAGGTATAAAGGTCATTAGGTGCCCATAAACAATGATGTAAAATAGATGCAAAAATGTTAAAATTACCAATTGAATTTTCCTACATTAACCTAAGCTGCATTTTTGTTTCTATCCCCTTTGAGATTCTTAATACGAGAAGTGAAGGAGGGGAAGCATTTAGTTTTGTTGTGTTTGGTAGAACACTAGCACCCTGCATTGTAATGAAATGTCAGTCCTAGAGCTATTTCCACCAGAGAAGTGGCTTCATACTCATTTATAATGGCAGCAGGGAACCTGACTGTGGCCATTGAGACAGAATATAACAACAAGATATGCCATCCTGAAAAAACAAGTGTTCCCTACAGAATTTTTAAATAAAACATACATTTAATTTCCTTCAGAAAGGGCATTATTTTTATAAACACAGTATCCTACTCTAAAACAATGCAGTCATTCATAAAAAGCCAAAATGTAGGATTCACGACATGCTGCCTTATTGGGTTATCCTTGAAAATGTGCAATAGGATACTTGTTAGATATTGCTTCTAGTTAGAGTTTAAATAAATAAACTTTGATATCACTTCTGAAATTTCATAGCACATTTATTTTCATAATTTTGTAGATTCTAACTTCACATTCAATGGAACGAAACTGTTTTTGAATAAAACATCTTTGAATTTTCTAATTCATGTTGGTTTTGGTCTCTTTGTTTCATTCTCAAAACAACAAATACAAAAAGATAACTGTGGTCTTTGTCAATGTTGTAAGCCTTAAGAGAGTTCACAAACCTCTTGTGGAAGAAGTCACTGATGACAAAGAAAACTCACTGAAAAATAAAACAGAAAAGCTGAAAGGATGGATTACCAAAATTTTGTTTCAAAGGATAGAAATTCCCCTTGCTGCCAGCACAATTCCTTGAACTGTTTGGGAATGATCATTGAAAGTATTTTGCATGAAAAAAATGTTCGTTTGTTTGTTTGTTTGTTTTCAGCAATTGTAGACCCTTTCCACAAAGTGATTTTTTATTTTTTTATTTTTGAGATGGAGTTTCATTCTTGTCACCCAGGCTGGAGTGCAATGGTACGATCTCAGCTTACTGAAATCTCTGCCTCCCAGGTTCAAGTGATTCTCCTGCCTCAGTCTCCTGAGTAGCTGGGATTACAGGTGCCTGCCACCACGCCTGACTAATTTTTGTACTTTTAGTAGATACGTGGTTTCACCATGTTGGACAGGCTGGTCTCGAACTCCTGACCTCAAGTGATCTGCCCACCTCGGCCTCCCAAAGTGCTGGGGTTACAGGTGTGGGCCACTGTGCCTAGCCCACAAAGTGATTTTTAATTATAGAAGGAAAAAGAGGTTTAGGGTTATTTTTAATATAAAGAAGAATAAGATAAACAGCAGATTCTATGGCCTGTTTGGCATATCTAGTATTTGTGCAGGTCATCTGTATAGATCAGTTTCCAATGACCTTAAGTCCATCGTACTTTTGCAGTTTGCTATTTAATACAAGGAATGTTCAAATAATTTTGCAAAGAATGGAAGAGTTTTATTTATTTACTTATTTATTTATTTATTTTTATTATACTTTAAGTTTTAGGGTACATGTGTACAACGTGCAGGTTTGTTACATATGTATACATGTGCCATGTTGGTGTGCTGCACCCATTAACTCGTCATTTAACATTAGATATATCTCCTAAGGCTATCCCTGCCCCCTCCCCCCACCCCGCAACAAGCCCCGGTGTGTGATGTTCCCCTTCCTGTGTCCATGTGTTCTCACTGTTCAATTCCCACCTATGAGTGAGAACATGCCGTGTTTGGTTTTTTGTCCTTGCGATAGTTTGCTGAGAATGATGGTTTTCAGCTTCATCCATGTCCCTATAAAGGATATGAACTCATCCTTTTTTATGGCTGCATAGTATTCCATGGTGTATATGTGCCACATTTTCTTAATCCAGTCTATCATTGTTGGACATTTGGGTTGGTTCCAAGTCTTTGCTATTGTGAATAGTGGGAAGAGTTTATTTTCTCCAAAGGATCAGTTCTGCTGGAGAATGGTGTATTGAGACTAGAAGACAACCATGTACTTCATCAATACGTAGAAATCAAGAGTGTTCTTACTGTACATAATGAAAGATTTACATAAATGTTAATATTAGTAAACAGTAGATGAGGAAAGTGTTTTCAGTTTATAGTGTGCTTTTAAATATACTGTTAAGCTTTAGTTCACATTCTAGAATTGTTTATTTTTTTCTTTTCCTATGTATTGTGATCTTGTATAACTCTGTAGTGTCTCTCTCCTCATTCATTTTTGGTTATTCTATGCTTGAGAAAAAGTTATTTATGATATATTTCAAAATTGTGTCATCATTTTCACTTAACTTTAGCATCAAAGTTGTTCTTGTATCTTTACAAAAATGGGGTTATTTGTTTACATTTACTTGAATATTGTGAAAATCTACAAGTTTGAGTTATTTTGAAGAAAGTCAGTAACAAAAGAAAATAAAATTCTCCCATTTTTACAAGAAATTATGAAGTCCTGAAAAGGCCACATTGTAGTTACCACCTTTTTTATTATAGAACACTAAAGACATTTTATTCTACTTTTTCTCAAAAGAAAGGAGATAAATAATTATTTTATAAAATTACTCATACATCCAGGAAGCTTTTGAAGTGAGGTCCTTTTTACCAACTTGGCTAAAGTGAGTAAGTGTGAACAGTTATTCTGTTACATTTAGGCAGTTAATTATATTTGAAAAACACATAAAGAATTGAAAATAGAACACATGCACTGAGATGGTTGTACCTCCAACAGTTGAAGAGATGTTCTGTTTTCCTTCACATGCTGTGAGATGTTGGGAGTACAACCACCTCAGAGCATGTGAAAAAAATCAGAACATCTCTTAAGCTGTTTAAATATTATAATAATGGCCTTTTCTATTGACAGATAAACCTACAGATTTATATTACATGATTGCTTTGTTCATAGCTATAACTACAAATGCATCACGAAGAATTTCCAAGGAATCTCCCTAACTTTATGAAAGAATGACTTTAGATAATGAAATTGTCCTACATGTATCTTTTAAATATAAAATGTAAAACAACTCTTTTTGAAAAGTAGTTATATCATCTGTTAAGATGTTTTAGAATGTAAAACATAGTACACATAAACACATTCTAAATGATTATTCACGTGGTAGAGTTCCTATTAGAAAACATAGAGCATAATTATTATACACACATACATACATACAGTTAAACAAAATTATGGGAAGTCATTGTTCTGGACTAAGCTCCCGCCCTAGGGTTCAACATACCAGACCAAACCAAAATGAAATTACTTACGCTAAATGCCACATAATCAAACTGAAACTTTAAGAAAGCAAATAGATCCCCAAACAAAGCAGGTTTTCCCGAATACAGGAGATTCCAATCTACCTGAGTCAGGTTTACGGAATTTCCCTCTGCTTTAATCCTCATAAAAAAGAAACCTGATATAACCTGATGTTAACCAGTTAGGTGGTTTTTGTTGTTGTTGTTTGTTTTTTCCTTATTGTTCTGTTTCACTGTCCCCACCAAAAATATACCTACTCTTCTGCCATTGCACAGAGGGAAGGCTCATACTATTTTGTATAATGGAGGCTGTCCTGATTCAAGAATCAAGAATAAAAGCCAATTTGATCTAAAACTACATTTGTAGTTTTGTGTTTTGACGGTAATACATACATATATAAACACACACACTCACACATACATATACACAAGGCTATTTATGTTTTAAGAAAAAATGAATGATAATATGGCAAATAATTTCATTATAGAAAATATTTAACTTACTCATATCATTTATTTATTCTTTTATAAAGCAAATGTAAATCTGGAGGATAGTATATGTCATACCAAGCAAGCTATTAGAAACTGTGTTCACATGTCAATGATTACACATCTGCCTTTGTAAGGACTTTTTCATGTACTGCATTGGAATGTAATTCAAACCACTAACATTCTTTTATCTCATGTTGGGAGGATTACAAATACAACTTTTGGATATTATATTTTTATCCCTCCATAAATGTTATATCATATTTGTGTGTATGTCTAAATCTTATTCAAAGGGGTTCTACTTTTAGCATAAAGGTTCTATAAGGTGCAATTGCAACATATGGTAATTTGATGTGTATAATTTGAAGTGTTGCCCTGCATCACATGGATGTGTATGATTTACTTGAGTACTAAAGACAGTTGTAAATGAAATGGTAATGTGTCCATTTTAAAGTACATATTTTTTTCATTGCTTCTTCCACTGTGTGTGTTTTGAAATTATATCAGAAATAACATAAACCATTTTTTAAATATCCAATGGCATTTTAAAACTGAAAAAGTTGTCTACAGTTACTTAAGACTTTTTTGGTTTTTGCTTAATAGCTCCACACTAAAATTTAATCATATAATTCTCTATAATTATGTGTAAATTTCTAAACACTGTGTGGGTTTTTCTATAAGAGTATATTAAAATTCTTACTCTGAATGCAACCTAAGCATTGTGTGTCATGAATTTCTAGTGCTATAGCATTTGCATTTGAGCAATGAAAATAATCAACTTAATTTGCTCTCCTAGAGAGCATGGAAGTGGGTTTGATTAGTCTATTGAAAGTTTGTGTTTTCCCCCTTGAATTGGATGCAGGGGGTAGAATTGCCAGCATGATGCAAGCCAGTAGGGATCCAGGGTGTCAAGGCAATGCTAAAGTTGACTATATTAAAGACAAAGGAGAAGGTCGACTAGAAGCAGACAAGTTGTTTATGCTGGAGCTGTCTCTGTGTTTTTTGGAAATAATTTATCCATGCAATTGTATTATCATGATTTTTATATATATATATATATATTTACCTCATTGTTTTTAATGGATATTTTTGCAAAGGACCACCCAAAAACATTAGAATAAACGGTGCCCAATGCTTAAACAGGGCTGTACCTTTCTTATCAGCCAGGCTAGAAAATCTCATAATTCATGGGACATTGGGTAGACTGCTTAACAAGTTTTATCTAAGTATTAGGGAATAATGAGTCCTAGAATGAGGACTGCACTTAATCTACCTAAAAACATTCAGAACAATACCAGTAAGGATCCAACTGTTTCAAAATTACTTAGTTAAATCCTCCCATGAAGCTCAGAAGTTCTTAATATTTGCAAAAATAGCCAGCACCTATTAAGGTAAAATTCAAATTGTTTTCTAAGATTATTAGTATGCAAAGAATCAGGAAAACATAAGACATAATGAGAATATTCAATCAATGGAAATAATCCCATAATGGCCACAAATGCTACAATTTGCAAAGACATTAAAATGGTTATTATAACTACACTCCGTATGTTCAAAATGTGTACATAAACATATGTATTTATATACATATGTATCATTTGAGTATATGCAAACACATTATATTTACATATACAACATACACACAGATGGATATAGAACAAATTATAGATGTTTGTATAAATGTTTTATTTCATAGACATGCATCCCTATTTCTGGAAGGAAAAAATGGCTTCCCTCTGCCCTCCTAGGTTCTTTAGGCTGTGAATTAAGTTGACATAAGGCAGATTAAAAGGAGTGAAGCTACATTTAGTTGTGTATGTATACATGGGAGTCCCAAAAAAGTATGAGATTCAAAGAATGGTCAGATTAATAAGGATTATAAAGCTTCATTAGCTACAGAAAGAAAGAAGGGTTTGATGAAGCTTTTGGGGGTGATTTTGGAGTCAAGCACTATAAAAGGGTAGGGGGAGGAAATGTATGGTGAATAAGATTGCATTATATTCTGATAAGAGTCTCTCAGGTAATAAAAGTTGCCTCTGAGCCGTTTTCCTCCTGGTATAGTCAGTTTTTGTACATACAAACTTTCTTTACAAAAGGGCAGCTTTTCCGAACTACCCATGTGTTCGCAGTTTCTCAAAATAACTAGCTAATAATCAATTTGCAAAGAAGAGTATTTTGGGATAGTGTCCTGAACCCCAACACTTCTACTGAGTCAGTCTAGCAACAGTGATAACCCAAAAACAATGAACACACCCAAATAATATAACTTGTTTCTAAATACCATTCATGGTAAAAGTAACAAGGACTATAATTTTAAGGCTTGGACAGGGTATATATGAGTCTAGATAATCTTATACTACCAGAAAGAAGAGAAGTGACCACAAAATAAAAAGAAAGAGAGCATGTCAAAGGGATAGGGGGTAAAACTGAAAGAGCTCCCAATGGTGAGACATTGGAACAATTTGTACTACATTATTAATAGTATTGCATCTGTAGGGGTGGAGGGGAAGCTTCCTCTCCTTTCATCAGAGTTTCACTAAAATGACTGTCAATAGACAGATTATTAGAAGAAAAAGGCACACAGATTTATTAACATGCATATGGACAAGGGAATCCCACAAATACGATACTCAAAGAAGGGGCAGATGGTAGAGGCTTAAATATTTTTTCCACCGGAGAGAGGAAAGTGGGCAGCTGTATGTAATTTTAGAGCAGTAGTAAATTATTTTTAGGGGAAATGAATGAACTCAAACATTCCTGGGACAAAGTTCCTCTGAGCTCTGGGGAAGGTGGTGGGAGGGTGAGGAGTGGAACTTCACTGTGAACAAAGGTTGTCTTCTTATACAGATAAAGCCCCCCAAAAGAAATGTATGACCATCATTAGTAGTATCTAATCTGCTCTCCTCATATGTTTGTGAGAACCAAATAATATTTTAAAACACTAGAAAATATAAAATGTTATTATGATTTTTGATACTAAATTTTTTTAACCTTGATTGTATTCTCAATTTTTATTTATTTATTTTCCAACTTTTATTTTAGATTCAGGGTGTACATGTGCAGGTTTGTTACATGAGTAAATTGCATGTCACTGGAGTTTGGTACACAAAGTGATTTCATCACGCAGGTACTGAGCATGGTACCCAATAGGTAGTTTTTTGACCCTCACCTTCCTCCCACCCTCCACTTTCAAGTAATCCCCATTATCTATCATTCCCCTCCTTGAGTCCACGTGTACTTGATGTTTGGCCCTCACTTACAAGTGAGATAATCTGGTATTTGGTTTTCTGTTCCTGTGTTAATTTGTCTAGGATAATGGCTTCCAGCTCCATCCATATTGCTGCAAATGACATGATTTCACTCTTTTTATGACTGCATAGTTTCAAGCTGTATATGTACTGCATTTTCTTTACCTAGTCCACTGTCGATAGGCACCTAGGTTGATTCTATGTCTTCGCTATTTTGAATAGTGCTGCAATAAACATACAAGTGCATGTGTAGTTTTGGTAGAAATAATGATTTATATTTTGGAGGATACATATCCACTGATGGGATTGCTGGGTCAGGTGGTAGTTCTAAGTTCTATGAGAAACCTCCAAACTGCATTACAGAGTGGCTGAACTTTACATTTCTACGAGCGGTGTATAATTGTTCCCTTTTCTCTACATCTGTTTTTTTTTTTAACTTTAATATGTTGTATTATTGGCAAGGGGGTTGCTTTTATTACATCTGTTGGTTTGTAAGGCAGAATGTGAAGTCCACGGACAACCCAATTGCAAGGTAATAAGCTCATCCACTGAGAAACTACAGGGCCAGGTTTGGTATAAGATTGATGCTATAGTTGGGAAGTTTGTTCCTCTAAACATCATGTTGAAATTTGATCCTTGATGTACAAGGTAGGGCCTAATGGGGAGTTTTCAAGTCACTTGGTCAGGTGTCTCATGAATGGCTTGGTGCCATGCTCACAGAAATGAGTTATGAGTGAGTAAGATGCTGCATGCACAAGGCCAATCCTTGTGGAAATCACTGCTATGAAGAAAAAATATAAGGTAATGAATAAAATAAACAGTACTCAAGAGAATAACTTATGCATCTTTAATGTGTTTCGTGTGTGTGTGTGTGTGTGTGTGTCTGTGTATGTGTATGTGAGACTTGTTTTCCTTCTCTTCTATATGATATATAAATTAACTACTTGAAGAAAAAAATGCTGCTCTATTTTATTAGCATATTCAAAAGGCTACCAGAATAGTCACTTTTGTAAACTGCAGTCTAGCTTTTAAAAGGGAGAGATAAAATTATGATGACTCCAACAGTTATGCTAGGTGTTAAGACAAAGAAATTTTCACAATGATGTTAACAGAAATGCATTCCGGAATTAGAACCTGCCATTTTATGCCAATATGAGCATTTGCAAAATAAAATATTTTAGTATTTGATTACTTGCAGCTTAATTTTATAGTTCATGATAATGCAGGATGCTCCTTAGTTCAGCTAAAATCCAGATTCTTGTTACACAACCAGGACAGATTAGACACGTGGACACATTGAAATGTGAGGAGAGCAGAATTCACTGAAAGAAAGCTCGGCTGGGCGCGGTGGCTCACGCCTGTAATCCTAGCACTTTGGGAGGGCAAGGTGGGCAGATCTCCTGAGGTCGGGAGTTCGAGACCAGCCTGGCCAACATGGTGAAACCCTGTCTCTACTAAAAATACAAAAATTAGTTGGTCATGGTGGCGCATGCCTATAATCCCAGCTACTCGGGAGGCTGAGGCAGGAGAATTACTTGAACATGGGAGGCAGAGGTTGCAGTGAGGCGAGATAGCGCCATTGCACTCCAGCCTGGCTGGGTGACACAGCAAAGACTCCATCTCAAAAAAAAAAAAAAAAGAAAAGAAAAAGAAAAAAAGAAAGAAAGCTCTCAGCAAAAGAGAGGGTTCCTGCCAACAGGCCCCCACCTCACAGATTGAATAGCAGGCCACCGCACATGGGCTGAAGACCAGGTTCCTCCCTGCTGCATCATGCAAGAATTCCCAGTGGTTCCACCCAATTCTTCTAGTTTGCAGGTGGGCCCTTAGTCTGAGCCACTCCACACTGATTTATTTCCCTTACTGCACATGTGTTAAGGGACAGAATTTTTCACCATGGGCATGTATAGGCAAGCCCTCTGTGCAGAATCACCTGGGTGGCATTTGGTTGTCTCCTATCTCTATCAATGATACTGAGGCAAATATAGTATAACACAGGTGGCATGTTGTAAAACAGAGTAATTCGAAATTGGAAATTAACTTATTATCAAAAAAATAATTTCTTCTCTCAGTGGAATAATTTAGTCAACTTCCTTATGACAGCAATTTGTGACAACTGAGGTTAGACAAAGTTGGAACCTAAATTTACTGTAAGTAAAGGTTGCCATTATGCTTTATATGCTGAAAAGGCATTGAAGAAACCCATATTTGTCAACTTTTGAGGCAACATGTACACATTACATACATTGTGTGCTTAGTACATGCATGTGCTTATGTGCTAAGAAGAACCCTACGTGAGCAAACAATGATCTTTTCCTAAAAAAGAGTTCCTGACCACTAAGCAAAAATTCATGCAGGTATGCTCACAAAGAAAAAAAAAATAGATGTAAAAATGACACAATTTATTACAGGTATTAATTCGAATGGTCAGTAGGAGAAGCAACAAGGAAGTAATAACTGGTAGCACTCTAGAGCCCACAGGCAAATGCTGGAATTCTCTAGCACAGATAATCCTGTAATCATGTAATAATTTGATCTTTTGAGATAATGAACTCACTCCTGAAATAACTGTATCAATCCATTGATGAGGGCTGAGCACTTATGATCTAATCACCTCTTAGGTGTCCTATTAATGCCATCACATTGGGGATAAAGTTTCAACACAAGTTTTGAAGGAGAAATTCAAACTGTAGCACTGAATAAGCCGAAAGAGTGTCAGTTTTAAATAATTAAAATGCTTACCTCAAGTCATTGCACATAATGAATCACTTTTTTGTGCCTGATCTGAATTATTTTCTCACTGCTTTTAGCAGTAAGGACAAGATAAACCAAAAATTGGAGATCGACTATGTGTGTTGAAGAGCTTCATTGACTGAATTTAGAGTCTCCCAAGTTCTTGAAAGTGAAAGGTATGGCTTGGAATGGGAAAGAGGGATACCTACACCATTGATTTGGACATATCTCCAAGGTTATAGAAAGTTTGAATACCAGGAGTTAGTAAACTAATGTCCATGGCCAGATAGGTCCACAGCCTCTTTTTGTGTAGCCATTGAGCTAAGAATTGTACATTTTTTTTAATGAATTGTGCAAAAGAAAACAGAATAATTTGCCTAACATACTATTTTTACTTTTGCAGAAAAAGTTTGCCAATCCCTGACCTAATGCCCCTAGAAAAACATCTTCCTTTCAATTTTCTTTGCCAGAGTAAGGAAAAAATCCCCCTCTTTCACTCATATCTATGTGCCAACGCTGTAATCAGATACTAATCAGTATCAGCATTTCTTGTGGGGTAGAATGAAAACAACCTTAGTGAGTAAGACAAGATGTATTTCCAGAAAGAATTGCTGGATTTTGTTGATTTATATTGTCAGAATTGTCGGAAATACTTCCTGGAGTTCATGCCAAGGAAGAAAATGTTGAACTGTGGATTCAGATATTTTTTAAATATCTATGTGGGTTTGTAAAATGTAATGTGTGTCTGTATTTGGTGTACTAGTTGGTGCAGGGAGCCAAAATTCCAAAAATTTGCAGTTTGACAAGATTCATAATGGTACTTCAAACCAGGAAAGTAAGTTGAAGATACTGCAAATGAAATGTACTCTCTCATCTCAGCAGGAATGGGAGGGAATTTGCAGAGCCAATGTGGTAACCATTAAGTAACTTCTAGCTTCTGGAATAAAGAATCTTAAATTCCACAATAGTCTGTGTTAAGGTGACTTCTCTGTTAGGTCCCCAGGGAGGAAGTAGCAGAGGGCAAGGGTCCTACTTAGTGTTTCTATCAGTTAGAGGAAACAATTCAAGCTTTCAAAGCACCACATTTGCATTTAACTCCATCAAGTCACAGAAGTGATAATACCAGTAGCCTGAATTGTAGTCTCCTAGACTTGGTGCATTAGTATTAGGTATACTAGCTGAGTCAGTGTGGATTAAAATAATTTAATTTACTCATACTTTGTTGCAACCACATTGTCAAAGGCATATGTATTTTTTTCTGACGTATTTCCAAGCACTTAGGTTTAGTATATTCTTTTTAATTTATGACCCCAGGCCATGCACTAGTGACATATTTTTATCCATTAAACAAAGACTTACTAACCTCTTTCAGAGACATCAGTTCAGTAGGGAATTCAATATATAATGGTGTTCACTTGAACCTTTATTACTCTACTTCAGTTGCATGTAGTTCTTTTAAAAAAATATGGTCATTAACATGGAAGTGGAATAAAACAGAAGCCCAAAGCTTTAAATTTGGATGTCCTCAGTCAAGAATAAAAATGTATGTCTGTATGCATGCCTATTATTTTAAATGTGTATTAAACAGTCTATTAAGCAATATGGATTCTGTCCTCCCTCCACTTTCACAAGTTTATTTTTAAAATGACAGAGATGGTCAGATTTAAACTTAGATTTCATGTATTTTTTTTTGTTCTAGGCCAGAACAAGGCATTGTGGAACAAACCAGTCCTGTGTTCCATCAACCTTTTTCAGTTTGCTCTCCTTTTCCTACAATGGGTCTTGTGTGGGCATATGTATACATCTCAGTCTGCTTGTCAAAAATCCATCTAAGTGTCTGTCCCTTGGCCACCATTTGGACTCCTGATGTGGACACTGGTGTATTCTGATGTGGACACTGGTGTATTCTGATGTGAAGGAGAGAAAAAGAAAATATGTTTGCACAGATAATGGAAATAGTTATGGTGTTATTGGGGAAGAGAATTCCATGATCTCATAATTGCGTATGCCAAAAGGAAAGGCTGGAATTGCATAGGCAATGTACATCTTATTATTAGCCATTTTTGCTTCTGTTTTTAGGCTCTCTACATTGTGAGAAAGAGCCAAGGGGCCACTCTTCTAATAGAATTAAAGTCTAACGGCAGTGTATGCTCAGAAGCTGGTGTAGCAGCTAGGAGAAAGTCTCACTTTAGTCTTAACCAGACTATCTGTTCCATTGTACGGTCATATGGCCACAGCAATATAAACAAATGGCAGTGTCCTTGCCAACTGCTTTTATATAATTTTAAATACATGTAGCATATATATATATATTTAGTATATATGTTTACTATACTAAACATATATCAAGGTTAACAAAGGTATAACAACTTACACAGCGATTCCCAGGCTTACAGGCTTTACAACTATACACAGCAAAGAATTTTTATATACCTATTAATTAACATAAAATTATTCCCAATTCATCCACTAATACATTTCCTTTTAATCCGTGTGCTGCAATATCTGAGTGGATGAAGAACAAATGGTCACAGTATTGAATATTTAATTAATTAATGGTCTCTTTATTCTGTTCAGTTCCAACAGCCTGGAATTTGTATTATCAGTGGAGTTGCATGTAAAGAGAACATAATTAGTACTGATTCATATCACTTGTAATGCCCTAAAAGAGCTGCACACTAGTTAGACACTCTCATTTAGATTCCTAGAGCTGCCTTTATGTCTACTTCCCTAGTTGTGGTTGGGAAGCTTTTCCTTAAATTATACTATTTCAAAATTAAGTAATCAACATCATCATCATCATAATCATCAACGTTGTTGCTTTCATTATTCAGAATTTGTCTCAGCAGCCTGTGTAATATTTACTCGTAGCCTTGGCTGGGTAAAGAATTTGATTCAAAGAATTCATTGGTTCAATTTTTATTATTATTATTATTATTATACTTTAAGTTCTAGGGTACATGTGCACAACGTGCAGGTTTGTTACATATGTATACACGTGCCATGTTGGTGTGCTGCACCCATTAACTCATCACTTACATTAGGAATATCTCCTAATGTTACCCCTCCCCCTTCTCCCCACCCCATGACAGGCCCCATTGTGTGATGTTCCCCTTCCTGTGTCTAAGTGTTTTCATTGTTCAATTCTTACCTATGAGTGAGAACATGCGGTGTTTGGTTTTCTGTCCCTGTGATAGTTTGCTGAGAATGATGGTTTCCAGCTTCATCCATGTCCCTACAAAGGACATGAACTCATCCTTTTTTATGGCGGAATAGTATTCCATAGTGTATGTGTGCCACATTTTCCTAATCCAGTCTGTCATTGATGGACATTTGGGTTGGTTCCAAGTCTGCTATTGTGAATAGTGCCCCAATAAACATACGTGTGCATGTGCCTTTACAGAAGCATTATTTATAAACCTTTCGATACATACCCAGTAATGGGATGGCTGGGTCAAATGGTATTTCTAGTTCTAGATCCTTGAGGAATTGCCACACTGTCTTCCACAATGGTTGAACTAGCTTACAGACCCACCACAGTGTAAAAGTGTTCCTATTTCTCCACATCCTCTCCAGCACCTGTTGTTTCCTGACTTTTTAATGGTTGCCATTCTAACTGGTGTGAGATGGTATCTCATTGTGGTTTTGATTTGCATTTCTCTGATGGCCAGTGATGACGAGCATTTTTTCATGTGTCTATTGGCTGCATAAATGTCTTCTTTTGAGAAGTGTCTGTTCATATCCTTTGCCCACTTTTTGATGGGGTTGTTTGATTTTTTTCTTGTAAATTTCTTTAAGTTCTTTGTAGATTCTAGATATTAGCCCTTTGTCAGATGAGTAGATTGCAAAAATTTTCTCCCATTCTGTAGGTTGCCTGTTCACTCTGATGGTAGTTTCTTTTGCTGTGCAGAAGCTCTTTAGTTTAATTAGATCCCATTTGTCAATTTTGGCTTTTGTTGCCATTGCTTTTGGTGTTTTAGTCATGAAGTCCTTGCCCATGCCTATGCCCTGAATGGTATTGCCTAGGTTTTCTTCTACGGTTTTTATGGTTTTAGGTCTAACATTTAAGTCTTTAATCCATCTTGAATTAATTTTTATAAGATGTAAGGAAGGGATCCAGTTGCAGCTTTCTACATATGGCTAGCCAGTTTTCCCAGCACCATTTATTAAATAGGGAATCCTTTCCCCATTTCTTGTTTTTATCAGGTTTGCCAAAGATCAGATGGTTGTAGACGTGTGGTATTATTTCTGAGGGATCTGTTCTGTTCCGTTGGTCTATACCTCTGTTTTGGTACCAGTACCATGCTGTTTTGGTTACTGTAACCTTGTGGTATAGTTTGAAGTCAGGTAGCGTGATGCCTCCAGCTTTGTTCTTTTGGCTTAGGATTGTCTTGGCAATGCGGGCTCTTTTTATTAGAACATGCATTCAATTGTTCACTAAAATCTCATTTTCTCATAATAAGTTCTTATACTGAAGAGTAATTTAACAAATTCAACACCTTCATAAAAACTTTCAGCAACTAGAGATAGAAGAGAAATTCCTCACCCTGATAATGGGAAACCTATATACAACCCACACCCTCCTAGTCTTGAAAGACTGAACACTTACTACCACTTTAATTCACTACTATGTGGGAGATCCTGCATACATGCATATAGATTGGAAAATAAGTAAAACATATTTTTTTTACAAACATTATTGTGTATGTAGAAAAGGCTAAGTAATTGATGCAACAATCTAGTAACAGTTAAAATTTAAGTTTGCAAGATACAAAATTACCATACAAATAACAATTGTATGCCCATGAGCTAGTAATTAAAATGAAAATACTTTCTAAATATAAAATTTTAATACCATAAAATATGAATAACTACAAATAAATTTTACACAGTATATGTAATAACTGTACACTGAAAACCATAACATTTCCCTGGGGAAACTTAAAAAGAATACAAATTAGAGTAGAGATATGCTTTCTAGGTTAGAAGCATACTGTTGTTAAAATTTCAATTGTGTAAATTTCATCTATGAATGCAAAGCAATTTCAATCAAAATCCTAGGAGACGTTTCTTTTTTAGTTGAAATGGACAACTATAAAATTTATGTGAAAATGCAAAGGGCCAAAGCAGACAAAGTATTTTTGAAAAATAAAGTTGCTGGAGGATTTATACTACCTGGCTTTAATAGTTAATACAAAATTCATTTCAAGAGTTAATGAAGACAGGTGGGCTTAAACTATTCTAAAGTATATTTTACTTTATATATTTTTTGAATAAAGTCAGATACTCTCACTCAGTTTTTAAATTAACTCAACAGATAATTTTCTATCTCTACCACTACCCTGAAACTTCACTAAAATTAGAACCAAGTTTCCCTTCATAAGTAAGATCTGTATCTTCATAGACACTTGTACAGAGTTGATTTGGCCAATTGTTTTTTAATAAAGATACCAAGATAATTCAAAGAGAGAAGGATAGGTTTTCCAAAATATCATGCTGAAAGAACTGATTAACCAAATGGAATATATATAAATACGTGTGTGTGTGTGTGTGTCTGTCTGTGTGTATAAATTATAAACCTTATACAAAACATTTTTTAAAAAAGTAGCTTACGTGTAAGTTAAATATAATAGCTGATTCTAAAACATTACTGAAAGAAAACATAGGAAAAAGTTCTTATAACCTTAGGTAGGACAAAAAGGCATTAATAACTAAAAATAAATAAACAAATAAAAAAGAATATTGATGCTGTTTACATGCCAAATCTTGGAATTCTCGACTTCAGCCATAACCATCTCTCTGCTTAGATTCATTCCCTGCTATATTAAATCCCTGGAGCTTGCGTAACAAATTACCACAGGCCAGGTGACTGAAAGCAGCAGGGATTTGTTCTCTCACAGTTTTGCAGGGCAAAATTTAGAAATCAAGTGTTGCTAGGTCCATGCTTCCTTTGAAGGCTTTAGGGAAGCATCCTTCCAAGCTTCCTAGCTTCTGGTGGCTTCTAGCAATCATCGGTATCCCTTGGTCTGTAGCTGAATAACTCCAATCTCTGTCTCTCTTATCATATGACCTTCTTTCCTATGCATATCTCTGTGTCTCTTCTTCCCTTTTTATTAAGTACACTAAGTATTGATTTTAGGACCCACCCTAATCTAGTGTGACATCATCTTAACTAATTACATCTGCAAAGGCCGTATTTCCACATAAGGTCACATTGTGAGGTCCTGGGTAGACATGAATTTTTGAGGGACACCATGCAATTCAATACTCTTACCTAGGATGTTTTCTTTACTCCCTTACATATGTTTCCTTTCCTAAGGATATTCCATTAACAAATGATGTCTCACGCTATGCTTTTAATGAATTTGTCCCTAAGACAATGTTATATCCCTGGAAACTACCAAAGTGTTTGGCACATAATGGATACATAACTAAGTATCCCTTATCTGCAAGGAATATGTTCCAAGACCCCCAGTGAATTCCTGAAATGGCGAATAGCATCAAACTATGTAAATACTCTTTTGCGATGTGGTAATCAAGTTGGCTACTAAGTGACTAAAGGGTAGGTAGTGTCTACAGCATAATATGCTAGACAATGGGATGATTCAGATCCTGGGAAAGACATAGTGATATGGCATGGGATTTCTTCATGCTACTCAGAAAGGCTACAATTTAAAATGTGTATTTTTTATTTCTGGAATTTTCCATTTAATATTTTTAGACCGCATTTGACTGCAGTTAACTGTAACCATGAAAAGAGGAACCACTAAGGGAGGATGACTATATGTGTGTGTGTGTGTGTGTGTGTGTCTGCACGCGCATGAATGATAAAAAGTGGAACCTATCAGGAATTTGGGAAATATGTGTGAACAGGATCCAGTAAATATGAGAAGAAAGTGCATAGGTGATAGTTTTGATTGGGGCATAATCTTGGCAACAATTTCTGGAGGCAAATTTGGCCTATGAAACACTGAAAGCTATTTATTAAGTACCTGCTATTAAAGCAAGATATGTTAGTAGAACAATACTGACAAATATTTCTGCCCTTAGGAAGGTTACATTTTAGTGAAAAAGCATATGAAATATTTACATTCTCTAAAAGTGAGTATGTTATAAGTGCTATGAAAAAATGCTCAAGAAAAAGATGTCTGGAGGATAACGTATGGTGGGATAAATTGTGTTATGTTTAGAGCATAGTACAGTGTTACTCAGATTGCCAGATGACAGCGATTGCCTATTCAAATCAGAGGTGGACAAACTTGCAGGGGCTCAAGTGCCTGAAAAAATGGCAAATTCACAAGGCCTGACAAGATGGCAAGGCAATTACAGGTTGTATTGTACAGAAAACAGTAATCTACCAGTGACTTTAAAACTCACACTTGAGAGCTGCTCTGATGATCAGTTTTAAAGTGTCAACTTGACCGGGAAATGGGTTGCCCAGATATTTGCTTAAACATTACTTCTGAATGTGTCTGTGAGGATGTTTCTGGGTGAGATTAACATTTAAATCAGTAGACTGAGTAGATTGTCCTCCTCCATGTGGATGGGCCTCATCTAATCTGTTGAAGACGTGGATAGAATAAAAGGCTGAGTAAGAAAGAATTATTTCTCTCTGCCTTACTGTTTCAAACTGGGACATCAGTCTTCTGTCTTCGGGCTTGGATTCAGACTGCAACTATACCATGAACTCTCCTGAGTCTCCAGCTTGCCAACTGTAGACAATGAACTTTCCACTTAATTCATAAGCCGATTCCTAATAATAAATCTGTATCTATGTCTATATCTATATGTATGTATGTCTGTCTGTCTATATATCTATCTATCTATCTATCTATCTATCTATCGATCTATCTATCTACCTATCCAATTGGTTCTGTTTCTCTGAAGAAACCAACTATAATGACTTTGTTGGAGATTTGGAGATCTGTATTTCTAACATGGCATCCCATCCAAATTAAATTGTTATTAAATTTCTCCTGGTTATATTTTTTACCCATGAGGGAAATTACATATTACTTACAATAGAGATGAAAACAGAAAGAGCATAAAACAAGTGAAGCCTGTCAAATGGAGGGAAAAGACACTGACATGGTCGGTTATCACCAAGTTACATTATCAACTCCATGTAAAACTCTTATAGGTTTCACTACTTCCCAAGTCAATAAAGACTCCAAAAGTAAAAGAAGGTCATTTGATAAAACAAGAAAATAAACCTATCTTAATTGTTCATAATGATTTTGTTTTGCATTTTAACCATTTTTTTTTTATTATCCTCACAAATAATAACACTAAGTCAAGTCATGAGTCAAATACTAATCTTTAGGCCAAGACAAAACAACCAACTATATGCCTCTTCAAATTATTTAAAAAATGATAAAATTAAGGAATTTGAAATATTATCTATATGTGTAGAATCTGTGAGAGAAACAAAATAATTTCCTACTTCAGCCATTGTATATATACTAGCTTTGTTTGAATTGTCATCTTACTAAATGGACATGTGTAATCTTTCTCTAAAACTAATTCCTGCCATAATAACAAAAACCAATATTTTAGTAGAAATGGGGTTTTGCCATGTTGGCCAGGCTGGCCTCGAACTCCTGACCTCAGGCGATCCACCTGCCTTGGCCTCCCAAAGTGCTGGGATTACAGGCGTGAGTCACTGCACCAGGCCAATTTTAATAATAATTTATTGCACATTTTTAACAGGTTCATTCATTTTCACAAAAGTCCTCAGGCTAATAGCTGTTCCTTCATGTCAAAATGTCTCTGGCTAAGACCAGAAAAGAAAAACAGTGGGCAATTTCCTTTTCACCTCATTTTATCTATGCAACTCTATACCATTTTCATTTTAGGAGACTATAGAAGTGTGGAGTCTATTTTCAGGTATATCTATAATTACCAATTTTATTCTAATATATCAGCAAAATTCTTTCACATGACCACATGAGTCAGGAATCTGGGGACTATGTTAATCACATTATAAAACAGAAACACTCTGAAAGGTCAGTTCCTTCTTGCCTAATCCGATATTCAGAGCCTGTTCCTGAGTCACGGTAGGACAGGAAAAAAAACAACTGATGTAAAGTTTCCTGAAGTGTTTAATCAACACAATCCAGACTAAAGCCTGAAAAAACATTTACTGTCAATGTCCATTAGCCTAGGAGAGTTTTCTGAGCTCATAGAAGAAAAGAGGCTGTTTTCCTTCACCAAACAAGAGGGCACCTTGCTCATTCATTCTGGGTCCTTAAGAAAAAAAAGTGGATGAATTTTGTATGTTTAAAACAGGCAAGGAAAAAAAGAAAGCAAAAATATATTTACAGTAGACTTTCCGTATCCACCAACCACAGCTGGAAAATATTCAGGAAAAAATAAAAATAAAAAAACGTAACAATAAAAGCCAATACAAATAAAAAATACAATATAACAACTATTTCCATGGCATTTACATTTCATTAGTTATTGTAGGTAATCTGCAGAGGATTTAAAGTATAAAGGTGGCCGGGTGCAGTGGCTCACGCCTGTAATCCCAGCACTTTGGGAGGCCAAGGTGGGCGGATCAGGAGCTCAGGAGATCGAGACCATCCTGGCTAACACAGTGAAACCCCTTCTCTACTGAAAACGCAAAAAATTAGCCGGGCGTGGTGGCAGGCACCTGTAGTCCCAGCTACTCGGGAGGCTGAGGCAGGAGAATCGCTTGAACCCGGGAGGCGGAGGTTGCAGCGAGCTGAGATCGCGCCACTGCACTCCAGCCTGGGCGACAGAACAAGACTCCCCCTCGAAAAAAAAAGTATAAAGGAGGATGTGTGTAGCTTATATGTGAACACTATGCCATTTTATATAAGCGACTTGAGTGCCCACAGATTTTGGTGTCTGCAGGGGCCCTGGAACCAATCTCCTGCAGATATTGAGGGATGACTGTCTACTTTCCAGACGAATTTAAAATCTTTGGTCCAAATAACAGCAGAATAAATAAATCCTATGCTGTTAGCTACTATTGTTTTGGTTAAATGGCAGGCATTTAGAGTTGAAAAAATAGTTAGCTTACTAGAGGGCAGGAAGAGACAAACTAGCCTTGACAATTCTGTAAAAATGTTGTCAAACGGAGCAAGTGGCTGGTATTCAGAGGTGACTGAGTATACTTTTCACTGTGGTTGCATTCTCATTGATGACAAACCGAACATCAAAAATAAGGGTTGGATGGGCTTTGATATCACGTTAATTAAACATTAGGATGACATGATTCAAATCAGTTATTTAAATCTATATTAGAATAACTTAGTGATCCAGAGTACTTTTTATAAAACTAAACCAAATGTAATGTAGTTCATATATAATATGCTTTTTGTACTAGCATGAATAGGTAGATGTACTTATATATGTGTGTCTATGTGTGTGTGAATACACACATATGGACATTAAAGGCAAATGTTCATCATTAAGTTGTTGAAAGAGGACATAAAAGAATATTATGTATGTTGCATGTATGTAACATACATAACATAATACAGGCTGAGCCTGTCAGAACATTTTAGTAAATAAGGCAACACGTATCTGATGGTGGTACCATAAAATTACAATGGAGCTGAAAAATTCCTATCACCTAGTGACAGTGTAACCATCATGCTGTCCTCAAATAATGCATTACTCACGTTTGTGGTGATGCTGATGTAAAAAAAACCTAGGATACTTCCAGTCGTATAAACTTGTAGCAATACAATTATGTACAATACATAATGATAATAAATGACTATGTTGCTGATTTATATATTTAAATATTTACTATATTTTCTATCTTTGTATTACAGTATACTCCTTCTACTTATTAAAAAAAGTTGACCATAAAATAACTCAGGCATGTCCTTGAGGAGGTGCTTCAGAAGAAAGTATTATTATCAGAGGATGACATTTCCATGCCTGTTATTGCCCCTGAAGATCTTGCAGTGGGACAAGATGTGAAAGTGGAGGCCGAGTGCAGTGACTCATGCCTGTCATGAGTCTGACCATGACTCATGGGAGGCCAAGGTGGGCAGATCACCTGAGGTCAGGAGTTCGAGACCAACCTGGACAACAAGGTGAAACCCCGTCTCTACTAAAAATACAAAAAAAAAAAAAAAGAAAAAGAAAAACTTAGCCAGGAGTGGTGGGGAGCACCTGTAATCTCAGCCACTCAGGAGGTTGAAGCAGGAGAATTGCCTGAACCTGGGAGGCGGAGGTTGCAGTGAGCCAAGATCACACCATTGCACTCCAGCCTGGGTGACAAGAGCGAGACTTCGTGTCAAAAAAAAAAAAAAAAAAAGAAAAAAAGAAAGTGGAATACAGTGATATTGATTATCCTCACCGTGTACAGGCCTAGGCTGATGTATGTGTTTGTGTCTTAGTTTTTAACTGAAAATTCTAAAAAGTAAAGAAAAACAGAAAAAAATGTAGAATAAAGATATAAATAAAATATTTTTTGTGCAGCTGTGCAATGTGTTTAATTTTTAAGCTAAGTATTATTACAAAAATCAAAAAGCTAAATAAATTAAAACTTTTATAAAGTAAAAAGTTACAGTAAGCTAAGGTTAATGTCTTATTGAAGAAAGAAAATTTTTTATAATTTAGTGTAGCCTAAATGTACTGTATTTATAAAGTTTATAGTAGTATATAGTAATGTCTAAGGCCTTCCCATTCACTCACCACTCACTCACTGATTCACCCAAAGTAACTTCCAGTCCTGCAAGCTTCATTCATGGTAAGTGCCCTATACAGGGTACCATTTTTTCATCTTTTATGCTGTATTTTTACTGTACCTTCCCTTTTTTCTTTTCTTTTTTTTCTTTTCTTTCTTTTTTTTTTTTTTTTTTTTTTTTTTAACACAGTCTCGCTCTGTCACCCAGGCTGGAGTGCAGTGGCACAATCTCGGCTCACTGCAACCTCCACCTCCCAGGTTCAAGCAATTATCCTGCCTCAGCCTCCTGAGTAGCTGGGATTACAGGTGTGCGCCACCATGCCCAGCTAATTTTTGTATTTTTAGTAAAGACAGGGTTTCACTATGTTGGTCAGGCTGGTCTCTATCTCCTGACCTCATGATCCACCTGCCTCGGCCTCCCAAAGTGCTGGAATTACAGGTGTGAGCCACCATACCCAGCCTTACTGTATCATAGATAGATAGATAGATAGATAGATGATAGATAGATAGATAGATAGATAGATAGATAGATAGGAATATAGTTGCCTACAATATTCAGCACAGTAACATGCTATATAGGTCTGTAGCTTGGGAGCAATAGGCTGTAATATCATATTGTCTAGGTGTGTAGAAGGCTATACCTTCTAAGCTTGTGTAAGTATACTCTGTGATGTTCACAAAATTGCAAAATCCCCTAAGGATGGATTTCTCAAGACATATCATCATCATTAAGCAATGCCTAACTGTGCTTTACTTTTTGTTTCCCACTTGTAACATTGTTTTTCTTTTTGTAAGATATAAACTATTATGATTCTTTGTGGATGAATGCACATTAATCATCACCAATATAAAAAATACCATCAAGATCAAAGTTAGAAGTGGCACTATATGTAAAAATTGTGTGTCTCTAATTTTATAAAAAGTTTAAAATGATCACTAGGTGATTCCAGACACATAAGGCCTCAATGGCAGAAACCATATGAAAATTACAAAGTTAATATTTAAAGACCCGGCATGGTGGCTCATGCCTGTAATCCCAGCACTTTGGGAGGTCAAAGTGGGAGGATTGTTTGAACCCAGGAATTCAGGACGAGCCTGGGTAACATGACAGAAAACCATCTTTACAAAAAATACAAACATTACCCTGGCTTGGTGGCATGCACCTGTAGTCCCAGATACTTGGGAGGCTGAGATGGGACGACCCCTTGAGCCCAAGAGATTGAGGTGGCAGTGAGTCAAGAGTCATGAGGTGGCAGTGAGTCATGTAGGGCACTGCCCTACAGCCTGGGTGAAGGAGTGAGACCCTTTCTCGAAACAACAATAACAAAACACACCAGTAATAATTTTACTAATATATTTGATTTGTAAGGCAAATAAATATAAACTTTAGGAGTCCCACCATTAAGCGGACAGTATTGTAATGAAATCTCAGCATTTGGCTCAGATGGAACTCCTTTATATCTACCAGGAACATCACGGCAGCATTTGCACAATGGGCTATAGAACGATGGAGTGGCATAATTGCTGCCTCACTGAAGCGTGAATGCAGCCTAATTAACAGGATTGAAACTGCTACACTCAAAATCTCATTGCATTTATCTTCTTTTGCTTACTTTCTATAGGTAGGGTGGTCACCGAAGTGTTGCTTCTCATTGACATGCTGCAGTGTTTTTAGTCCACCTGCTTCATCTTGACCTCTGTCTTAGGATGCCATGTAAGCAACTCTCTTTTTGCTCGAGTATTCTAATTAAATCTTATTGTCTAATTGAGATAGTGGTATACAGAGCAATTGAAAATGTTCTATCCCAAGAGAAAACCAAACACCACATGTTCTCACTCATAAGTGGGAGTTGAACAATGAGAACACATGGACACAGGGAGCTGAACATGACACACCAGGGCCTGTCGGGCAGTGGGGGGCTAGGGGAGGGAGAGCATTAGGAGAAATACCTAATGTAGATGACGGGTTGATGGGTAAAGCAAACCACCATGGCACGTGTATACCTATGTAACAAACCTGCACATTCTGCACGTGTATCCCAGAACTTAAAGTATAATAAAAAAAAAAGAACAAAAAAAAAAAAGAAAAAATGTTCCAACCCTTCTGCTCTAAAGGGTAGATAGAAGCAATTATGAAAATCCATCTGCCAATTGCCTTTAAGATAGTGTTTCCTGCCAATACACTTTCATTCACTTCAATAAATCCCTGGCTGAATTCTTTGATACCATTTTTTAATAGAAAAAATAAAATTATAACAAGAAAAAATAAATGGAGATGAAGATAAATTAAACTTTCCTTCCTTGATGGTGATCATTCTTTAAAAAAAAAAAATCAGTTAATTTGTTTTCTTCAGGTTACCAGTCCAATTTTGCTTATTTCTTTCACTCTCTTCGTAAAGGACCAAGCCACTGCTTTGTTGTATGAAAATAATATTTTAAGACATTATAACAAGATTATTTGTTTGGCTTTGTGAAGGGGCATGTAATGGAACACCAGAAATCCTAAACTGTAATTTAGGATGTCATTAAAAGCTTGACTAGGGCAGGATATTTATATTTCTAGGCCTTCTTATTTTTTGAAAATTATGAGAAGGCATGAATAAATGACTTTTAGAAACTCATTAACTTTAATATTTCTGTGGTTTCATTTATATTTGCTCCTTGGCCAGCTGCAATAATACAAGTAGGTCCATGCTGAAATCAAAACATATTTCTTTAGATCTGTAATTAAAGTTATGATAAAGATCCTCTGACATATATATATATATATATATATTTTTTTTTTTTCTGTGTCACCAATTTGTATTCATATCTGTCCTTGAGACTTAATGAGCTTCACAGTGCTGGCATTCCAGATGTTGCCTGTGGTAAAATGTGACAATTACAAAAAAGGCCTTCTTGCTCCACAGTATTACCTTTAAATCCCACGACAAGTGAAATTAAACCCTTATATACTTTTTTTCCTGTTTGCAAAGGTTTGGGGATAATATGTTTTATACATGACAAAAATATAAATATTTTATATGTCCGTTAATCTTTGGGTAAGGGTAGATACAATTTATTTCTATCACCCTGTTTTGACTTTTGAAACCAAACAAGTTAATTTTAACACCTCTTCAGCATTTACACCAATGATCCCTCTTGTCTCTCAGCTGCCTCACTGCTTCAATACTGTCACACTGTGGCTGCTTACTTAATGTATAGGAAAGACATACAGATATTTAAGCAATTTAGAACTGTTTGATTGAATTAAAAAAAATGACACTGTGGCAAACCTAAGCTGATTTGAAACTTCATTCTCAGGTGTGAAGATGAACAATTTAAAATTGCTGAACTTTTTATTTGGTCATTTACCAAACTGGTAATAATGCCTGCTTCAAAATGTTGCTATAATTAAGCAACATATTATTTGAGGTATATGCAATAAAAATAAATAAAATTCACTTAAATTTTATAAAATATTTTGTTTTATAAATTATAAATGCCAGTAATAGTTCAGTGTGCTATACTTCCTGAATGTATCTATTTATTATTAGTTATTAACACAGTGATCTAATAGAACGAAGCAGCAGCAACCACTGTCTTCAGTCCAAAGTCTCGATTAAGTATTTCCTGATTCTCTAAATTCCCACTGCCATTGACTAGTATCTGGTTGTCCTTATCTCATGCTATGACTATTTTAATAGATAATCATCCCTATCCATTCTTCTCTATTTGTTTTTCACTCTTCTACTTTTAACTGAAAAATTAAATTACTGGAGATCATGGACTTGCTAATCACTGAAGGACAAAGGGAGTTCCTGAAATGTCTCTGAGAACTCATTCTAATTCCATTTTCTGTTACTGCCATGGTTCATGCTTTAGATGATCTATTTGTACTGAATTTCCAGTTTCTCAAACACAAGATTCTGTTACAAGTATCTGGGTTTAAATTTCATGTTCTTTTTTGTCATCCTAATAAAATACAACCCACTCTTACAGTCCCTACAGACCCGGATTAAACATGGTTTTCCAACTTTCTCAGTATGGATTTGTCACACCAATCTTTTTGCATTCATGACATTTGTGATAATACAGTGTAATTACTTGTCATTGTGTCTGATTTCCCCACCAGGAGCTAATAATACCATAATTTCAGTACAGAGAAAGTGGTCAAGAAGAGAGGAAGGAGGGGAAGAAGGCACAGAGGGAGAGAGAAAGTGAGTGAGACACAGAGAAAGAAAGAGAAAACACTAAGGTGCTTATTGAAAGTAAATTACATTATTACATTGTAAGCAATAATTTATAAGCTTAAATGATACTAATTAGAATAATATTTCACATTACAGCTAACATTTGCTAACTGAACCCAGTCATACACATAAACTAAACTTTCTACTTTGCATATTATGACAACATATCTCTCATTAATTTGATACTCTGTAATGTTATATTCCTAATTAGTCATATAGAATATATACTTTACCTCGTTACGTCCCAGCTCATGTTTAAAAAATAGCCTCATGTTATCATTTCATTGGGAAGAGAGATATTTGAAATCATAAGTAGTTGGAATTATTCTATTATTCTATTCTATTCCATTTACTCCATTTCCATTCCACTCCAATCCATTCTATTCTATGTGCCTTTAGTTTAGATTTCAAGGGCTTATGAGAAGGTCAGAAAAGTATGTACCAGAGGGTGGTATATTTGAGTTGAAAGAAATCCTAAAGGAGTGGGAGGTAGGTATTGAAAATAAGCTTCGTGGATTTGTCCTGGTCTGACCAAAGAATATCAAATAGAGATAGTCAAGTAATTTCAGGGTGCTAAGACTTTTCTACAGTCTTTGTGTAGAAAAATGCAAATACATGTCTGTTGATCAGAAAAAGAAGATGTGAATAAATCAAAGTCATGTCACTTTAATAGGAAAAATTTTAACATCTTCAGCTCTACATGCAGAAAAAAACATCATTATTAGTAAGACTCAGAGAGAAAATGGAAGAAAGGAAGGTTGAGAATATATGTGTGGATAATTTTATTTTAATTAAAAGTCATACACAGGTCCCTTTTATGTACAGGATATATTACCGTTTTCTTGTCTGTGACATTTGTGTTAAATGACATGGGTGAGTGGTAACAACTATGGAGGGTGTTTAAGTCTCTGAATAAAGTTGACATTAAATTCCACTGGCTACTAGATATGACTGCAAAGTAAGAAGACAGCATTTCATGTCTAGTTTGTGAAATTCATATCATTGTATTTCAGTATTAAAGTTTATATAATGACACACATCTGTGTTTTATCTTTCACACTTCCACTGTTGTTATATTTTATTCCCTCTTAAAATAACAACACTGTTACTAAGTACCATTTTTTTTTTTTAGACGGAATCTCGCTCTGTCTCCCAGGCTGGAGTGCAGTGGCCCGATCTCGGCTCACTGCAACCTCTGCCTCCTAGGTTCAAGAGGTTCTCCTCCCTCAGCCTCCCGAGTAGCTGGGATTACAGGCTTGCATCACCACACCCAGCTAATTTTTGTATTTTTAATAGAGACGGGGTTTCACCATATTGGCCAGGCTGGTCTTGAATGCCTGACCTCGTGATCCACCCGCCTCAGCCTCCTAAAGTGCTAGGATTACAGGCATGAGCCACCGCACCTGGCCGTCCGTAGAACACTTACAAAATCAACATGGATATGCATTGGGTCAAAAAGTCAATGATTTCCTTTTTTAAAAAAGAGCCATCTCACACCAGTTAGAATGGCAATCATTAAAAAGTCAGGAAACAGCAGGTGCTGGAGAGGATGTGGAGAAATAGGAACACTTTTACACTGCTGGTGGGACTGTAAACTAGTTCAACTATTGTGGAAGTCAGTGTGGTGATTCCTCAGGGATCTAGAACTAGAAATACCATTTGACCCAGCCATCCCATTACTGGGTATATATCCAAAGGACTGTAAATCATGCTGCTATAAAGACACATGCACACGTATGTTTATTGGGGCACTATTCACAATAGCAAAGACTTGGAACCAACCCAAATGCCCAACAATGATAGACTGGATTAAGAAAACGTGGCACATATACACCATAGAATACTATGCAGCCATAAAAAATGATGAGTTCATGTCCTTTGTAGGGACATGGATGAAATTGGAAATCATCATTCTCAGTAAACTATCACAAGGACAAAAAACCAAACACCGCAAGTTCTCACTCATAGATGGGAATTGAACAATGAGAACACGTGGACACAGGAAGGGGAACATCACACTCTGGGGACTGTTGTGGGGTCAGGGGAAGGGGGAGGGATAGCATTAGGAGATATACCTAATGCTAAATGTCGAGTTAATGGGTGCAGCACACCAGCATGGCACATGTATACATATGTAATTAACCTGCACATTGTGCACATGTACCCTAAAACTTAAAGTATAATAATAAAAAAAAGGGTGCTTAAAGGATATAGTGTCTCATTGAGTAATCAAATTAGGAATAAGCAATATTTATGTGTTCAAAAACCCAAAGATGATTGGAAAAAAGCAATACTTAAAAAAAACCCTTGAATCATATATTTGATTACTAAATTGGCTATTACTGTCTACAAAATTAAAGAAAGAGAACACTTTACACTAACCTTTATAGGGGACTACAAAAGTTGTATTTCCATGAAAATTTAATATTCATGATAGACATACGTTATAGCATTTCTAAGTCATAAAAGGCTATTGAAGGGATGTCTTTAAAAAGAATTTTTTAGAAGGATAGCAATAAAAAAAAGAAAGAGGATATTTATCATAACATTAGAAATGAAAAGACAAAAAATAAAAAAAAATTATAAAGTAAAAATATATCCAAAACCCATGCCTTAAAAAGACTATGCAGGGGATTTTTCTCGTTAAGTAAAATGAAGAATAAAAATAGATAAATGGGAAATATCAAAGGAACCGTAAGTAGAACATATTATTTGAATAATAAAATATAATACATTAAATTATGGCTGAAATATATAAATACCTTGAGGAAAACACTTACAAATAGCTCATTTAAAATGATCAACATTCCACCTTAATAAAAGTAAAACCTGAATGAACTAATTACCATAGATGTGATTAGAAATATGTTTAGAGAGGTATCACCGAAAATGAACGCCACAGGTTAGATTTATCTAATATTAATAGAACATATAAGCAAGGATATTTAGCTGTATTAAAAATATGTTCATGTTTTTAATACTTCTAGGCATTAAAAACATTAAAACATTTTAATACAGTTTTATCATTCTATAACAAGTTTAATACAAAAACTAAATAAAAATTTTCAAAAAGAAAATATAGATCAATTGTGTATATATATAAATAAAAATTTTAGTAAAGTCTACAGAAACTTCAAAAGAATAACACTTTATGAGCAAGTTTGGCTGCTCAGTTGTAAAAAAATTCTCAATAAATTTAATTCCATTAATAAATTAATACGCAAATATATCTCATTAAATATCAATGTTCCCTGTATTAACCTACACAGTTCATATAATTTCAGTTAGAATGTGAAAAAGAAAACTTATAAAAATTGTCAAAACTTTTATTTTTAATTTTTAGATCTAGAAAACATGAAAATGCAAAGAAAATGAAGGGAAGATTGATCCCTGACACCAGGAAGTAGAAAAAGATGATGTTAATAACATTAGTATAGTATTAGAAACATAAATGAAAATATTAAAAAACTTAAGTAATCTAAAAGTAGAGTTAAGTTTATATCAGCTGAGAATATGTATAATTGGTAATTCCATTTAATTTTAAAAGGATGAATTATTTAATTAACTGAATATTTACCCTGATATAAACAGAGCATACAGATATTTATATTAAAATACTTTCAAAGGTTGGCAATTAAATACAAAATACAGAGTAAACATATTACAAAGTACCTAGAAGATTATATCTTTAGACAGATCATGGGGGTTGGAGACAAATTTCTAAACAGAATGCTATCAAGTAAAAGCACAAAAAAGAATAAAGTCTCCTGGCACAAAACAAAATAAAAAACCAATACAAACCCTACCAAATTAAATAGATAAATGTTAATTCAGGAAAAATGTACATTTTTTCCGAAATATAATTATTTTTATTGAAAACGAAAAGGTCAGCACTTCAGAACAAAAATAGCCACATAAAATGAGTAGAAAATGACTTAGGAGCCTGTGAAAAATGCTAAAATATTTGGTTCTAGAAAGATGGATATTAACGTGACTGTGAGATGATACTTTACACCTAGCAGAAAGGCAAAACATTTGAAAACTTATAATTCATTCCTGGCAGGTATCTAGGAAACCTGTATTTTTTTACATTGCTAGTGTAAAATAGTAATTCATGAGTTTAATGTGGGCAATCTAGCAACATACTTTTACATTAATAAATGCAATTTTGATCCTTTGAATCTTCCTTACTAGATAAGATGTAGAAAAATGTTCAAAGATGCTTATTAAAGCATTTTTTACAGTGGATGAGAATAAGAATTTAAATAAATGCTTATTAGTAGGAGAATGTCATAATAAAAGTGTTATATCACACACTCTCTAAAAAGAAAAATTTAAGTAATACCTGATAATGTGGAGGGATTTTTAAATAAGATAGAGTTGAGTAGGAAAAGCAAGATGCAGAAAATATGTACAATAGTATCCTGCTTTTTAAGACAATAATAATCTCTACAATGAAAAATATTTATGTTTATATGCAGACATATATGTACATACATACAAATATGTCAAAGGGCACATATCCCTTGTTTGTTTGGGTGATGATCATGGATAATGGTAATGATGGAGGGAGGAAACAGGTAATTACAAGAAATATCAACTTTATTATATTATCCCAATTACGTATATAACAAGATATTTGAAAATAAATGGTCATTAAAATGTTTACACGCTTACCTCAAAGTGTTGGGATATGAGTTGATCTTTACACAACACATTTCCTGTGTCATTTAGAATTTGAAAAATGAAAAATAATGGTAAAAATATTTTAAAATTGTCTTTGAGATATATATTTATATACACATATGCATGACATATTAGTATTTTTATTTCAATATGAGAAGCCTATTAAACTTTTGTGATATATACCAAACTAACAATCACTACTGATTCCTTCTTAAGTAATTTAAGAAAAAGCCTTTATTTAAAAATTCCATTGAAAAATCATCTGTAAATATTTGGAAGAAATGTCACAGGCAATCATTTGATTTGCTTATGGTGTTTGTCCTTCTGTGCAAAAAAATATTGACTATCCCATGTGAGACACAGAAAAGGTTGTGGGGCCATGTTTTTCATTTCTTCCAGCAGGAAACTTTTCTAGGGAAAAGTAAACACTAAGTTGACAATGACACGATTTGTACAGTACATGAAAAAATCTACGACTTTCAAATATGTGTGTCATTCAATGTTTTCACTAAATATTGGTAGAAGATGCTGTAATCTAGGACATTGTAAACCAAATTATTCTTACAGTTTAGAAGTTGATTTTTCAGAAATTCTGCAAATTAGATTTTCATTATCTTAAATTATCTAATCACCTTATGGAGTAGAAGTGAGGAATTCTTGTGGAATTGTTTCCTGTCAATATGTATTATCATTGTCATTTGTTCATTATTATTTTTGGAATGAGGTACTCAATTTACCTTCCATTGAACTTCAGGCGCTATCTAAACTTTTTATTAGAAGGGAAGCATAATGCCTGAAAACACTTTTGATATCATGATCTTGAGAACATTCAATGTAACACAGTCATCAGTTCTCAGAGACATAATTAAGAGTCAACCATTGGATTTCTGGTAAAGAAGAAACAACTTATTCACTTCATCTTCCTAAAGTATCTCACATTATTCTAGAAAACCAAGATTAATAAACTTATTCTTGCAACATAGAAAGTTAAATTTCCTATATATATATATAAAATTTACCTTTAGTAATTGACATTTGAATAGTAACATATATTTCACCAAAATTACAGAAAAAATAAATATTTCCTCTGGAGACTTTAAATGTTAAATTTTAAATGTAAAAATTTGTCATGCTACTAATGAAAGCAAATAAGCCAAAACTGTACTCACATAAGGAAAGTTACAATATGCTCTGTGATATAATTTATATCATTCTAATATAAGTGCTTATAAACTAGTAAGTTTTAAATACATTTTAAGTTAACTCTATTTTACCTTAAATTTGAATATGTGCAATTCATATGGCAAGTATAAATATCAAATAGTTTAAATAACTGAATATATTTAGGTCTTCCCACTGTTGAATTTATTATAATATAAAATTTGTAAGTTAATTAAACCATTTATTTTCCAAGCATAGATTTTTCTTCATAAATACATGCATATTATATGTATTCTCTAAATTCACATGTTAATATTTAGCCACCTCAAATTACCATTCTAAAAGTAATGATTTTTAAAAAAATCATTATTCAGTTACATTTATTAGTTAAATATATAATTAGACTTAGTTTTCTACCTAATATTTCTTCCACTCTAGTTTGGAAAAAATTTGCTTTAGCAAATAATTATCTAACTAGAAAAAAATAACATTCACTGGTATATCAGTATTGCCATTTTATAGTGGATCATGTTGATTGAGGATTCAGTTTAGCATTTTTCTTGGTACCATTCTGCTGAAGTTCCTAAAAATATCTTGGTAGCTGTTTTCTTGTTCATTCATGGAATTAGAACATTGGAATTTGCCTAAGAAAGCTTCTCATAATCACAAAGTTTGGAGTTATGAATTATTTAGTTTTAATTAATCCATTCAACTTACCTGAATGTTCAGTCACATAATTAGAATGTAATATTAACTATAGCTTAAGAAATATTTCTAAGAAGGTTTCCACAATGGAACACATTACTAGCTCTGCAGGAACAACAGGATTATTAATCGCTGGCAGGCCAGATGTAAATTGTCATTTTTAAAAAGAATTGTGGAGAAAAAAGACATAAATTCATTCAAATCCTCTTGCCTACGTTTTCTGCTTTGTGCCTGATTGCTTAGGAACCACAACTTCATAGAACTACAAATTGTAACAGCATATATATTTTTGTTAAATTCTCTCATTCCTTTGTCTCTCCAGATTCAAAAACTTATAATGGTTAAAGGAATAATGACAATACTATTACTACTAATAAAAATAACAATGATAATAATAATTGCTGCCAGTTAATGAGAACCTACTGTGAAACTGTAACTCTAATAGTTGTCATATTTTTACTCTTATAGTTTTTTTTATTTTTACTTTAATAGAGCAATGCTACAAAGTGATTTAATATTACACATATAGATAAGCAGATGGTGACTCTCCAATGTACTATCCTAGTGGGGCCAGTTTTTGAGTCCAGTTGAAAACTGTATATTTGATACAATATATGGCTTTAGGAAAAGAGTATAATCTTTCAAAAATAAATAATGCCTCTGTAACACTTGGTAGAATTTCTAGCACCTAATAAAAACTAGGAACACTCATCACAATTTAGTTTATTAATGGTAGTTTAGTGACTTTTGCCATATTTCAGTTGAGTGAGATCAGTATCTTTTTTGTAAAGTCATAAAGAATTTAAGCCATGACAACAGTTTGGTCTTTAATTGTAAAGACTATTTCCTGCCATGAAAGTGAGGCCTTGGTTAATTTTCTTTCACTAATGTACCTACTCTTTTATTTCATCAGAATTTATAGAGGAAAAATGAAGTTTTATATTGCAGTTATATCAAATAAGGGATTTCAGTTCATATGTGGATGCAAGGATCATAACTTACTATTTTAGGACCCTATTTCTGTTTATATAACAGAAGAAATGAGCACAACTAAAAGTGTTTGAAACCACACATTGCCGTGACTAAAAGAAATATATCATTTGAAAAAATAATAAATCAATGTTTACACTGAAGATTTTATATTTGCTAACTTAAAGAAGATCCTAAATATTGATGATGGGCTGATTGGGCTTCAATATACAAACTTCAACATATTGGGCTTCAACATATAAATTAAATTGCCTAAGAACTCAAAGGACCTTGTCATACAATTCAGGTGTTTTTCAAACACTATATACTTTCGTACAATAATCCATTACTCAAAAGAAGACAATTGACACAAAAGCAATGTAAACAAATAAAAATAGAACAATGATTTCAAAGAAGGGGTAGAGCCTCATCTATCAGCACATATTTATTCTTGGATCCAGAAAACAATTTGCCAATATCAGAACTAAAGAAGTATCCTCATTTGATAGCTTAGGAAATTGAAGTGCAGAAAATTTGAATGACTTTTTGCTGCTCCAAAAACCAACCTGAAACAGATCTGTAATTAACCATAGGACTCCTGGACCCTGGTTCTGTCCTCTTCTAACGTGCATATTTTGTCACTCAGACATGTATCTTCTGTGTTCTCTTGATAAAATTATATTTCAGCAAAAGGCTGTTTTATAAAAATCATTTTACTAAAACCTAAAGGCAAATAAAACGTGAGGGGTGGGACATAGCAGTGTGGATGTAGCTAGCAAATACAATTGGAAAAGATTATTATTTTGCTAAAGTCGACTGACGTTAATAAATAAGAAAAGAAAAAGTCCATAAGATCTTATTCATTATTGTTCCAGCAGGACACTGAGACATGAATGTTGAAAACACATTTTAATTAACAAGAATGAGCTGAGTTAAGGGAAGCCTCAGGGATACTGAACAAACACTCAAGCCTTAGCAAATAGAAAAGTATTAACATCTTTGGGCCTGATGAACAAGAAAAGGGAATATAATTGTTGGAGCTTAATTGAGAGCTGCAACATTGGAGAGATGGATCAATGGGACTGGTGCTTCTAGAAGACATAGCCATTAACAGAACCATGCAGAGCCCACCAGTAATCACTGGCATCCTTTCCTGCCAAGGAATTCAGGATGACTTTCATAAATATATTGTAACTGATGAAGTGTTGGTAAAAGAACAAGTAGCTATATTCTTTGGCAAGATAAGTGCAGCTACTCCACGCTGCACACTAATATGAGTCTATGTTTTAACAATTAATCAAGATAATGAAAGTATGGAATCTTTATCGGAATAACATAACCAATTCAAAATGCTCGTTTGACTATAATCTCTATAAATAAAAGGACTAAAAACATGAGCAGACAATCCAGATATATTACAATTAGTAAACCAAAACAGCTGGAGAAGTACTACACCTGACTAATGTTTGTTAAAACAAAAACAACTGCTTATTATTAAAAAAAAGTCAAAGTTAAATAACCTGTTTGATCACTATCTTAGCTCATTAAGGCTGCTATAACAAAAATACCACAAACTGGGTAGCTTAAACAACAAATACTTATTTCTCACGTTCAGGAAGCTACAAAGTGCCCACAGATTTATGTTTGATGAAGGCCCATTTCCTTTCATAGACTGTTGTCATATAGCAGAAGAGGGGGCTAGGCAGCTCTCTGGGGGGTCTCTGATAAGGGCACTAAACCCATTCAAGCAGGCTCAACTCTCATGACTTAATTACTTCCCAAGGGTCCTACCTTCTAAATCATCACACTGAATGTTAGGAATTCAACATACGAATTGGAGGGGGAACACAACTTTCAGTTCCTAACAATCACACAATGAGATAACTATTAACATAGTCTATACTATAATACTGGAAATTAACATATATAATGTTAACAATAATCATAATCTAGTGGTAGAAGTGCATTTATCTATTTCTTCCATTTTTCTTTCCTGTCTAAAGTTTTAATAATCAACACAAATATTATTTATAATGGAAAAATTTTGAATAGGTGAAGTTTCATGGAGTTATGAAAATATATACTAGACAATAGATTAAATCATCAGCACAATATAATATTAGGTTGATGCAAAAGTAATTGTGGGTCTTGTCAATGAAAGTAACAGCAAAAACCACAATTATGTTTGCACCAACCTTTAAATTAAATGAAAAGATGTGTAATAATCAGAGGGTTTTACACATTGAGTTCTCTCAAATGTATATACTGCAATTGATTAAATTTTGTATATCAGTACAAATCTAATATGATCCTGTAATCCACCTAAATCCTTGAAATTCATATTACTATGTTATCCTAAAATATAAATGTTGCCCAATTTAAAGATCTTACCTCCTAAAAATGTTATGATAATTTATATGGCTAAAATACTATTTTGTTTTCAATAGTATTACATGTTGACTTATAAACAATCAAAATCAAACTGAATAATTATGATTTAATGTACTTTAATAACTTTCATATATTCATACACCATAACATATACCATACCAATTAGTCAATAGCTGAGGTGGTGAGGATCTGAATTACTCCTCACTACCCTAAAAAATTGACCAACCTAAATCACCCCACTACCAAGCAACTACAGTTCATGCATAGCACAGCAATGATTAATTAATAATATCTAGAGAAACATTATTGTGTTACTTAGTACTAGCAAAGTTGAATCATAAAGGAGGTAATTGGCAAATATATTACTTACACCTAATTTTTTAGACCCAAATACCCTACACAGATAATTCAACTATTGCTGAAAATTAGCTAAAAGTCAACATGCATTTTACAGTAAACACAATTACAAGATGCTAAAACTATTGTTTATAAAAATAAACAAAAATATTGTATATGACATAAAACACTTAGACATTTTATATTACAAACCAGAAATAAAACCAGAATTGTTTTCAGTTGTTTAAGCCTCCATGCTAATCTAATTAATTTACCAATTACAACAAAAACCATTGTAGGTAGACTTTTCGTGTAAGATTGAAATATAAAGATTAAGATAATAGCAATGATAAAAAAATTTCATTCTGCATGCTTAATTTTCATTATGTTATTTGATTCTGGAACTAATTTAGCAAGATATGTACTCTGTTTGTTTTTTTAATGTGAGAAAACTGAAGGTCAGAAATATTCTGTTAGAACTGTATTGCTTGTAGAAACACTAAGCCACTTCCATGCCAATTACTAAATAACTGGGGTTGTGAACTTCTTAATTTCTCCCCATTACCTTAACAAAATTGACCTGCCTGAATCTCCCTACAACTAAGCAACTAGAGCTCATGCACTTCACAGCAAGGCCTCTTCAACCTCTGCTCAGCACTATCATCAAAAGTTCTCAGTAGCAGAGCCTTGTGTCTCACCAACAGGTAGATACTGTACTTTCAGCATCAATTCTGCTAGATTTGGAGGTCTGAAACCAAAATAGTTTTATCATATAGAAGGTACTCAACATATCTTGAGATAAATTGAGTTTTCAGGTTTATTTCAGAAATGTTTACTATTTAATATGATAAAGTTAATCAATACATAGGAAGCATACTAAGGATAAAATAAGGAAGCCTTGTTCTGTTCTCTGGCAGATTATAATGACAGTCCTAATGAAATGGTAGATATCAAACTGCATTTTTATTAAAGTTATTGTTATTAGATAACATTGGAAACTTCTCCCTGAATATATATATCAAAATAAAGTTACTAGGAATGAGTAAGTTAACTGAATCTTTCTGTTTTGTTTCAGGAATAAGATAGGATAAAAAGCACACAGTGAACACTTGTGTATGAAAAGCATGCAAAAGCATCCTTGAGTGAAATATTATTTTACAATATATTATTTCACACCAATTTCATTATTTTTTTAAAAATTCTGCAACTACTGCACACTTGATAGAGGTTTTAATTTTTAATGTAATTAATAAAATAAAAATATTTAATGGTATAATTAGTAGGAAACTTGGAGATTGCCAACCCAACTATTAGCTTGGTGCGGGTTTTCTGATTAATAGTTATCTCATTAAGAATGAAAGGAAGAAGGAAAGAAGGAGAGAAAGAAGTAAGAATACATGAAAGAAAAAGGAAGGAAGGAATGTTTAATGAGTACAAAAAATGGTTATAAAAAATGTATGAAACCTACTATATCATAGCACAATAGGGTGACTGTAGTTAATAATAAATGAATTGTATACTTTTAAATAACTTAAAGACTGTAATTGGATTGTTTGTACCTCAAAGGATAAATGCTTGAGGAAATGGATGCTCTCCCCATCCAAAAAAAGAATGTTAGATATAAAATTATATGCCCAAGCAAACAAATAACCTTTTAAAATGTTGCTCTATAAAAAAGATATTTCAGCAATTAAAAAAGAAAGGAAGGAAAGACAAAGAAAAACAAGAAAGAAAGTAAAGAAATGAAAAAAGGAGAAAAAAGAAAAGAAAGAAAGAAAAGGAATTAAGAAACTAAGAGATTTGCGGTTCCAAGAGAGATTTTGTCACCACAAGACCTGTCTTAAAAGAGCTCCTGAAGGAAGCACTAAACATGGAAAGGAACAACTGGTACCAGCCACTGCAAAAACATGCCAAATTGTAAAGACCATCGATGCTAGGAAGAAACTGCATCAACTAATGAGCAAAATAAGCAGCTAAGACCATAACGACAGGATCAAATTCACGCATAACAATATTAACCTTAAATGTAAATGGGCTAAATGCTCCAATTAAAAGACACAGACTGGCAAATTGGATAAAGAGTCAAGACCCATCAGTGTGCTGTATTCAGGAGACCCATCTCACGTGCAGAGACACAAATAGGCTCAAAATATAGTGATGGAGGAAGAGCTACCAAGCAAATGGAAAACAAAACAAAAAAAAAGCACGAGTTGCAATGCTAGTATCTGATAAAACAGACTTTAAACCAACAAAGATCAAAAGAGACAAAGAAGGCCATTACATAATGGTAAAGGGATCAATTCAACAAAAGAGCTAACTATCCTAAATATATATATGCACCCAATACAGGAGTACCCAGATTCATAAAGCAAGTCCTTAGAGACCTACAAAGAGACTCAGACATCCACACAATAATAATGGGAGACTTTAATACCCCACTGTCAACATTAGACAGATCCATGAGACAGAAAGTTAACAAGGATATCCAGGAATTGAACTCAGCTCTGCACCAAGCAGACCTAATAGACATCTACAGAACTCTCCACCCCAAATCAACAGAATATACATTCTTCTCAGCACCACATCACACTTATTCCAAAATTGACCACATAGTTGGAAGTAAAGCACTCCTCAGCAAATGTAAAAGAACAGAAATTATAACAATCTTGTCTCTTAGACCACAGTGCAATCATATTAGAACTCAGGATTAAGAAACGCACTCAAAACCATGCAACTACATGGAAACTGAACAACCTGCTCCTGAATGACAACTGGGTACATAACGAAATGAAGGCAGAAATAAAGATGTTCTTTGAAATCAACGAGAACAAAGCACAACATACCAGAATCTCTGGGACACATTTAAAGCAGTGTGTAGAGGGAAATTTATAGCACTAAATGTCCACAAGAGAAAGCAGGAAAGATCTAAAATTGACACCCTAACATCACAATTAAAAGAACTAGAGAAGCAAGAGCAAATGCACGCAAAAGCTAGCAGAAGGCGAGAAATAACTAAGATCAGAGCAGAAATGAAGGAGATAGAGCACAAAAAAACCCTTCAAAAAATCAATGAATCCAGGAGCTGGTTTTTTGAAAAGATCAACAAAATTGATAGACCACTAGCAAGACTAATAAAGAAGAAAAGAGAGAAGAATCAAATAGGAGCAATAAAAAATGATAAAGGGGATATCACCACCAATTCCACAGAAATACAAACTACCATCATAGAATACTATAAACACCTCTATGCAAATAAACTAGAAAATCTAGAAGAAATGGATAAATTCCTGGACACATACACCCTCCCAAGACTAAACCAGGAAGAAGTTGAATCCCTGAATAGAACAATAACAGGCTCTGAAATTGAGGCAGTAATTAATAGCCTACCAACCAAAAAAATTCCAGGACCAGATGGTTTCAAAATCTAATTCTAGCAGAGGTACAAAGAGGAGCTGGTACCATTCCTTCTGAAACTATTCCAATCCATAGAAAAAGAGGGAAACCTCCCTAACTCATTTTATGAGGCCAGCATCATCCTGATACCAAAGCCTGGCAGAGACACAACAAAAAAAGAGAATTTTAGACCAATATCCCTCATGAACATGGATGCAAAAATCCTCAATAAAATACTGGAAAACCGAATACAGCAGCACATCAAAAAGCTTATCCACCACAGTCAAGTTGGCTTCATCCCTGGGATGCAAGGCTGTTTCAACATATGCAAATCAATAAACGTAATCCATCATATAAACTGAACCAAAGATAAAAACCACATGATTATTTCAATAGATGCAGAAAAGGCCTTTGACAAAATTCAACAGCGCTTCATGCTAAAAACTCTCAATAAACTAGGTATTGAGGGCCTGTATCTCAAAATAATAAGAGCTATCTATGACAAACTGACAGCCAATATCATACTGAATGGGCAAAAACTGGAAGCATTCCCTTTGAAAACTGGCACAAGACAAGGATGCCCTCTCTCACCACTCCTATTCAACATAGTGTTGGAAGTTCTGGCCAGGGCGATCAGGCAGAAGAAAGAAATAAAGGGTATTCAATTAGGAAAAGAGGAACTCAAATTGTCCCTGTTGGCAGATGACATGATTGTATATTTAGAAAACCCCATTGTCTCAGCCCAAAATCTCCTTAAGCTGATAAGCAACTTCAGCAAAGTCTCAGGATATAAAATCAATGTGCAAAAATCACAAGCATTCCTATACACAACAGACAGAGAGCCAAATCATGAGTGAACTCCCATTCACAATTGCTTCAAAGAGAAGAAAACACCTAGGAATTCAACCTACAAGGGATGTGAAGGACCCCTTCAAGGAGAACTACAAACCACTGCTCAATGAAATAAAAGAGGACACAAACAAATGGAAGAACATTCCATGCTCATGGATAGGAAGAATCAATATCGTGAAAATGACCATTCTGCCCAAGGTAATTTACAGATTCAATGCCATCCCTATCAAGCTACCAATGACTTTCTTCAAAGAATTGGAAAAAACTACTTTAAAGTTCATATGGAACCAAAAAAGAGTCTGCATTGCCAAGACAATCCTAAGCCAAAAGAAGAAGCTGGAGGCATCACACTACCTGACTTCAAACTATACTACAAGGCTACAGTAACCAAAACAGCATGATACTGGTAACAAAACAGAGATATAGACCAATGGAACAGAACAGAGGCCTCAGAAATAATGCCACACATCTACAACCATCTGATCTTTGACAAATCTGACAAAAACAAGAAATGGGGAAAGGATTCCCTATTTAATAAATGGTACTGGGAAAACTGGCTAGCCATATGTAGAAAGCTGCAACTGGATCCCTTCCTTACACCTTATACAAAAAATAATTCAAGATGGAGTAAAGACTTAAATGTTAGACCTAAAACCATAAAAACCGTAGAAGAAAACCTAGGCAATACCATTCAGGGCATAGGCATGGGCAAGGACTTCATGACTAAAACACCAAAAGCAATGGCAACAAAAGCCAAAATTGACAAATGGGATCTAATTAAACTAAAGAGCTTCTGCACAGCAAAAGAAACTACCATCAGAGTGAACAGGCAACCTACAGAATAGGAGAAAATTTTTATAATCTACCCAAATGACAAAGGGCTAATATCCAGAATCTACAAAGAATTTAAACAAATTTACAAGAAAAAATCAAACAACCCCACCAAAAAGTGGGCGAAGGATATGAACAGACACTTCTCAAAAGAAGACATTTATGCAGCCAACAGACACATGAAAAAATGCTCAACATCACTGGCCATCAGAGAAATGCAAATCAAAACCACAATGAGATACCATCTCACACCAGTTAGAATGGCGATCATTAAAAAGTCAGGAAACAACAGGTGCTGGAGAGGATGTGGAGAAATAGGAACACTTTTACACTGTTGGTGGGACTGTAAACTAGTTCAACCATTGTGGAAGACAGTGTGGCAATTCCTCAAGGATCTAGAACTAGAAATACCATTTGACCCAGCCATCCCATTACTGGGTAGGTACTCAAAGGATTACAAATCATGTTGCTATAAAGACACATGCACACGTATGTTTATTGTGGCACTATTCCCAATAGCAAAGACTTGGAACCAACCCAAGTGTCCATCAATGATAGACTGGATTAAGAAAATGTGGCACATATACACCATGGAATACTATGCAGCCATAAAAAAGGATGAGTTCATGTCTTTTGTAGGGACATGGATGAAGCTGGAAACCATCATTCTCAGCAAACTATCGCAAGGTCAGAAAATCAAACACTGCATGTTCTCACTCATAGGTGGGAATTGAACAATGAGAACACTTGGACACAGGGTGGGGAACATCACACACCAGGGCCTGTCATGGGGTGGGGGGAGAGGGGGAATAGCATTAGGAGATATACCTAAAGTAAATGACGAGTTAATGGGTGCAGCACACCCACATGGCACATGTATACATATGTAACAAACCTGCACGTTGTGCACATGTACCCTAGAACTTAAAGTATAATAAAAAAAAGAAAAATAAACTGAGAAATCAGACCCACAGATTTTAAGTGATTCAGACATACAAAAGCCCTTATCAATGAGACTGCTAAGAAGTTGAGTACCTCTCGTATGCCTGGCGCATGTTCTTTCAATTACTCAAATTTACTTTATAATATATGATAATCTTTGGTTTCTCATTACTCAAACATGTCTTCAGTCAGTTTAAAAATACTTGTTTGGGCTGGGTGCAGTGGCTCACAATTGTAATCCCAGCATTTTGGGAGGCAGAGTCAGGCGGATCACTTGAGCTTGGGAGTTTGAGACCAGCCTGGCCAAGATGATGAAACCCCTTTCTCTACTAAAAATACAAAAAATACCGAGTGTGGTGGCATACGCCTGTAATCCCAGCTACTCGGGAGGCCGAGGCCAGAGAATCGTTTGAACCCAGGAGGTGGAGTTTGCAGTGAGCCAAGACTGTGCCACTGCATTCTAGCCTGGGTGACAGTGAGACTCCATCTAAAAAAAAAAAAAATATATATATATATATATATACACACACACACATATATATATGTTTGACACCAAAATGAATAAGACAGTATGACAGACTCTAAATATACAGCAAAATAAATAAAATTAATGTCTGCCCTTATTAAAATTTATATTTCACTATAAAAGAGACATATAATTGTTCAATTAGAATTGCGTTAATGCAAGAGGAGAAAAAAGAGCACTGTGAAAGTTCATAATTCAGAGAGTTAACTAGCTTGCAAGAAAGTTATCATAATAAATTGCTATTCGTACTCAGTTTTGACCAATGAATGTGGTAGGCAAAATAAGTTTCTCCAAAGATGTCCATGCCCTTATCTCTGGAAACTGTGAACATGTTACCTTACATGGCAAAATAGATTCTCCAGATGAGATTAAAAGTACTTATCTTGAGATGGGAAGATTCTCTTGGATTATAACTAAAATTCTCTGGTGGGCTTAGTATAATCATACAGGTCCTTAAAAGCTGAGCGCCTTTCTCAGTTGGGTCAGAGGCTTAAGGTGGAAGAAGAATGAGGAGAGATCTAAAGCATGAGAGGGAATTAACCTGCTGCTGCTAGCTTTGAAGATGGAGTAAGGGGGCCATGAGGCAAGAAATGTGAGCGGCTTCTAGAAGCTGGAGAAGGCAAGGAAACAGATTCTTCCTTAGGGCCTCCTGGAACGAATGCAACATGCTGACGGCTTGGTTTTGGCTCAGTGAGCTCTATGTAAGTAAGGTTCTTGACCTACAGAACTATAAGACAATGACTTTGTATTTTTATAGGCCACTTTGTTTGTGGTTTTTTTTTTACAGAAGCAAAATGTATGCAATGATTAAACAGTAACCAGGCAACAATGGGAAATACTCAATAAGGGAAGTTGAATATGAAAGCAAGAAACATGCTATATTTGAAGAACAGAAAAGTCTAGTGAAGCCAGACAGCAGTAATCAGGAATGAGTTTGGTGCACACTGAAGCTGGCCAGTTAAGACAGGCACTGGTCATACAAAGTCCTATAATCATTAGGATGTTAGCTTTTATTCTAAGAACAATGGTAAATCATTGTACAATCAATCATCAGAAGGGGTAAGATTTGATTGGTTAGTTCACTAAACAAGATCTCTCTTATGGCTGGGGCAGGGTTGGTGTAGTAATGTTCCAAGAGGCAGGTAGAGGTAGAACACAAATTTTCTGCAGGTCAATCTTACATTAGTACTTTACATAAAATAATATTAAAATATTCAGCAATATAGTCACAAACACACTTCTTTTCATGCCCTTAATGATAACATATATTATTTATAACTGGCTTTAAGTCAGGAATGGAAACAGGTATTTATTTGTGAGTCATTCCATACCAGGCTCTACAATGAGTACTTCTATAAATAAGGGCATTTAATTCAAATTATGATGATGCTGTTGTTACCCTAATTTTAATGTGAGAGGACTGAAAATCATCACGGCTCAGCAAATTTTTTTCACCTCCCACAGAAAAGGATTTAAAGTCAAAACCAGATAATACCAGAGCAATTTTCTTTCCGATATGATCCAAACAATGTGCAATAAAGAGTCCCAGTGAACACACCAAACTGATTATCTGGATATACGTCCTTTGACTTGTGGAGAAACACACTGGAACTGTTCAAAAATGCCAAACAGATTCTCCACCTAAACGGTGTGTGCGCACGTGTGTTCATGTGCATGTATAAGAGTGTAAGTGAGCAATGGGATATGTCTGTACAGTATACCTCTTTCTAGTGCATATGAGTAGCACATTAAAAAATTTAGAAATGTAGTATGTGCTGGCAGTGCTCTTAATTTTATAATTCAAACATTGTAATATGTAGAAAGAAGAGATGAACATCATATTTATCTATGCAAAATACTCCATGTGCTTACTCGCACAGTATTTTCTCAGATGTTTCTCACTTTTTCAAAGATAATCTCTTATCACTAAAGCGCAATACAAAACATAATTAAGTGTCCTCCTGCTAAACACTTCAGTGACTTAAATATTTAAGAGTTTAGAATTAATGCCCCTAATGTAATAGAGTCAGCACATAAATATTTAATCCCAGTTCTGTAAACTTTCAGAGTTAGCATATATTGTGGTAGTCTTCAATAGCACTGGCACGCATAGAAGTAAAGCCTACTTAGTTCATTGCAGCCAATAGTTTGAGTCCGTTCTCCTCCGAAGCCCTTAGTATAACTCCTTTCTGGGGGAAATCTAGCTAGTTAGCCATCTCCTGTTAAAATTTTAAAATTTTACTATGTAACTGCTAATGGATGTGACAATGATTAAGGAAAAAAAAAGACAACCAAGAGAGCAATGAAAAGCCAGAAAAGCAAGGAATAATTTATGAAGTGCTCAATCGTCTTTTTTTTTAAATTATACTTTAAGTTTTAGGGTACAGGTGCACAACGTGCAGTTTTGTTGCATATGTATACATGTGCCATGTTGGTGTGCTGCATCCATTAACTCGTCATTTATATTAGGTATATCTCCTAGTGCTATCCCTCCCCCCTCCCCCCACCCCACAACAGGCCCCGGTGTGTGATGTTCCCCACCCTGTGTCCAAGTGTTCTCACTGTTCAACTCCCACCTGTGAGTGGGAACATGAGCTGTTTGGTTTTTTGTCCTTGCCATAGTTTGCTGAGAATGATGGTTTCCAGCTTCATCCATGACCCTACAAAGGACGGCCTAAAAGCTTCAGTACTTAGAATTTGTACACATGCTGTTGAGGTAGACATAAAGCCATGACAAGAAAGAAGGTTGTTCTCCACTGAACACTAATTAACCAAATCAGAGGTTCAATCTTGCTGTGCCTTGGCGCCATCTTTAGAGATGTCACTGTCCCTTCACCTCCCTGCACTTCAAAACTTTGGCACTTCAAAACTTAAGAGACTCAACTTTTATTGAGGTGGCTGAAATTTCCTACTATTAATCTATAGGAAACTATTTTAAAGTCCTCTAAACTCCCACAGTGGAATTAAATACTAGAATTGGGATGATGCCCCCAAAATGTCTTATGCTGGAGAGGTGTCAATTATCTTAAAAAACACAAATTGCTTATTTGAACATGAGTGAAAACAAAGAAGTAGAACTAGCTTTCCCACCCCCCCGCCAACCCCCGACTTTTTCCTCTGGCTCTTTTGAAATAGAGCATTAAAAACGCATGCTGATGATGTGGGTTTTTGCTGTGACACTTACCAACTATCTATATTTTGCATTTGGAAAAAAATGTGAAAGCAAACACTGCTAGTGAAAGCTATTCCTTTAAACCATCTAACTAATTTATGCCTCTGAGAATATAGTGTGTCAGCAAAATTGTTAGGTCTGTGATTAAAAGATATGTGCAATTTAGTAAGGTTTGTAGGTCAGTGAATAGGCTTCAACATATCAGAAAGGAAGGAAAACAGATTCTAAACAGCCAAGCTTAAAAATTGGAAAAGTGGAAAACCATGCTATGAGGGAAAAAATTAGAAGACTAAAACCAGCTTATTTTCTCTAGACTGAGATCTAACGTTATATGATGATCACACAAAACACAGTTTTAATGTAGTATACAATAGCAACCAAAAATTTACCTTATAATGGTCACACTACGCTTATTAAGTTGCTATGTTCTTGATGCCTAGTTCTTTTTCCTACAATGTCAGAAAACTAGACATCTATAATTCTGATTTATTTGACTGCTGTTAATGAAATGTTTTCAAGTCGATGCAACTAAAAAGTCTGCAGGAAAATTATAGGCAATTAAATTCATGCTTTTGTTTGTTCATTTTGTGTCTTATTATGAAGAAACTTTAAAGCTGTTTACAGAAACAATGTAAAATAAAAATAATAATTTAATAATACTGCTAATGTTTATTGAGTGATAGACACTTGTTTATTTGTGCTGGTGTAAATCCAGACATAAGAGGAAGAGCTAATATCAACACACGTACAGAGAACTTTCAGTTGAAGAAACAGGCACTTATGTTGTGGATAAAATGAAATAAAATAAGTGTAGTCAAAATGAGGACTACATCTATTTTTTCCCAGTTATTTTTATCTCATCAACCTAGACTTAACTCTAAGTCTTACCTTCCAACCTGGAATAATGAGTACGTTTCAGTGGTTTAATGCATCAGTGCCCACTGGTGCTCCCTCATCTAAATACTCTGTTTAAATCTCTGACTCCTTCACGCCTGTAATCCCAGCACTTTGGGAGGCCAAGGCGGGTGGATCACGAGGTCAGGAGATCGAGACCATCCTGGCTAACACGGTGAAACCCCGTCTCTACTAAAAATACAAAAAATTAGCCGGGCATGGTGGCGGGCTCTTGTAGTCCCAGCTACTTGGGAGGCTGAGGCAGGAGAATGGCGTGAACCAGGGAGACGGAGTTTGCAGTGAGCCGAGATCCCGCCACTGAACTCCAGCCTGGGCGACAGAGCGAGACTCAATCTCAAAAAAAAAAAAAAAAAAAAAAAAATCTCTGACTCTTAAATGGCCCTCAGGTTTGAAGTTTGATGATTCTGCTAATTTCAATGACACACTTGAGCAGAGGAAGCTTGATAGGGCTGGGTACTCACATATTAAATCTTAATTATCCCCAAGGCATTTTGTGTTCGTTTGTTGTGAAGACTTTTGCCTTCGAGAAAAATAATGCTTCGGAGTTGGCAAGATTCTTCAGAACTCTCCTCAATGGCTCATGCAAAATATTCCCTCACGTATAACCATGCTCTGCTATTCCTCTCCCTTCAGTGTGTCTTAGAATAAACTCCCCAATGAGCTTAAGCTATTATTGAATATACTAGAGGCATCTGACTCCAAAGAACATTTTCAAAGGTAAATGATAATAAAAATAATATAATGCACTACACTGTATCTTAAAGCATCTTGGAAAGTTGGGAGTTACTATCAATTAGGGAAGATAAAACAATAGATAGAAGGTAATATATCAATAATTATTTGGCATATATGAGTGATAAAAACCAGTACATGTACAAAAACCTTTGTAAGAGGGAATTAAGGAACTGAGGGCGGCGAGGAACTGATTTGCTTTCATGGCAGCACTGCAAAACTAGAGATATTCTAGCTCTCAAACATAGCACTGTCGTCAATCTAATGACCAAGTAGTTGCTGAGTTTCAGCACTGCCTGACTTGTATACTTATTAGACACTTCCTAATTAGGCAGTTTTGTAATCCGTTGCTTTATATACTATTCTTCCAAATATATTTCACTTGCAAGCCCTTTCATTTTCTTCAAAATTATAAGTCAGTTTACATGCTGGTATTTATTTATGTTAGGCTTATTATGTGTGTATTTCCAAAAAAACTTCTAAAGTCGCTTACAAAATTAAACTCAGTCAATATAAATGGTAGGAATTATACATTAAAACTTTCTGCAAAAAAATTTAACACACATAAACACAATTTGTTATAAGAAGCATAACAAACCATAACATGTCAAAAACTCCATTCAAAACAACTTAGAATGACAAACATGTCATTCTAAAATCTCATTCTCAGTTGTTTGAATGGGGTTTTTGACATATTATATCTTCCGAACAGAAGAGCATGTATGGTTTAAAAAATCATGACAGATTAGAGAAATAAATGCCCTAGAGAACGTTTTCCCACTTGGAAGGCAAGGATTTCTAGTTAGCAATGATATTAAATATTTAAACTAATTATTAACTTTCCGTACAAATTATGCCTGCAAACCCAAGAGGTTCACATTCATGCTTACAGAATGATTTTTTCCATTAAGATAGCAATGTATTAACATACACATAATTATGATTTACACATTGAATTTATTCTTAGTCTATTATACAATAAGTAAAAGATAGAGCTATAGCTACAGAGATTAAGTGAATTTTTGTTTAAAGCATCCCACCAAACAAGATCCTAGATTATGGTATTGCTGGGTAGGTAATAAGAATTGTTTTCCCTCACTTATTCCCATGTTTTATAATTTTTTTTTTTTTTTTTTTTTTTAGACAGAGTCTTGCTCTGTCGCCCAGGCTGGAGTGCAGTGGCAGCGATCTCAGCTCACTGCCAGCTCCGCCTCCCGGGTTTACGCCATGCTGCTGCCTCAGCCTCCCAAAGTAGCTGGGACTACAGGCAACCGCCAACACGACCGGCTAATTTTTTTCGTATTTTTAGTAGAGTCAGGGTTTCACCATGTTAGCCAGGATGGTCTCGATCTCCTGACCTCGTGATCCACCAGCCTGGGCCTCCCAAAGTGCTGGGATTACAGGCATGAGCCACCATGCCCGGCCTGTTTTATAAATTTTAATGGGTGTTTTCATATCAGAAATATTTATGACAAGAAATTTACTATGAGGCTGCTTTACTTGAAAATTTTGTTTACATTTATTTGTTTGAATTATTTTAAATTTGTTTTCATATTCTATTTTCTCTCAAATTGTAGGATATATCTTTGTTTCATCAATTCCACCTCAACATAAGTATGCTAAGCAAACAATAAATTTTTTAATATTAAAATTATTTTTATTGTGCTCTTTCTAATCAAAGTTTTAAAAATATTTTCCATGTTATATCTTTATAAATATGTTTAATAACATCATAGTATATATTACCTAATGGATTTAACATAATTTATTTAACCAGTCACCCTCTACTTATTTATAGTTGTTTCCAGATTTTCCTTTGCTAATATAAATACTGCTGATGTACATACGATTTTGCTGATGTATCAGCCTTTGCTGTTCCAGATTTCTTACTTTTTAAATTTTTATTTTTGTTTTAGATTCAAGGGCACATGTGCAGGTTTATTACATGGGTATATTGTGTGGTACCGACATTTGGGCTTCTATTGCTCGAGTCATTCAGACAGTAAACATAGTACCCAATAGGATATTTTTCAACCCTTTCCCTGATCCCGGCATCCCTTGTTTTGAAGAATCCAGTGTTAATTATTCCCATCTTTATCTTTATTGGTGTGTCTATAATTTAACTCCCACTTATAAGTAAGAATATGCAATATTTGGTTTTCTGTTTTTGCATTCATTCACATAGGACAATGACCTCGAATACATCCAGCTGCATCCACATTGCTGCAAAGGAAGTGATTTTGTTCTTTTTTATGGCTGTGTAGTATTCCATGGTATATATGTACCATGTTTTCTTTATCAAATCCATCACTGATGAGCACCTAGGTTGGTTCCATGTCTTTGCTATTGTGAATAGTGCTGTGATAAACATACAAGTGCAGATGTGTTTTTGTAGAATGATTTATTTTCATTTGGGTGTATACACAGTAATGAGATTGCTCAGTTGAATGGTAGTTCTAGTTTTAGTTCTCTGAGAAATCTCCAAGCTTCTTCCAAAAGTAGCTTAATGAATTTACATTGCGACCAACTGTGTAAAAGTGTTCTCTTTTATCTTCAGCTTGACAACATCTATTATTTTTTGATGTTTTAGTATTAGCCATTCTGACTGGCATAAGATGGTACCACGTTGTGGTTTTAATTTGCATTTCTCTGATGATTAGTGATGTTGAGCATTTTTGTTTTTTTCTGGTAAAAGTAAATTTATTACATTTAAGAAAAACAATTCCCTAAAAGAAATGATATTATCATTGAAAACAGATGCAATTGCCATTGTGTGTAATATCCTGGGAAAATTAAGGAAGAAAAACAAGTCATAATTAATGAAGAAGATTCCATCCAAATACCCCCTTTGCTATCAGACAGCTACGCTTTCTGAAACTCTACCCCTCTTGTTAGTTAATGGCAGAATTCACAAATGTTCCTTATGAATGTAAAATGTTTTACTTCTATCAGGTAGTTTTCTGTGGATTATGAAATCATAGACTCCTTCTAGACCTTTTTTGCTGTTTGTATATCGTCTTTTGGAAAGTGTCTGTTCATAACTTTTGCACACTTTTTAATGGGGTTGTTTATTTTTCTTGTTGATTGGTTTAAATTCCATATAGACTCTGGATATTAGTCCTTTGTCAAATGCATGATTTACAAATATTTTCTCCCATTCTATAGATCGTCTGTTTACTGTGTTGATAGTTTCTTTTGCTGTACAGAAGCTCTTTAGTTTAATTATATCCCACTTGTCAATTTTTATTTTGGATGCAATTGCTTTTGAGGATTTAGTCATAAAATATTTGCCTAGGCTGATGTCCAGATTACTATTTCCTAAGTTTTGTCCTAGGGCTTTTATAGTTTGAGATCTTACAATTAAGTTTTACATCCTTATTGAGTTAGTTTTTGTATATACTGAGATTTAGGGGTCCAGTTTCATTCTTCTGCATCTAATTAGCAAGTTTTCCCAGAACTCTCTATTGAATAGGGAGTTTCCCCATTGCTTATTTTGTTGATTTTGTCAAAGATCAGTTGGTTGTTGGTGTGGGGCTTTATTTCTGGGTTTTCTGTTCTTTTCCATTGGAGTATGTGTCTATATTTTTTACCAGTACTATACTGTGTTTGTCACTGTTACTCTGTAGTATAGTTTAAAGTCAGGTAATGTTATGCATCTAGCCTTGTTCTTTTTGTTTTGGCTGTAAATCTGTGTGGTCCAGGGCTTTTTGTGGTAGTACTGTTTTTGCAGTTTGGACTCTTTTTAGTTTCATATGAATTTTGTAATACTTTTTCTAATTCTGTGAGCAATGACATTAGTCATTAATAGGAATAGCATTGAATCTGTAGATTATTTTGGACAGTATGGCTATTTTAACAATATTGATTCTTTCAATCCATGAGCACGGAATGTTTCTCCATTAGCTGGTGTCATCTCTGATTTCTTTCAGCAATATTTTGTAGTTCACCTTACAGAGGTCTTTAATCTCCTTGATTAGATGTATTTCTAGGTATTTGTATGTGTGTGTGACTATTGTAAACAGGATTGCATTCTTGATTTGCCTCTCAGCTTGAGTGTTATTGGAATACAGAAAGCTACTAACTTTTGTATGTTGATTCTGTATCTTGACACTTTACTAAAGTTGTTATCATGTCTCAGAGCCTTTAGGGTTTGCTAGGTAAAGAATCATATCATCACCAAAGAGCGATAATTTGACTTCCTAGTTTCCTATTTGGATACTATTTCTTTCTTTCTCTTGCCTGACTGCTCTGGCTGGGACTTCCAGTACTATGTTGAATAGAAGTGGTGTGAGTGGACATCCTTGTCTTGTTCCAGTTCTTAGGGGGAATGTTTCCAGCTTTTGCCCATTCAGTACATTGGTTGTGAGTTTGTCAGAAATGGCTCTTATTATTTTTAGTAATAAGATGTCTAGTGTGTTGAGTTTTTTTTAATTGTGAAGAGATGTTGGATTTTGTCAAATGCTTTTCTGCGTCTAATGAGATGATCATATGGTTTTTCTTTTTAATTCCGTATATGTGGTGAATCACATTTATTGAATTGCTCATATTGACCAACCTTGCATCCCAGAAACAAAGCCTAGTTAATTATAGTGAATTAACTTTTTGGTATGTTGCTGGATTCAGTTTGTTAGTATTTTACTGGAGATTTTTGCGTCTATGTTCATCAGAAATATCAGACTGTAGTTTCTTTTTGTTGTTGTGTCTTTGCTAGAGTTTAGTATCAGGATGATACTTGTTTTGTAGAATAAGTTAGGAAGCAATCTTTTCTCCTCTATATTTTGAAATAGTTTTGCTAGGATTGGTGCAGCTCTTATTTGTACATCTTTGTAGAATTTGGCTACAAGTCTATGTGGTCCAAAGCTTTTTGTACATGGTAAGGTTTTATTACTGATTCAATTTCAGAATTTGTTATTGGTCTGTTCTGGGTTTCAAATGCTTCCAAGTTCAAACTTGCAAGGTTGTTTGTTTTCAGGAATTGTCTATTTCCTCCAGATTTTCTAGTTTGTGCACATGGGAAGTGTTCATAAGTCTCTAAGGATCTTTTTTATTTCTGTGGGCTTGAAAGCAATGCCTTCGTTGTCATTTCTCAATGTGTTTATTTGGATATCTTTTTTCTTTTGTTAATAAAGCTAGTGGTCTATCGACCTTGTTTATCTTTTCAAACAGCAGCTTTTCATTCTGTTGTCCTTTATATTTTTGGGGAGGGAGTCTCAATTTCATTTTGTTCTACTTTTATTTTTGTATTTTCATTAATTACGCTAGGTTTGGGATTAGCTGATTCTTGTTTTACTTGTTTTTTTAGATTTGATATTAGAATGTTAATTTGAGATCTTCTTATCTTCTTGATGTAGATAAATAGCACTATAAACTTTCACTCTTTTGGCCACATTGCAAAAGTTTTGATATGTTTGGTCTCTGTTTTCATTTGTTACATTTTTTTTAAATTTCTGCCTTAATTTTGCGGTTTACCCAAAAGTCATTCAAGAGTAAATTGATCAGTTCCTATGTAATTTTGTCGTTTTGAGAGATCATCTTGGTATTGATTTCTGCTTTTATTCTACTGTTGCCTGTGAGTATGCTTGGTATGATTTCAATTTTTTTGAATTTATTGAGACTTGCTTTATGATGGAGCATGTGCTTGTTCTTAGAGTATATTTCATTTGCAGATAAGAAGATTGTATATACTGTTGTTGTTGGATAGAGTAGATGTCTGTTAGGTCCAATTGGTCAAGCGTCAAATTTAAGTCCAGAATTTATTAGACTGTTTTCTGACTTGATTTTTCTAATGCTCTCAATGGGGTGTTGAAATCCTCTACTATTATTATGTGGGTGTCTAAGTCTTTTCATGTTTCTGGAATTAATCATTATATGAATTTGAGTGCTCCAATGTTGGATGTGTATATGTTTAGGATATTTAAGTCTTCTTGTTAAATTGAGTCTTTTATCATTATGGAATTCCTTTATTTGTCCCTTTTTACTATTGTTGGTTTAAAGTCTGTTTTATCTGACAGAAGACCCCTGCTCTTTTTAGTTTTCTACTTGCATGATACATTTTTCTCCCTCTCTTTACTTTGAGCCAATGGATGTCATTACATTTGTGATGGATCTCTTGAAGGCAGCTTAAGTTTGGGTTATATATATACATATATATATATATATTATAATATAGACTATATTATAATATATATATAACCCAAATTATAATATAAATATATAATATATAACCTATATTATAATATATAATATAGTCTATATTTTATCTATATTATATATATATAGATGCAATTTGAGTCTTCTAAATCCTGAGTCTTCTAAATCCTTCTACAAAAGAGTTCTGTCATCCTCAACTCATGATATTAGAGCATTGCTGAATGCAACTTTCAAGGAACCATGCTAGATGACATCCCAGAACACTATATGTATTATATGTATTATTGATAGAATATTGAATGCTGAGACTAGGAAAGCGCTCTCATGACTTCATGTCAATTAACTTTTTATTTTATATATATATATATATATATATATATATATCTAGTATATATACACAATTTGCTATTGTGTGTCTTTTAAGTGGAGCATTTAGACCTATTACATTCAAGGTTAAGATTGACATGTGTATTTTCTTTTTTCCTTTCATATTGTTGTTTCCTGGTTGCTTTGTAGTCTCAATTGTGTGGTTCCTTTACAGAGTCTTTGTGCTATGTCCTTATGTATTGTTTGTGTGTTTGTGTGTATGTGTGTGTTTGTCAGCAAATATTGTCCTTTTATTTTCATGTTTAGAACCCCCTTAAGCATCTCTTTGGAAGGTCTGTTTAGGGGTAAAAAAACTTTCCTAGTGATTGTTTGTCTGGGACAGATTTAATTTCTTCTTAGCTTATGGGGCTCTAGTAAGTGTTTTCAATAATATAAGGAGCATAAATGAAAGAGCACATGCCTAGGTTTGAATCCTAGCTCTAACACTTATGACTCTGGTAAGTCATGTAATCACTTGATTCTTTTAAAATACATTATCTGTAAAAAGGATAATAAAATTCATCATAATAGATTGTTGTGAGGGTTCAATGAGTTAATATGTTTAAAAATTTTAGAATACTGGCTAATAGAGAGAAAATTACATGTGGTTTTTTTATTACATCATTAGGTAAGAGAGATATTCTACTAGAGTCTACAATAGAAGTTGGCAGATTTTGTCTGTAATGGACAAGACAGTAGATATTTAAGTTTTGCAAGAAACAAATATTCCTACCATATTTTTGTTTTGTTTTATTTTTAGGATCCTTTGAAATCTAAAAACCATTCTTAGCTCAAAGGCACGAAAATACAGGCCAGATTCGACCCATGAACTGCAGCTTGCCAATTCTTGATCTAGATGATCATATTCCCTGTAGACTGTATAGTAACCGACAGAAGGAAAATTAACATAGCCCTAGGGAAAAGAGTAAAATGTCCTGTTGTTCCTTTCATTGTTTCTGATCTTTCTACTGATGAGGACTGAAAATAATACACTTGTCAGACCAATTGCTGCATATTGAGTGCCAGATGCCATGTTGATTAGTGCTAGGAAAATATCCCGTAACTGGCAAGTATGCTGAGATTTAAAGTTAACTAATTGGTTAAGTTTAGTGTATTCCATATCATTCAGCTTGATCTATCTGGTTTTGAAAGAGAATATGATGGGGATCATCATGCCTTCAAGCTTTCAGTCATTGCGGAAATTGACCTCAGAATATGAAATTGATTGTAATTTCTTTTCATGACAATACTCTCTCACATCTGGGAACAACCTGTGGTTTATGTTTGTTGCTTAATATATCTATGTTAGTTAAGCAGGTGAGAACTGGGAAAATGGTCACTAATTGAAAATTCAAAAATTTGTGGTCAAATTGTAAGAGTCCCGACATCATACCCCATTTGTATCTAGCATCCATTAGCTCCCCCATTATAAATAGGAGGCTGTAATAACATTCCTGTTTCTTACTATCAAGACCCTATAACAATAGCCATCAAATTCTTTTGGTATTCAGTTTTTTCCATTACACTTTTCCTTTGGGAAAAACCAGAGGTAAAAAAGCCATTTATATGGTTATGGTATAGCAGTATTTCAAAATCTTTTTGCAAGATAACTCTGTATCTCTTTTAATATATTGACAATGGGTTTGTAAACTGACTCAGATCAAGAAATGGGTGAGGACTTTTAATTTTCCATTGCCATAGCTGACATCAGCCTGTTTCTTATCAACTCTTCATTCTTTTTGGTTTGTAAAAGTCAAGTCATTATTTAATTGCCTTTCTATCTTCATGGTTAAGACTTTGCAATTTATTAGCCAATGCCATAGACTTATGATTTGAGTTTCTTAAGATCAAGGCCCCCTGGTTCTCACTGTACCTTTGTTGCCCTTCTGATGTTCATGCTCACATTGTCTCTAATGGTTAAGGGTCAACATTGCATTTTTGCTATTCAAAATCACATCATATTATCACTCTTATCCCACATTTATCTAGTTCTATGAAAAAAAATGTTCTATCATCCACCCAGAACTATAGAGGACATTTGATATGTAGCCATCCAATCATGCAGGTTCTGTTCCTTCCTGCTTTAGTAATGTATGTCCTCTAGGGGTTCCTGGTGAGTATAACATGCTCAATTCCCTGAGTCTTCTAAATCTTTCTACAAAAGAGTTCTGTCATCCTCAACTCATGATATTAGGGCATTGCTGAATGCAACTTTCAAGGAACCATGCTAGAAGACATCCCAGAACGCTATATGTATGTATTATTGATAGAATATTAAATCCTGAGACTAGGAAAGTGCTCTCATGACTTCATGTCAATTAACTTTTTCTTATATAGCCATATAATCTGTTGAATCTAGTTCAGCATACTTAGAATATATCCTCACATGTTTTCCATCCTTCTTAGTTATCTCGATCTAGCAACTCTATCAGGGAATAAGCAATTTTCTTTGGGAGCAGGGGTACAGACTTCTCTCTGCAGTTTATACAGAGGCCTGGCCATAATGATTAGTCTGGATGCAATGAAGATAAGCTGGATAAGACATTAAAAAAAAAACAAACACCACCAAGGGATATCGGCCTTAGTGAGGTGTTTGTACTGTCTCCAGGCCAGGAAAGGCTGCTTCTGCTTGCAAGAGGAGGGTTATTTCTGCTCAAACAGAAATTTCAGAATTGAGGACTGTAAGATTATCCAATGTACTCATACAGATGTCCCGTACTGAATAGTAGGATTCATTTCTTCCCTATCGATGCACTGACTCTAAAATAGAAGACATCTCAAAAATATTTAGTCTCTTCTCACTTTTGCTATTGTTATGATTAGTCCTGGGCCTAATTTCTAACACTATTTGTCCTATTGTCTTAGACGATAAGGGCTTTTTAAATTGCCAGCATGAAGATTTTCATTGTACTCTCAGGTGATAATTGCCTGAGGTGAACTGGTCATTTTTTTTCCAAGGCCAGCAATGTCACAATTTTAATGTTACTATGGAATTCTGGAGATCACAAGCTAGAGTTACTGCTTAACACAAAGGTTTCTCTTCTACTTGAAGTTAATCCTAATCTGCTGAAGTTGATATTCTTAGTAGTTGTGATCCTGCAACACATTAAGTGTTATCAGTAACTCACATATCAACAGCAATGGAGCTTCAGTTGACATAGTCTGATGAGTAAACAAGGATTTGTTATTTGAGTTTATTTCTAGTGCTAAGTACCTTAGGTTGAATTTAGCCAAAAGCAGAAACATTGATAAGGTCTTGAATCAAGTTTATGTATTTGGAAGGCTATCGTGGGAAATAAAAATCAAGGAAGGGAGTGAGACAGAGAAGTATGAAAACCCAGAAATGGTGGGTTATTTAGGTGATTCTGTGGCATTGGCTGTTAGTTATGCTGGGGTCCCTTTAAGAAACTGTGAAATGCCTCTTAAGAACACAGGAGAAGGAAAAGAGACTGAGACATTTATCTACCAGCGCTGTTGCAGATTGGTTGAGGGTTGTTCACAGGACATTATCTAGCCCACAATCCTAGGTTGCAAGTGTGTGCCTTCTGAAGATGTTGCTGTGACTTTTAAGAAAGGCTTGAAGCAGAAAAACAAATACATAATGCAGCAGGTTTCTGCTGTGGGCTGCAAGTCAGCATGCTCAGTGTCATCCACAAAAACTGCAGCTGAAATCAAAGGCAAGCCAAGGGAGGATGTGCCACCGGCCACTAGAAACATCTGCTACATGTGAAATAATTTATTTTAGATAATCATGCTGTCATATATTAGAATAATTAGGTAACACATTTAATAATATTTTATCTCCAATTTTAGCACATAATCGCTAAGAAGACAAAGAACTACAATATACATTTGCTAACTTTGCCATTAAAAATAAATTTTGTATAACTACTGTGTATATTTTGATTAGAAATAGTTGCATGTTTTAAAGATTGAAAAGATAATATATCTTTATTTTAAAAAAACACAATAAGGAAAGAATAAGGTTAAATATAATTTTGCTAACTCTAAGAAATTTACTTTTTTATTATAACCATGGAAAAAGTTCTAGTTATTCCTTGATACTTTTGCATTGATGAATTAAAACCATAACCAAAGGTCCTATGTTTCAACTATATGATTTGGAAGATATTTCTCAAACATGCGTAACCTAAAAAAATTATGACTCATCTTAATATAGGCATATAAAATTATCCTTTTAATTTTTAAACAGATAATGCAATAATTATTATTGCTAGTTTTAAGTCTGTATATAAATTAAAAACCACAATTTTTAATTAAAATGTATGTCAATTTAACGTTTAATATGAAAGGAATGCTATACATGATATATGTTAATATACTCTTATCATTACCACTGCAGTGGCAGATATTGTCAAATGTTATTAGATAATCTGCATTTGAAAAAATAAAATATTCCATTTATTTAATTGAAGGTTAGTTCCTTATAAATACATTTTCGTTATAAGATAATCGGCCTTTTGGGTTTCTCTTGGCTATATACACTGTGAGTACTTTTTAGATTGTCTATTTTACAACATATTTATAAAAGTTATATGTTTAATACAGATTTTTGATGTTTGCATATGTTTGTATATATATACATATGTGTATTATTTATGTGTACATAGACTATATATATATATATACATATACACATTTGGATGTTACTCATGATGTGTATGTGTGTTTAACCTGTAGTAGCATTAATTTATATGCATGAAATATATAAATAATAAATTTTGGTTCTTTTGTGTTATATACAGAGGATATTTCCACCTAAAATTTATAAAAATTAACATACATATTTTCTTCTTAATATGCAATTTAATTTAGTGTTTACTATTAACATTGTGCCCATTTGTACTTTATTTTTCCATCTAGAATTGGAATTCACTTACCTCAATTGTGTGGGTCAATAAATTGCTTTTATTTTGTAAGCAATTTCAAGCCCAGTGTTCTGTTATTCGCAACTGAAAAAAAAAATCCTAACTTGTTCTTCTTTAAAATCTCAGCGAATGACTTTAGAAAAATGAGAATGTGTGGTTCCTTTGCCATCCTGCACTCCACAAAAAAAAGATCAGATGTAAATCTGGCAGAGAGGATCAGAACTGGCTGCCTCTCTTGGTTCTTCTCTCTCAGTGTTGACTCCATCCACAAACTCTCTTGGTGCTTTTTCAGGTAAGTTCAATTTAAATTAGAAAATGAGATTTTCTATCTTCTAAAACCTACGTCACAATTTATAAGGTTAATGTTTTCTTTTCAATTTGATTAAAAACTCTTGGTGAATTCAATAGTTAGGCTCTCATAAATCTGCATAGATAAATATTGGTCCCTCTATATTGGTTGTAAAATAATTCTGAAAGAAATAATCTTCTATTTGTGTGGAGTTTGTACTATAAAATCTTGTGCAACCTTTAACGCCCTCTTTTTTTCTCTTTGGAAAAGTGGGTATGGCAGGAGCCTGACGGTAAGTTAATTAGTAGCATAATCTAGTGTCTCTGAAGACAATCATTGAATTTCTCCCAATGGTTCTTTCCATGATATTTAAGGAAAAGTAGCAGGTATCAGGGAAAGGAAAATATGGTATTAAGTTTATACATTCCTCCTATTTTTCTTTCCTGAAGAGCATAAGAATATACCTGTCTTTATTGGCTTTGATGTTAAAACTAATTAACTAAAAAAACTTCAAAATTAGGTGTGATTCTATCCCTTTTTCTCAAGTCCCTACATTGATTTATAAAGTAAACATTCCCAATGCCAACACTTTCATTAAATTTGATTAGGAAAAATTTGATTTGTGAATGTTGTAATTTTATTTCACTATTAAGGAATTATCTATACCTGCCTGCTTAACTGCCTATTTCATGTGTCTCTCAGAAAGACTTTTCATGGTTTAAGAAGCAGAAAACCAGGTTGCCTATTCAAAGATTTCTTCATACAATTAGGAGAGAAAGGCTGAACCTGACAGCCAAGATGTCTTTAATTTAAAAGTCTTCGAGATATTGTTCCTTGGAGAAGGAGAATATTAGTAGGGTCATTTAATATGTCACAACTTTTTTTTTTCAATAAACATTGAACCGTACCCTGACCCAGAACTGACTGTGTGCAAAGCATTTTGTCTTGCATCAATTCATAGAGTTTGTGTTTTAAGTTTGAAAAAATTCCCAAATTTCGAGAACTCTTGTGTTTTTACTACCATATTTAGTCTCTTATGACAAAGCAATAGGTAGTGAATGAGAATCAGCGTCTAATGAAGTTTTAGCAATGTATTGTTTACATAGTTTACATACTGGAAGCCTGACTAATGAAAGAGTAAATTAATGAATAAGGTAAAGCAAAGATAGCTAATGTCAACAAAGTCTCCTATATCATCTTTTCTGCATAGAAATAATTTATTATAAAATGCATACTTTTAGAAAGAACAAAGAATAAGGAGAGAATCTTACATTCTATGTTTTCTATTTAGCTTAATCTAATTTTGAGTTACTTCTTTCTGGACATGCAAGTTTATACATTTAGTTCAAACATTTCAAAAGGATATCTAACAACAGGACTATAAAATTGAAGATTTGAAGATAAGTCATCATAACTACATTTTTGGTCAAGAGCCAATGAAGTAACGTGAAATTCAGTGATTCTTTTCAATGTTTACATTTCAATACAATTGCACTGAACACAAAAAGTTATAAAAATGCTTCTTTAATTTAGTAACAATTTAATATAACAGAATTTTCATATAGATGTTTTTTGAAAAGTGTTGTTTTATGCTCACTACACAATGGAAGTGACATTTAAATCATACTTAAATATTTTTATCAACATTATGATTAAATTTTGTTCTTTCCTTTGTGACCTCTTTTTGTACTTTGAAATTGTTTTCTTTTTCTTTTATTCACTTTATTTTAAGTTCAGGGCGGGGTACGTGTACAGATTTGTTATATAGGTAAACTCACGTAACAGGGGTTTGTTGTACAGATTACTCCATCACTTGGGTACTAAACCTAGAAGCCAATCATTATTTTTTCTGATCCTCTTCCTCCTACCACCTTTCACCCTCTGGTAGGCCCCAGTGTCTTGTTCCCTCTATGTATTCATGTGTTCTCATATTTTAGCTCCCACTTACAAGAGAGAACATGAGGTGTTTGCTTTTCTCTTGCTGCATTAGTGTGCAGGAAAATGGTCTCCAGCTCCATTCATGTTCCTGCAAAAGAAATGTCCTCATGCTTTTTTATGGCTGCATAGTAATCCATGGTGTATATGTTCCATGTTTTCTTCATACAGTCTACTGTTGATGAGCATTTAGGTTAAGTCCTTGTCTTTGCTGTTGTGGCTAGTGCTACAGTGAAGATACTGTCATTTTTTTATGATAGAATAATGTATATTTCCTTGGGCATATACCCAGTAATGTGATTGTTGGGTTGAATGGTAGTTCTGTTTTTAGGTCTCTGAGGAATTGCAACACTGTTTTCCACAGTGGTTGAACTAACTTAGATTCCCACAACATTTGATATTAGCTATCTTTGCTTTACCTTATTCATTAGAAAAAAAATGTTTTTTGTAAAACGAAAGGCATTTCTTTTTCTCTCAGCCTTGCCAGTGCCTGCTATTTTTTGACATTTTAGTACTAGTCATTCTGACCAGTGGGAGATGGTATCTCATTGTGGTTTTGATTCGCATTTCTCTATTGATCAGTAATGTTGAGCCTTTCCTCATATGATTATTGGCCACATGTATGTCTTCTTTTGAAAAGTGTCTGTTCATGCCCTTTGCCTACTTTTTAAGGGGTTGTTTGCTTTTTCCTTGTAAATTTGTTTCAGTTCCTTATAGATACTGAATATTAGATCTTTGTCAGATGCATAGTTTGCAAATTTTTTCTCCATTGTGTAGGTTGTCTGTTTGCTCTGTTGATAGTTTCTTTTGCTGTGCAGAAGCTCTTTAGTTTAATTAGATCCCATTCGTCAGTTTTTGCTTTAGTTGAGATGGCGTTTGGTGTCTTCATCATGAAGTCTTTGTCCATTCCTATGCCAATAATGGTATTGCCTGGATTGTCTTCCAGGGTTTGTATAGTTTTGGCTTTTACATTTAAGTCTTTAATACATTTTGAGTTGATTTTTGTGTATGGTGGAAGGAATAGAGCCAGTTTCAATCTTCTGCATATGATTAGCAAGTTATCTCACATTATTTATTGAATAGGGAGTCCTATTCCCATTGCTTATTTTTGTCAGCTTTCTCGGGTTATTATAGGTGTGCAGCCTTATTTCTGGGCTCTCTATTCTGTTCCATTTCAATGAAATATCAATTTCATTGAGCTGGATTAAAGACTTAAATGTAAAACCAAAAACTATACAAACCCAGGAAGAGAACCTAGGAAATACCATTCTTGGCATAGGAATGCCAAAGATTTCATGATGAAGACACCAAAAGCCATTGCAAGAAAAGCAAAAACAGATGAATGGGATCTAATTAAACTAAAGAGCTTCTGCACAGCAAAAGAAACTATCAACAGAGTAAACAGATAACTTACATGATGGAAGAAAAAATTTGCAAACTATGCATCTGACAAAGGTCTTATATTCAGCATCTTTAAGGCACTTACAGAAATTTACAAAAAAAAGCAAACAACCCCTGAAAAAGTAGGCAAAGGGCATGAACAGACACTTTTCAAAAGAAGACATACATGTGGCCAATAACCATATGAAAAAAAAGCTCAATATCACTGATCAATAGAGAAATGCAAATCAAAACCACAATGAGATACTGTCTCATACCAGTCAGAATGACTTGTTTTGAGACAGAATATATGGTCTATCCTTGAGAATTATCATGTGCTGAGGAAAAGAATATGTATTCTGTAGTTGTTGGATTAAGTGATCTGTATATATCTGTTAGATCCATTTGGTCTATTGTGTAGATTAAGTCCGATGTTTCCTGATTTTTTGTCTGGAAGATCTGTTCGGTGCTAAGAGTTGGGGATTGAAGTCTCCAGCTATTATTGTACTGGGGCCTATCTCCCTCTTTAGCTTAATAATATTTGCTTTATATATCTAGGTGCCCCAATATTGGTTGCATATTTTGAGTTGGGTTTCATTGCTTGTAACCCAAAAGAGAGAAATTTAATACAGGTATTGATATATAACAGAGGGTTTTGCAAGTGACAAACCTTATAATATAGAATTAGCTGAGCTAATCATGAGGATGGACTGGACACTGCCTCCATTCCCATTGGGTTGTTGGAAACCTCACTGTATAAAACCCAAACATTGTTATGAAATGTTCTCTGCCATGCCTTGGGATTCAGAATCATTGGACTGAGAATTTTAAGGAATTTTGTAGGACACTTTCCAGATGTTTGTTTATTTTGGCTAGTTGTGCCTGTCAACAGGATTAAAAAGGTAGTGTCAGATAGTATTTGGTCATGCAAACAATTATACCAGAAGGTAATTAATTTGCATTGTGCATGCATACACCTGGTGGAAAAGGTACTTCTCACCAAGACATACCCGACACATACCTTAAACTCTTCTTCCATCCTGATGTGAAGACTGTGATGCAATTATTATGTCAGAGCCTAGAAAATTCAAGAGGCTCCACTTCTTTATATGCATACACATTTATATGTATGATATGATATAAAATATGCATCATTAATTCTTTTTCAACTCACTGAGATAAAGTAGTTCAATGGCTAGATAGCAATCATGATAATGTTGAATTTTTTCAGAAAAAAAGCAAAGTTGTATTGGATCAAGTTCATCCAGAATCCAGGCAATGCCTTTGCTACAGACATATTTATAACTTAACACTTTTGCAAGAATTTTTCAGGGACACTCTCTCATTGACTGGTGGCAGAATGTAACAGTATTAATGGACATAAGAGCTTAGGTCCTCTTGTGAGAAAGTGATAAATGGTCTTATTTCTTTCGGTTCCATTGTTCAGTATATCTCTTTGAGTAAATGCTGAAGACTGTAATAAATTCTCATCATATTTCCAGAACCTCTTCTTTATAGTGAAGGTTGTTTGGATATGAGCTTGCCAGCACTTTCCAATAAAACTTCACTGTCAAAACGTCAATTAAAGTAAAATTTGTCAGTTTGTCTAAAAGTTGGATTAATGTTAATCACGTCCTGAAATAGATGCCTACTTTGATGTGTGGTTTAAAAAAATTAAGGATTATTGCACTTCTAGAAATATATTCATTTTCTTCATGTCTTATTTTTCAAAGAACTTCCAGCATAGCACAATATTATTTTTTTCTTTAAATTTTATATATTCTATAAATATCACTGCACTAAGTGGTAAAAACTATTTTATTTTATTCAAAAAATAAAGTTTCATCACCTATCACTACCTATACATATATATAGTGATAGATAATCAATATAGACATAGAAATAGATATAGTTGATATAGGTATAGATGTAGACATAGACATAAAGAGTGTGAATGAAACTGCAGGCTTTTCACATTCTTAATTATGTAAGTGCTCTTACTATTACAACTTTGTCAGGCAAACACAAATTAAACCTAACTTATTACCATTGCAAATTCTGAGATTACAAGAAGATTTGAATCTTGACTTTGACACCCAATAGCTCTATGATGCTGGACAAGTTGTGGAACTTCTATAAACTTCATTTTCTTAACCTAAATAATAGATATATAATGGTTTAATATGAAAAATAATTGACATAAATTATTCAAAGCTGTTGGAAGAGCCCTGGTTACCTAATAAATAGCCATAAATATTGGTTGATTGCATTGTCACCACTGTTGTAAATCTTTTTATTGTTACTATGAAATATATCTTAGCCACTCAGCCACAAATTATATACATATGTATATATACCAAGATGGAATACACACACACACATGCACACACACATGTACATAATATTTCAAGGATGTGGCTGGTGATTTTCTATTATAGCAAAATTACATATTCATAAACTGACAGTTTCTTAAAGTTGTATATTATTTATAGATTCCACATTCATGTTACTTTGTGAAATTAAGATGTTATGCCCATCTGAAATTTTAATACTTAAGGGTATACTTTTCTTTTTACATAGACAATTTAGAATAATAAAACTAGATTTAAAATTTTAAACCAGAGATTTTGGTAGAATCTGGTGGGAGTTCTATCCCTCCTACTGCCTGGCCATGAGATCTCAGGGATGCATGTATTTTGTCTGAATCAAAAACCTACTTAGTACCATCATGAGTACTGCAAATGTGGCATTATGTGCCATTATAAGACTCCCAACAGAGTCTGAATTTCCAAATATATTTGTATGTTTAAAATAAACTTTAAAAACTCTACTGATAAAATAAGTTGAAAACCTGAAAATTGTAAATGTTAAAAAGTAAGAATAAAGGCCATGAATTCCTCCACTAGAGAAAACCCTTGCTAAAATCGTAGGTCATGTCTTTCCAATCCTTCTGTGGATCCAAAAACGTGTTTCCTTCAATCAGACACTGGGCAGGTAAGAAACATGATGTTTGTATCTTTTGAAAATTATAAAGAACTTGCAACCAAAAAACTTGCATTGAGTTATTTAAGATTTATACATTTCAATAATTTAAACCACAGTTCCAAATAGCCTCACATGCTTCTACCTCCAAAGGCCTTCTCTTTTGTTCCCACACTACACTTTCTGTCTTAATATCCTCCTTTCTCAACTCTGCCCTTTCCAGAAATTTTTGTCTTAAGGAACTCAGGAAAATTTTTCTTTCCATGTCTCTGTGGCTAAAAAGACAGACAATTAACCTTTAAATTACGCTTTTCTTGTAAAATCTGCTTGAATTACTTTTTATTTATTCAATGATCAGTGGAATTTTACATTATTATTAATTTTTATATTGTGAGAGAGTGTCTTATCAACCCAAATTATAAAGATAATCACAGATAATTATAAGATTTGCATGTACTGAGTTTATGGGCACTATTATTTTTCTAAATTCTTAAAAAAGTTATATATTAATTTTTCTAAACAGAAAATAATATCTTAAAATAATCTTTAGAAATGTAAACACCCCTTGAGTTGTCAAATCCTTTTAGGGAAAAAAAAATTTATCCCAAGGAGAAAAATATCAACATAGTGCAACACTATTTCTCACCAAGGATGTTCTTTATGGAAACTATGTAGCTTTTAATGTTGATACTAGCCTCATGAGTCAATAAGAAACACTGTGTTTAGTTTAAAGGGGTGAAGTAACCCAAAGCAAAGACAGATTTATTTTTTTAATTTTGTTGAGAAACAAGTTTTCTGAATATGATGAACTCAGGGGAAAGTTGTCAAGTTTTTTGTTTGTTTGTTTGTTTTGTTTTTTTAGACAGTCTTGCTCTGATGCCCCAGGCTGGAGTGCAGTGATGGATTGGCTCACCCTGCAACCTTTGCCTCCCGGATTCAAGCAATTCTCCTGTCTCAGCCTCCCGAGTAGCTGGGACTACAGGCACAGGCCACCATGCCTGGCTAATATTTGTATTTTTAGTAGAGACAGGGTTTCACCATATTGGTCAGGCTGATCTTGAACTCCTGACCTCAGGTGATACGCCTGCCTCAGCCTCCCAAAGTGTTGGGATTACAGGCATGAACCGCCATGCCAGGCCTGTCAAAACTTTTGTGTAAATCGGTCCCTCTGTTCAACATGCAATTCTTCCTTAAAATGTAGTATATTTTAATACATTACTTTGTTATGTTTTGTCATCATTTTGATTTTATCTTCTTCCAATGTAATTTTTTTAAATAATAAAATTTAATATATATCAAGTAGCATATCTTCAGTTCCTGGAGCCTAGAGCTTTCACCTTCTTGTTGGATTAAACAAAATATTTAAAAAGCCTCAGCAGTTGGAGGAGTTTATTCAATAAATGCATATGTTTATTAATGTGTTGTTTCTGAAGCTTTTCCTTTGATGATCTCTTACCCACATCTTTACTTAACATCATATGATCCAATGTAACACATCCTTATTTGAAATATTGTGTATTGTAATAGTTATAACCAATTGTGACTAAAATTAATTTTTAAAAGGAGAAAATGCTATAAAGCATGCCAAATTATTATTATACAGTTCATATAATCTGTCTTCTACTTGCCAATACATGCCATATTTAATCTTTTGAACATTAGAATTTGATATTAAAAAATTTCATATTGGAGTACCATGGTTGTAAGAAAAATTTCTCCAGGTCAAATAAAAAAATGTATTAGTGTAAGAAAAAGAGCCTGTTCTTTAATGTTTACTAGCTCAATATTGGCTTACTTTCTCAATCACTGGAACTTTCTACTTTAGGAACTGGTGGTATGGTCAAGAACATTACTCTTTACTGTTAGGGGTTTAAAAAATTCTCCTTACAGTTTCTCTGCTCAAATATTTCTCTTTGGAAAACTTTTTAAATTATTGTCACTTTTATATTTTTTTAACCAGATTGGAACTTACAGTCTATTATCATTATCTGCTCATACAATTTTCTAAAATTCACTTGAGGTGCAGGTTTTCATTCATTTAATTGTGAAATTCTGATCAGCCTCAAACTAGAGTCTAATAAATCAAAATAACCAATATATTGGCTTATCAAAAAGAAAATGGACTGCCATAAATTTCTCTTCTCTTTGTATGTATGAACCACCCTACTTCACTCATCTAGAGATTAAGTTCAAACCTCTACCACACTGAATCAGTGCTGCACTGACCAAAAACATATAGCAGCAGTGACACAAAACCTGTCCTTCAAGACGGTTTCTGTTACTATGTCTTATCATAGAGGCTTAAACTTTCACATTAGAGGTTTGTACTGGAAAGAAATGACATAGGCAGGAGTGTGGAAGCATAAGAAATTAAGAAAAAATATGGTCTAATCTTATTAAGGTTTCAGGTTGTTATCTGCCCTATACCCCCTGCCCTTCATTGCTACCAATAATTTATTCCAAGTGCCTACAAAAGGACCTGGTCCAAGATGGGATGAATAAATAACTGCTGGCATCACAAGAAATAACTATTCTAAAATAAACCCATTTCATTTTCTGAAATCTGCATATAAATATACCAGGTTCTGTGACCTACAATGGAAATTATTTTCTATTCTTCAGCAGGCATTACAAAGTATAACTCCTCACCAACACTAAACATCAGTCCTCACCAAAACTCCCGCCTTTTCCCTTTGGCCTAATTCATGAAATTAATAGTCAGACACATATTTTTCTTGTTAATGAAGATCCTCTTTCTATAAATATTTTGATTGCACATATTTACTTTAAAATGTAGTTTAGACAGGGCACGGTGGCTCACACCTGTAATCCCAGCACTTTGGGAAGCTGAGGTGGGAGGATTTATGTGAGGCCAGGAGTTCGAGACTGGCCTGGCCAGCATGGCGAAATCCTGTCTCTACTAAAAATACAAAAATTAGCAGGGCATGATGGTGCATGTCTGTAATCCCAGCTACTTGGGAGGCTGAGGCATAAGAGTCACTTGAACCCGAGAGGCAGAGGTTGCAGTGAGCTGAGATCATTCCACTGCACTCCAGCCTGGGTTATAGAGTGAGACTCTGTCTCAGAAAGTTTAGTTTCTAGAATAATTGTTCAAAGAACTATTTTCTTTCGCTGTTGTAGTGCGTCATATACTCCTCTCTCATTCAAGTATTTCTACCCTTAAAAAATAATTTTTTCTTGAATCTACCTTACTCTCAGAACTTTACCTCTTTTTTTCTTCATTTATTTGGTAGCCAAATCTCTTTATTTTACTTTATTCCTGGCACTTATTATAACTAGTTAGGCTATCTCTTTATTTCAAGAGCTTTTAGGATGCTGGCAATTAAATGAAACCTGTCTTTTTTTTTTTTTTTCTGTGCTGCTATAACAGAACACCACAGAACAGGTAATTTGTAATGAACAGAAAATTACTGGCTCATGATTCTGAAGGCTGGGAAGTCCAAGATCCAGAAAACGACATCTGGTGAGGGCCTTCTTACTGTGTCATCCCATGGCAGGAGGTGGAAGGATGAGAGAGCAATAGAGATAGAGTGATAAAAGTCCAAATTCAGGGCCAGGCACAGTGGCTCATGCCTGTAATCCCAGCACTTGGGAGGCCAAGGAGGGAAGACTACTTAAGTTCAGAAGTTCAAGAGCAGCCTGGCCAACATGGGGAAACGCCATCTCTACTAAAAATACAAAAATGAGCCAGATGTAGTGGTATGCATCTATAATCCCAGCTGCTTGGGGGAGGCTGAGGCATAAGAATCACTTGGATCCGGAAGGTGGAGGTTGTAGTGAACCAAGATCATTCCACTGCACTCCAGCCTGGGTGACAGAATAAGAATAAGAATCTTGTCTCAAAAAAACCCAAAAAATCCAAATTGAAATTCAGCCTTTTACAAGAAACTCACACCAAATGATAATAATATTAATCTCTACATAAAGGAAAAGCCTTCATGTCCTAATCATCTTTCACTAGACCCAACCACCCATCATGCTTGTATTAAGGATTAAGTTTTCAACACGTACTTTTTGGGGGACACATTCAAACCATAGGAGAGCCTCTGTTAGTTAAAATGCTGGGTTCTTTAAAAATATCTTTATGAAAATATTAAATGCACATAATATAGAATAAAATAGTACTGAAAAACTCAAAATCAAAAAACAGCAAAAATGCTATCTACTGCTCATAATTTCTTTAGTTATTTACTACTTTTCTGAATCTATTTTCAATGTGTTCTTTTAATATTTATCATTATTTTCTGGATAGCAGGCTCCATATATTTTTCACTTTTTAGTTGCACTTATTATCTACTGATTTTCTATGAGTGATGATGACAATTTAACTCTCTTATACTCCCACTCTCTCTCAATTTTTCCTCCCCAGATAATTTTAATATATTTCTTTTATGTGCGGTAAAACTACATTACAGTTTGAAACCTCTTATGAATATGGAAATATTATTGAGTAATAAATAAGTACTTATTGTTAGTCACATTTGTTTCCCTGCAACCTTTTCCATTTTTCCAAGCATTAGTTCCACTCTTCTCACTTTTCAGATTTGTTTGACTTTTTTCAAGACCATTTAATTGTTCTATATAATCTCCAACCTAACCTCCAACAAATTAGTAAAACCCCTTTTAATCAAATTTTTTCAACAATCAAACTTACCAAATAGCCCATTACGTAATTTTTCTGTCCTTTTGAGACTTTTTTCCTTTTCTTTTTTTTTTTTTTCTAGAGGTTTCTATCCTCTTATTCCAACCTGGACTTGTAACTCTAGGAAAATTGCACAGTTGTTGTTGTTTGACTTCTTGTCACAGTAGGAATTTTCCCTCTCCTATATCCTAAATAGGATCTACTTTTTTCTAGAACCCTGTGTTTTTGTAGTTGTTTACTGACTTAAATGGTATAGAATGTAGTTCATTTATTTCTTGAGAAAGGATAGTAAATAGGACAATTTTGAGACTACATTTTTCCAAGTAGTTTTACTCTACTTGAACACCTGTATGATAGTTTGCTGGGTAAAAAAGAGAAGTTGGAATTAATTGTCCTTAACTGTTAAAGATATTGCAATATTGGTCATTTGGCTTTGGTTATCATGTTGAGAAGGCTAATACTTTCCTATTTTTTTTTATTCTGCTATTTTTTATTCAGATATCTTTAAGAATTAGCTCTTTATCCTGATAATCTCAAATTTTAGAATGATTTATCTTTGTCTGGGGTATCCATGGAATTGAGTGCACAGTGGACCATCTCAATGTGGAAACTCATCTCTTCCATTTTAAATAAATTTCATTTGAAAAAAAAATACGGATTCACTAAAAGTTTCAAAAACTGTATAAAGAATTTTATGTAACCTTCATTCAGCTGCCCCAAAGTGGTGAGACCTTATATAGCTGTAGCACAATATCAAACCAGAAAATTGACATTGGCATATTACTTTTAATAAGACTACAAATCTTATACAGGTTTACCTTTTTAAACTTAACCTATGTGTGTGTGTTTGCAATTGTATTCCATGTATTGATTTATGCAACTTTGCTCCATATGTTAATTTATGTGACCACCAGCACAATTAAGATACAGGACTTTCTTAATCATCTTAAATTCTTACATTCTTCCCTCATTATTTTCTCTCTCTCTCTCTCTCTCTCTCTCTCTCTCTCTCTTGCTCCCTCCTTCATCCTCTCCTGTCTCATTCTTTAACTGACATAGAGGATTGACTTTGTTTCTGGTCTTTAAAAGTTGGGAAGTCTTGGGGTCTTCTCTATGGCTGACCAAATACAGTGGACTCAACATCATTTGAGTTGCATGAACTCAGGCATAAACTGGCTTTTCTGCAGTTCACCAGAGCATCAACATCTATCTATAACCTTTTCAGGTTCCAGACTAGTGACAGAAATTCTTCAGAAAAGCCTAATTCATTCCTAGCCTTCTCTAACTCCATGTTATTATACTCCTTAGTTACATCATCTTTGGCTACACAATTTATTTAAAAATCATCATCTGTTACTACAAGATTTATTTAAAATCTAGATATGAATGACTCTTGTTTCATCTCCAACATTTATTGTAAACAGCTAAATTCATATCTCAAATTATCTGCCACAAATCAATGTAAATATCCTGCTAGACTATGATTCAACATGTTGAAAACTAAACACATCACCTTCTCCTTTAAATGAATTCATCCTTCTTTTTTCTGATATTCTTCATTTTCCAGTAAGATGACTTGGCTCATCATGCCGCCATTTTCCAGAGTATACAAGCCACAAACCTTATATCATTGTCTAGTCATTTCTTTCTTTCCACATTCTCATTTTCTTAGTCAAAATAATATCTTATTCTGTGTCTGATATGTTGCACCTAAGTCCAAGCTCCTTAGTGCATCTATTGCAAATTCTTTGTCCTCACTATTCCTAGCTGGATAATTGTAATACAATAATGTTCTGTTTTTTCTATAGTCCTAAAAAATCAGCGTTATTCATTCTTGCCACTCCTGGCAAAATCCAATTAGCCCACTTTCATATTGGAAATCTCTCTTGCCTGTGAAATACAGCATATATTTCCGATATAAATCACTCCCTTATTGGGCTAAATTGCTACTGCCTATATGCAATATATATGTTTTAATAGCTGACAAATACACATTCTCTTTAGCTTTTATATTTGTGCAACCTAAACCATGTGCAACTACCTATTCATCTAAAATAAGTATAGTTGTTGTTATGTCACACTATCAAGTATTTAGACTAATCTCCAAATTTTTACATGGCATATTATAAAGGGTATATTTGAATTTTGAAATCAGTTTTATTTCACAATTCAATGTTTTAGTGGGTTTTATTCAGTTAAAAGCATCACATCTAATCTTTCTCTTTTTTTAACTTAAAAGATACTTTTTTCATTTGAGATTTAAAGTAGACCTAGGTCACACTGATTCTAGGCATGTGAACTCAAATATGAATTACACAGATTCAGGTTATAGCTTTACAAGAATGCTATCATGAAATTGCTGTAACTGGTCAGGAACTCTGGGAGTTTTAATCCTGGTTCTGTCACAAACCTGCCTTATGACCTTGGCAAGTTAATCTATGTTCCTGTATTTTTATGGAAAAAGTCACTGTTGTACCTGGGCACTTTGATAAACCTGTCATTGTAGTACAGTGTAATACAGAAGGAAAATCATAGATTCACACAATATATGATCTGCAAGAGAACATGAGGGAATATCCTGATTATACTTTGAACTAGAAACAGTACTGCACGTAAACCACTAGTCAAACAACGTCAGATTAAATGCCAAGAGGGGATGAAATCCCAAGCAAGAGCCATCTATATTAAAATTTTCCTGAAAATTTAATAAAAAATATTTCTCCCACATTATAATCATTAATTATACAATAACAATAAGTTATATGAAATAACTTGTCAAATTTTTGTTTTATTTTCAAATAGCTTTTTTACATGCACCCAATAATTTGCTTGCTATATTTTTGAAGATAGATTATTAAATTCCCAGTTTAATTTTTTTTTTCTAAAGTCTCATTTCACATCCTTTCTGTCTTATAATCAGTTTCTAATGATATCTAAGATCTTGACTCCATTATGTTGGAAAATCAATCACAAATATGTTGATTTAAAATTGACTGCAGGGAACACACCTAGTTTAATAAAACTTTTTTGCTTTTAAGCATGTAGGTTTTGAAGAAATCAAGTCTTAGGGCAATTTTATTTGTCTCAATCTCATAAAGCCACATTTAGCATACAGTATTTTTAAAAGGGTGTTCTAATTAGGCAATACATTCTTTTATTAAGGTCCACATTTTTTATTATTCCATATTTTGCAGGCTTATGCTAAATAATTAATTTCCATTTGTTTATAAATAAATAGTAAGGTATCACAAAATTAGTTAACTTCCAGAAAAGTGTAAACCAACAAAGACAAAATTCTGTTTGGGGCAATAAACTCACTTAATACCTGCTAACTTGTTTTAGCATGTGAAAACTGAACAACTGACAATTTGCATTTCTAAGACAATGACCATATATGTGATAATTTTATGGAGTATGTATACATTTAAAGTATGAGATACAGAGAAACATCTTAAATAACCTAAATAATAAGATAGTAGCTATGAAGAAGGCATATTCATGAAATTCATGGTATTGTATTATACTACTAGTTCACACACAAGACACACACACACACACAAAAGGTGTGTGTACATCTTTTGAATTAACTTTATTGGGGTATAATACATATATAATAACATATTTATTTTAAGCTATCAATTAAATGTTTTGACACATATATTCAGTTGTATGAATATTACCCATATAAAGTTTTAGAATATTTTTGCAGACTCAGAAATTTCCTCCTGCTCCATCTGTAGTCATCTCTTACCAACCCCACCTTCTAGGCAACCACTGACATATTTTCTGTCAGTATAATTTAGTGTTTTTCTGTCTTAGCATTTGTTTAGCTTTTTGGATCTGTGAGTTTAGGTTGTCATCTAATATACAACTTCAGCTGTCAACTGTTTCAGTAATCATTAGTTTCATCATCAGTTTCATTTTACAGTTGAAGAAGTTAAGATACCAGGTTTTTAAGTAGATTGGCTGAAACTGTGGCTGATTAGAATGAAAGTCAATTTGAATAGCTAAGTTTTCTAACTTCTTGGCCAGAACTTTGTCATCTTTACTACTCTGAATGCACCAAAAGTAACAAAAAACACAATTTGATGAAAACATCATAGTAATGATTTCTTCCCACACTATACTAAATGCTTAAGAAATACAACAAAGTTTTTTATTCTCTATTTTATATTTTTAAAGCCGGGCAGAGACACAACCAAAAAAGAGAATTTTAGACCAATATCCTTGATGAACATTGATGCAAAAATCCTCAATAAAATACTGGCAAAACGAATCCAGCAGCACATCAAAAAGCTTATCCACCATGATCAAGTGGGCTTCATCCCTGGGATGCAAGGTTGGTTCAATATACGCAAATCAATAACTGTAATCCAGCATATAAACAGAGCCAAAGACAAAAACCACATGATTATCTCAATAGATGCAGAGAAGGCTTTTGACAAAATTCAACAACCCTTCATGCTAAATACTCTCAATAAATTAGGTATTGATGGGACGTATTTCAAAATAATAAGAGCTATCTATGACAAACCCACAGCCAATATCATACTGAATGGGCAAAAACTGGAAGCATTCCCTTTGAAAACTGGCACAAGACAGGGATGCCCTCTCTCACCACTCCTATTCAACATAGAGTTAGAAGTTCTGGCCAGGGCAATTAGGCAGGAGAAGGAAATAAAAAGTATTCAATTAGGAAAAGAGGAAGTCAAATTGTCCCTGTTTGCAGATGACATGATTGTATATCTAGAAAACCCCATTGTCTCAGCCCAAAATCTCCTTAAGCTGATAAGCAACTTCAGCAAAGTCTCAGGATACAAAATCAGTGTACAAAAATCACAAGCATTCTTATACACCAACAACAGACAAACAGAGAGCCAAATCATAAGTGAACTCCCATTCACAATTGCTTCAAAGAGAATAAAATTTCTAGGAATCCAACTTACAAGGGAAGTGAAGGACCTCTTCAAGGAGAACTACAATTCACTGCTCAAGGAAATAAAAGAGGATACAAACAAATGGAAGAACATTCCATGCTCATGGGTAGGAAGAATCAATATCGTGAAAATGGCCATACTGCCCAAGGTAATTTATAGATTCAATGCCATCACCATCAAGCTACCAATGACTTTCTTCACAGAATTGGAAAAAACTACTTTAAAGTTCATATGGAACCAAAAAAGAGCCCACATCACCAAATCAATCCTAAGCCAAAAGAACAAAGCTGGAGGCATCACTCTACCTGACTTCAAACTATACTACAAGGCTACAGTAACCAAAACAGCATGGTACTGGTAACAAAACAGAGATATAGATCAATGGAACAGAACAGAGCCCTCAGAAATAACGCCGCATATATACAACTATCTGATCTTTGACAAATCTGAGAAAAACAAGCAATGGGGAAAGGATTCCCTATTTAATAAATGGTGCTGGGAAAACTGGCTGGCCATATGTAGAAAGCTGAAACTGGATCCCTTCCTTACACCTTATACAAAAATCAATTCAAGATGGATTAAAGACTTAAATGTTAGACCTAAAACCATAAAAACCCTAGAAGAAAACCCAGGCATTACCATTCAGGACATAGGCATGGGCAAGGACTTCATGTCTAAAACACCAAAAGCAATGGCAACAAAAGCCAAAATTGACAAATGGGATCTAATTAAACTAAAGAGCTTCTGCACAGCAAAAGAAACTACCATCAGAGTGAACAGGCAACCTACAAAATGGGAGAAAATTTTTGCAACCTACTCATCTGACAAAGGGCTAATATCCAGAATCTACAATGAACTCAAACAAATTTACAAGAAAAAAACAAACAACCCCATCAGAAAGTGGGCGAAGGACATGAACAGACACTTCTCAAAAGAAGACATTTATGCAGCCAACAGACACATGAAAAAATGCTCAACATCACTGGCCATCAGAGAAATGCAAATCAAAACCACAATGAGATACCATCTCACACCAGTTAGAATGGCAATCATTAAAAAGTCAGGAAACAACAGGTGCTGGAGAGGATGTGGAGAAATAGGAACACTTTTACACTGTTGGTGGGACTGTAAACTAGTTCAACCATTGTGGAAGTCAGTGTGGCGATTCCTCAGGGATCTAGAACTAGAAATACCATTTGACCCAGCCATCCCATTACTGGGTATATACCCAAAGGACTATAAATCATGCTGCTATAAAGACACATGCACACGTATGTTTATTGCGGCATTATTCACAATAGCAAAGACTTGGAACCAACCCAAATGTTCAACAATGATAGACTGGATTAAGAAAATGTGGCACATATACACCATGGAATACTATGCAGCCATAAAAAATGATGAGTTCATTTCCTTTGTAGGGACATGGATGAAACTGGAAATCATCATTCTCAGTAAACTATTGCAAGAACAAAAAACCAAACACCGCATATTCTCACTCATAGGTGGGAATTGAACAATGAGATCACATGGACACAGGAAGGGGAACATCACACTCTGGGGACTGTTGTGGGGTGGGGGGAGGGGGGAGGGATAGCATTGGGAGATATACCTAATGCTAGATGACGAGTTAGTGGGTGCAGCGCACCAGCATGGCACATGTATACATATGCAACTAACCTGCACAATGTGCACATGTACCCTAAAACTTAAAGTATAATAATAATTAAAAAAAAAGAAATACAACAAAGTTTTTTATTCTCTATTTTATATTTTTAAGAAAATGTCTTTATCTCCTGAACTTACCTTTCAAATAGAAGTTGAGATTTCAAATATTAATCATAAATATTTTTGTTCTACCTACTTGGATTATAGAGTTACTCACAATTAAGGTGAAATTTTACTTCAGTGCATGAGAACAGTCACTTATTTATTTTTATGAAAAACTCATCTATTTTAATTCAGGCAGAGGATAACTGTCTTTTGTTTACATGTTTTATAAATGAATCAAATAAGTCTCACTTCTTGCCAAATTCTACAATTTTAGAATAAGTAATTATATGTCTCTTCCACTTAGCCCTTTTGGTTATCAGAATAACAGCCAATTTTGTGAGAAGGCAATTTTGTTTAAGTTGAAATTGATGCTTAAAATGTACTTCTGTCTTAAAATCAGAATATGAGTGACAATGAAACATTTTACAATATGTTAACACTGAAGATAATACATATAAAAGGAAAGTCTGAATGAGACAATGTGCAAAATGAGAACATACAAAATTCCTTTTACTACTAGGTTATCAAGTAAATAGTTCTGAAATCGTAGAGATAAAATTTTGTGTTTTTATGTAGCAATAATTAGATAAGAAGCACAATGCATTTTGCTTCACTGGTATACTTTTTCTTACATGGAAAAATATTTTTCTCCTATTTTTTTCTCCATCTGGGCATCAGAACTGAGTTTGGAGTAAAAATATATAAACTTGTTCAAGATGTATGTGTATATTTGCTCTCAGAGAGAGAGACAGCGAGAGAGAGAAAATCTCTACTATGTACCATGGCATGTGCTGGGCTTGCGTACATTGAAAGGCAAAAATCTCTTAGGACACCTAAGGTAATATACCCTGTGTGGGAAATACAAAGAATATTGGAATAGAAGCAAATAATCAAATTATGTTTTTTGAATGGAGGAATAGAAAGCTGGGACCTTAAAATGCGTAAGATTTAGCAAGGTGAAGAATGAAGACAAATACATTTTGGGTAGTGGCTGTCTCCAAACCTTCTTCACCAGAACTTGGAGAAGGGCATAGATCTCCCAGAAACATAGGCATCCACATGAAAATGACAATCACAAATAAACATACTTACCTGGAACTTGGAGGACATCATGGAAAAAAAAATATATAATTCAGGTAATTAGCCTGTAGTTTCTATTAGGATCCATGGAAATGTTCTAAGATTTCTTTAGTGAAAAAGAATACCCAGTCCTGATTTCTGAGTAATTTCAACAATTTACAGGAAAGCTAGAGTAAAAGGGGCCAGCACAGGTGTCCGAAAAGGAGGTGCAGAGGTACGGGAGAAAGCCCATAGTTTTAGGGCGAGAGGAAAATCAGGAAGAAGCGAAGGAGACTGCGAAGAGGAAGTATTTTTTAAAAGTAGGAGTTTAGCCAGGCATGGTGGCGCATGCCTGTAGTCCCAGCTATTCGGGTGGCTGAGGCAGGAGAATTGCTTGAATCTGGGAGGGTGGAGGTTACAGTGGGCTGAGATCACACCACTGCACTCCAGCATGGGCAACAGAGTGAGACTTGGTCTCAAAAAAACAAACAAACAAAAAAAGAACTGGAGTTATTGGCTCTGAAGAATGCTGTGGGAGAATAAGTGTGATGAGAAGAGAAAAAATAAATTAGACTTAGTAAGTGGGAAGGCCAGAAAATGTTAATAAGTATAGTTTTGTTTAAGATACGTTAAGTGATAATTTTTTTAAGTGCCATATTAAGATTGGAATTGATTCAGAGGAATAAGGTGACAAAGTGGAGACATTATGGAACACAAGACTTTTAGGAAGGTTATATGTTGAGGGCAGAAACTGGATACAGCGTTAGGACAGCTTGTATTCCTTTATGAAGAGAAATATTATTACATGCCGACAAGCTGGGAGACTGAGGAAACAGGACTGAATTTGCAAGAGCAGGAGGAAGCGATTCATGAACAGCAGCTCCTGAAAAGGTGGGATGAACACAAGTGCAGAGTTTTATCTTGTGCAGGAGGAGAAACAAATTAGAGGATTAGGCACATTTTTGTATTTAGTAGTGGCACACTAATTTTTGTTTGATGAAAGATAATTTATTACATGAAATGTAAGACAAGGTCATAAGCTGCAGACAAAGGTAAATTGGACCATTTCTGCAGAGAAGATATAAAATAGCTATAGAGGGTAATGTTTGTTCCTTCAGCTTTGCTAAAACCTGGTACTTAACCCACTTCAGATACTAATAGCAGCCTTTTATTATTTGCTTCAAATGTAGTGTAGGAGGAGGATGGAATTGAATACAATATTGGGGAGAGCTTTAGATATGTACTCTTCTTCAGAAAGCAAACTAATGCTGAAATCACTGAAGTATAATAGAGTAGCTTCTGTCTAATTCTTTTTTTCACTTTTGGAATTCTGCTGCAAAGAAATGCATGCAGATGTGAATTCACACAAAATATCTAAGACCACTGCATATAAGCAAGGAAATTTACATAATTCTTGTGATATTTATACAGATGAGCAGCCAGCTATTTCCCACCAAAGTGGACAATAACAAAGATACTAAAATATTAAATAGTAAGATATTGTTATGTTGAATACCATATAGTCTTAGAACCATTTTCCTTAAAAGGATCTCTGGGTGCTACACTATGTCACACCCACATATTTGTGCTTTTTCAATAATAAGATCACTTTTTAAAAACAGAACAACATGTTGTACTTTGAAATATCCCATTGGTGCCTAGTGTTTTTTCATCAACCACACGCTGTTGGCTTTTTCATGGATATTTTTGGCCTAAAAAATAATGAACAGGTGGTGTTGTGGTAAGAAGTCATGTGGGTGTTAACGTGGCATCACTTCCTTTTCGCACAAGAGAAAGCATTTTCAGAATTCAAACTGCCAATCTACTCAGTTGGCACCTGCAGCCTAAACTGGAATATCATTTGAGCGCAGGCATGTTGCCATCATAACAGATGGTTATGAGTGTTGACAGCCAAGTGATCATGTATGTACATCGGTTGTGGGTGTTTAAAGCAAGCTGCTCATTTAAGAAGGTCAAACAGCAGTCTGTCCAGAGCTTCCACAGGCAATATTAAGAGGGATAGCTATCTCTCAAATTCTATCAATGTTCTTACTTCATGCAGGCTGAAATGTTCATATTGAAATCAATAGAAACCAGTGGCATAGCCGATGCCCCAAATCTGAAATAAATTAAATGATTAACTGTAATAGCGAAAAAGAAGTCTTCCAAGTCACATAAAGTGAGTTGGAGTTGTGGTAAATTACATGTAATATATTCTTTTTAAGTAGGATGCTTGGTCTCGTAAATTTACCCCAAAATAGCCCTAAAAGTTTCCACTAAACTGACCTGCCTAATTATTTATTAATGTTATAAAATCAGCATATCATTACAACACTGTAGAACATCTACAATGCATTCTACCAGGTTTTTTTTTTATCCCCTAAGTAAGCTAAATCTAAATACAGCCAATCTAAAACAGCATATATTAGTCATCCAACTTTAAGTGAATTTTTTTAAGTCATAAGACACACAAAAATGTATGACCTCCAATTACTTACATTCGTTTGTTCAACCAACAATATTTTTATGAAAGAATAAATGAATGAACACAAGTATGTGTAGTTGACTTTCCTAAAATGCTCCCTCCACCTATCCCCCTTTATCCCCAAGTCTTGACATTTATATTATTATATAATCTCTTCCCTTTGAGTACAGATAGGAGCTGTGACGTAATCTAATCCATAGACTATGGCAAAGGCGATGTCATTGTTACTTTCATTAGGACATTATGTATCATTGCAACTGACTTCTTGCTCATAACTTCAGTTTTTTGCCTTTTTGTTTCTAATGTTTGCAGGGATCAAATGACCATGAAAGAGAGGCCTGTGTGGTAAGGAATTGAGCACTTCTCCTGTCCAACAGCCAGCTAGGAAGTGAGGGGGACCACTGGTTGATAGACAACAAAAAATGAGTCTCTCACACCAGAATATTATAAGGGACTGAGTCTTACCAACAACCATGTGAGGCTGGAAGCTGATCCTTCCCAAGATCTGAAATGAACCCCCGGCCCCGGTTGACACCTTGATTGCAGGTATGTCAGAGATCCTGAAGCACAGTAGCAAGCTAATTCATGCCTGCATTCCTGACGCTCAGAAATTGAAATAACTGATGTGTCTTGATTTAAGCCACTGAGTTTGTGGAAATTTTGTTATGTAGCAATTCATAATTAATTTGATTTTTTAAAAGTAATTAAAAATTTGGGTAATAAAGGAATCTGTATTAAATAGAAAAAGCAAAGACATTTGCATAGAGGAGATGGTCTCTTGAATGATATTATAGTTGTTGTCTACAACCCTAGAAGACAGAAGTAAGTATGATCCAAAAGGTAAATATCATAAATGCTAGGGAGAGTGCTAAATGATACAGAGATCAAAATGATAACCCTTTGCCCAAATGATTCCACATTCATAGATTTTCTTTTTCATGTTTGAGTTTCCATCAGTTTGCTGAGTGATTGGTATTTCGTAGATTTTACAAATCAACAAATCCACACATCACAAAATGATAGAAAATTGGTAATATAAATAGTATATGATAGAAAGTAGTAAAGCTGCTGGATAAGAGTACTTGGTGAATAACTGGTTAAATAAAGTGGAATATTTTATGGTAATAATTGCAGAAATAGTTGCCATTTTTTGGTATTACCATTGGAAAAGCAATAAGCAAGTTTTTATATACATTCTTACATTTGATATTCTCAATCAGCATGTGAATTAGGCAATATATTACAAGCATGATAAGACTTGGCGATGTAGGCCGGGTGTGGTGGCTCACGCCTGTAATCCCAGCAGTTTGAGAGTCTGAGGCAGGCAGATCACAAGGTCAGGAGTTCAAGACCAGCCTGACCAATATGATGAAACCTCGTCACTACTAAAAATACAAAAATTAGCTGGGCCTGGTGGTGCAGGCCTGTAATCCCAGCTACTCAGGAGGCTGAGGCAGGAGAATCGCCTGAACCTGGGAGGCAGAGGTTGCAGTGAGCTGAGATCTTGCCATTGCACTCCAGCCTGGGCAACAGAGCCAGACTCAAAAAACAAACAAACAAACAAACAAACAAAAACAGACTTGGCAATGTAAAGCAAATTGTGCAAAATCTCGTTCTTGTAAGATGACCTGCAGTTTAATCTCAGGGACGTCTGATTTCAAATACCATGTCCCTAAACACTTTGTAGGCTGCTCAAATGATAACCGACTTCAAAGCTGGTTAGTGCAGTTTTAAATTAATAACGGAGTGAAAATAAAGAGAACAAAATAATTGCATAATTGGTTTGTAATCATAAATCTTCCACTATACAGTTATGTAATTAAAAACAATCTTCCATCTCTAAAATAAGGATTGTTTACTAAATGATCTAATCTTTCCATTATAAAATTCCACAGTTATAGAAAAGCAAGTAAGGCCCATTTTGACAGCCTTGTGCTAGGAAGTAATGTATATATAAGTTTTCTACTTGGTTTTGAGAGATTGAATTGGATGGTATACTGGAGGTTAAAACTTTTTAAATTCTACTTTATTATTACATTTGAAACTTAGAAGTGTTGTTAATAATTTCTTTTGACTGTGATAGTAAAAATATATTATGTTCTGGTAAAGCACAAGAAAATGCCAGCGAATGTTTTCTAAATGAGGGTAGAAGGGAAAAAACCGGTGTGCAGATGGAAGTATTGGGTTTTAATAAGAGATACTTTTCTCATTGTTGCTGAAGGGAAGGGGGGTAGCAGAAATGATCAATTTTAGTACCAACATGTTGGGGAATTACCATTTCATGACTTTTATTTGCTCTTTTCTACATGAAAAATGTTCATTAGTTTATTAGAGAAGAAAGTTTAAAAAATGGTATGGCCTGCAATGGCTTGATGTAATCATGAAGAGTGAACACAGAACAAAGTTCCTTGAGTATCACAAAAAAATAATGTAGGATCAAGAACTAGCTGTCACTAGTGACTGTGAATGTATGCTATAGTGGTATCTATTTGATTTTATTCATCAGCGCTTATTGTACAGGGGCAAATTTACATAATTTGATTGAGATATTTTACACATGAATAGGTATTACTTGGGAAGTTAACAAATTATGGAAGAGCAAGGGAGTTAAAAGAACAACTGAATAATGGTCCATGAATAATGGTCTCAGTTGCATATGAAGACAAATACAGACCATGATAATAAAAGGATATGGTTAGAGATTAGGATATTTAACATAGTAACTTCAAAGTTTTAGTTCCCAATGATCCAGCATTGAGCACATATTGGAAGACAAAAATGAAATAGAAAAAAGTTATTTATAGGGGATTGTGTTTTTTCTCAAGAATATGAAGGCGTCCTGGTGGGTTGGGTGGGATTCTGTAGATCAGATTTTAAGATCTTAGATGAATGAAGATAATATCTGTAAAATAAGATGATTATATAGTAGAAAGCAGTATATCAAATGGCACAATCATCAAAGAACAGTGAGTTCTACAAGAGAATGAAGGATAGTTGGAAATAAGGAAAAGAGTGATTCTACTTCCCAACATGAGGCATATGAAATGTGAAAAAATAAAAAAGCCTCTATTTGAATGGATTGAAGAGGAAACAGTGTGTTTAGTTAAAAGACAGAGGTAGAAGTAACTTTTGGACAAAAGAATTTTGAGGGAACATTATACGCTATTGAAATTAGAACACAGCATGCAGTTTCCATAACAGCAGTATTAGAAGAGATGGGGAAATGAAGAGGAAACTCCATCGGGGAAAAGGAATTTTAAAAGTCACTAGAAAAAAGAACAACTTGTAAGACTGATGCTCTGAGAAACGTACATGTTAAACACTGACCAAGAAAAATAGTGGCAAGTGGTGAAGTTGATTTAGTCTTGATGTTTTCTTGCAGAACAGAGAGAACCTTTACGTTTAATGAAATTCAGCAGTAGTCTGCGAGGGACAGTGTAGAAATTATGGTATGGAGGTGGACATTACTTTTCCTGAGTTAGTACAGCTGACACTGTCAGCAAGACTCAACAATCTTGCCGGAGTGAGAAGATAGTGGCACCATCTGGTCATTACTCAGTTCATCCTTGTTGGGGCAGCATCCTGCCTAGTTAGAAGTTGTTTATGCTGGTTCACCAGATTTGCCATTTGTCAAGGTTCTGCCTTATCTCCAAGAGATTTTGCAGTGATTAGAAAATTTGCCTTCTGTAAAATAATAATAAAAATAACC